>NC_000005.10:136207764-136856743 GCF_000001405.40 Homo sapiens | reverse complement strand
CAAAAGGACATAAGGAAAAACTAAGCAAATCTGAGTAACTATGAACTTTCAGTTATTAAAAATACGGTATGAATGTTGGTTCATTAACTGTAACAAATGTAAGTGGTTAATAATAAGGGAAACTGGGTGTGGGGTATACCAGAACTCTGTATATGGTCTTAATTTTTCTGTACACCTATAACTGTTCTGAAAAAATAAACTCTATTGGGAAAAAAAGTTCCCCTGGTTTTGATTCCTTTTATGTAGAGATTTGGGTCTTGTCTACAATATGATTCCTCATTCAGTTTCTTACTCTTTGAACTATTTCCCTTTCTTGTCCCATCTTGTTCTGCTTCTGCCACACTGATTCCATCACTGGGCAGTTCTAGCAGCTTGGAAACCCTATCATCGTGCTCACTTCTTCATGGTTTCTGCCATTGTAGAACAACATAGAAGGAGTTTGCAGCCACGAAGCAGTTCTTCAGTCATTCAAGGATACTACTTTTGTGAAGCCGTCCTCCCAGGGTTAAAATTCGGTAAATGCCCTCCCCATTCTTCATGTGGTGCAGTTTCTGAATACTTCACTACCCTAGACACTTTCCTATGAATATTTATGTTTGTTAAAATGAGGAACCTAGATCTAAATATGTTTTCCCCGTTGTATTCCAATCAGAATTAAGCATAATATCATTTTTAAAATTATATTTCCTTTTACCTACTGCTTAAAATATATATCATATCATTCTGGTTTTAGACCTCCATTTCAAGAAGGTGAGCTAAATATAATTAAGTCTCCTTTATGCATGTTCCCACTGTCATTAAATGCACCTCATTAATGAAATTTCAAACAATGCATTTAAATTCCCTACCTCATTCAGTTGTTCTCACTGTTTGAAATCAACAGCTGCTTTTGACTGACTTTCTGAATGAACTAACACTTTTCTTAGTCCTCATTGTATACAAAGCCTTACACTTATGCCAAGGATGCATAATAAACACAGTCAAATACATGTCTTTTTTTCAGCAATGGGCTTTGTGTTGATTAGTAAAATGATAGCTCTCTCAAACAGGAATATATCTCAATAGTACTTTTCTCAGAGGGGCTAGCTGAGGTATAAAATAGTGAATCAGCACCATGGAATCTGGTGTCATGAAGTCTTAGGTTTTCATGCCCAGCGTAAAAACAAACATAGCAATAAAATAAAATGGTGATAGAATAACTCCCAGGGGAATACAGAAATTATAGTACTCAGATATGAAAGCTGGAATTAGTTGCTACCTTTTTGTGTTCCGGAGTAAATCTTTCTGAACATTGCAGAGAAGTGATTTGGGACTTTCTACGTTTGGAAAGATGTATTTACCCATTTGGATGATGTTTCTTTCAGGATTTGGCAATCTGTCCTATCCCTGACTCTCTCCTTGGGAAGAGTATGGTAGGTGTAAATGTAAAGGGTACAGCATCAGCTAAGACATTCCAAATGTGCTCAATGAAGGCACACATATATCTGTTGGGTGACTTGTTCAAAAGCCCAACTTCCTGTTTTTTCTCTTTCAATTCCACATGGATCCCAAGTTTCCCCTTTCCTCTGAGCCTGTAGCCCTCATTGATATTGTTGGCTTTTCCTCATGACACAAAACCTTCTGTTTGGTTGTTTGATGTTATTCACTATGTCTGTTTATTAGAGTCTGCCATATATTTGCCTCTCCTGATAGTATATGGATAAATAAAATGTTAAAATATCACTTAATTATGTGGCAATGGTTTTGAGGATGGAGCCATGTCCTGCATTTCTTGCCTTTTCCTCTTACATTAGGACTCCAAGGACACTGACATATGGATGTACTTGGTGGTCCCTTTAAATCTACCAATGGATACAACCTAAAAGCTGACCTAGGCCAAGTCCACTTAACCCCCACAAAATAAAGTTGATTCATTCAGAAGCAAAATCAATTTCATTTGATTACACTCCCAGAGCTGAGTGTCCAGAAAAATGCTTGTGCTTGAAAGAATTGACCAAATGTTGGATTTGGCACAGTTGGTGGCAAATCCAGTTTTATCTTTCTCCTCTATGCGTGAATAGGGGGAAAGAAAGATTTGTCTGTCCTTTTATAAAGAGTTTGAAAGCAAAATGAGGCTGGCTATTTATGCTTGGAATCTTGCTTGGTTCAGAGATTTAGAATTAGTTTTGTGGTGTTTGACAGCTTATACATCTCTGTCTAAGCTTGTGGTAACTGAAGTTGCCCAGTGGGAGGAAGGTTAAGTTGTCTTTTTGAACAGCTTCCAGTCATCCTTCTTTGCAGACCCAGAGGCAGCTCTGGTGGTTCAAAAAGAACAAACAATTTCTTCCCCCAGGAGGAAGCACTGCTTGAGAGCAATAACTGCATTTTCTAACCCACCAGAGCTAATCTGTATACTTGGGATACTGCTGACCATATTTAGCATGCATCCTAATCATTGTGTGGCCCAATGATGTCTCTGCTATTCCTTCTTCAAATATTGGTGTTTCTGCAAGAAGCAAGCTCTCAGAGCTAGTATCCATTCCTCCCCTTCTGGGTGGGGAGCCTGCTGTGTAACCATCACTGTTTCCCCTGGCCAACCTCCAACACGGTGTGATTTTGCTTCCCTCTTGGAAAGGTTTTCCCAGAAATTAGGCTTGCAAGCCAGAAGGCCCCTGAGCAAATGCAGAAGGTTCAGAAGTTTTGATTGTTGCTGAGATTTGTTTCCATGTCTTGTTCAAAGAAATTGGGGGTGGCAAATTGATTTCATTTGTGTGTCAATTCAGATCAATTAGTATGCACAGGAGAACTGTGTGGAGAGACTCTCAGGTCATGTCTTATCTCTGGTGTTGAGTAAAAAGAGAGCCTGATTGTTAAGAGATATCTCTCCAGAGTGGGAGCCACCCCACAGAGGTACCAGGTTTGAGTGCCTCAGAGTTGTCAACAAAGGGCATGCAACAAATATGGAGCATTCTATACATACCTAATACTGTTCCAAGTGCATGGAGGAGCTCTGACATAGTAGAAAATGTAGTTATTGCTCTCAAAAAGAGTGTACATGGAATAGGGTGGTATGTAGTATTATTGGGCATGGCTCTGTGTTGAAATTTATCATCGTCCCTTCTTAACACATGAATGCATACTCACATACTTAAAAACATAAATGAAGGGGCATCCACCATTACTGAGGCTTAAGTAGGTGGTTTTCTGGTCACAGTGTAAACAAAGCTGGTGGGAAGTTTGGACTGGGCGGAGCCCATCTGCAGTGCCACAAAGTTGCTGTAGCCAGACTGCCACTGTAGATTCCTCCTCTCTGGGCAGGGCATCTTTGAAAGAAAGGCAGCAGTCCCAGTTAGGGGCTTATAGATAAAACTCCCATCTCCCTGGGACAGAGCACCTAGGGGAAGGGGTAGCTGTGGGTGCAACTTCAGCAGACTTAAACGTTCCTGCCTGCCAGCTCTGAAGAGAGCAGCGGATCTCCCAGCATAGTGTTGGAGCACCATTAAGGGACAGACTGTCTCCTCAAGTGTGTCCCTGACCCCCATGCCTCCCGATGGAGAAACACCTCCCAGCAGGAGTCAACAGACCCCTCATACGGGAGAGCTCCGACGAGCATCTGGTGGGTGCCCCTCTGGGATAAACCTTCCAGAGGAAAGAGTGGGCAGCAATCTTTGCTGTTCTGCCGCCTCTGCTGGTGATACCCAGGCAAACAGGGTATGGAGTGGACCTCCAGCAAACTCCAGCAGACCTGCAGAAGAGGGGCCTGTTAGAAGGAGAACTAACAAACAGAAAGCAATAGCATCAACATCAACAAAAAGTACGACCACGCAAAAACCCTATCTGAAGGTCACCAACATTAAAGACCAAAGATAGAAAAATCCATGAAGATGAGGAAAAACCAGCACAAGAAGGCTGAAAATTCCCAAAACCAGAACGTCTCTTCTCCTCCAAAGGATGACAACTCCTTGGCAGCAAGGGAACAAAACTGGATGGAGAATGAGTTTGACAAATTAACAGAAGTAGGCTTCAGAAGGTGGGTAATAACAAACTCCTCTGAGCTAACAGGGCATGTTCTAAGCCAATGCAAGGCAGCTAAGAACCTTGATAAAAGGTTACAGGAGCTGCTAACTAGAATAACCACTTTAGAGAAGAATATAAATGACCTGAGGGAGCTGAAAAACATACCACAAGAGCTTCGTGAAGCATAGACAAGTATCAATAGCCGAATTGATCAAGTGGAAGAAAGGATATCAGAGATTGAAGATCAACTTAATGAAATAAAGTGTAAAGACAACATTAGAGAAAAAAGAACAAAAATGAATGAAAAAAGCCTCCAAGAAATATGGGACTATGTGAAAAGACCAAACCTATGTTTGATTGGTACACCTGAAAGTGAAGGGGAGAATGGAACTAAATTGAAAAACACACTTCAGTATATTATCCAGGAGAACTTCCCCAATCTAGCAAGGCAGGCCAACATTCAAATTTGGGAAATACAGAGAAAACCACAAACATACTTCTCAAGAAGAGCAACCCCAAGACACAAAATTGTCAGGTTCACCAAGGTTGAAATGAAGGAAAAATGTTAAGGGCAGCCTGAGAGAAAGGTCAGGTTACCCACAAAGGGAAGCCCATTAGACTAACAGCAACTCTCTCTGCAGAAACCCTACAAGCCAGAAGAGATGGGGGTCAATATTCAACGTTCTTAAAGAAAAGAATTTTCAACCCAGAATTTCATATCCAGCCAAACTAAGCTTCGTAAGTGAAGGAGAAATAAAATCCTTTACAGACAAGCAAATGCTGAGTGATTTTGTTACCATGAGGCCTGCCTTACAAGAGCTCCTGAAGGAAGCACTAAATATAGAAAGAAAAAGCCAGTACCAGCCATTGCAAAAACACACCAAAATGTAAAGATAATTGACACTATGAAGAAACAGCATCAACTAGTGGGCAAAATAACCAGCTAATATCATAACGACAGGATCAAATTCACACATAACAATATTTAACCTTAAATGTAAATGGACTAAATGCCCTAATATAAAGACACAGACTGGCAAATTGGATAAAGAGTCAAGACTCATTGGTGTGCTGTATTCAGGAGACCCATCTCCCATATAAAGACACACATAGGCTCAAAATAAAGGGATGGAGGAAGATTTACGAAGCAAATGGAAAGCAAAACAAAACAAAAAAACAACAAAAAACAACAAAAAACAAAAACAACAAAAAAAGCAGGGGTTGCAATCCTAGTCTCTGACAAAATAGATTTTAAATGAACAAAGATCAAAAAAGACAAAGAAGGGCATTACATAATGGTAAAGGGATCAATGCAACAAGAAGAGCTAACTATCCTAAATATATATGCACCCAATACAGGAGCACCCAGTTTTATAAAGCAAGTTCTTAGAGACCTACAAAGAGACTTAGACTCCCACACAATAATAGTGGGAGACTTTAACACTCCACTGTCAATATTAGACAGATGAATGGGACAGAAAATTAACAATGATATTCAGGACTTTAACTCAGTTCTGGACAAAACAGAACTAATAGACATGAACAGAACTCTCCACCCCAAATCAACAGAACATACATCCTTCTCAGCACCACATTGCACTTATTCTAAAATTTACCACATAATTGGAAGTTAAACACTCCTAAGCAAATGTAAAGGAATGGATATCATAACAAACAGTCTCTCAGACCACAGTGCAATCAAATTAGAGCTTAGGATTAAGAAACTCACTCAAAACGTGCAACTGCATAGAAACTGAATAACCTGCTCCTGAATGACTACTGGGTAAATAATGAAACTAAGGCAGAAATAAATAAGTTCTTTGAAACCAATGAGAACAAAGACACAACATACCAGAATCTCTGAGACACAGCTAAAGCAGTGTGTAGAGGGAAATTTATAGCACTAAGTGCCCACAGGAGAAAGTGGGAAAGATCTAAAATTGACACCCTAACATCACAATTGAAAGAACTAGATAAGCAAGAGCAAATTCAAAAGCTAGCAGAAGACAAGGAATAACTAGAATTAGAGCTGAACTGAAAGAGATAGAGACATGAAAAACCCTTCAAAAAATCAATGAATCCAGGAACTGGTTTTTTGAAAAAATTAACAGAACAGATAGACCACTAGCCAGACTAATAAAGAAGATAAGAGAGAAGAATCAAATAGATTCAATAAAGAATGATAAAGGGGATAGCACCACTGATCCCACAGAAATACAAACTACCATCAGAGAATACTATAAATACCTCTAAACAAATAAACTAGAAAATCTAGAAGAAATGGATAATTCCTGGACACATACACTCTCCCAAAACTAAACCAGAAAGAAGTTGAATCCCTGAATACACCAATAACAAGTGCTGAAACTGAGGTAGTAATTAATAGTCTACCAACCAAAAAAACCCCAGGACCAGACAGATTCACAGCCAAATTCTGCCAGAGGTACAAAGAGGAGTTGGCACCATTCCTTCTAAAACTATTCCAAACAATAGAAAAAGAGGAAATCCTCCCTAACTCATTTTATGAGGCCGGCATCATCCTGATACCAAAGCCTGGCAGAGACACAACAAAAAAAGAAAATTTCAGGCCAATATCCCTGATGAACACTGATGCAAAAATCCTCAGTAAAATGCTGGCAAACTGAATCCAGCAGCACATAAGAAAGCTTATCCACCACTATCAAGTTGGCTTCATCCCTGAGATGCAAGGCTGGTTCAACATATGTGAATCAAAAAAAGTAAACCATCACATAAACAGGAACAATGACAAAAACCACATGATTATCTCAATAAATGCAGAAAAGGCCTTCGACAAAATTCAACAAAACTTCATGCTAAAAACTCTCAATTAACTAGGTATTGATGGAACGTATCTCAAAATAATAAGAGCTATTTATGACAAACCCACAGCCAATATCATACTGAATGGACAAAAACGGAAGCATTCCCTTTGAAAACTGGCACAAGAAAAGGATGCCCTTTCTCACCACTCCTATTCAACATAGTATTGGAAGTCCTGGCCAGAGCAATCAGGCAAGAGAAAGAAATAAAGGGTATTTAAATAGGAAGAGAGGAAGTCCAATTATCTGTTTGCAGATGACACGATTGTATATTTAGAAAATCCCATCGTCTCAGCCCAAAATCTCCTTAAGCTGATAAGCAACTTCAGCAAAGTCTCCGGATACAAAATCAATGTGCAAAAATCACAAGCATTCCTACACACTAATAATAGACAAACAGAGAGCCAAATCATGAGTGAATTCCCATTCACAGGTTGCTACAAAGACAATAAAATACCTTGGAATAAAACTTACTAGGGATATGAGGGACCTCTTCAAGGAGAACTACAAACCACTGCTCAAGGAAATAAGAGAGGACACAAACAAATGGAAAAACATACCATGCTCATGGATAGGAAGAATCAATAACGTGAAAATGGCCATACTGCCCAAAATAATTTATAGATTCAATGCTATCCCCATCAAGCTACCATTGACATTCTTCACAGAATTAGAAAAAAACTACTTCAAATTTCATATGGAACCAAAAAAGGGTCCATATAGCCAAGACGATCCTACGCAAAAAGGACAAAGCTGGAGGCCTCACACTGCCTGACTTCAAATTATACTTCAAAGATACAGTAAAAAAAACAGCATGGTACTGGTACCAAAACAGATATATAAACCAATGGAAAAGAATAGAGGCCTCGGAAATAACACCACACATTTACAGCCATCTGATCTTTGACAAACCTGACAACAACAAGCAATGGGGAAAGGATTCCCTATTTAATAAATGGTGTTGGGAAAACTGGCTAGCCATATGTAGAAAACAGAAACTGGACCCCTTCTTTACACCTTATACAAAAATTAACTCAAGATGGGTTAAAGATTTAAACATAAGACCTAAAACCATAAAAACCCTAGAAGAAAACCTAGGCAGTGCCATTCAGGACATAGGCATGGACAAAGACTTCATGACTAAAACACCAAAAGCAACTGCAATAAAAGCCAAAATTCAAAAATGGGATCTAATTCAACTAAAGAGCTTCTGCTCAGCAAAAGAAACTATCATCAGAGTGAACAGGCAACCTACAGAATGGGAGAAAATTTTTGCAATCCATCCATCTGACAAATGGCTAATATCCAGAATCTACAAGGAACTTAAACAAATTTACAAGAAAAAAAAAATGACCCCATCAAAAAGTGGGTGAAGGATATGAACAGACACTTCTCAAAAGAAGACATTTATGCAACCAAAAAACATGAAAAAATGCTAATCATCACTGGTCATTAGAGAAATGCAAACCAAAACCACAATGAGATACTATCTCACACCAGTTAGAATGGCAATCATTAGAAAGTCAGGAAAGGCCAGGCGCAGTGGCTCATGCTTGTAATCCCAGCACTTTGGGAAGGTGAGGTGGGCGGATCATGAGGTCAAGAGATCGAGACCATCCTGGCCAACATGGTGAAACCCCGTGTTTACAAAAAATACAAAAATTAGCTGGGTGTGGTGGCACATGCCTGTAGTCCCAGCTACTCAGGAGGCTGAGGCCAGAGAATCGCTTGAACCTGGGAAGCAGAGGTTGCAGTGAGCCAAGATCATGCCACTGCACTACAGCCTGGCAATAGCGCGAGGCTCCATCTCAAAAAAAAAAAAAAAAAAAGTCGGGAAACAACAGATGCTGAAGAGGATGTGGAGAATAGGAAGGCTTTTACACTGTTGGTGGGAGTGTAAATTAGTTCAACTGTTGTAGAAGACAGTGCGGAGATTCCTTAAGGATCTAGAACTAGAAATACCATTTGACCCAGCAATCCCATTACTGGGTATATACCCAAAGCATTATAAATCATTCTACTATAAAGACACATGCATATGTATGTTTATTGCAGCACTATTCACAATAGCAAAGACTTGGAACTAACCCAATGCCCATCAATGATAGACTGGATAAAGAAAATGTGGCACATATACACCATGGAATACTTTGCAGCCATAATGAGTTCATGTCCTTTGCAGGGACATGGATGAAGCTGGAAACCATCATTCTCAGCAAACTAACACAGGAACAGAAAACCAAACACTGCATGTTCTTGCTCATAAGTGAGAGTTGAACAATGAGAACATGTGGGCACAGGGAGGGGAACATCACATACTAGGGCCTGTCAGGGGGTAGGGGGCAAGTAGAGGGATAACATTAGGAGAAATACCTAATGTAGATGAAGGGTTGATAGCTGCAGCAAACAACCATGGCACATGTATAGTTATGTAACAAACCTGCACGTTCTGCATATGTATCCGAGAACTTAAAGTATAATAAAAAGGAAAAAATATATTGAGGTATATGAAAGATACAGAAAAATGTACAAGTAGTACATGTAGAACTTCATATTTTTTTTATTGTGGTAAGAACACTTAACATGAGTTAATACTTAACTATCCTCTTAACAAATTTTAAAATGTACACTACATTATTATGGACTATAGGTGCAATGTTACACATTATATCTCTCGTGTTTATTCATCTTGCTTGACTGAAACTTTCTGACTGCTAATTAGCAACTCTCTATTTCTCTCTCCTTCTAGGGACTGGAAACCACTATTATATGTTTTGATTCTATGAATTTGACTCTTTTAGACACCTCATATGAATGAAATCATGCCATATTTGCCCTTTAGTGACAGGCTTATTTCACTTGGCAAATGTCCTCCAGGTTCATCCATTTTGTTACAGATAGTAGGATTTCGAGAAAAACCATAAACGTTTTGCGTTGAATTCTGCATTTGGCGGTTCCTCTACCATCAAAAAATGCTCTAGTTTCCAGTGCTTCTCAAACATGAATATGCATACAAATCACCTGGGGAACAGATTCTGTTTTGGTTGGCATGGGCTTGTGCCTGGGGTTAGGCTTTTCTAACATGTTCCCTGATGATGCCCATGCTGCTGATCCATGACCCACACTGCAGAACAAACTTCTAAACTCTCAAATGGCTTCACATTTCTCTTGAGATACAGACACAGCTTAACATGGCTTACAAGGTCTTTGCATGATTTCATTGCCATCTAACACGACAGCTTTTTTTCTTCCCTCCATGACTTTCTGTGCTCTTCCCAGAGCACTGAATTTGGCCTTTGTTAAGTCCTTTCTACTAGTCAAGCTCTGCTCATTTCAGTGCCTTTGCAGATGCTGTTCATCCTGTCTGGAAAGCTGTGTCACCATCTTTTCTCCTAGATACATTTTACTCATGCTTTGAATCTCAGCTCTAACACCACTTCTACGGGACAACTCCCTGACTGCTGTAACTAGAACACTCATCTTTATTATCTATTCTCATAGCAGAGAACATTTTTACCTTCAAATTTGGTTATGATTGGTGTAATTTCTATTAGGGCAGGGATCTTGCCTGTTTTTATTCACTATTACATTCCTAGAACTTAACATACCATTTCTTGCATCAATTCCTAGACTTTGCTTTTCTTGGAAACGCCAATCCTTAGGTAAGTTTTTCAGAAAAGAAGAAGCCCCAACCGTCTAAACTGTCCCGTTTGGGCACTGGGCTGTGGGTAGGAGGTGAGATAACATTTGGGGTGTCCATTGCTTTGTGAGAAAATGGCTGTGAGATAGAACTTGGGTTTGTGTTATTTCAGAATCCTATTGCCGTCCTTTATCCATCCTTTCGAGCTTCAAAGGATTGATGACATGATTCTATTCTGCTTTACATCAGTTTCCTGTAGGCTTATATAACTTCCCTCCAAACCCTACCTCACTACTGGACAAGAAGTTCTTTCTCAACAGAAATTAGGTCTTCCCTTATTTTTGCTATGGTAAGCCTTGTTCACAGAGAAATTTAATAACATATGAGGTTAAATCAAATCTGGAAACATTGATAGGAAAATGGGTTCATGGGAGAGCGGAGTTTGGCCCATTAGTATCTTCCCTAGGATTGCCAGGATAACATAGTGATAATTTACCCTGTGGATATGTGAGTCACATAAAATGTCATGTTTCCCTTTTTGCATTGGATGTTGGAAAGTCTAGCATCAAGTTCTGTCCAAGTGTATCATGCTTTAAGACAAAAATTTGTTAAGCCATCTCAACTTCTTTTCAGATCAAGTCAGTGTAGAGAAATTTATTGCAAATATTTAATGAGATTCCTATTAATGCTCATGATGTATTAGGAGCTCAACACATTTTAATTCCAATTCTCTCTACTTAAAAAGCTAGGTAATATTACTGTCCATTTTAAGATAAGCAAATAGAATGCCTATATAATTTATCCTAAGTTGTAGGCCGAAACTCTGGTCTAGACAAAGAAACTGACGCTCAGAGAGGATAAATAACTCGTTCAAGTTTACTCAGCTGATTACTGACTGTCTTATTCTTCTAGGGCTGCTATAACAAATTATGACCACAAACTTGGTGTATTAAAACCACAGAAACTTATTCTTTCACAGTTCTGGGGGCTGGAAGTCCAAAACAGGTGTTGGTGTTGGTGGGGCCATGCTCCCTCTGAAGCCTCTGGGGAAGACTCCTTTCTCGCCTCTTCCTAACTTCTCATGGCTTATGGCTGCATCTTTCTCATCTCTGCCTTTGTCTTCACATGGTCTTCTACCCTGTGTGTGTCTCTGTGAGCCTCTCCTCTTCTTATAAGAATATCAGTCACTGGTATAACCCACCCTAATTCACTATGACCTCATCTCAACTAATTACTATCTCCAAATATAAATCCTAAATCCAAATAAGTTCACAGTTTGAGGTTTTGAGTGGACATTAATTTTGGGGGTACACTATTTAACCCACCACAGTGACTGAGCTAAGACTGTAAGTTAGGACTAACTCAAGGCCATGTTCTTTATACTACACAAAACTAACTACGTCTGCCTACGTTATCGTTGCCACGATGCTTCACAACTGACTGATCCCTATGGGAAAAGCAGCACTGGCTGATTTTAAATTTAATTTGGCAGTTTCTCTTAAAAGTGGACTGGTGGTTAATTTGTATGGAAGAATTGCTGAATGGTCAATTTAGAGAAGATGTAATTAGTGGATTAGGGTTAAAGTAGAATTACGTTTTGAGAAGCCAAATGTTCAGATATTGGGTTGACTAGACAGAGCTGGGTTTAGTTGACATGGAATTTCTATCCTCACAGCAACAGCCTCTTCATCCATATTATTTTCCCTTTTCCCAGCTTCCAAACCCCGTTGTTGAGAAAAGTGCTTACCTTACAAAATATCTCCTCACTTGCAGGGGTGGGCAAAGCTGTTTCCCAATCACTTTTTGATATTAACATTATTCTGAAAATTACATCTCATTCAGCATGATATTTTAATGAGCCTTTGTCTGTTCTAGTTAAGTCAATTAGTGCTGAGCTAATGAAATACAGGAATAGCATGAGATGGTCCTCAGAGATACCGGATATCTTTATAACTCTATGGCTTAGAACAGCAGTTCCTTTAGCTGCCTTGTTCAGCCCAGCCATGAGAAATTGCAATTCTGAGACTACTTCTGGGCATGTTCTTTTCTAGATGTGATTTCCCCATGTACTTTATTGTGGTGGCAAATATTGTGGGGTAGGGGGAAGGTAGGTTGTCCATAAGACTCTACCCAGGGCCTAGATAAATTAGCCATGTTAGAGGACAAGAGGAACCAGGCTTCCTCAAGAGGCAGGCTGCTGGATGGGACATGTGACAGGAACCTGGATCCAGTTAAGAAGGAAGGCAAGGGGGAAGGAGAGAAGACCACCTGGCCATTTCCTGAGCTAGACGGCAGGGAGGCAGCCTTGGGAGAAGGAAGAGCATTGCCCACTGATGCTTTGAAGGTCAACTAAGAAGGTTAACCTGCTCAGTCTACCAGCCATCTCTCCTCTTGAACTCCATTCCCAATGGAAAAGCCTCCCTCTTCTTGGCCCTGTTGGTGACCTCAATTCTTCATGGTGACTGATTCCTTTCCTTGGTGACTTAATCTCCATTGTGCCTGATTTCTTCTGTGATTCTTCACCTTTGAGGATATTTTATTATTGCTAAGGCTTGGCACCCTCTTCTATGAGGCTTATCAACCATTTATACTTTCCTGTAAATGTGAGACCCTTGAAAGAAATTTCTGATAAGAAAAGGGTCCAACACTTTTCTTATCAGAAATTTCTTTCAAGGATCTCACATTTATAGGAAAGTGGAAAGAATGTGACCTTTGCTGCTAAACAGGAAGCCTTTTGACGCAGGGAGCCAAATACTGGTTTCAACAATATTGTTAGGGGTTAGGGAGAGTTTCTCAAGAAGTACAAAGGAAAAAAAAAGAATAAAAGCAAGAAAGAGAAAAGGGAAAGAGAAAAAGAGGGACGGGGAGAAGGAGAAGGGAGGAATTAAAAAGCCTGGGTCTTCTGAATAACTTTGGCAGCATCTAAGCATGATTACCAAGAAGGTTGGCAATTTCTTGTAGAAAAAACACATTGCAAGAGATAATTAGAGATAAGACTTTGGATTCTAAGGTTAGAAAAACCTTGGTTTAAATCTAGGCCTTTTTCCTTTATAAATGTGTAAATTTGGAAAGTCATTTGACTTTGCAGAGTTCTGCTTCTTCACTTGGAAAGTAAGGATACTGAAAACCCACCTAACAGGCTTTTGGAGAAGATTCAGTGAATGCCTAATGAATGTAAAGAGTGGCCAGCACAGTGCCAGGATAAATGCCACATCCGTGTTGCCTTTTACTATTTGTACAAAGCAGTGTGCAGCAGAGCTGGAAGCAGTTTGGGATGACCCCCACAGGCAGCACTTGCTTCCCTTATAAGGGCCCAGCACAGGTTCAAAGCACAGGCTTAAGGGCTAGTCCTGTGTTCCTCACATGGCTGGTTGGCTTCTGTCTCTGATGCTTTGCTTCTATTGTCCCAAGGATTTACAAGTTTCCTTCAGTGCTTTCAGTTCCTTCTTCCACATACATTCATGATGGGGAATGCCTAACAGGGCTGTCTGTGCAATGGGCAGGGACCGGACTGGGCAGGTAGATTCTCTAACATTCTTAAACTTCTCCAGTAGCTCCAGTGCTCCAGGCCATGGCAGCATTGCCTCCCCTCAACTCGTCGGCTTCTCCTGGGCTTGTTTATTCTAGGCCTTTTGTAGTCTTGCCTGCTGCTTCTACACAGCCTTGCTTCTTGAATATGAGGCGCTGCTGATTTGGGATTTGAGATGACAAGCCAGGTGAAGCTAAGTGGATCACGTTTGTTTGAGCCAATGTGCATGCAGGTCAGAGACTCAGAGGGTGGACAAAGTATTGGTTTGAAAAGTAGCCACCTTTCTCTTTTTCTAAAACTACTTGCATTTTTTAAGTCAGGCCTCAGAGGGACTGGAAACATTCTTCTTTACAGACCCCATCAGTGATTCGTGAGAGCATTTGTTCTAGATTTACTCAGCTCTGCAGCTGAAAAATGCAGCAGGCAGAAAGCTAACTTTGGAACTGTTGGAGGGCTTACCCCCTGACACCAGCATACATTTTCTTTCCTAGCTGAGGACGAATTATATAAAGGACCACATGGAAAAACTTCACTGGAAAAGAAATAAAGTATGCCTAAGCTTATACTCAGCTGGCCAAGAGGGGCCTATTGTAGCCAGCGGATAAATTAAATATTGACAAGACAAGAAGATCGCTCAATGAAAGGGGAGTGCCGCGGGACTTGGCACTGAGGACCACTGAGTTCATCCATAGCTTTGTCCAGGATCACTTTTCGACCTTGGGTAAGTAGGTTGCTTGACTTCCTTGGGCCTCAGTTTCTTCATATATAAAGGAGAAGAATGTACCTGACCATCCAAGTCCCTTATCATGTACATACACTGAAAGGCAGAAGCAATGATGCAGCTGGCCAGAGAAACACAGATGAGAATGAGATTTGTGTTCAGTGACCTTGTTTTAGATATAACATTCCTAAAAATTTGTGTATTTGTAAGCCATATTTAACAGCAAACTTAGGAAACTCAGTTTTTAAAGAACTAGTCCTTGGCTGGGCATGGTGACTCATATCTGTAATTCCAGCACTTTGGGAGGATGAGGTGGGAGAATCACTTGAGGTCAGGAGTTCAAAACCAGCCTGGGCAACCTAGCAAGACTCTGTCTCTACAAATAATAATAATAATAATAATTCAAAAATTAGCCAGGTGTGGTGGCATGTGCCTATAGTTCCATCTACTCAGGAGGCTGAGGTGGGAGTATTGCTTAAGCACAGGAATTCAAGGTTATAGTGAGCCATGATCACACTGCCCTCCAGCTTGGGTGACAGAGTGAGACCCCATCTCAAAAAAAGAACTAGTTTTTAATTTCAAAATTGTTTCTTAAGTAGAGGCACCTGGTAATGGGCACATGCCTTTTCTGGTGGAGAATATACAGAAGCCTGAATAGACTTAGTAGCAGAACACCGAGGTTCATAGCACTCATGCACAAATCCAGAGTATTCATGAAAAGATGGATTACTTTCATCAAACAAGTGTCTTAGTCAGAGATTATTAGTAAGAGATATATATCCACCTACATCAGTGCCCATTTAAGGGCACTTATTGAAAGGACACAAATCTCAAAGACACCCATTGGTGAAGCACTATATACAGCCATGGAGTCCCTGTCTCTGAATGTCTGGACCTTTTGTCCTTGTCCTCATCTCCCACATGGAGCTCCCCAGCTCCTCTCTGATATGAGCTCTACTCTCCCCACCGTCTGGCCACCTCTGCCGACCCTGCCTCCTCCTCTCACTTTGGTTGCTGTGTGGCTTTGGTTTTTGGGGCACTGGGCCTAACCCTGACTCTCCATGTGGACTTTCAATTCCAGAGCCCTAAAAAGACTGATTTGGCCTCTGTGGCATTGAAATTCTCAGGAGAGAGAATTCAGTTCCTTCCTGGTGGAGCAGTGACTTGAATTGCAAGCTGGTTGCTGCAGTGCCACCCTCCCATGGTTGCACAGGCTATGGGTGAATGGAGAGAATTCCCAGAGAACAGGGCTATGGGCAGAACAGTTACCACAAAACTCAGTCATGCTCATCAAGAAAAATACACCATGTCCCACAGAAACACTTGGACCTACTTGTTTGTTTTCCAAATTTCTGGTCTCCCCAACTCCTTTCAAGAGACACAGAGTGAAAAACTCTGGTCTACAATAATCTAAGAGTAGAGTAATAATGAGCCTAGGACTTTCTATTGCACTTCTAGGTCTCTGATCTTATTTATCAAATCAGGTAAAACCCACACACCCAATCTCTAGGAACAATTCAGAGACCAAAGAGACGTACAAACTTCTTGTCTTTTTTGCCATCTCCTGAAGCCATACATCATTTTCAAACAAAGAACCACCTCCTTATTTCCATGTTAAGAAAAAGGCACAAAATGTTATCAATTCAATAAACTTTTATGATTTGCCTACTACTTACTGGTAATGGAGAACCAGGCAATTAACAGATTTCCATGGACCTGGTGAAGCAGACAGGTGCACAGAGAATTCCAACTCAAGCAGTGATCATGATATGATACATTTGTGGGGTGATGTCACATTGCTCCTCTCGCAGAGCTTACACAGAGCCCACGGAGGCAGTGTCTGCTCAAAATAGAGCCAAACACGACCAGAGGCAGGCTTGAAGATGAAGACAAAGACAAGAGAGTTCATTTTACCCAGTTTTCCCCACAAGCTCCATCTGTCCTCAACACATGGTATTCTTCCTCCCAACACCCACGTGCAGTCTTATCCCTCCCTGAAAACTCACCCATAGTGATAACATATCTTCTGCAGACTTAGATGTTACAACAAAAATAATTTCACTGGAATGGATAACCTCTCAGATCCATTCCACCCCTGAGATACTGGGTTTCTCTGGTCATTATCTGTGTTTACAGGAGAGCTGCATTTCCTCCATCGTTTATCTATTTTTGAGGAACCCAACTTCTAAGTTATCTTCACTAGATTATTTTTTTCCTTAAAAAAAAAAATAAAATTGAAGTGCCAGTGTTCACCTTGACAAACTAAAAAAGAAATCTTCTCTCACTCCCTTCCCTTTCTTTTCTCTATTGAGATTTCCCATTATCAGTGGTATAGAAAGAGCACCTGCTGAAGTCTGTGCTCATATCCATGAAGAATATGAACAAGCACTGATCTCTTCTTATTGCAACTTAGAGAAAATAGAATGATACATTTAATACCTTTGGGGAAGGGACGTATGTGAAACAGTCCCACACTTTGTCACATGTAAACTTCTTATTCTCCAATTAGCCATTTAATATAGAAAATGCTAATTTATTTGTATTTTATTAATTAATAATGTGTTAATTTCTTTTGGTGTTGCCTTTGAAAAAGGAGTTATTTATTTATCCAACAAATATTTGTTGGGTGCCCTCTGTGGGCCTAGCTCAGTGTTCGGCCTCAGGGGTGCACTGGTATGTAATGCATAGTCACTGCCTTCCAGAAGCTAGTAGAGAAAAGAGTTTGAAAGAATAATTATGATAAAGATGAGAGAAGTAGAAGCACAAGGTATTAAGAAAACACACCATAGGGAAAGGAGCTTATAAACTAATTAGGACCTAATTCTCTAAGTGGTGTGTAAGTGTGTGTGTGGTTAGGGAGAAATGGAGGAAGGTACTTCCTTGATTTTGTCTACTTTGGACATAAGAATTTTTTTCAATGTATTCAGGGGTGTCTACTCAGTTCAGTCATCTAAATAGCATAGTGTACAGTGGGTTTAATCAACTTGGGATTGTCTGAAAACTATAATAGGGTTGCTTGAGAGTGACACATAACAATTTACTGAGAACGACCACACTGTGGATCAATTAGATTAGGTTCACCTGCATTACGGTTAAAAAAAAAGCAGGGTGGGGAACCAATACTGGCAGCTTGAACAAGATGGAAGAGTATTCCTAATATAAAAGTACAGAGTGGGGTGGGGTGGGGTGAGCAGTCCAGAGCCAGCATGGCACTTCATGGCATCAGACAGCCAGACTCCTAATCATCTTGCCTCGTCATCCTTAGCATGTGGACTCCTGGTCATGGCCCCAAATGCTTGAGCT
The DNA here is from genome assembly GCF_000001405.40 of Homo sapiens. Lineage (NCBI taxonomy): Eukaryota > Metazoa > Chordata > Mammalia > Primates > Hominidae > Homo > Homo sapiens. The sequence continues at coordinate 136,838,714 of NC_000005.10, read as the reverse complement.
CCAGCCTTCCTGGCCACACACTCCAGGCAGCTGGAAGGAAGAAGAGAAGGATGGGCTGAAGCCCCATCCCTTTAGGAACACCTTGCTTTACACTTCTGCTCTCATCCCATTGGCTGAAACTTAGTGACATGCCACATGACTGCAAAGGAAGCTGGGAAATCCAGTCTTTACCCTAGAGGACCATGTGTGCAGTTAAAAATGTGGGATTTTATTGCTAAAAAAGAAGAGGAGAACAGAGATTGAAAACAGCACTCTGCCACATTCTGTGCTGAAGACTACAGAAGGTTTGCTGCATAGAGACAATACCAACAAATTATAATGACCCTTTATAGCTCTACTATGTTCCTCCTCATTAAGGGACTCATTAATACCCTTCCCCTGGGTAGCTGAGGGATTAATTCCTGTAGACTCTGAATTTGTCTCTCTTTGACCAACATTGTTCTTGTTTGCCCACAATGGGATGTCTAATTCTCAACTTAGGACCGCTGTTACTGACCTCAGAGTGTTTTTAAAATGTTCCTTTTAAAAATATTGTAAGGCAATGTATGTTTATTGTAGAAATTTTAGAAAATTCAGAAAAATATGAAGAAGAAAGGAATCCAACCATAATCTCACTATCACAGATACTTTCTATTAATATAATTACATAATATAAACATTTGGAAGTATATTTCTTCAAACCTTTTTTTTAACCTTTTACTAAACATTTTAAAAATAATGCATAGTATATCATTTAGGTAAAAGATTCAAGTGATACGTAAGTATACACGGCAAAACATGAAGGTCATACCATAGCATCCTTTACTTTGACTCATTCATTTATCTAATCATTCAAAAATACTGAGTTTTAATTATAGAGTTATAACAGTAATTATGACAGATGCATACCTGTCCTTACAGTGCTTACCTTCTAGAGTGGTACAAAGACCACTTATGAGAGGGAAAAAAGATGAGCTAGAGAGGGTTCCTTCAGGTATGGGTGGTGGTAATGCTTTTGCAAGTCACAGAAAGCCTAGGGACTCTAACCAAACATCCAGAGGCACAGTTTGACTCAGCCATTCAAATGACATTATCAAAGAACTGGGTGCTTGCTCCAATTATTGGCTTAGCTACCTCAGCATTGGTACTGTTCTCAGTTGGGCTCCATTCTCCCTGACATGAGATATCCTACAGCAACAGCTAGTACTGTAACTTTTCTCATTCCTAGCTGTTACCTCATCAACCCTACAAACCATAGAATGAAATTTCATTGTTCTACTTGAACTGACCTGGCCCATTCCTAAATCAATAGTTTTAGCCAGGAAGATGGAATACATTGATTGGCTTAAGCTAGTTATGACCCATTCCGGGAACTGAACATGGGATTAGTCCTATCAAAGCCACTTGAAAAGGAAAATTGTGGTCCATTTAGGAAGAGAAGCAAGAAAATTGTTACTATGTGGTGGAGGTGGATGGCTAATGATCACTATACGAATAACGACGCTTCATGGATGAGAACGAGGCAGCCTCCTGAAGAGTCAAAGGAAAAGTGTTTTAAAAAAGAAAAAGGTTCTGTGAGTTGAGAGAGAGGCTGGCATGTTCAAAATATTAGAAAGCCAGAATTGCTGGGTGAGAGAGAGGTGAGACATTGTGATTGTCATCCTTCCAGTCATGTTTTCTATGTAAAACAAATATTTTTTCTTTCTCTACTTATAATGAAAATCATGTTCTATGAATTGTTTTCTGACTGGCCTTTCTCACTGACAAAGAAAAATGCCTAACAATCCTGCACATGTACCCCTAAACCTAAAATAAAAGTTAAATAAAAGAAAAATGCCATGCAAATGTTTTTGTGTCAGTACATAAAGATTTATGATATTCTTTCTGAAGGCAGTGGTTATGTGTATCAACAGTTTTTTTGAACTATTCTTCTAGTGATGGACATTTTTCCCAATGCTTTTCCATGAATCTTGAAGAAAATACATCTTCCTTGAGAATAAATTATGAGATACAGATTTTCTGGATTAAGGAATGTACATATTTAAAGCACTGATAATACTTCCAAGTTACCCTCAAAATGACTTTGCAATGAATACACCAAACAAGAGTATATGAGAGTGTCTGTTTCCTTAACAACAACACTGAATATGATCAATATGTTTAATTATTTCCAATCTAATGAATAAAAAATGTGAGCTAATTGTTGATTTAATTTTCATTTCCCTGATTACTAGTCAAGTTGAACAACTTTTCATATGTTTATAGTCTGTTGGCATTTCTTTTCATGTTAATTGCCTATCTCTATTCTTTCTCAATTTTTCTGGCATTTATAGCTTTTTTATATTCTGAATATTAATCCTGCCTATAATTTTTGTGATAAACATTTTCTCTTAGTATGTTGCTTATTTTTCCCCAAATTTCATTAAGAAAAATTTCAAATACTCAGCAATTTTTTAAAATGTTGCTTATTTTTTTTTAACTTCTCTTATGCCTTTTGTATACAGAGAGTTTAAATTTATTTTACACATCTGTGAACAGCTTTTTCAAACTTCTGACATTTTGTATTCTACGTAGGAAGACTTAACTCACTCCAAAGCCATCAAAATATTCTTGTTCATTTTCATCTAATATTATCATTGTATTTAATACAGCATTCTTCAGCCCATCTCAGTTATATTTTGATGCTGGGAACAGAGAGTTGGGGCACATCTAGCTTTATTAAATCAATGACATTGAGACTACTAGTTATCCATTTGAAGGGAAAATAGGCCATTCTTTTTCTTTCCCTGTGAAATTCAATCTGTTCCCTAAGCTAAATTTCTGTATCTACTTGGAACCGTTTCTATATCCTCTGTTTTATTCTAATGATCTATTTATTAATTTCTCCACCAATAAACACACTGTTTTAATTATTTTTATCATAGATTTTTGTTAGATCAATTACATTAGTCACTTCTCTGTCAATGGTTCTTTTTTTCTTTCTTTTTTAAGTTTCTCTGTCTTATAAAATTTATAACCAGAAGGGGGTAGCCCTGGCTCACCAAAGGGAATGTGTTGGGTCTGCACTCTCCAGTGATTATATCATGCCTGAGGGTTCAGCATCCTTCTGCTCTCTACCGCAAAGAAAGGGTAACATCTTAGAGTCTGATAGAAATAATCGCTTCCCCTCTGGTGGAGACTAGAGAGAGCTACCCTATTAGGTTGAGCCTTGGCACCATGACATCTTCCGCACAGCCTCTGGGACTTGTTCAAGAAAAAAAGAGCTGCTGCTGGAGTCTTGCAGTTTCATCTTTCCATGCCCAATACTTTGTGAGGATCTCTGCTGCTTCACAGGGTCACAAATGAGGGTCACAAATATGGACACTTAATTGGTAATAAAAATCTTGTACTCCTATCCCCATTTGCTAACTTGCTCTGAATCTAGTTCCTTTGAACACTTAGTTTTGAGTAAGTGGTATAGAGGAATTTGTAAGAACTTGCCCTCTCCCATGATCTGCCTTTGGCTCCTTCTAAGTTGCTGATATGGTTTAGCTGTGTCCCCACCCAAATCTCATCTTGAATTGTAGCTCCCATAATTCTCATGTACTGTGGGAGGGTCCTGGTAGAAGATAATTGAATCATGGGGGCAGTTTCCCCTACACTGTTCTTGTGGAAATATATGTCTCATGAGATCTGATAGTTTTTATAAGGGAAAACCCCTTTCACTTGGGTCTCATTCTCTCTTGTCTACCACCATGTAAGACGTCCTTTGCTCTTCTGCCATGATTGTGAGGCATCACCAGCCATGTGGAACTGTGAGTCCATTAAACCTCTTTTTCTATATAAATTACCCACTCTCGGGTATGTCTTTATCAGCAGCATGAAAATGGATTAATACAGTTGCCTATCTGATTTTGTTTCCATCATTTATTCCCTTCCCAGATCTTATACAATGTTCAGCTTTGGGATGCACATATAATACTCTCCCCTCGCCCATATTAACCTAATGCTGTAACAAAACTGTATGTATATATGTAAATCTTTAACCATCAGAACAAGATGGAGAATATTATAACTAGGAAATAGGGATTTATAATTTTTCTGTAATAGGACAGTGCTGCCTACTTGAACAACTTCCACAATACAAGCCATAACTGCTCACCTAGTGAACAACAGAGAAGACAAAGTCATCACAGTCAGAGGGATATAACTCTTGGCCTTTTGGACTATATCCCCACCCAGATTCTTCAAGTGATTGGAATGACTGAATCTAATGAGATAAAAGATAATTTCAGGAGAATCCGCAGACCCTTTGAGGGAACTGTATTGCCACTGCAGGCTCCCCAAATGCCAAAAACTGTGAGTCTGCTTGTTTTCCCAGCAGGAAGCCTCGGGGTATGGAGCAAGTTCTCAACTCTGGTCACTGGCTGCTTGGAAATAGACTCGGTGCTGTTGGTGGGGGTGCATAATGGGAATGAGACATGCCTTTAGGACTGCAGGATGCACGAAAGTGGGTTGAAGCCTGTGACTGCCAGCTTTCCCCACTTCCCTGGTGACCTGTGTGACTCAGCAGAGACAGCCGTAATCCCCCTGGAAACATAACTCCATTGGCCTGGAACCACACCTCCATCCCCCACAGCATCTGCAGCAAGCCCCCAAAGAGAGGCTGAGCTCAGACATGCCTATCCCTGCCCCAACCTGGTGGTATTTCTCTACCTGCCCTGGTTGCCAAAGACAAAGGACATAATCTCTTGGGAGCTCTATGGCCCTGCCCACTGCCTGAGAAACCTAAATACATAACCAGGTAACCCTAGAGCAAGTTTACTTCCTTCCTATAGTACCACAGCTGATGCGCTCTTGAAAGCACCACCTTCTGGCTGGAGGCCAATCAACACAAAACCAGTACACTCAACAAAAATTACAACCAAGGACCCTCACAGGGTCAACTTTACTCCCCTGCTACCTCCACTGGAGCAGGTGCTGGTAACCATAGCTGAAAGACCTGAAGACAAATCACACCACAGTACTCTTTGCACACACTCCCCAGTACCAGCCCAGAGCCCAGTAGATCCACTGGGTGGCTAGACCCAGAAGAGCAAAAACAATCACTGCAGTTCAGCTCTTAAGAAATCTCATCCCAAGGGGAAAGGGGAGAATTCCACATTAAAGGAGCATCCCATGGGACAAAAGAATCTGAACAACAGCCCTTGAGTCCCAGATTTTCCCTCTGACATAGTCTACCAAAATGAGAAGGAACCAGAAAAATAATTCTGGTAATATGACAAAACAAGGTTCTTCAACACCACGAGAAGATTACACCAGATCACCAGCAATGGATCCAAACCAAAATGAAACCTCTGAATTGCCAGAAAAATAATTCAGAGTGTTGATTATTAAGCTAATCAAGGAGGCACCAGAGAAATGTGAACCCCATCTTAAAGAAATTAAAAACGTGATACAAGGTATGAAAGGAAAATTCTCCAGTGAAATAAGTAGCATAAATAAAAAACAATCACAACTTCTGGAAATCAAGGACACATTTAGAAAAATGCAATTTGCACTGGAAAGTCTCAGCAATAGAATCAAACTAGCAGAAGAAAGAACTTCAGAGCTCAAAGACAAGGCTTTCAGATTAACCCAATCCATCAAAGACAAAGAAAAAATAATTTTTAAAAGTGAACAAAGGATTCAAGAAGTTTAGGACTATGTTAAGCATCCAAACCTAAGAGTAACTGGTGTTCCAGAGGAAGAAGAAAAATCTAAAAGCTTGGAAAACATACTTGAGGAAATAATTGAGGAAAACTTCCCCAGCCTTGCTAGAGATCTAGATTTCCAAATACAAGAAGCTCAAAGAACACCAGGGAAATTCATGTCAAAAAGATCATTCTCTAGGCAAATAGTCAGAAGGTTATCTAAAGTTAAGATGAAGGAAATAATCTTAGGAGCTGTGAGGCAAAAGCACCAGGTGACCTATAAAGGAAAACCTATCAGAGTAATAGCAGATTTCTCATTAGAAACCCTACAAGCTAGAAGGGATTGGGGTCCTATTTTTAGCCTCTTTAAACAAAACAATTATTGGCCAAGAATTTTGCATACAGCAAAACTAAGTTTTATAAACAAAGGAAGGATACAGTCTTTTCCAGACAAACAAATGCTAAGAGAATTCGCCACTACCAAGCCAGCACTACAAGAACTGCTAAAATGATCTCTAAATGTTGAAACAAATCCTCAAAATACATTAAAATTGAACCTCCTTAAAGCATGAATCTCACAGGACATATATAGCAATAGAACAATGAAAAATAAACGAGGTATTCAGGCAACAAATAGCACAATAGAATAGTGCCTCACATCTCAATACTAATATTGAATGCAAATAATGGAAGATTGGATAAGAACTTATCAACCAAGTTTCTGCTGTCTTCAGCAGACTCACCTAACACATAAGGACTCACATAAACTTAAGGTAAAGGGGTGGAAAAAGATATTCCATGCAAATGGACACCAAAAGTGAGCAGGAGTAGCTATGCTTACATCAGAAAAACAAACTTTAAATCAATAGCAGTTAAAAAAGACAAAGAGGGATATTATATGATGATAAAAGGACTATTACAACAGGAAAATATCACAATCTTAAATATATATACACCTAACACTGGAGCTCCCAAATTTATAAAACAATTACTACTAGACCTAACTAAGAAATGAAATAGACAGCAACACAATAACAGTGGAGGACTTTAATACTCCATTGACAGCACTAGATAGGTCTTCAAGACAGAGAGTCAACAAAGAAACAATGGACTTCAACTATACACTAGGCCAGGTGTGGTGGCTTGCACCTGTAATCCCAGCACTTCAGGAGGCCAAGGCAGGTGGATCACGAGGTCAGGAGTCCAAGATCAGCCTGGCCAAGATAGTGAAACCCTGTCTCTACTAAAAATACAAAAAATTAGCCAGTCATGGTGGTGAGCGCCTGTAGTCCCAGCCACTCAGGAGGCTGAGGCAGAGAATTGCTTGAGCTTGGGAGTCAGAGGTTGCAGTGAGCCGAGATTGCACCACTGAACTCCAGCCTGGGTGACACAGTGAGACTCTGTCTCAAAAAACAAAAACAAAAACAAACAAACAAAAAACTATACCCTAGAACAAATGGACTTAACAGATTTTTACAGAACATTCTACCCAACAACTGCAGAATATACATTCTATTCATTAGTACGTGGAACATTCTCCAAGATAGACCATATAATGAGGCACAAAACAAGTCTCAGTAAATTTAAGAAAATTGAAATTATATCAAGTACTCTCTTAGAGTGCAGTGGAATAAAATTGGAAATTAACTCCCAAAGGAACCCTCAAAACCATGGAAATTAAATAACTTGCTCCTGAATGATCTTCGGGTCAACAATGAAATCAAGATGGAAATTTAAAAATTATTTGAACCGAACTATAATAGTGACACAACCTATCAAACCTCTGAGATACAGCAAAAGTGGTGCTAAGAGCAAAGTTCATAGCATTAAATGCCTACATCAAAAAGTGTGAAAGAGCACAAACAGACAATCAAAGGTCACACCTCTTGGAACTGAAGAAACAAGACCAATCCAAACCCAAACCCAGCAAAAGAAAAGAAATAACAAAGATCAGAGCAGAATTAAATGAAATTGAAACAAGAAAATAAAAAAAGATAAATGAAACAAAAAGCTGGTTCTTTGAAAAGATAAATAAAACTGATAGACCATTAGTGAGAGTAACCAAGAAAAGAAGAGAGGAGATCCAAATAAGTTCAATTAAAAAAAAAAAGGAGATATTACTGCAGACCAATACCCCGATGAACTTAGAAGCAAAAATCCTCAACAAAATACTAGCTAACTGAACCCAACAGCATATCAAAAAGATAATCCACCATGATCAAGTGGGTTTCATACCAGGCATGCAATGAAGGTTTAATATCTGCAAGTCAATAAATGTGATACACCACATAAACAGAATTAAAAACAAAAATCATATGATCATCTCAATAGCTGCAGAAAAGCATTTGACAAAATCTAGCATCCCTTTATGATCAAAACCCTCAGCAAAATAGGCATAGAAGGGACATACCTTAAGGTAATAAAAGCCATCTATGACAAACCCACAGCCAACATTATACTGAATGGGGAAAAGTTGAAAGCATTCCTCCTGAGAACTGGAACAACACAAGGATGCCCATTTTCACCATTTCTATTCAACACATTATCAGAAGTTCTAGCGAGAGCAATCAAACAAGAGAAAGAAATCAAGGGCATCCAAATGGGTAAAGAGGAAGTCAAACTGTTGCTTTTTGCTGAAGATATGACCGTATACCTAGAAAACCCTAAAGACTCATCCAAAAAACTCCTAGAACTGGTAAATTAACTAGCAAAGTTTCCAGATACAAAATTAATATACACAAATAAGTAGTTCTGCTATACATCAACAGTAAACATGCTGAGAATCAAATCAAGAACTCAACCCCTTTATAATAGCTGCAATAAAATAAAATAAAATACTTATGAAAATACCCAAAAAGGAGGTAAAAGACCTCTACAAGGAAAACTGTAAAACACTGCTGAAAGATATCATAGATGACACGAACAAATGGAAACACATCTAATGCTCATGAATGGGTAGAATCAATATCATGAAAATGACCATACTGCCAAAAGCAATATACAAATTCAGTGCAATTCCTATCAAAATACCACCATCATTCTTCACAGAATGAAGAACAGTTCCTCATATAGAACCAAGAAAGAGCCCACACAACAAAAACAAGACTAAGTAAAAAGAATAAATGTGGAGGCATCACATTAACCGACTTCAAACTATACTATAAGGCCATAGTCACCAAGACAGCATGGTACTGGCATAAAAATGGGCACAAAGACCAATGGAACAGAATAGAGAACCCAGAAATAAAGCCAAATACTTACAGCCAACTGATCTTTGACAAAGCAAACAGAAACCTAAAGTGGGGAAAGGACATCCTTTTCAACAAATGGTGCTGGGATAATTGTCAAGCCACATATAAAAGAATGAAACTGGATTCTCATCTCTCAGCTTACACAAAAATCGACTCAAGATGGATTAAAGACTTAAATCTAAGACCTGAAACCATAAATAGTGTAGAAGATAATATCAGAAAACCCTTCTAGACATTGACTTAGGCAAAGACTTCCTGACCAAGAACTCAAAAGCAAATGCAGCAAAAATAGAGATAAATAGCTGGAACATAATTGAACTAAAAAGCTTCTGCACAGCAAAAGAAGTAATCACCAAACAGACAACCCACAGAGTGGGAGAGAATCTTCACAATCTATACATCTGACAAAAGGCTAATATCCAGAACCTACAAAGAACTCAAACAAATCAGCAAGATAAAAATAAACAATCCCATCAAAAAATGGGCTAAGAATATGAATAGAAAATTCTCAAAAGAAGATATACAAATGGATAAGAAGCATATGGAAAAATCATCAATATCATTAACTATCAGGGAAATGCAAATCAAAATCACAATGTAATAACACCTCACTCCAGCAAGAAAGGCCACTATAAAAAAATCAAAAAATACGGGTGGCAGTTCCAAGATGGCCGAATGGGAACAGCTCCAGTCTACAGCTCCCAGCATGAGCGATGCAGAAGATGGGTGATTTCTGCATTTCCAACAGAGGTACCAGGTTCATCTCACTGGGGCTTGTCAGACAGTGGGGGCAGGACAGTGGGTGCAGCCCACCGAGTGTGAGCCGAAGCAGGGAGAGGCATCGCCTCACCCGGGAAGCACAAGGGGTCAGGGAATTCCCTTTCCTAGCCAAGGGAAGTGGTGACAGACGGCACCTGGAAAATGGAGTCACTCCCACCCTAATACTGCACTTTTCCAACAGTCTTAGCAAACAGCACACCAGGAGATTATATCCCGTGCCTGGCTCAGAGGGTCCCACACCCATGGAGCCTCACTCATTGCTAGCACAGCAGTCAGAGATCTATCTGCAAGGCAGCAGCGAGGCTGGTGGAGGGGCACCTGCCATTGCTGAGGCTTCAGTAGGTAAACAAAGTGGCCAGGAAGCTTGAACTGGGTGGAGCCCACCGCAGCTCAAGCAGGCCTGCCTGCCTCTGTACACTCTACCTCTGGGGGCAGGGCATATCCAAACAAAAGGCAGCAGAAACCTCTGCAGACTTAAATGTCCCTGTCTGACAGCTTTGAAGTGAGTAGTGGTTCTCCCAGCATGGAGTTTGAGATCTGAAAATGGACAGACTGCCCCTGAAGTGGGTCCCAGACCCCCGAGTGGCCTAACTGGGAGGCATCCTCCAGTAGGGGCAGACTGATACCTCACACAGCCCGGTACCCCTCTGAGACGAAGCTTCCAGAGGAATGATCAGGCAGCAACATTTGCTGATCAGCAATATTCGCTGTTCTGCAGCCTCTGCTGCTGATACCCAGGCAAACAGGGTCTGGAGTGGACCTCCAGCAAGCTCCAACAGACCTGCAGCTGAGGGTCCTGACTGTTAGAAGGAAAACTAACAAACAGAAAGGACATCCACAGCAAAACCCCATCTGTACGTCACCATCATCAAAGACCAAAGGTAGATAAAAGCACAAAGATGGAGAAAAAACAGAGCAGAAAAGCTGAAAATTCTAAAAATCACAGCACCTCTCCCCCTCCAAAGGAATGCAGCTCCTTACCAGCAACGGAACAAAGCTGAATGGAGAATGACTTTGATGAGTTGAGAGAAGAAGGCTTCAGATGATCAAACTTCTCCGAGCTAAAGAAGGAAGTTCAAACCCATTGCAAAGAAGCTAAAAACCTTGAAAAAAGATTAGATAAATGGCTAACTAGAATAACCAATCCAGAGAAGTCCTTAAATGACCTGATGGAGTTGAAAACCACGGCATGAGAACTACGTGACAAATGCACAAGCTTCAGTAGCCGATTCAATCAACTGGAAGAAAGTGTATCAGTGATTGAAGATCAAATGAATGAAATAAAGTGAGAAGAGAAGCTTAGAGAAAAAAGAGTAAAAAGAAAGCCTACAAGAAATATGGGACTATGTGAAAAGACCAAATCTACACCTGATTGGTGTACCTGAAAGTGATGGGGAGAATGGAACCAAGTTGGAAAACACTCTGCAGGATATTATCCAGGAGAACTTCCCCAACCTAGCAAGACAGGCCAGCATTCAAATTCAGGAAATACACAGAATGCCACAAAGATACTCCTCGAGAAGAGCAACTCCAAGACACATAATTGTCAGATTCACCAAGTTGAAATGAAGGAAAAAATTTTAAGGGCAGCCAGAGAGAAAGGTCGGGTTACCCACAAAGGGAAGCCCATCAGACTAACAGCGGATCTCTCAGCAGAAACTCTACAAGTCAGAAGAGAGTGGGGACCAATATTCAACATTCTGAAAGAAAAGAGTTTTCAACCCAGAATTTCATATCCAGCCAAACTAAGCCTCATAAGTGAAGGAGAAATAAAATCCTTTACAGACAAGCAAATGCTGAGAGATTTTGTCACCACCAGGCCTGCCCTAAAAGAGCTCCTGAAGGAAGCACTAAACACGGAAAGGAACAACCCGTACCAGCCACTGCAAAAACAGGCCAAATCGTAAAGACCATCCAGGCTAGGAAGAAACTGCATCAACTAGCAAGCAAAATAACCAGCTAACATCATAATGACAGGATCAAATTCACACATAACAATATTAACCTTAAATGTAAATGGGCTAAATGCTCCAATTAAAGACACAGACTGGTAAATTGGATAAAGAGTCAAGACCCATCAGTGTGCTGTATTCAGGAGACCCATCTCATATGCAGAGACACACATAGGCTCAAAATAAAGGGATGGAAGAAGACCTACCAAGCAAATGGAAAACAAAAAAAAGGCAGAGGTTGAAATCCTAGTCTCTGATAAAACAGACTTTAAATGAACAAAGATCAAAAGAGACAAAGAAGCCCATTACATAATGGTAAAGGGATCAATTCAACAAGAAGAGCTAACTATCCTAAATATATATGCACCCAATACAGGAGCACCCAGATTCATAAAGCAAGTCCTTAGTGACCTACAAAGAGACTTAACCTCCCACACAATAATAATGGGAGATTTTAACACTCCACTGTCAACATTAGACAGATCAACGAGACAGAGAGTTAACAAGGATATCCAGGAATTGAACTCAGCTCTGCAACAAGTGGACCTAATAGACAGCTACAGAACTCTCTACCCCAAATCAACAGAATATACATTCTTCTCAGCACCACATCGCACCTATTCCAAAATTGACCACATAGTTGGAAGTAAAACACTCCTCAGCAAATGTAAAAGAACAGAAATTATAACAAACTATCTCTCAGACCACAGTGCAATCAAACTAGAACTCAGGATTAAGAAACTCACTCAAAACTGCTCAACTACATGGAAACTGAAAAACCTGCTCTTGAATGACTACTGGGTACATAACAAAATGAAGGCAGAAATAAAGATGTTCTTTGAAACCAATGAGAACAAAGACACAACATATGAGAATCTCTGGGACACATTTAAAGCAGTGTGTAGAGGGAAATTTATAGCACTAAATGCCCACAAGACAAAGCAGGTAAGATCTAAAATTGACACCCTAACATCACAATTAAAAGAACTAGAGAAACAAGAGCAAACACATTCAAAAGCTAGCAGAAGGCAAGAAATAACTAAGATCAGAACAGAACTGAAGCAAATAGAGACACAAAAACCCTTCAAAAAATCAATGAATCCAGGAGCTGGTTTTTGAAAAGATCAACAAAATTGATAGACTGCTAGCAAGACTAATAAAGAAGAAAAGAGAGAAGAATCAAATAGACACAATAAAAAATGATAAAGGGGATATCACCACCGATCCCACAGAAATACAAACTACCCTCAGAGAGAGAATACTATAAACACCTCTATGCAAATAAACTAAAAAATGTAGAAGAAATGGATAAATTCCTGGACACATACACCCTCCCAAGCCTAAACCAGGAAGAAGGTGAATCCCTGAATAGACCAATAACAGGCTCTGAAATTGAGGCAATAATTAATAGCCTACCTACCAAAAAAAAAGGCCAGGACCAGACGGATTCACAGCCAAATTCTACCAGAGGTACAAGGAGGAGCTGGTACATTCCTTCTGAAACTATTCCAACCAATAGAAAAAGAGGGACTCCTCCCTAACTCATTTGATGAGGCCAGCATCATCCTGATACCAAAGCTGGGCAGAGACACAACAAAAAAAAAAGAGAATTTTAGACCAATATCCCTGATGAACATTGATGCAAAAATCCTCAATAAAATACTGGCAAACCGAATCCAGCAGTACATCAAAAAGCTTATCCACAATGATGAAGTGGGCTTCATCCCTGGAATGCAAAGCTGGTTCAACATACACAAATCAATAAACATAATCCAGCATATAAACAGAACAAAAGACAAAAACCACATGATTATCTCAATAGATGCAGAAAAGGCCTTTGACAAAATTCCGCAGCCCTTCATGCTAAAAACTCTCAATAAATTAGGTATTGATGGGATGTATCTCAAAATAATAAGAGCTATTTATGACAAACCCACAGCCAGTATCATACTGAATGGGCAAAAACTGGAAGCATTCCCTTTGAAAACTGGCACAAGACAGGGATGCCCTCTCTCATCACTCCTATTCAACATAGTGTTGGAAGTTCTGGTCAGGGCAACCAGGCAGGAGAAAGAAATAAAGGGTATTCAATTAGGAAAAGAGGAAGTCAAATTGTCCCTGTTTGCAGATGACATGATTGTATATTTAGAAAACCCCATCGTCTCAGCCCAAGATCTCCTTAAGCTGATAAGCAGCTTCAGCAAAGTCTCAGGATACAAAATCAATGTGCAAAAATCACAAGCATTCTTATACACCAATAACGGACAAACAGAGAGCCAAATCATGAGTGAACTCCCATTTGCAATTGCTTCAAAGAGAATAAAATACCTAGGAATCCAACTTACAAGGGATGTGAAGGACCTCTTCAAGGAGAACTACAAAACACTGCTCAACGAAATAAAAGAGGACACAAACAAATGGAAGAACATTCCATGCTCATGGATATGAAGAATCAATATTGTGAAAATGGCCATACTGCCCAAGGTAATTTATAGATTCAATGCCATCCCCATCAAGCTACCAATGTCTTTCTTCACAGAATTGGAAAAAACTACTTTAAAGTTCATATGGAACCAAAAAAGGGCCTGCATTGCCAAGACAATCCTAAGCCAAAAGAACAAAGCTGGAGGCATCATGCTACCTGACTTCAAACTATACTACAAGGCTATCGTAACCAAAACAGCATGATACTGGTACCAAAACAGAGATATAGACCAATGGAACAGAACAGAGCCCTCAGAAATAATACCACACATCTACAACCATCTGATCTTTGACAAACTTGACAAAAACAAGAAATGGGGAAAGGATTCCCTATTTAATAAATGGTGCTGGGAAAACTGGCTAGCCATATGTAGAAAGCTGAAACTGGATCCCTTCCTTACACCTTATACAAAAATTAATTCAAGATGGATTAAAGACTTAAATGTTAGACCTAAAACCATAAAAACCCTAGAAGAAAACCTAGGCAATACTGTTCAGGACATAGGCATGGGCAAGGACTTCATGTCTAAAACACCAAAAGCAACGGCAACAAAAGGCAAAATCGACAATTGGGATCTAATTAAACTAAAGAGCTTCTGCACAGCAAGAGAAACTACCATCAGAGTGAACAGGCAACCTACAGGGAGAAAATTTTTTCAATCTACTCATCTGACAAAGGGCTAATATCCAGAATCTACAAAGAACCCAAACAAATTTAGAAGAAAACAACAACCCCATCAAAAAGTGGGTGAAGGATATGAACAGACACTTCTCAAAAGAATACATTTATGCAGCCAAAAGACACATGAAAAAATGCTCATCATCCCTGGCCATCAGAGAAATGCAAATCAAAACCACAATGAGATACCATCTCACACCAGTTAGAATGACGATCATTGAAAAGTCAGGAAACAACAGGTGCTGGAGAGGATGTGGAGAAATAGGAACACTTTTACACTGTTGGTGGGACTGTAAACTAGTTCAACCTTTGTGGAAGACAGTGTGGTGATTCCTCAAGGATCTAGAACTAGAAATACCATTTGACCCAGCCATAGCATTACTGGGTATATACCCAAAGGATTATAAATCATGCTGCTATAAAGACACATGCACACATATGTTTATTGAGGCACTATTCGCAATAGCAAAAACTTGGAACCAACCCAAATGTCCATCAATGATAGACTGGATTAAGAAAATGTGGCACATATACACCATGGAATACTATGCAGCCACAAAAAAGGATGAGTTCATGTCCTTTGTAGGAACATGGATGAAGCTGGAAACCATCATTCTCAATAAACTATCTCAAGGACAAAAAACAAACACCACATGTTCTTACTCATAGGTGGGAATTGAACTATGAGAACACTTGGACATAGGAAAGGGAACATCACACACCGGGGCCTATCATGGGGTGGGGGTAGTGGGGAGGGATAGCACTAGGAGATGTGCCTAATGTAAATGATGAGTTAATGGGTGCAGCAAACCAACATGGCACATGTATACATATGTAACAAACCTGCATGTTGTGCACACGTACCCTAGGACTTAAAGTATAATAATAATAATAATAGTTATTTCACCTAAAAAAATCAAAAAATAAAAGATGTTGGCAGGGATGCGATGAAAAGGGAACACTTTTACACCATTGGTGGGAATGTATACTGGTACAACCCCTATGGAAAACAGTGTGGAGATTCCTTAAAGAACTAAAATTCGATCTACCATTTGATCCAGAAATCCCACTACTAGGTATCTACCCAGAAGAAAAGAAGTCATTATAGGAAAAAGATACTTGTATACTTATACATGAAAGTTTATAGCAGCACAATTTACAATTGCAAAAATATAAAACCAGCCCAAATGCCCATCAATCAATGAGAGGATAAAGAAAATGTGATGTCTCACGTTTATATATATGTAAATAAAATATCTATATATTAGATATTATATATAACTTATATATATATATAATATATATATATTCCATGTACCGTGGAATATGACTCAGCCATAAAAAGGAATGAAATAATAACATTTTCAGCTATCTGGATGAAATTGGAGACGATTATTTTAAGCTAAGTAACTCAGGAATGGAAAACCAAACATTGTATGTTCTTGCTCACATGTGGGAGCTGAGCTATAAGGACACAAAGGCATAAGAATGATACTTTGGACTTTGGGGATGCTGGGGAAAGGGTGGGAGGGATGTAAGGGATAAGACTACACATTGGGTGCTGTGTACACTGCTTGGGTGATGGGTGCACCAAAATCTCAGAAATAACCACTAAAGAACTTATTCATGTAACCAAATGCTGCTTGTTCTCCAAAAAACTATTGAAATAAAAAATAAATTTAAAAAGTCAATTGAGTTTAAATAGTTGAACGCTGAATTTGAGTGATCTCCAGACCACCCAAACTGTATTTTAGGTAGTGAGTAATAAATCCCATAAATGAGGGCAAGGAATCAGACCTCACAGATGGGGACATGACTTTAGATTGAAGCTCCCTAAAATTGGGTGGGAGTTTGATTCTGCACAGACCTTGGTGTGAAGCAGGCTGCAATCTCATATGCCTAATCCTTCATCCCACCATGATGAGAAACTTTAGATGAAGTGCAGGAACAAGGACCCCAGTGTGAGACTGCCCGGATTCAAACTCTGGCTCCCCCCTTTATCAACTGAGTCACTTTGGGCAAGTTAGTTAAGCTCTCAGGGTCTCAGTGTCCTCATCTGCAAAAGAGAATTAATAATTGCACCTATCTTACCGAGGTTTTGTGAAGACCAAGTTAACTTGCTATGTGTAGAATGCTTAGGAGAGTACCTTATTCATAGTAAAAATTTAGGTTAATGGTAAATTAATGTTAGCTATCCTTCCATAATTATCACTCTGGACAGGTCACAGGACTCGCCCCGTGAATTTCTCTCTATAATATACAGTGCCAGCGTTTGGCTCCCAGAATGCAATGATGCAGTGCTGACGTCCCGTCACTTGCCTTTTCTATCGGAGGTCCAGGCAGGTGTTAGGATCCCATTAAATGTTCCTGCACAGCAAACACTGCAAATGGCTCACTCGCAGACCACAGGTGGTGGTTGGTTTAGGACACATGGAGAACTTATTAAGCCAGAAACAAATAGAGATTCTGTGCAGATGAGCCCTGCAAATACCACATCCACACCAGTCGCTCAGATGGCAGGAGGCTCTGAGATGAGAGGGATAGAATGCCACACATTTTCCAAGGCAGTGGGAGCCTTTATTTTAGCTGAATTACAGTGATGCCAGAATCTTCTACAGACTGGCTGTCTCAGTATGGATATCACTGCTTTCAAAATCTCCTGGTCACGTTTCCATTTCAATAATGCAGTTGCTAATTTCTTTGCTCTCTCAAGCTGAAATCCTGCATAATTTTCTCATTCTTTAATTGCTTTTCCTATTTGATTCTGTAAAATAACAGGAAGGTTTCTATTGTGCTACCAGAATTACAAAAGTAAGGCAGACTCGCTCAGTTGTAGAATGCACTCCAGTTCAGCCCTGATGCAACTGTGTTTTCCCTAGGGGCCATGTGAGCACAGTCAGGCCCATAGCAGCATTCCCTGGGCTCCAACATAGAACTTCTGAGCTACAAAGTTACCCCAGTGCTGTGCACCTCCAGGGGGTGGCTTGGCTTGGCTGGTCATAGTGAGGCATGGAGAGCCTCCCAAATGGCCACTTGAATCACAATTTGTGTGTGCTTTCATGTCAGCCTGCATGTTTACTTGTGCAAGGTTCTGACTTGAAAGCCTTTCTCTCACCTTTTTCTGCATTATCATTTCCTCATTCACCCTTTGATTCCTTTCCCAAATGCCACCTGAGGGATAATAAGCCTTGTTAATTTTTTTGAGGCCTTGCACTAAACACCTGTTGGATATAAATTTGGTGGTGGTGGTGGAATGGGGTAATGGAGTAGGAAGCAGGATTTTTGTCTGCTTTTACCCACTGATGTATCCTGGTGCTTAGAACAGGACCTGGCGCAATACAGGTGATCTATGCATGCTGCTGAATTATGAATGAATTAATTAATGAGTGATTTACACAGATTAAGGACTTTACACAGATTATCACACTGAATCCTACAAGAATTTTACAAAGTATTATAATCATCTCCATTTTATAAATGAGGAAACTGAGGCTTAGCAAAACTAATCTACCCACAATCATACAGTCAGCAAGTGGTGTTGACAGCCCTCAAATCACAGCTATCGGGTTCCAGAACCCTACTCTGAGCCGCTAACTACCCAGGCACACACCTACACTCCTGACCCTTCAGCTATGCTGCATTTGTGTTCTACTCTGCACCTGCGCTGACCTAGTACACAGGATTGATCAGGCTGAATTCCAATTGGCTGTTTATTTGTGTAACTTGAATCACAGGGACATATGCTTCACCTGCTCTCCTGTCAGGACATGGCCCCATCTATGGGTTCCCCAGTTGATGCCACCATGTGGTCACAGAGGACACTGTTCTAGCCTTGTCCACTTCCCCTGAGAAAGAGACCCACCCTTCCCATCACCACCTGCAGTAGGGCATGGGTCAGGCTCTAACTTTGAAAGTTTCAAGACTTATGACAAAGAAGTATAATACAGTGTAATACAGAGGAATAGGATTAAAGTCAGGCAAGGTTCATCCCACTATGTTGTTTATTCATTACTGAGTGGCTTCCTTGTGGCAGGGTACTCTTATACCAGGATACCTCCTTGTCTCAGAATCAGGCCAGATGGACCCTGGAAGAGGAGGATATTTTTGCCTTACCCTGATCTAGAGCCTGCCTTCTAAATCATTTATTGCCCAGGATAATGGACAGCATATGTTTTCAATCCTTCCAGGAGGAATGACATCACCAGTCTGACCCTAAGGGACTAAGCTGAAAATCATATAAGAAACCAACAACAATAGATCCCAGAGTTGGGGTTACTGAGTTTCAAGAAGAATATGTGATATCCATCCTTCAGGTGGGACACAAACAGTCCAATCCAGCAGGACCATATGAGCCCAGGCCAACTCT
Source organism: Homo sapiens (assembly GCF_000001405.40). Lineage (NCBI taxonomy): Eukaryota > Metazoa > Chordata > Mammalia > Primates > Hominidae > Homo > Homo sapiens. The sequence goes on along the minus strand of NC_000005.10, from coordinate 136,819,551 downwards.
TTTCCAGACTCCCCTCAGCCTTAATGCCTCATTGTCCATAAATGTCTCACAGTGGCTGCAAGTCCCTTGAGAGCTGTGACTTATTCACCCATCTTCCCTGTGCCTAGCCCAGCACCTAGCACATCGTTCTCTTCAAAGGCTGGTTGTGGCAAGCCAAATGCCCATTGTCTCTATCCTGCCTCTGATATGGTTTTGTCTCTGAGCCCTGGAAAACATTAGCTTTCTGCAGCAAAACATCTGTAGACTCAGCAACCTGGAGCCAGTGGAATCAATCTGAACATTTCAAGCCCTGGAGAGAAAAGCCTTTTTTTATGTTGCCCTGAGGGTAGGTGCCAGGCATACCCTGGGATTCTGGACATAAGGTATAGGACAAGATGCACAAAAGTCAGGATTAGTAGAGCTCAGTTTTCATCTTTTCATGGTCTGCGTTGACACGACAAATAGTGGCTCTCAGGCAGAATTATCAAAAGATGTAACAGAGGCAGAGGCACATGCAAGTAAACAGACAGGCTCAGTGTGAAACTCTGAGTTCTCTGCCAGTTAGTTCATTCAGGGCTATCCAGGGACCTGCCCTAATTTGTGCAAAGGGAAGAGGCCAGTGTGGTCAATAGCCTAGTACTGTCTGTGAATTCTTTAATCCATTTGGCATACCCAGGTACTATCCAAAAAATTACAAGAGAGAATGGGAAAAAAGTTTGCTTTAGCAGAAAAGTAATTAGAAAAATAATTATGGGAATATAGCCAACTTGAGACTCTTCTATATATATTTACTTATATGACACTTTATTGACATAAGAGCCATCAAGAAGGTGTTGTGGGTTGAATTTTATCCCCCTAAAGTTCAAATGTTGAAGTCCTAATCTCTGGCATCTGAGGATGTGACCTTACTTGAAGATGGGGTCTTTACAGAGGTAATCAAGTTAAACGAGGTCAACTAGGCTAGGATTTAAGCCAATATGATTGGTGTCATCATAAGAAAGGGAAACCTGGATACAGAGACATGCATAGAGGGAAGATGATGTGAAGAGACACAGGGAGAGATGGCTATCTACAAGCCAAGGAGATTGGGCTGGAACAGATTCTCCCTCACAGCTCCACAAGGAGAACCAACCCTGCTGAAGTCTTGATTTTGGACTTCTAGCTCTAGAACTACGAGATAATAAATTTTTGTGTTTAAGCCTCCCAGCCTGTGATCCTCTTACAGTAGCCCTAGCAAACTGATACAAAGGGCATCTGGGTATTGGTAGTTTGTGTTTTATACCTGCTGCCAATCCTAATGGTAGTCTGACTTCTGCTTAAATGTTGTGACTTTCTTATAACATCACCAATAAGGGGCATCTCCTGGCTCCTAGGACCTGAGGATTGTTCACACTCAAGACACAACTGGAAAAGGCCAATAAACCCTGAGCATGCAATGAAATCCAAACATGGGCAGTCTTCTCCAGATTTGTATTTTAACCAGTCTCTGACAGAAGACTCAACACAACCAGACCTGGGTGGACTGGCTGCCCAGTTTTGGCACTGCCTTTGCTAATATACTCACTTGAGTTTCTGTAGGCTAAGCTGTAAAGGCTGACTTAGTAGCTGGTCCTAGTCCTGGGTTGACCAAACATGAAAGGCTTGCTGCCAGTCCAAGGCTACCTCCTCACCAGGGGCTTGGCCCTCCAGGAGTTTCCAGTGCTCTAAACATGCCAACCACTGCATTTAATTTTGTGAACTAAATTAAAGTTGAATTAGGAAAAGGGATGTCCAGACATGTTTGCTGACAGTAGGGAAGAATTCCTTGGAGAGAATGAAACTGCAAAAGAGAGAGGGATTACTGATATGATTAAGGGTATATAAGGAAAGATTGGCCTGGCAAGGATATTTGCCATTTATTGAAGCCTCCTGGGTGCCAGACCACATCCTACTGCTTTATGTCTACCACAACGGTCTCATAAAATCCCCATAAACTATGTATTATTGCCATCATTTTTCAGAGGTGAAAACTGAGATGCATACAGATTCAATAGTATGCTCAAGATCATACAGCAGGTAAGTATGAGTAAACCAAAAACATCAGTTCATTCTATTAGGGCTACTTTCCTTTCCCTCTGTTCCTTTTCCCTGAATTAGTAGGAATGGAAGTAGGGCTAGGTGATTTTTCCCTTGATCAGCTTCTCTCTGCTGGTGTAGATTGTTCCCTGCCTACCTTCCACTCTGTTCTGTGCCTAGGAACTTGATCTCTGTGTGTTGCTTCAATGGGCCCCCTTGCCTGCTGGCTTCTGTTTGAGGTCAGCCAATGGAAGTCACCTGCAGGAGACCAGATGACAAAAGGAGAGTTATGCTGGTGTTTATGTCCTTGCCTCCCTCTCTACTGAGTTCTCCGGGTTGGCTGTGTGCCTTGAACCCAGGCTACAGTTTCCATCAGGTGGCACTCTCCATAGAGCTCTTTCTCTGGGTTCCACTAACATCACATCCATTTGTAGTACTGGAGTACTGCACCATCCCTAGTTTCTTCTTTAAGCCCAATCCATGCCTTTGTTAAAAAAGTGTGCAGTACTCATGCTGAATGATGTTGTAGACCCCTTTGGGTTACATGGCCAAAGATTTAAAGTAGAACAAATTGATCTGGCTTCTGGACGTGTTAACCTGAGAACAGGAATAGACAATGTGTACCAAGAGCCTGCAAGGGTAGAAGGAAACAGAGATGAGCTCAGAGATGCCTAAGGGTCTCTAGTCTAGCAGGGGAGGCAGATGTGGAAGGGGTTGACCACACCATAGTATGTCAGGCATTAGACCAGAACTCTGCCCACGACCTGGCAGATAACCTGGAAGGCATGTGGCTGGGGTGGGCTTCAGATTCTGCATGCTTTCTCTTTAATACATAGGTCTCCCATATCTAGGTTTCTCTAGAGTGTGTGGGAAAAAACTCTGGAGTCTGTGCCTCAGTCATTCAAATAGATCCTGTGATTCTGGGGTCTGGCCTGAGAGAAGGCACATGCCTGACAAGTTTTAATGGTGTCCCCAGCTGGCACTAATAGTGTGTTCGCTGTACTCTTAGATACTATTTTTGCTAAGCACTTGGAAGTCCTTAATCCTGCCCTTTCTACCCTCCCTTTCTTTGAGGCCCCAGAGGGAGCGAGGAATATGGGAAAATGCCTGGAAAAAATAAAATATAACAAATAAAACAATATGTTATCAGCTGTGGTGTTTCCCTCCATCCCCAAAGCAGAGAACTCTAGTAAACTGGTAAACACGTTTTTCTTAAGCTAGTTAGGCCTAATGAACTTCAGACCGAGGATTGATCCAATGCAAACCCATCCGCTGCAGGAGGAATGTAACCAGAGAGAAGTGGTAGCAGAAGAAAGGGCTTGGGTTCCAGTACTTAGCTCAGAGCTGTCCTGGACCTCAGGGGAGGCAGATGTCCTGGGCTAGCCCATCTAGCAGGAGAAATAGAGGACACCCAGAGAGAAAAAGATGTTGTCTGGATAGGTCTGCTTCCCTCTCTGCCACCAAAAGGGAAGATGTAAAATCGATGCAGGAATAGAAAACCAAATTCCACATGTTCTCATTTATAAGTGGGAGCTAAGCATTGGGAACATGCAGACACAAAGATGAGAACAATAGACACTGGAGACTACTAAATCGGGGACGGGGAAAGGGGTGAAAGCGGAAAAGCTGGCCGGGCGCGGTGGCTCACGCCTGTAATCCCAGCACTTTGGGAGGCAGAGGTGGGCAGATCATGAGATCAGGAGATCGAGACCATCCTGGCTAACACAGTGAAACCCCGCCTCTACTAAAAATACAAAAATTAGCCGGGCGTGGTGGCGGGCGCCTGTAGTCCCAGCTACTCGGGAGGCTGAGGCAGGAGAATGGCGTGAACCCGGGAGGCGGAGCTTGCAGTGAGCCGAGATCGCGCCGACAGAGGGAGACTCCGTCTCAAAAAAAAAAAAAAAAAAAAAAAAAAAAAGAAAGCGGAAAAGCTGACTCTCAGGTACTATGGTCACTCCCTGGGTGACGGGATCATTTGTACTCCAAACTCCAGCGACACACTATTTACCCATGTAACAAACCTGCGCGTGTGCCCCGTGAACCTAAAATAAAAGCTGAAAGAAAAAAAAGAATTGCGCTGTGTGCCAACCCTTTAACTCATAGTGATTCTACTCACAGAGGCCTAGAATCCATGTTAGCATTCTTCCTTCTCGGGAGGAGTGAGCAGGAGGGAAGCATGGGGCTTCCTAAGGACCTGTGGCCCTTCCTTTGCTCTATGGCTGAGGAGCTCATGACCGTCTGATCCTCCTGCAGATAACTAAACTGGACAAAGCATCCAAAACCGACGATCTGCAGGCACAGGAGACTGGAGAGTGAACACCATCAGGCAGATTCTGGAGCGGGGATGACACTCAGAACAAAGGAATGGTGTGGTGTGAGACTGCGGTTTGTATGGGGTTTTTGACTCTAGAGCAAACTGAAATCTGCATTCTGTAGGGTGGCTAAAAGTCTGCTACAAACTCCATATTCTTTCCAATTCAAAAAACTAGATGTCTGAGTTTAAGGTCACCACACATACCCAAAAGTAAGGGAGCAATCCCTGAATGGAGAGAACCAGAGAAAGAGGGCCCCAGATTTTGCGTATAAGCTCTGCCAAGTCTGCATGAGCCCTGCAGCATGTGCTCCCAGAAGAGACTCCAGGAAAGCTTAGGGCCGCTGCCAAACAGACAAAGCTTGTAGTCTGAGTTTAATCAATTGCATTATCTTCTGGGGATAGGGAGGAAGTACTCTTCAGGATATGACCGGATAAAACATAATCAATCTCCCAAATGTAACGTTCACAAGTTCCAAGACATAATCCCAAACCACAAATGAGTAACTAGCAATATCTGACCTAAAAGCCTGGGCCTCTTGCTTCATTATCGAAGCTAGGGCCAGCTTTTCTCAAAGTGGGGGTCCCTGGGACCCTTTCAGGGTCCATGAGGTCAAACTATTTTTATAATAATGCTAAGTTGTTATCTGCCTTTTTCTTTTTCATTTTCTTGCAAGTGTACAGTGGAGTTTTCCATGAGCTATATATATGACATATGTTAAAACAGATTGAATATAAAAGTAGTTATGAGAATCCAGCTCACTTCTATTAAGCTAGATATTGAAGAGGTTTGCAAAACTGTGAAACAATGCTATTTTTCTTACTAACTTTTTTCCTAATTTGGAAAATCTAGTTATTTTTCATAAAAAAGATGAGCTTATCTTAAATAAATTAATAAAATATTTTTTAAATTTCTAAACTTTCATTTATAATGTGGTAAATATAACTATTACCCACATAAACAAAAATTCTTAGAGATCCCCGGTAAGTTTGAAGAGGATAAGTGGTTCTGGGACCACAGAATCTGAGAACTGCTGGTATGAGGCAGTTATTCTCAAACTTCAACATACATCAGAGTCACCTGGGCAGCCTGTCAAAACAGATTGCTGGGTCCCATCTCCAGAGTTTCTGATGGAGGAGGCCTGGGTAAGACTTAAACATATTCATTTCTAACAAGTTCCCAGCTGATGCTGATCCAGGACCCTCTCAGGTGTAAGAGATGTTGTGTGTGTAGGACAGACACCCCCAACCCCCTTGCAGCACCAAGGCATTTATTTCCCAGCTGCCTCAACTTCTAGGTGGCTCACAGCTGAGTCTGTCCTTAGGCATTGCCCTGGGAAGAAGGGGTTTCCTTGTCCAGTGTTACATCTCCTCAGGGATCGATGCTACATCACACTCAGCGACTGAGTGATGTGGGCACACAAAGGCCCAGCCTCTTTGCCTCCATGTGTGATGATTCTGGAAAATCTTTCAGCTTTGGAGCTCCCCTGGGATCAGCTGGGGTCCTCTTTTCAGGTACATCTCAGTTTAACATCTCCCCCTGCTCAGTCCTGCTGCCTTCACTCCCTCACAGTTGTTCCCAATAACATTCTCTAATAAACACATATCTCCATGACAGAGTCCCCCACATCTGACAAAGGACTACTTTGTCAGAGGACTTAATCTGTAACAAATGGTGAGAGCATGGGCCTGCTTTGTAGACTTCATAGTCCCCAGTCTTTCTTTTTATTTTATTTTTTTAAATTTTTCCATAAGTTATTGGGGTACAGGTGATATTTGGTCACATGAGGAAGTTCTTTAGTGGGGATTTGTGAGATTTTGGTGTACCCTTCACCCGAGCAGTATACACTGCACCATATTTGTAGTCTTTTATTCCTCACTCCCCTCCCACTCTTCCTCCCAAGTCCCCAAAGTCCATTGTGTCATTCTTGTGTCTTTACTTCCTCAGAGCTTAGCTCCCACATATCAGTGAGAACATACAATGTTTGGTTTTCCATTTCTGAGTTACTTCTCTTAGAATAATAGTCTCCAGTCTCATCCAGGTCACTGAAAATGCTGTTAATTCATTCCTTTTTATGGCTGTGTAGTATTCTATCGTAAATATATACCATAGTTTCTTTATTCACTTGTTGATTGATGGGCATTTGCGTTGGTTCCACTATTTTGCTATTGTGAATTGTGCCGCTATAAACATGTGTGTGCAAGTATATTTTTTGAATAATGACTTCTTTTCCTATGGGTAGATACCCAGTAGTGGGATTGCTGGACCAAATGGTAGTTCTACTTTTAGTTCTTTAAGGAATCTCCACACTGTTTTCCATAGTGGCTATACTAGTTTACACTCCCACCAACAGTGTAGAAGTGTTCCCTGTTCACTGCATCCACACCAACATCTACTGTTTTTTTTTTAAATTTTTTGATTAGGCCCATTCTTGCAGGAATAAGGTGGTATCACATTGTGGTTTTGATTTGCATTCCCTGATCATTAGTGATATTGAACATTTTTTCATGTTTGTTGGCCATTTGTATGCCTTCTTTTAAGAATTGTCTATTCATGTCTGTAGGCCGCTTTTTCATGGGGTTATTTATTTTTTTCTTACTGATTTGAGTTCGTTGTGGCTTCTGGATAGTAGTCCTTTGTCAGATGTATAGACTGTGAAGATTTTTTCCCAGTCTTTGGGTTGTCTGTTTACTCTGCTGACTGTTCCTTTTGCCATAAAAAAGCTCTTTAGTTTAATTATGTCTCAGCTATTTATCTTTGTTTTTATTGCATTTGCTTTGGGTTCTTGGTCATGAAACCCTTGCCTAAGCCAATGTCTAGAAGGGTTTTTCCAATGTTATCTTCTAGAATTTTTATAGTTTCAGGTATTAGATTTAAGTCTTTAATTCATCTTGAGTTGATTTTTGTTTAAGGCAAGAGATGAGGGTCCAGTTTCATTCTCGTACATGTGACTTGCCAATTATCCCAGCACTATTTGTTGAAAAGAGTGTCCTTTCCACACTTTATGTTTTTGTTTGCTTTGTTGAAGATCAGTTGGCTGTCAGTACTTGAGTTTATTTCTGGGTTCTCTATTCTGTTCTATTGGTCTATGTGCCTATTTTTACACCACTATCATGCTGTTTTGGTGATGATGGCCTTATAGTATGGTTTGAAATCAGGTAGTGTGATGCCTCCAGATTTGTTCTTTCTGCTTAGTCTTGCTTTGGCTATGCAGGCTCTTTTTTGGTTCTATATGAATTTTAGAATTGTTCTTTCAATTCTGTGAAGAATGATGGTGATAGTCCCCAGTCTTTCTGATGGGCAGAGTGGCAGTTCTCCTGCCGGCCAGACTGCTTTGCTTTTGCTTATGTCTGGACAAGTTTGAAGCTCAAGTCTCCAGTACTGAGCGTGTGGCTTCTCCTGTAAAGCATCCCCACTGGTGTGCAGAGTCCTGGAAAGATGGTTAGGGAAAATGATCTGGGTTAGTCATCCTGACAATGGGCTGCTGGAGCTGACTCATGCCTGCTCACAGTGCTCACTGTTCTATTTTTAGGAATTCACCAAGCTGAGTGTTAAACACAGTGATGTTACAAATTAAATTATATAAAGTTACAATTAACTAGATCATATAAGTATATAATTAAATAAATATATAATTAAATATGAAACAAATTATATTTTTAAAGGTAATGTGAACTCAAAGCTTATCACTTCCTAATTATTTGACTGCATTTTAGCTAATATTCTTAGGATTATTGACATCTATTGTATCTGTGTAATGAAAACGGTATGTGATGGTGCACCACACAGATACAAAAGATGTTAATAACCTTAAGAAAATAGATAATAGAAAAGGTAGTCAAATAATTAGAAAAAAAGCAAAGCCAAGTGTTTGGAAGATAAAAGAGTTGCTAAACTCTGGGAAAACAGCCAACAAGGGGCTGAGTTGATATCTTTCCCATCCCAGCTCAGAAGCTTCCCGTTTTCCTGAGCCAAGAGACCACTGGAACCTATTCCATTTCTTTTAGCTCTTTGCTGATGGCAACGCTATGCCTTCTCCACTAGTGTGGATGGAATTCTGACTTTCTTATTTATTTATCTGATCCTATCTATGCTTATCTTCTGCTACCAACTGTGTGCTGAGCATTGGAATAGAGAAGACATGCCCTTGTCCTTGGGTCGTTCAAGTCTAACAGAAAATACAGACATGCATAAAAGTAAAGAAATATAGTGACATGTACACATCTAATTAAAAAGAGAACCGCGTAAATATCTATTGAATAGAACCCTTGGAAGCATCAGATAACTGATTGCCTATTAGGAGAATTTCACAGAACCGAGAAGACACAGGCAATGTCTGTGTGGAACAGCTGAGATCTGCCAGGTAGGCAAATGATGCCAATTGGAAAGAACGTTATATGCAAAGGCATGTCAACAATTCAGGGTATAACTTTTGGTCGTGGGGACGGTGCAGAGCTGCCTACACTCTGCCTTGGTTTTTGAAGGCCACATGTTATCCTATCAGCATTAAGTCTGCTGGCATCAGAGAAAGGCCAGCTGGCTTACATGGGAATCACAGCCCTGACTAAGGCTGTGCTCACAGGCTATTATAATCCCCTGAGCTAATTGGACACTATTTCTATATTCGTGTGCTCCTGCAGCTTTGTAGGATGATTCAGAGATTTTATGATTAATCTCATATTGGAAAGGGCACCTGTGGAACCACTTCTCTGAAAATCTTCCAATGACAAGACTTTCTCATTGTTGGTGATGGTTCAGACTGACTTGCTGGGTGGAAGGTGTTGACAAGGCATCAGATGACCTGCAACTTTTGCTGTCTGACTCCCGAATCACGTCCAGGGCTGGTCCACTGACCTTGATCTTAGAATAATTGATTTGGATGAACTAAAATCCTGGCAAGAGTCCTAGAAGCTTCAGCAGCTTGTGCTAAAAAGTTGTTTTCCATTTCCTATATAGCAAAAGGGAGCTTGCTCTGGTATTGAAATCAGGACATAGCACAAGTCCCTCTAGACCCCTGTGTAGCCATAGCCTTCAGCTTTTTCTCTGGAACCAAAAGGCTTCAGTGAGGACCCAAGAGCAATGAGGATGTTGGACACTGCAGGCAAATGAGAGTGGTCTGTCTTAGCTGTCCCATTATTGGGGAAGATTGACAAGTTCCAATTGGTGGGCCCTAAGCCTTTCAAATATATCATGTCATAATAAACCTGTTTGCATTTCTGTCTCTCTGGCAAGACTGCCAGCTCTTTGAGGGCAAAGACTGGGTTTAATATATCTATGGGATTCCAGGTGTTAAATGCTTGGATGGGTGCATGGATGAAAGAATGGATGGATTGAGAGATGATTAATCTTGCCCTATAGGACTTAGAGTAAAAAAAATTAAGTAACTTAGAAAATGTTCATTAAATAGTTAACTATGTACAAGAAACTTTTCTAAGTCTTCTTTATGGATTATTTTATTTGATCTTCATAACATTCCTATGAGAAATATATTATTAGCTTGTCTATTTACAAATGAGAAGTCTTACTTTAAAAAGATTAGTCACTTTCTCAAGATTACTTTTCTCACAAGATCACTTTCACTTTCTTAATTCACTTTCTCAAGATTAATGAGAGGAAGAGGCTAGGTTCAGGATCATTTTTTCTGACTCCAGAGTCCTAATTATGAAACACAGTTGAGTAAGGGAGATAACCTAGTGCCACAGGCATTGAGGGGAGGTAGGGAATGGAGTAGGCTGGGGCAGTAAGAGAATGCTTCTTGGGCAAAATGGGATCGAAACTGAAGTCTACAGGGTAGTTAGAATGTAAAGAACTGCAAAGGGGATGGGAAAATGTTCCAGAAGGGAGGGCAGAGTGGGCGAAATCTTGTTGGGATTGTGATAGTCTGTGCCAGGCTGTGAGAAGATGAGAAAAGGAGGGGACTGGAGGGGTAGTTTGCAGCCAAATGTGTCTCTGAACCAACCTTCCTCCATTGCCTTTTTCCTGGAACTTGTCCATTCAGATGAAAGAAGATGTCAGTCTTGTAACTTACTTCTTTCATCAGTAGGTCTGGGTCTGTTGCATGACTTAGACCAAAGGAGTAAGTAAAGCAGAAATGCCCACATTCATGCCAGGCTGGCACTGGAGTTACTTCATGTGAGAAAGTTGCCTGCTGCCTGCTACCTGTGGCTTAGCCAGCCTTGCTTGAGGTCTCCACAGAGGCTACCATTGGCATTGTGAGAGGCAAAGAAAATAGGCCGCGTCAGAGGCAGATTTGCAAGTAAGCAGGAAGCTCCTTAGAACCCTTGCCAAGAGGAACTGCAGTACTTAGTGTTCAATTAAACAGCGTAATAGAAGAGGGCACTCGGAGCAAGTTATAGGGCAATTGAAAGCTGCTCCATTATGTTTGAAAATGGGACATAGAGTGTTCCCCATTTCAGATTACAAGGTCAGAGTGTCAAATGGGATCATCAGTGCAGATATTGAAGACTCTGTGAAAGGGTGGTGATAATCAATAGTTACAATGGAGGCTTACATGCTAGGCAATGTGCCAGGCACTCCATATGTGTCATCTAATTAAATTCTTACAACACTTCTGTGAGGATATAGAGATTCAGAAAGGTTAATTGACTTGCCTAAAACCATCCAGCTTTTAAGTTGTTGAGTCATATTTGAAAGCCAATTCCATCAGGCTCCAAGAGATTTGCATTATAAGTGCTTCTGCAAAAATATTCCAAATATTCTCCTCCTGAGAATAAAGTATGATCTACTCCAGTGAAAACCAAATGTCCCAACAATTAACACTATGAGAACACTCTAGACCTAGAGTCATGCGAATTGTGGGGTGTTAGAAAGGCTATTGGACCAGTTATTAGAAGACCTGAAATATGGTTTCTAGACCTTTTGATGAATACCTGAATGACTCTTCTTAAACTTGGAGGGAGTATATGTAAAGGAGTTATCATAGTGACTAGCTTGCAGTGAATGTGTAATAAATGTACCTTCTTGTTATTATTTGAAACACTAAACATTGCTTAAAGACTTCCAGAAATGGCTTCATGGTTGGGAGCCACAATACTAGACAATCTCTAAAGTCTTTTCTAGTTCTAAAAGTTTGATTCTTTCTGCTTTCTCCATCCCTATCTTCAAGGTTTTCCTAGAAACTTTTGAACCTGCATTAAAGCATAAAGCTCAATCCTAATCCTCCTATTTAGAGGCACCATAGTTGACATCAAATATATTTTCTTCTGATCTATTTTCTTTTGTGTTTTTACATAATAAATATTATTTTGCATAACAAACTTCTATCATGTTTTCTTCATTTAACTTTTTCTTGTGTTTTTTCACATACTTAAATTTTTTCCTCAATATTACTTTCAATGACTGAAGAATAATCTGTCATTTGGACATTTTGAAAATATTGGTCAGTTTGCTTGTTTATAACATTTAACTAAAAGAAATAATGCTTCAATTAATATCTTTGTATAACAAATCATAGCATATAAAATTATTTCCTAAAGGCAGAGACTTTGAATTGAAGAAGAAATTGCCATGCTTTTATACAAGTTATCCTGGTTCTTGACTTATGAGTCATTTTGCCAATTGAAGCTATTTCTTCAAGTATTATTTTAAAGATAGACGTGTGGATGGTACATTTATTTAACATGTGTACCTGAGAGTATTTTCCTGTTGCTTTCACATATGAATTATTGTATTCTATTGTTATCCCCTCAAAACCATTTCTCTCTTTTTCTCTATAACTTAGTATCACAGAGGAAAAGTGTATCATCATACAGATATATATTTCTTTGCAGGTCATTTGTGGATCATCTGAAAGGATGCTTATAGAATTTTATTTTTACTTATAATTAAAATATTCCATTTTAGACTTACATCTGAATTTGGGTCATTTTCTTTGATTCTATCTGAGAATGTAGTAAGATTTCTCACCCTAATATCTTCCTATTAAAATTCTCCTTAAAAAACTATGCAGAACGTTCTTCAACTATGTTCTCCAGTATTGATTCAATATTAATGATTCCGGATTTTTCCTTAGAAATTCATATAATTATTAGGTGGAATGTTTAGCCTCTGTTTTCTCTCTATATATAATCACTCCCATCTTAATATTTATCCCATTCCTCTAATTATTAAACATACTTTAAAGTTTGCTGTTTCTATCACTAAATTGAATTTTTCTGCCACTTCTGATCTTTAATGCCTCCAATATAGATTTAATTCTGTACTTTTGGTTTACAGAAAATCTACATTTTATTTTTTCTTCCATCTTATTATGTTATCTGTTCAGTTTAGGTTTTCCTAGAAACTTTTGAAACCGCATTAAAGTATTTTAACTGCATTTTAACCTTGTGGAGTTCTCTTTCTGTTCCAGAGAGGTCACACCTCATAGCATCTTCTTAAATATAAAAACAATTTTCTAAACTCTTTTTCTGATCTCTGTAGTAAATTGTCTTCAAAGATTTGCTATTCCTCTGCATCTTCGCAATAAAATAGCCTTTCACCAATCCTGTAGAATATTCTAATGGATCCCATAATGTTTTTTCTCTCATGTGCTTGAATAAATGTGCTTTATGCAGAGTCAAAGTTTGCTATGTGTTATTAATCACTGAGGCCTTTGAATTCTGGTAAACACTTTTCTCGTATTTTATAGCCAAAGAGCAAAATGGTACACACAGTTCCTAGCCCAATTTCTTGTTTCCACTGGGGACTCAACCTGTGTGGAAAAAAATGCTGAGTGCTATGTGCATGTAGCCCCCACCCCCACCTCATCCCCACAGACATACTCATAGAACATGCCCCCCTCCCCCCCTCCCCTATATGTCTTGTTTAGTTGTTTTCTCAGGGGTTATGTCTATGGGTAAGGTAAAATTTACTGAAAAAAAGTGTGTATTGAGAGTGCACTAAAGGAGTAAGAAGCAATATTTTTTCTGCCAAAAAGAGTGACATCCATGTAGTTGAGAGCCATTGCTCCATTTTCTTGGATATGTTTCTCAACCAGATAGATAGACATGTATCAACCAGATACATGTCTCTAATTTACACAACATAGATACCATCAATTTCTAATGCACTGGATAGTTATGCTTAATTATTTTTTACATCATTTCCCACTAATGTGTTTAGGGAAAGTGATTACTGGAGATGTGATTGAAGTACTAGAAATCCATTTGGGAGACAGATGGTTCATCTCAACCCAAGAGCTCAATCCATCAGTAGGAAAATACAGTCATGCCCCAGGTGGGATAATAGATGTGTGAGATGCCATATTTGTGTGTGTGCACACACGTGCAGGCATGTGTTTTTATAGGCTATTGGTTATGACTCTGTGTGGATATAGGGCCTGTGTAAAGAGTTTAAGACTCATTAAAATAGTATACACTCTGTAGTGACAAGCTTTATAGATCTCTGAATGTATAATGTTCCCTTTAGTGACTTTCTACATTTTGAGATGTAATGATCATGCAGAGTTTATTACCATCTAAACGAATATGGCGAGTTGGTAGAACTTTGCAATTGTCTTTCACCACTGCTAATATCTGCCACTGGGGGCAGAAATAGAAGTTGTAGGAAGAGGAATAAATGCCTAAACTCACTTCTCTCTCTCCTCCCTAATTCACTCCTGTTCTCTCCCATCTCTCTTCCCTACAATGTGGCAAAACTGTTCTCAAGGATTCTTGCTTCCTTCTCCACTTTAATCTTTCTGCTTTCTTCTGTTAAATACTCAGAGCAGGTTTCCCTTCTTACCCTTTGGGAAATCTTCCTCCCTTTACTTAAATTCCATCTCTTTTTAAAAAAAAACCTGTGCTGGCATTGGACCAAATTCTAACCTCAGATATCCTCTCCCCTTCTGCCCAAACCAAATAATCCAGAAGAAGATAGAAGTAAAAGTAAGCACAAACATCTTTGTAAGTATGAATTGTAAAGTTATGAATAATGATATCTCAGAACCTCCATAAAATTTTAGAATGGTGTATATGGCATGCTGCCAGATTACTGACATGAAAAACCTCTTTATCTACCAAAATGTAAATAATAATAGTTTATTGAGGGTCTATTATGTGCCAAGTGTAAGCTTAGGTTTGGAATTCGATGATGAATTAGATATGATCTCTTTCGTGTAGGAGCTCTCTGTACAGAGGTACTGATAGGCACTCAAAATAAGAAATAGCAACATAATGTAGTCCTAAGATCACTCATGGGAGTACCAATAGAGGAGTCATGTGATGGTTAATTTTAGGTGTCAACTTGACTGAATTAAGGGATACTCAGATAGCTGGTAAAGCATTATTTCTGTGTATGTCTGTGAGGGTGTTTCTGAGAGAGGTTGACATTTGAATCAGTAGACTGAGTAAGAAAGATCTGCCCTCACCAAGTGTGAGCAGGCACCATCCAATCCATTAAGGGACCAGATAGAACAAAAAGGCAGAGGAAAACTGAATTTGTTCTCTCTTCTTGAGCTGGGACACTCATCTTCTGCCCTTGGATATCAGAACTCAAGATTATCTCACCTTTGAACTCTGCAACTTGCACAAATCCCTCCCCCAACCAAGGCCTTTGGCCTTGAACTGAGAGTTACACATTCAGCTCTCCCAGTTCTTCGGCCTTCAGACTTGGACTGAGCCAGGCTGCTGGCTTCCCTGATTTTCCAGCTTGCAGATCAAAAACTGTGGGACTGCTTAGCCTCCAAAATTATGTAAGCCAATTCCCATAATAAATACCCATAGATAGATAGATAGATAGATAGATAGATAGATAGATAGATAGATATAAATTTTTGAGACATGGTCTGGCTCTGTTGCCTAGGCTGGAGTGCAGTGGTGCCATCTTGGCTTACTGTAACCTCCACAGGATCAGGTTCAAGTGATCCTCCCACCTCAGCCTCCCAAGTAGCTGGGACTATGGGCACATGCCACCATGCCTGCCTAATTTTTGCATGTTTTTGTAAATATGGGGTTTTGCCATGTTGCCCATGCTGGTCTCAAACTCCTGAGCTCAAGTGATCCAACCCACCTCGGCCTCCTAAACTGCTGGAATTACAGAGTGAGCCATGGCATCTGGCCCCCTCTCACATATTGATATCTATTATCTGTATCTGTGTGTGTGCATGTGTGTGTGCGTGTGTGTGTGTGTGTGTGTGTCCTATTGGTTCTGTTTCTTTGGAGAACCTTGACTGATACAAGTGATTATATCTGGAGATTTGGGAAAAAATATCCTAGAAAGGTGACCTGCTAGCTGGGTTTTAAAGAGTGAGAGGGATTGGTAGGTTGAGTAAAATAATGAATAAACTCTTATGCAGAAAAAAGAGTAGGTATAAAACTTTGGTGATATTAAAGAGCAGAGCACATTTGGGGGAAGGCATCTTAGTTCATTTTGTGCTGCTATAGCAGAATATTTGAGACTGGATATTTTATAAATGACAGAAGTATATTTCTTACAATTCTAGAGACTAGGAAGTCCAAGATCATGCCATTGGCAGGTTCAGTCTCTGGTTCCAAGATGGTATTAGGTTGCTGCAAAAGTGATTGCAGTTTTTGCCATTGGAAGAAAGGACAAAAACCACAATTACTTTTGCACCAAACTCATACCTTGTTGCCGTGTCTGCTGAAGGGGAGGAACATTGCGTTCTCACATAGCAGAAGATCAAAAGAGAGTGAATTTACTTCTTTAAGAGCTTCTTATGGTGGCATTAATTATTCATGAGGGCTCTGCCCTCATATCTAAACACCACCAATTAGGTCCCACCTCCCAACACTGTTGCATTGGGGATTAATTTTCCTACATGTGAATTTGTGGGGACATATTCAGACCACAGCAGAAGGCAAGAAGTTCAGTGTGACTGGAGCACAGTATTACGAGGGGATGCAGGAAGCATGGCATAATATGAAGCTGGAAAGTGGGTAGAAGCTTCATTTTGAAGGTAGTATAAGGTATGTGAAGGCTTTTATCTTCTAGAGGGTGGTGAACCACTGGTGAGCTTTGAGAAGGGATGTGAAAGGATCCAACTTTTACCTTAGAAAGTTCATACAGAATGTAGTATGCAGAGTGAGGGTGAGTTGGGTATGGAGATGTGACAATGGGGGAAGGAACCCTGATCAGAACACTATGGCCATGGTCCAGACAAGAAAGAAGCTCAGATCACAACAAGGGATAGATGACTTCAGAGAACACAAACATTCTCCTTTCAGCTAAAACTATAATATATCAACATCATCCAAAGAACAAAATGTAAAAATGTTGAGAAGTTGTTTCTAATCTTTTCTGATAGGCTCAACTCTATTAAACTCTAAAAGGAAATTTTGCATTTCGCTCTATTTCCCCATTTGCATTTTATTGTTGTCTGCAGTAGTGAGAACTATACTAGAAAATATCTGCAGTGGTTTCCACCTAAAACAGCTTAACATCTTACTTTATTATGGCTCCCTTTTCATTTTGAAACAAGTTGGTCTGTGTGGATAAATCCGCCAAATAGAGAACCCCAGTGAGTCCCACTGGAAAACAGTTCTCTATGCCAGACACCAGTTTAATATTCCTTCAGTGGAAGGTGTCTCTCTGAGGGAAACCATATAAAAAATTGTTAGCCTCCTCTTGAGACCATTTCTGTTTTGTTTCTGAAACAAATTATGGGCCAGCAGTGCCCTCACCTGGCATCTTGAAATTATAGAGTGACATTCCTATTTTCAAGCACGGAGGAGGATTTTTACAGAAATAAGCCATTGGTAATATTAGTTCTCTCTCCTTGAAGACCCAAACTAATGAGTTACTTGGGGCCACAAGTTGTGGCTGAAATGGGGATCAAGAAGAAGCCTATTTTTCCATGGTCAATGTTAAGGAAGCAATTGAAGTATTCAGCAAAACAAACAAACAAACCTGAATTTGTTGTCTGAAGCTGAGTTCAAATGTCAGCATTGCTTCTCACCTACGCTGTGACCCTGGCAGGTCATTTTCCTTTTGCTCACCTTATGGAACCCTTGTAAGCATTAGATGCAAGAATGTATCTAAAAGCATCTGTAAATGGCAAATGTTCAATTTATGTCATATAAAAACCTGAAATTTCCCTAAAGGACTGTAATCGATACAAATTTTCTAGCAAGAAAAAAGAATCTGCTAGCAAATACCAAGAACTATAAATGTGTATGGGCCTTTCAAGCCAGTAACTACACTTTTAGAACTTATCATAGGAAAATTAAGTGAAATGTATAAAATGTTGTTTGCACAAAAGATGTTCATTATGGTGATATGTATAATAAAGTTTGGAAGTAATCTCAATGTGAATATCCAAGAAACTAGGGAAATGGTTAAATTGACTTGCTATATCTATGCCACATGTTGATGCTGCCATTTAAAAACAAAGTTTCAAGAAAATTTTAATTATATAAAAATACGATGTTAGAAGAATGGGCTGTATATTATATCAACTATAAGAGATGTAAATAAAAACAAATAGAAAAAGTATTTGAAATAAAAAATTAGATGATATCAGGTAATGGTAAGGATATGGGGAAAATGGGTACTTTCACATATTTCTAATAGAAGTGAAAATTTGAAACACGTTGGACAGCCTTTTAAATTTGTTAAAGTAAAAAAATATATAAATGCCTATGATATAAAAAGTTCCATCTGAGCACAAAAATGTGCATAAAGATATTCACCAACATCTTGTTATAACAGTGAAAAATTGGAAACAACTTGCTTGTCCACCCATATTGAAATGATTAAATGAATTACGATATGTGTGTTTGGACAGATCAGGTGATTCTGTGGGAGCAAACAACATCCAAGTCACGATGCCTTAAAAAAAGCAATAAAAAATTTCTCACACTGTAGTGTGAGTAAAAGTAACTCAACACATTTCAGCTGGGGCTCAGCTCCATCATCCTTAAGATGCAGACAGAACTGCACTGTCCCACATGGTAGCTACTAGCCACATGGAGCTATTGAGCCCTTGAAATGTGTCTAGTCTGAATTGATAAACACTGTAAGTGTAAGTTATATACCGGATTTTAAAGGCTGAGTATAAAAGTGTAAAATATTTATTTAATAGTTTTTCGTGTTGATTGCATGTTGAAATGATAATAGTTTGGGTATACTGGGTAAATGAAATACATTATTAAAATTAATTTTGCCTGTGTTTAACTTTTTTTAAATGTGACTTACGGAATATTTAAAATTAGATAACAGCTTAGATTATATTTTTTACTAGGCAGTGCTGGTCGAGAACACCACTAGTCTCAACAGCAAGTGAAAAGAGAAAGATGAAGCATGTGTCAGCTCTTAAAGCTTTTGCCTGGGAGTGACATATGGGACATGGGTTTATATCTCCTTGACCAAAGGCAATCATACTGGCAACCTGAGTTTAGTAGAGTGGGATGCTCCCATCCTACTATGTGCCCAGAGAGAGAGAGAGAGAGAGAGAGAGAGAGAGAGAGAGAGAGAACTAGGACATTGGAGAACAGCCCTCCTATCAACCACACTGTGGAATGCCACACAGGGGATTAAAATAATGTCAGGTCTCTACATGCTGATGTGAAAAGAGTCCAAGACAAATTGTTGAGTAAAAAAGCAAGTTCTTTAACAATACGTATTGTATCACACTGTTTACAAAACACATGCCCACACAGGCAGAACAAAATTGCACCTATTATGAGGACATATATTATACAGGTAACAAACTAGGAAAATGTCTGGAAGACATACACTAAACGTAAAACAATGCTTACCTCTTTGTAGGGGAGAGGTTGCTTTATCTTTAATGTTCGAATATCATACAATGAAAGCAAAGTGTGTTTGGGCAGTTTGGGCTGGATATCTTCTGTTTGCCCCTCTAGTTGGACTCTTTACACTCCCTGACCCTGTCCTATGCCCAGGGGTGTAGGCTGCATAAATGGGCTGCAGCCTTGATTGCTGGTTTCTGATGTATTTGGCCAGAGGAAGCCACTGGTAGGGAAGGGGAAGAGTGAGGCTGAGGCATGTATTCTCCTCCCAGTGATGTTGCACTACCTCCTCTTGCTGTCAGGAGGTGGTCCCTACACAGTTCTCTCTGTTTTGGGTTCTGACCATTGTCTTCTCCCACTCAAGCTCCAGGTGGCAATGTCATCCCCACTAATACCAAACCCTAGGTGCTGCACTATCTCTTGTGGTTTCCTTATATTCCATCCACTCTCTTATAAATAGTAAGTTTACTAAATTCTCTTCAAGTTACTCAACTTAAGTATATCCTGTACTTTTGCTGGGACTGTGAGTAATACATTTCAAAATGAAGAAAAAAATCATAGAAGAAAAAAAAACCTTGACCAAATTATGACCAAAAATGACAAAATTCTTTGCCTCACCATTTCTGGCATTAGGATTATCCGTATTTTCTGTGCTGTTGTACTTCTTTGTCATTACTAACTATCTCTATAATAAATATTACCTTTACAGTTCATTTAAAAAGGAAGTCTAAAAGGAAAAAAAACCAAGTAAATGAAGTTACCCTAAAATTGAATTTGAGGTCCTAATAATAAATTATTTGCTTAAGCCAGTGTCCAGAATAGTTTTTCCTGGGTTTTCTTCTAGGAATTTATAGTTTGAGGTTTTAAGTTTAAGTCTTTAATCCATCTGCATATGGCAGATGGTACCTCACCATGTTTTAGTTTGTATTTCTCTGATAATTTAGTGATGCTGAGCATTTTTTCATGTGTTTTGGCCACATGTATGTCTTCAAGTGTCTGCTCATGTGTTTTGTCCACTGTTTAATGGGGTTATCTGTTTTTTTCTTGTTGATTTAAGTTTCTTATAGATCCATATGGCAGATGGATTAAATAGTCATCTGCATATGGCTAGCCGGTTTTTTCAACATCATTCATTGAATAGGGAGTCCTTTTCAATGCTTATTTTGGTCGACTTTGTCAAAGATCAGTTAGTTGTAGGTGTGTAGCTTTATTTATGGTTCTCTATTCTGTTCCATTAATCTCAGTGTCTATTTCTGTACCAGCAGTTTGGGTTACTATGGCCTTGTAGTATAGTTTGAAGTTGGGTAATGTGATGTCTCTGGCTTTTTTTCTTTTTGCTGAGGATTTCTTTGGCTACTCATGGTTCCATATGAATTTTAGAATTCATTTTTTATAATTCTGTGAAGGTTGACCTTGGTAATTTGATAGGAATTGCATTGAATCTGTATATTGTTTTGGGCAATATAGACATCTTAATGATATTGATTCTTGTAATCCATGAGCATGGAATATTTTTTCCATTTGTTTGTTTGATCTCCGACTTCTTTAAGGAGTGTTTTGTAGTTCTCCTTGTAAAGATCTTTCACCTCCTTAGTAGATGTATTCCTAGGTTGTTTTTTTTTGTGGCTTTTGTAAATGGAATTGAGTTCTTGATTTGGTTCTCAGCTTGAACATTACTGGTGTATAGAAATGCTACTAATTTTGTACATTGATTTTATATCCTGAAACTTTATTCAAGTCATTTATCTGGTCTAGGAGTCTTTTGGAGGAATCTTTAGGGTTTTCTAGGTAAAGTATCATATCATCAGCAAACAGATTATTTGACTTCATTTTTTTCCTATTTGGAGGTCTTCTATTTGTTTCCTTTTCCTGATTGCCCTGGTTAGGACTTCCACTGCTATGTTGAATAGAAGTGGTGAGAGTGGACATCCTTGTCTTGTTCCCGTTCTTTGGGAGAATGCTTCCAGTTTTTGCCCATTTGGTATGACGTTGGCTGTGTATTTGTCATAGATGGCTCTCATTATTTTGAGGCCTCAAAAGCAAACACAACAGAAACAAAAATTGACAATTGGGACTAATTAAACTAAAGGACTTCTGCACGGCAAAAGAAACTATCAACAGAGTAAGCAGACAGTCTACAGAATGGAAGAAAATATTTGGAAATTATGCATCCAAGAAAGGACTAATTTACAGAATCTATAAGAAACTTAAATCAACAAGAAAAAAACAAATAACCCCATTAAAAAGTGGACAAAACACATGAGCAGACACATGAAGACATATATGTGGCCAAAAAATATGAAAAAATGCTCAGCATCACTAAATTATCAGAGAGATACAAATTAAAACACGATGAGGTACCATCTTACACCAGCCAGAATGGATATTATTAAAAAGTAAAAAAACAAAAACAGACATTAGCAAGTATGTGGAGAAAAGGGAATGCTTATATACTGTTTGTAGTTTAGCCCCTGTGGAAAGCAGTATGGAGATTTATCAAATAACTGAAAATGACATTTAACTCAGCAATCCCACCACTGGTTATGTGCCCAAAGGAAAAGAAACCATTCTACCAAAAAAGACGTCTGCACTCAAATGTTTATCACAGCACTATTCATAGTAGCATAGTCATAGAATCAACATAGGTGACTATCAATGGTGGAATGGATAAAGAAAATGTGGTACATATACACCATGGAATACTATGCAGCCATAAAAAAGAATGAAATCATGTCCCTTGCATAAACAATGGATGCAGCTAGAAGCCATTATCCTAAGTGAAATAACTCAGAAACAGAAAATCAAATACTGCATGTTTTAACTTATAAGTGGGAGCTAAAAAATGGGCACATATGGACATAAACACGGAAATAATTGACACTGGGAACTATGGGGAGAGACAGGGGAGGACAGGAGCAAGGGCAGAAAAGCTACCTATTGGGTACTGTGTTCACTATTTAGGTGACTGGTTCAGTAGAAGCCCAAACTCCAGTGTCATACAATGCATCCATGTAACAAAGCTGCACCTGTACTGCCTGACTCTACCCTCTGCTTGTGACCTTACAACCCACTGCTAACAGCACCACTGCTTTGCTCTCATTGTGGCAGGGCAGCTACCTGACTTGTGAGTGGACTCTGATACACCATCCCACAAGGACAGGCTGAGGAGTCCCAGTATGAGAGATGTCAGGGACTACTTCCCAAGGCACACTGAGCCAAAATACACCTGCCAAGTCCCTCCGCTGAGATAGTTTGCAGGTAGATTAGATTTTTCAAGAACTAGAACCACAAAAATTACCTTTATTGGCCTATGTGAGGCAAGGGTTCTTCCCACCCGCTAGTAACATTTGTTTAATTTCTTCATTCACTTACCTTACTGAGTCATGCACGGCAAATGTCTGCCAGAGCGCACATGGTGATTTCCACATGCAATAAGACAAAGAAGTAAGGCAAGCCAGGGATAGGCATTGCTCCTTTCTTTAATTCTGTGTGTTCCATTCCTTAATTATAGCATCCGTAGTACATAAGGCTGGCAGGGGCCAGGAGAAGAAAGCCAGCATACCAAGGAGGGCAAAGTGACTGAATTAATTAATCCATCCCCAAATAAATGTTCTCTTATCGTAGTGGTTCTCTACCAGTGGCAATTTTTCCCCTCAAGAGGGTATATGGCAATGTCTGGAGACATTATTTGTTGTCTCAACTAGGGGAGGGGCTTCAGCTGGCATCTAGTGCATAGAGGTCAGAGATGTTGTTAACCATCTTTTTTTTTTTTTTTTTTTTTTGAGATGGAGTCTCACTCTGTTGCCCAGGCTGGAGTGCTGTAGCATGATCTCCACTCACTGCAACCTCCACCTCCCAGGTTCGAGTGATCCTCCTGCCTCAGCCCTGCTAGTAGTTGGGATTACAGGCATGTGCCACCATGCCTGGCTAATTTTTGTATTTTTAGTATAGACGGGGTTTTGCCATGTTGGCCAGGCTGGTCTCGAACTCCTGACCTCAGGTGATCCACCTGCCTTGGCCTCTCAAAGTGCTGAGATTATAGGTGTGAGCCACCACACCCGTCTGCTGTTAACCATCTTGCAATGCACAGGACAGCCCCCACAAGAAACTTTCTAGCCCAAATGTCAGTAGTACCCAGGTTGAGAAACCCTGCCTTAGGGCAATGGGCAGACACCACTGGTTAGTCTCCTAAGAGCACTCAAGTTTTCAGAAGAAATTGGAGCTACCCAGGACAAGGCTCAGCCTCATGCACTCACCTACTTTTCTGGGATGAGTGTTGGTACAGCTTAGGGCTAGATATTTTGATAAAAGCTAGTCTTCCTCCTTAACTCAAGAAAGACAATTTTGCATGCATTATTATTTGAATGGAACTCTTATTAGCAGAAGATCTGATTGACCCAGATAATGTTCGATTTGATTAGAACTTTTCTGTTATCTTAATTGTAACTGCTTCCAAACTAAACACAGACTTCAGATATGGGAGACCTTTGAATCTCACCAAAGCTCATCTTCGAATGACAGCTTTTAGTCCACCCAAATGAGGATATGGCCTGGACTGAGGATGATTTCTGAGGAGGAGTCTCTGGAAGCAGGGTCTGCTGGGATAGTTACATTAGGGACGTGGGTTCAAGTCTAGACTCTCCCTCTTACTGGCTGTGTAGCCAAGAGCAATACACTCTCTGAGATATGGTTTTCTTTTTTATAAAATAGAAATAATAGCTTCTGTATTGGGTAGTAGTAGAGTACACAGAGTAGTGTCTCCATACATGGGAGTATGCTATTATTATTAGTGGTGAGAGTGATATCATCAGTTAATCGGCCACTTGACTCCTATAGGTATGTCCTCTTCAGACTATTTCTTAGTTTTTGTAACAAAGCAGGTTTGCCAGGATGTTCTAAGTCAAGTCAATGTAATTGAATTCCAGCTCCTTCTTTGTGCCAGATGCTAAGGGTAAAGCAGTGAACCTGCCTGGCTTGGCCCTGCTACCTGGAGCTCGCTCTTTCTTGATGTGGCCTCACCCCTGTGCTTCCTCATCACAGACAGTCAGAGGCAGCAGATGCAGGCCTCAACCCCTCTCCTTTTGAGTCCAAATCCAGACCCATTTCCCTCAACCATGCCATGTACCAAGTGCCATACGTTTGACTTGGTATTTTCTATACATTCTCTTTTTGCCTGTTTGGACTTTAGAGTGAGACAGATATAGGT
Source organism: Homo sapiens (assembly GCF_000001405.40). NCBI lineage: Eukaryota > Metazoa > Chordata > Mammalia > Primates > Hominidae > Homo > Homo sapiens. Next base: position 136,795,291 of record NC_000005.10, on the reverse strand, counting down.
GTGGTATGAATCTCTAGCTCTGCCACCCAATGTTTTATCTTCAAACAATGCTTGCAACCTGTTAAACACAGTGTCTGGCACATGGCAAGCACTCATAAATATGAGCCATGCTTCTGCTCCTTCATCAAGTGCCCATCTTCCAGAGGTGACCCTGTGGCACCATGAAGGCAGGGACCATGCTTGTTTTGTTACCATGATAGTCCCCAGTCTCAGCATGGTGCCTGGTGGTCAGTATTTACTGAATGAGTGCAAAGCCAAGGCCCATGAGCTGGGCTGTGACTCCAGGGTCTGAAGTTTTTGTGATTCCACACTGTCTCTCTGGGAGTCCCCAAGTGACCCCATGGGGAGATAGATGATCCAACAAACTATAGCAACAAAATATGTCACTAGCCACTCTCTTTCAGCCCATGGGCTTCTAAGATACAATCTCAGAGTTTAGGTGGGAGAGGAGTTCACAATGCTTGAATATTGCCTCTGCTCTGTTGATGAAGGGGCTTTTATATTATTGATCCTGTGCTGCCATTAACTTCAGCACTGGTTTAAGAGAAGAGGAACTTCTGAAATATTAAGATCAGAAAGAAGAGAAAGAAAATGAACCAGCCAGAGAGACAGGAAAGGAGTCCAAGTGAGAGGACACAGAGGAGGATTCTTTTTGATAATTACTGACCTATCTTTGCCTCTACCGTGTTTCTGCTGCATAACTCTTTGCTTTAGCATCAAAGTGCCTCAGGCTCCTCACCTGGAGGATGTATAATACAATTTCTACTTTATCATTCCAAATAATGTTTACAGGCTTGCAGGGCACTCCATAGATGTGAAGGTGGAAGATTCAAAAGTGCTCGAAAAAGGAATGATGAAGGCATATTAATGTATGTGATAAGCATTTAATGATCACCTACTATGTGTCAGGTGATTACTGTGATTACTGTGTACAACCTCAACATCCTCTCTGCAGACTGCCACCAGGAAAGATAATGAACATCACACCAAAGTCACAGCTGGCAATTTCCAGAACCGACCACCCCAATAGAGAAGTTTGGGATGTGCTGCAAGGCAGCTGAACTTTCCCTGCCTTTTCATAAAAAATATTCTAATTCTACAGAAAAAGTAACAATATAATGGGTGACAACCAGGAGTACTAAGATCTGCTCAGTTTGATTTCTTTGGGCTTTTCTACTTCAGTCACTTGGAGAGCGAGAGTGCCCTGGAAGCACCAGCCTTGCACTTTGCAGAGAGGGCTGAGAGGCAAGCAGGGGTCAGGCAGTGGAAGTGTGGCCTGGTGTAGAAGGGCAGGGCCCTGTCCTACTGGACTCCAAGAGAGAACAGTGCTTTCAGGCTACCAGGCTATGAAAATCAAGTCTATCCACTCTAGCTACAGAACTTCACTTTCTGAAGGAAAGGTAGTACAGTCTAAATTAACAAGATTATCTAAAGGAGGAGATGGGCCAATGGAAAAAGAAAAATTAGTTTAGTGTAGAAAGATGTAGATTCTGATCTGACCCTTGTAATTAGCATACGTGTACTTGAGCAAATTATGTAACCATTTAGAAATTTTGGATGCCTGTAAATGGGATTATCAGCAACAACAGATCTCAAAGGATTGCAAAAAGATAGCCCAGTACTTGATCAAGGTACATACTCAATCAGAAGTACTTTTTTCTTTTTTCCTTCACTTTTAATTCACAAAAAATTGTATATATTATGTACAAAGTGATGTTTTGAAATATGCATACATTGTGGGAAGATTAAATCAAGCTAATTTACATATGCGTTACCTCACATACTTATCATTCTTTTGTGACGAGAACACTTAAAACCTACTCTCTTAGCAATTTTCAAGAATGCAGTATGTTGTTATTAACTAGTCACCATGTTGTACAATATATCTCTTGAACTTATTCCTCCTATCTAACAGAAATTTTGTGTCCTCGAATCAACATATCCCCAACTCCAAAGAAGTTATTTCTTAAAAGATATTCAGCTTTATTATGTCCAAATTCCAAAATTTAAGTTGATGACTAGATATCAACAGCGTAAAGCTTTATTAAACGAACAGATAAGCATATGTTTAGTGAGAGAATTGTCCACAGCAGAGGAAGGGCTCCCAAATTACTTCATAACAGAGTCCTATCTTCCAAGTTCCCATCCTGCCTGTACAAACACAATCCGCTTCACACTATTACTCCATTTGGTAGGTATATATTTCTGAAAATGAAAAACAAATAGAAGCTCTGACAGAGCTGTAGTTATCATATTTTGCACATTAGTGAACCTACAAATTCAGAATTCATGTGATTAAAAATAGTCAGTGGCTACTTTGACATGAGCCACAGAAGCATCATTGGATTTACACCTGGTCACCTCTGAGATACCCCAAATACTCCCACTCATTGCTGCTTTTCATGGGAATCTGTTCCAGAAAATCATTTTTCTTGGAAAAGCTGTCTTTGCATACCTATATACCAGCAACCTGTCCCCAGATGCAATAGATCTCTTGAATCACAAGATTAGAGTGGCCAGAGAAGAAGAATTACATAACTTACCAGATTGTCCAAGCCACCTAAATGTGAAATAACAGAGGAGATACTATACAGTAGCACCCTATCCCTGCTCCCCTTTCCCCATATCTGTGCCACTTACAAGGACCCTCAGGCCCCTGCTCTTAAAAGACCACCAGCCTAGGAGTCAGCAAATATGCTTAGATAGTGTGTTGTTACTAGAGAAAAGTTATAAATTAAGATAATAATAAACTTAAAAATTAAAATCACTTATTTTTTCCACTCAGAAAAAAAAGAATTTTGCTGAATATAATCCAACAATTTATTTAATATAATTAGAATCTGAAAAGAAATGCTGTTGATAACTTAAAAAAATTTTTTTTTAATTAAATCCCCCTCTGTTACCCAGGCTGGAGTGCAGGGGTGTGATCTTGACTCACTGCGGCCTCTGCCTCCCGGGTTCAGGCGATTCTCCTTCCTTCACTTCCCGAGTAGCTGGGATTACAGGCATGCACCACCACACTGGCTAATTTTTGTATTTTTAGTAGACAGGGGGTTTCACCATGTTGGCCAGGCTGGTCTTGAATTCCTGACCTCAGGTGACCTGCCCACCTCAGCCTCCTAAAGTGCTGGGACTACAGGCATGAGCCACTGTGCTCAGCCAATAACTTGAACTTTTTGACCTAATAAATTGTTTATAGCTTTCCAAGTCTATATATTTACTTTTTAATTTTATAATACTGTTTTCTAATATTTCACAGTTTAGCAAACCGTTTTTTGTTTGACAGTAAGGCAATTTCCAGGTTTTCACTATTGTATACAATGCTATCTTGAACACTTTTTTTGTAGCTAAATCTTTCTACTTTTTTACACATTCTTAAGTATTTTGTTAGGATAAGTTGCTGGAAGTAGAATTCCTGGGCCAAACGATATGAAAATGTTGATGAGTTTTAATGCAGATTAGCACTATGTCCTTCAGAAACTGATTGCATGAGTGTATGCCCAATCGTCTCCATCCTCATTGTTTCAATAAAAGCTTTGTTGTAGTACAACATATGTGCAAAAAAGTGAGCAAATCTTAAATGTACATTTTGTCAAAAAGTGAACTCAACTGCGAAACAGGTACACAGATTAGGAGACAGCACATCACCAGCAACTCAGAAGCCCCCTCATGTTCCTCTGTCACTACCCTCTTCTTCTACCAGCATAAAACCACTATTCTGCCTTCTAAGATCATAGGTAACATAGGTAAGTTTGGCTGAGCACGGTGGTTATGCCTGTAATCCCAGCACTTTGGGAGGCCGAGACAGGTGGATCACGAGGTAAGGAGTTCAACACCAGTCCGGCCAAGATGGTGAAACTCTGTCTCTACTAAAAATACAAAAATTTGCCTGGCGTGGTGGCCAGCACCTGTAATCCCAGCTACTCAGGAGGCTGAGGCAGGAGAATCACTTGAACCCGGGAGGTGGAGGTTGCAGTGAGCCGAGATCATGCCACTGCACTCTAGCCTGGGCAACAGAGCAAGATTCTATCTCAAAAAAAAAAAAAAAAAAAGTGATAGGTAAGTTTTCCTGTTTTTCTGCTTTATAGACTTGGAATCACATAGTATGCATTTTTTTAGGCCTGGCTTCTTTTGCTCAGTATTTTGTTTTTGAGATTCATCCTTGTGTTGCATACAATTGTTGATATGAATTTTCATAGTTGCCTGGATTCCATTGTGTGAAAATGCCAAAATGCCATATATTATCCATTGTATTATTAGTAGACATTGTTGGTGGGTTATTTATGCTTTTTGGCTCTTAAGAATAATGTGGCTGTATGCACATTCTTGCATGTTTTTTTGTGAAGATATTGCCCTTTTTTCTGCATATACAAAAAAAAAATTTATAGATAATGTTGAAGAGTTTTTCTAAAGAGTCATTCCAATCTAGACTTCCACCATCAGCATGTGAGAGTTCAGTGGTCCCTGCTCTTGCTAAGATTTGATATAATCAGTCATTTTTATTTCAAGCATTCTGGTAGGTATGTAGTAAAACCACATTGTAATTTTAATTTGCATTTCCCTGATAAGTAATGAGGTTAATAATCTTTAAATAAATATATTGGCCATTTGTCATGTTGCTGTAAATGACAGGATTTTATTCTTTTTGTGGTTGAATAGTATTTCATTGTGTGTACATACCACATTTTCTTTATGCATTCATCTGTTGATGGATACTTTAGGTTGGTTCCATATCTTGGCTATTGTGAACGGTGCTGTGATATTGTGAATAGTGCTACAATAAATATGGGAGTGCAAATAGATATCTCTTCAATATACCAGTTTCTTTTCTTTTGGCTATATACCCAGCAGTAGGATTGTTGGATCATATATTAGTTCTATTTTTAGTTTTCTGAGGAACCTCCATACTGTTTTCCATAATGGTTGTATTAATTTACATCCCCACAGTGTGTGAATTCCCCTTTCTCTGAATCTTCACAGACATCTGGTGTTGTGTCTGTGTGTGTCTTTTTGATAACAGCCAATTTAATTGAGGTGAGATAATACTTCACTGTGGTTTTGATTTGCATTTTCTGGATGATTAGTAATGTTGAATATTTTTTAATACACCTGTTGGCCATTCATATGTCTTCCTTTAAGAAATGCCTATTTCGATTCTTTGCCCATTTTAAAAATTGGATTATTTGGGTTTTTCTGTTGAGTTGTTTGAGTTCCTTATATATTCTGATTATTAATCCCTTGACAAATGGAGAGTTTGCAAATATTTTCCCACAGCTGCATAATATTCCATAGTGTTAATGTAATACCATTCATTTTTATTGATTTTTATAAGTTTATGATGATGTGCTTAGGTGTGGTTTTCCTTGTACTTACCTTGGGTTTATAGAGCTTCTGGTGTATGTGGCTTAATTCCTTTCATGAATTTTGGAAAATTCGCAGACATTGACTCTTCAAATACTACTTTTGATCCATCCTTTTCATCTCAACTTCTCAGACTCAAAAAGTATGTATATTTTCTCTGCTCTTTATTTTGCATTATTTTATTTCTCTGTGCTTCAGTCTGGATATGTTTTGACCTATACTCCAGTTTATTAACTATCTCTGTAACTATATCACATTTTGAGGGGTATTTTTCACTTTTAAAATTTCTGTTGTATTCTTTTTTATGTTTTATAGTTATGTACTCTAAGTCTTCATTTGGTCTTTTAACTCTTTGAATACATTAATAATGACTCTGTTAAAATCCCTATCTCATAACTCCAATATCTGAATCTCCCATGGAACTATTTCTATTGTTTGGTTAACTTTTGGGGCATATCTCATATTCTGTTTTGTCTGGTTAATCTTGATTGAGTATGAGGCTTGTGTTCAAAAACTTTGGATATCACGCGAAGATCTGTATGATGTTCTTCTCCAGAGAGGATTTACTATTACTTCTGACAGGCCGATAGCCTAGATGCACATCACCCTAGGGCAATTATGGATTGAGCTTCATTCTTGGCAAAAGCTAGACTAATCTAGTGTAAGGCCTTGAGGGTAGGGATCTCAGTTGAAACTCTGGAGTATTTGTCAGGGTCGCTCCTCCTTGCCAGGCTCTGAAATAACATTTTCCCCCCATCTCATGACACTGATGAAGATCTCTGCTCAGGTTCTCAGCTTCTCATCTCTGGCTCTCTGCTCATCTCTTCATCTTTGCCACTACTTTCCAGTCTCCAAATGTTTCAGGGAGGGTGCCTTGGCAAATGTTGTGATTACATCTCTGGGCTTCTGGTCTCCTGGAAATCTTAGGTTTCTCAAGTTTTCATTACCTCTATAACTCTCTGATACCTTCAGACAGATTAATTTTCAAGTACTTTTTGTAACTTTTGGCTATTAAAAAGAAAACATATCTGGAAGGTTAAATAAACTAGCCAGTGTCATATAGCTGGAAGTGTACAATGGGATTAGAACTCACACTTGTAGGGGGGAGGAGCCAAGATGGCCGAATAGGAACAGCTCCAGTCTACAGCTCCCAGCGTGAGTGACGCAGAAGACGGGTGATTTCTGCATTTCCATCTGAGGTACCGGGTTCATCTCACTAGGGAGTGCCAGACAGTGGGCGCAGGACAGTGGGTGCACACACCGTGCGCGAGCCGAAGCAGGGCGAGGCATTGCCTCACTTGGGAAGCACAAGGGGTCAGGGAGTTCCCTTTCCGAGTCAAAGAAAAGGGTGACGGTCGCACCTGGAAAATCGGGTCACTCCCACCCAAATATTGCGCTTTTCAGACCGGCTTAAAAAACGGCTCACCATGAGATTATATCCCACACCTGGCTCGGAGGGTCCTACGCCCACGGAATCTCACTGATTGCTAGCACAGCAGTCTGAGATCAAACTGCAAGGTGGCAGTGAGGCTGGGGGAGGGGCGCCTGCCATTGCCCAGGCTTGCTTAGGTAAACAAAGCAGCCGGGAAGCTCTAAGTGGGTGGAGCCCACCACAGCTCAAGGAGGCCTGCCTGCCTCTGTAGGCTCCACCTCTGGGGGCAGGGCACAGACAAACAAAAAGACAGCAGTAACCTCTGCAGACTTAAATGTCCCTGTCTGACAGCTTTGAAGAGAGCAGTGGTTCTCCCAGCACGCAGCTGGAGATCTGAGAACCGGCAGACTGCCTCCTCAAGTGGGTCCCTGACCCCTGACCCCTGAGCAGCCTAACTGGGAGGTACCCCCCAGCAGGGGCACACTGACACCTCACACGGCAGGGTATTCCAACAGACCTGCAGCTGAGGGTCCTGTCTGTTAGAAGGAAAACTAACAAACAGAAAGGACATCCACACCAAAAACCCATCTGTACATCACCATCATCAAAGACCAAAAGTAGATAAAACCACAAAGATGGGGGAAAAACAGAACAGAAAAACTGGAAACTCTAAAACGCAGAGTGCCTCTCCTCCTCCAAAGGAACGCAGTTCCTCACCAGCAACGGAACAAAGCTGGATGGAGAATGACTTTGACGAGCTGAGAGAAGAAGGCTTCAGACGATCAAATTACTCTGAGCTACGGGAGGACATTCAAACCAAAGGCAAAGAAGTTGAAAACTTTGAAAAAAATTTAGAAGAATGTATAACTAGAATAACCAATACAGAGAAGTGCTTAAAGGAGCTGATGGAGCTGAAAACTAAGCTCGAGAACTACGTGAAGAATGCAGAAGCCTCAGGAGCCGATGCGATCAACTGGAAGAAAGGGTATCAGCAATGGAAGATGAAATGAATGAAATGAAGCGAGAAGGGAAGTTTAGAGAAAAAAGAATAAAAAGAAATGAGCAAAGCCTCCAAGAAATATGGGACTATGTGAAAAGACCAAATCTACGTCTGATTGGTGTACCTGAAAGTGATGGGGAGAATGGAACCAAGTTGGAAAACACTCTGCAGGATATTATCCAGGAGAACTTCCCCAATCTAGCAAGGCAGGCCAACGTTCAGATTCAGGAAATACAGAGAATGCCACAAAGATACTCCTCGAGAAGAGCAACTCCAAGACACATAATTGTCAGATTCACCAAAGTTGAAATGAAGGAAAAGATGTTAAAGGCAGCCAGAGAGAAAGGTCGGGTTACCCACAAAGGGAAGCCCATCAGACTAACAGCGGATCTCTCGGCAGAAACCCTACAAGCCAGAAGAGAGTGGGGGCCAATATTCAACATTCTTAAAGAAAAGAATTTTCAACCCAGAATTTCATATACAGCCAAACTAAGCTTCATAAGTGAAGGAGAAATAAAATACTTCACAGACAAGCAAATGCTGAGAGATTTTGTCACCACCAGGCCTGCCCTAAAAGAGCTCCTGAAGGAAGCGCTAAACATGGAAAGGAACAACCGGTACCAGCCGCTGCAAAATCATGCCAAAATGTAAAGATCATTGAGACTAGGAAGAAACTGCATCAACTAACGAGCAAAATCACCAGCTAACATCATAATGACAGGATCAAATTCACACATAACAATATTAACTTTAAATGTAAATGGACTAAATTCTCCAATTAAAAGACACAGACTGGCAAATTGGATAAAGAGTCAAGACCCATCACTGTGCTGTATTCAGGAAACCCATCTCACGTGCAGAGACACACATAGGCTCAAAATAAAAGGATGGAGGAAGATCTACCAAGCAAATGGAAAACAAAAAAAGGCAGGGGTTGCAATCCTAGTCTCTGATAAAACAGACTTTAAACCAACAAAGATCAAAAGAGACAAAGAAGGCCACTACATAATGGTAAAGGGATCAATTCAACAAGAAGAGCTAACTATCCTAAATATATATGCACCCAATACAGGAGCACCCAGATTCAAAAAGCAAGTCCTGAGTGAACTACAAAGAGACTTAGACTCCCACACATTAATAATGGGAGACTTTAACACTCCACTGTCAACATTAGACAGATCAACGAGACAGAAAGTCAACAAGGATACCCAGGAATTGAACTCAGCTCTGCACCAAGTGGACCTAATAGACATCTACAGAACTCTCCACCCCAAATCAAGAGAATATACATTTTTTTCAGCACCACACCACACCTATTCCAAAATTGACCACATAGTTGGAAGTAAAGCTCTCCTCCGCAAATGTAAAAGAACAGAAATTATAACAAACTATCTCTCAGACCACAGTGCAATCAAACTAGAACTCAGGATTAAGAATCTCACTCAAAGCCGCTCAACTACATGGAAACTGAACAACCTGCTCCTGAATGACTACTGGGTACATAACGAAATGAAGGCAGAAATAAAGATGTTCTTTGAAACCAATGAGAACAAAGACACAACATATCAGAATCTCTGGGAGGCATTCAAAGCAGTGTGTAGAGGGAAATTTATAGCACTAAATGCCCACAGGAGAAAGCAGGAAAGATCCAAAATTGACACCCTAACATCACAATTAAAAGAACTAGAAAAGCAAGAGCAAACACATTCAAAAGCTAGCAGAAGGCAAGAAATAACTAAAATCAGAGCAGAACTGAAGGAAATAGAGACACAAAAAACGCTTCAAAAAATCAGTGAATCCAGGAGCTGGTTTCTTGAAAGGATCAACAAAACTGATAGACCGCTAGCAAGACTAATAAAGAAAAAAAGAGAGAAGAATCAAATAGACACAATAAAAAATGATAAAGGGGATATCACCACTGATCCCACAGAAATACAAACTACCATCAGAGAATACTACAAACACCTCTACGCAAATAAACTAGAAAATCTAGAAGAAATGGATAAATTTCTCGACACATACACTCTCCCAAGACTAAACCAGGAAGAAGTTGAATCTCTGAATAGACCAATAACAGGAGCTGAAATTGTGGCAATAATCAATAGTTTACCAACCAAAAAGAGTCCAGGACCAGATGGATTCACAGCTGAATTCTACCAGAGGTACAAGGAGGAACTGGTACCATTCCTTCTGAAACTATTCTAATCAATAGAAAAAGAGGGAATCCTCCCTAACTCATTTTATGAGGCCAGCATCATTCTGATACCAAAGCCGGGCAGAGACACAACCAAAAAAGACAATTTTAGACCAATATCCTTGAGGAACATTGATGCAAAAATCCTCAATAAAATACCGGCAAAACGAATCCAGCAGCACATCAAAAAGCTTATCCAGCATGATCAAGTGGGCTTCATCCCTGGGATGCAAGGCTGGTTCAATATACACAAATCAATATATGTAATCCAGCATATAAACAGAACAAAAGACAAAAACCACATGATTATCTCAATAGATGCAGAAAAGGCCTTTGACAAAATTCCGCAGCCCTTCATGCTAAAAACTCTCAATAAATTAGGTATTGATGGGACGTATTTCAAAATAATAAGAGCTATCTATGACAAACCCACAGCCAATATCATACTGAATGGGCAAAAACTGGAAGCATTCCTTTTGAAAACTGGCACAAGACAGGTATGCCCTCTCTCACCACTCCTATTCAACATAGTGTTGGAAGTTCTGGCCAGGGCAATTAGGCAGGAGAAGGAAATAAAGGGTATTCAATTAGGAAAAGAGGAAGTCAAATTGTCCCTGTTTGCAGACGACATGATTGTATATCTAGAAAACGCCATTGTCTCAGCCCAAAATCTCCTTAAGCTGATAAGCAACTTCAGCAAAGTCTCAGGACACAAAATCAATGTACAAAAATCACAAGCATTCTTATACACCAACAACAGACAAACAGAGAGCCAAATCATGAGTGAACTCCCATTCACAATTGCTTCAAAGAGAATAAAATACCTAGGAATCCAACTTACAAGGGATGTGAAGGACCTCTTCAAGGAGAACTACAAACCACTGCTCAAGGAAATAAAAGAGGATACAAACAAATGGAAGAACATTCCATGCTCATGGGTAGGAAGAATCAATATCGTGAAAATGGCCATACTGCCCAAGGTAATTTACAGATTCAATGCCATCCCCATAAAGCTACCAATGACTTTCTTCACAGAATTGGAAAAAACTACTTTAAAGTTCATATGGAACCAAAAAAGAGCCCGCATCACCAAGTCAATCCTAAGCCAAAAGAACAAAGCTGGAGGCATCACACTACCTGACTTCAAACTATACTACAAGGCTACAGTAACCAAAACAGCATGGTACTGGTACCAAAACAGAGATAGATCAATGGAACAGAACAGAGCTCTCAGAAATAACGCCACATATCTACAACTATCTGATCTTTGACAAACCTGAGAAAAACAAGCAATGGGGAAAGGATTCCCTATTTAATAAATGGTGCTGGGAAAACTGGCTAGCCATATGTAGAAAGCTGAAACTGGATCCCTTCCTTACGCCTTATACAAAAATCAATTCAAGATGGATTAAAGATTTAAACATTAGACCTAAAACCATAAAAACCCTAGAAGAAAACCTAGGCATTACCATTCAGGACATAGGCATGGGCAAGGACTTCATGTCCGAAACAGCAAAAGCAATGGCAACAAAAGACAAAATTGACAAATGGGATCTAATTAAACTAAAGAGCTTCTGCACAGCAAAAGAAACTACCATCAGAGTGAACAGGCAACCTACAAAATGGGAGAAAATTTTCGCAACCTACTCATCTGACAAAGGGCTAATATCCAGAATCTACAATGAACTCAAACAAATTTACAAGAAAAAAACAAACAACCCCATCAAAAAGTGGGCGAAGGACATGAACAGACACTTCTCAAAAGAAGACATTTATGCAGCCAAAAGACACATGAAAAAATGCTCATCATCACTGGCCATCAGAGAAATGCAAATCAAAACCACAGTGAGATACCATCTCACACCAGTTAGAATGGCAATCATTAAAAAGTCAGGAAACAACAGGTGCTGGAGAGGATGTGGAGAAATAGGAACACTTTTACACTGTTGGTGGGACTGTATACTAGTTCAACCATTGTGGAAGTCAGTGTGGCGATTCCTCAGGGATCTAGAACTAGAAATACCATTTGACCCAGCCATCCCATTACTGGGGATATACCCAAAGGATTATAAATCATGCTGCTATAAAGACACATGCACACGTACGTTTATTGCGGCATTATTCACAATAGCAAAGACTTGGAACCAACCCAAATGTCCAACAATGATAGACTGGATTAAGAAAATGTGGCACATATACACCATGGAATACTATGCAGCCATAAAAAATGATGAGTTCATGTCCTTTGTAGGGACATGGATGAAATTGGAAATCATCATTCTCAGTAAACTATCGCAAGAACAAAAAACCAAACACCACATATTCTCACTCATAGGTGGGAATTGAACAATGAGATCACATGGACACAGGAAGGGGAATATCACACTCTGGGGACTGTGGTGGGGTGGGGGGAGGGGGGTAGGGATAGCATTGGGAGATATACCTAATGCTAGATGACGAGTTAGTGGGTGCAGCGCACCAGCATGGCACATGTATACATATGTAACTAACCTGCACAATGTGCACATGTACCCTAAAACTTAAAGTATAATAAAAAAAAAAGAACTCACACTTGTAAAATAGGATAATGATAGGAACTGCCTCAGAGGTCATGCAACAGATATTTACTGAGCACATTTTGTGTGCTAAGTAGGTTAAGTTTACAGGCATAAGATGTGATACATCCCTGCCTTCAAGCCATTCACCACCTAGAGGAAAGACAGATAGAAGAGCAAATATAATAAAACGTGGTGAATGTTATAGAGACTGGACCAGAGAGAGCTAGGAGCTTGTGGACTCGTGTGTTTGTGTTTGTGTGTGTGTGTGCATGTGTGCATGCACGTGTGTGTGTGTGTGTGTCGGGGGTGGGAGAGGAAGTTTCCTGGAGGGGATGTTGCAGATAAACTTTGAAGATTGAGTAGGAGTGAGGCCAAGTGCTTCTCAATTCTGGCTGCCCATGAGGAACCACCTGGGAGTCAGGGCTCCACCCTGACCAATTAAATCAGAATCACAGAGTAGGGGTTGAGGGATGGGTTGGAAGGAGACCAGGCACTAGTATATTTTTAAGGCATCCTGTGTGATTCTAATGTGCAGGAAAGGTAGGAAACAACTTGTGATGGATAATACTGAATGTCAACTTGGTTGGATTGAAAGATGCAAAATATTGATCCTAGGTGTGTCTGTGAGGGTGTTGCCAAAGAAGATTAACATTTGAGTCAGAGGGCTGGAAAAGACAGACCCACCCTGAATCTGGGTGGGCACCTTCTAATCAGCTGCCAGCGCAGCCAGGATATTAAGCAGGCAGAAAACCATGAAAAGGCTAGACTGGCTTAGCCTTCCAGCCTACATCTTTCTCCCATACTGGATGCTTCCTCCCCTTGAACACTGGACTCCAAGTTCTTAGCTTTGGGACTCGGACTGGCTTCCTTGCTCCTCAGCATGCAGACAGCCTATTGTGGGACCATCTGATCATGTGAGTGAATACTACTTGATAAACTTCATATATATATGTATATCCTATTAGTTCTGTCCCTCGAGAGAACCCTAATACACAATTGAAGTAGCCAAAGGAGGAGTGGAGAAGAGAAAGTGAATCCTACCAGAAAGAGTGGCATGTGTGAAATCTCAGAGGGGCAAGAGGAAAAGATTCAGAGGGACTGCAGAAATCAGTTCAGTATATGGTTTTACAAACTGAAGTTCATAGTTTCTTAGTGAGTCATAAAACCCATTTCGTATGTCATGACCAGCTTTAAAAAACACAGAGAATGAATGGAATTGGAAATATCAGGGCATGTGGTACATAGTAAAGATCACTATTTCCAGAAACTTTTGTTTCATGAACACATGTGAGTGTGTGCCCTGGGCCCTGCAAAACATGCTTCTTGCTGTGGGCATGGTCGCATGCCCACAAAATTTCTGAGAAACTTGTGTGGGAGAGGGATAAAAGCAACTAGCCCACTAAGCAGGTATGAAAGGGCAGTAATTGGGACAGAATTGCTTTGTGACTACATCCTACTAAATTCTGCTCTTTCAACAGCTTGTGTACATACCTATAGCAATGAGATAAATATACAATAACAAAAAACCCATGATTAGTATTTCAACAAATTACCCTGCTATTTATTCATTGATTGGTTTATTCAATAAGTAGTGACTTAACACCTAACATGTGTCAAACTCTATCCAAAGCACTTGGAATACGGTTGTAAGCAAGAGGGACCTTGTTTTTCCTCTCTCCTGGAGGATATAAAGGAGCTTAGGCACAAAGTTTGAATTAAGAACCCTGGCTCTGAAGTCAGAGGTGCAATTTTCTGCCCTGAGGGACCTCAGAGAAAAGGATCTAACTTAGGGAACAAATAATGTAAATTGTTTTCTCCAATATTTTGCAATGAAATGAATGAGGTGATTAATCATTACTGTACTGTTTCTAATTTTGGCTGACTGAGCAAGTCTTTTACTCTCTCATCTTCAATTAGACACCTATACAAAAGTTGTTGATGTTCACTAGATTATCTCTTTTTTTCATTAAGTGATAATATTTTGGAAACTGTGACTCTATAATTAGTGGTAAGAAGGCATTTCCAGGTTCAACACATCCTTAACACTCTGAGACACTAGACGGCAGTAAAACCACACACATGAAACAATGCACGCTTTGGGGCTTATCATGGTGAAAAGGCTTTTGCTAAGTTGCATGCTTTCTTGCTGTTCAGGTTGATTCTGCTGTGAATACCAGGCATGGATTTTCTTCATCACTTACATCTCTGACATAGGTCAATTTTGCAACCATCTTACTGCTCTTAATCCTCATTGCAGTGAGTGTTTTCATAGTTAAAATTTAGAACTCTTGATCTGAAAATACAATGTACAGTCAGTCCTCTATGTCCATGGTTCTGCATCTGCAGATTCTACCAGTGAAGGATCTAAAATATTTGGGGAAAAAAACAATAAAAAAACAATAAAAGTAATATAAATAAAAACAATACAGTATAACAACTATTTCTATCATTTACATTGTATTAGGTATCATAAGTAATCTAGGACTGATTTAAAAGATATGAGAGAATGTGCATGGGTTATATGTAGCATCCCCAGATTTTGGTATTTGCTCATGAAGGTTCTAAGAACCAATACCTCATGGATACGAAAGGAGGCCTGTAATATTTGAAATTGTGACTATCCTGCAAAATTCTTGTCGTGAGATTGTTATAGCTAGGAACTTTTTGTATTTGATCAAAACCCCTTCTGATTCAACTAATGTACCAACCGAGTCAGATTGGAAATAAGCAAACTTTCATATTGTGCACCAGATATTTGTTTGTGTCGAGGTGATGGGGAGAGGGCACAGAATAAAAACATCCTTTGCTGATATCAGGATGACCTGATGTGCTGCATTGTGCTGTCAGCCATCACCCTGGTGGTTACAGAGCTGAGGCTGGGGACCTCAGTGCAAGTATGAAACAAGAAATCAGAAAACAGAGGAAGTCCTGAGAGTTTGGAACAATGAGTAGTTCTTTTTCTCTCTGTTGAAAGAACAGGGAGTGCAGGAACAGACTTCAAATACAACTGACACGATTTTGATTTCAAAACAAGGGAAACAGTCCCTGATCCTGAGGCATGAATTGCCAGTCAAAGGCTTGTATCATTAATCAACAGGATGCAACTTTGGGGAGGGCCCTGAGACTTTCCAAGCCCAGACTACTCAGTTTGTAGATCGGTTTATATGGAGCCCAGAGAGGGGTGGTCTCGCATAAAGTCTCACAGCAAACCTATGACAAGGCCATTCCTATTGCAAGTCTTGGTCTAAGATGATAATTCCTTAGAATGAAAGTTTAGGTTTAAGGAATAAGTAATTTGGGGCCCTCAATTGGTATCCAGATTGTTGTTGGTGTTGTTCCCAGAATGTGTTAAAATGGTACAGTCAAACCTAGGATAGTACAATTCTGGTTGACTATGATTTTGAGACCTGGGAAATCATCATACTCCTAGAACATATTGTCAGACAAGGGTCTTTGCTTAGTAGGTCAGCTTCTTTTCTTGTGTATTCGAATTCTTCCAACACCCCAGAAAATTTGGTGGTCATTGAGAGCAGCTGTTAGGCTTCTATGTGACCAAGTCCTAACCCTTTGCTTTGTTAAGGGGCTAAATACTATCTTACCCAGCCTGATATTCCCACTTTTTTGTCTTACTAAAGAGAAACTGCTTTTTGCTCTCTCCTATTAGTGAAAATAAGCTTTTCAATTCGTTGAGATTACTCAGGGAAATAGAAGGGAATTGATAGAGCTCATATTCATTATGAATCGGATAATGAGGAAGCTACTTTGAGCATATGGCTTTATTTGATCTCCCAAAACACCCTCATTAGGGAGAGATGATTATTCCCATTTAACAGGTGCATAAAATGAGTCTCAGAAATGAAAGGGACTAGTTAAGTGTTCAAAGAAGCTATAAGCCACAAAGTCAAAATTCAAAACCAGGTGTGTTTGATTCTAAAATGCATTTTTCTCCAGATAGAAGGAAAATCTTGATTGTGGAAGTCAGGTACTGAATTATAATACACCCAAAGCAGGGCAAGAGAATCAGAAAAGAAAGTGCTCCCAGATAAAGAGAGGATCTCTCCAGGTTGGCTTAAGGCTGTGCCCAGGCTCTGTGATATAAATGTATGTAGATGGGGTTTGCTTGTAAAGTGGAGGCATGCCGATTTACTAATGTTGGATTCTAATGTTGCATGACGTTTTGTGCTTTATGGAGCACTTTTATGTATATTATCTCATTTGTTTTCTCACTGCAATCCCATAAAACAGGAAGAAATAGTGTTGATAACGGTGGCTATGTTTGATAGATTTTTATAGAATTTAATATCGTTTGATAATTTCTCGGAACAAAGGAAACACCAAGCCTGTTGTACAGTCTCTCTTTGTTTAAGATGGGAAAATTTGGGCTCATAAGAATCTATTTCACCACTGTGATGGGAGAAGGCATTTGACAAATCAAGGGATCTTTGGATCTCAGCCTAAGAGAAGAAAAATAAGGTTGAACAATGCCTAGGGGACTCAATTTTTCCATGTGTGGGGTGACACTGTGTAATATAAAATGGGAGCCCTTGCATGTATCAATCTCATTCATTTGCCCATTCATTCATCTACAAATGGACATTAAGCATCTACTAGTTGTCTGGCATTGTGCTAAGCTTACAAATAAAATGGTGAGCAAAAATGGATATTGTCCCTACCCTCATGAATCTGGGACTTTACATTTTTGCCAATATGATCGGTATGCCCTGATCCTTAATTGTGATTTTAATTTTAATTTCCCAGGTTATTAATGAAGTTGAGCACCTTGTTGTCATATTGGCAGCCATTAAAATGTCTCATGTGAAGGGATGAAACCAATAGATTTGTGTTTCCATAAGGTCTGTCTGGCTCTGGTATAGAGAGTGGACTGCGAGGATCCTGTCAGGAGGCTGGTTCAGCAATCCAGTCCAAGGCAGATGACAGCCCAGGTTGGAGGCAGACATAAGGGCACCAAACTAAGAAATTTAGGAGTTGTAGTTGACAGCAGTGTTTCCAAACTTCTGAGGGTCTTTAGAATTTGGAAACTGGAAATTGGAATCCTGGGGATTTTCAGGAATTTCCAAAATCATACCTTTTAAAAAAAAAACTTTGAACATTTCTCATATTTCTTAATTATTATTATGGATAGCAGAAAAAGTTGTTTCAATAAATAAGAAGTAAAAGGAAGGTTTAGAGACTTTATGAAGAATTGTAGCCTACAGATTTAAACACTGGAAAATGCTGGCACATTTTTGGATGGTACTGCGATAATGTAGTATTCAGATCTCCCAGGGAGATAAATGATACTTCACAGAATCGCATGTCAAAATTGCCCATTTTAGGATGTAATTTATTTGCAAAACTTACTATTTCTTGAAGCACCACTCATAAGATTTGTATAAAGCATACTATATTTATAAGCTTATTAATATTCATTTTACTTGAAAGAATGACTCACTATTAGCAGCAGAGAAGGCCAAGGACACACACTCATAAACATGTCCATAGCTACAAAGGAAACATTAATTAGATTATGACTGTCTTTGGGCTAATGTCTGGTTCCTAGAAATGTCCACCTTAACCTTTGATTTTTCTTGCCAAATTTTCCTGTTCTTGTTTGAACTTCAAGCCAGGAGTGTCTTTGTGTTACTCGTTAAGTTTTAACTCTCAAAGGAGATTTATATTATTTGTTTTTCATTTTCCTGATTTCTTGACTGATTTTTCTCAAAATTGAGGTGTTCAGAAAGATGTAAGTTTTCCAAGAAATACTGGAAAGGAATTTCAGCATGGAAACACAGTGCTCCTGGTAGATTGGCATGGTGAAACAGTCTGGCTGAAAGGGGGCAGATGAATCTTGTGCCTGCTTTTATGTGTTCTCTCCAAATCGATTAGTTTCCCTGAGATTGGTCATCATGGGAAAGCTGAGGCAGGTCAACTAACACACAAAATAGACATTTGAACATCAACAACTAACACACCACTCCATTATCCACAATGAAAATGAAATTTCCAAACGGAGCTCTCTTACTCCTCTTTTAAAAAGTAATACACCCATTCAGCCTGGACAATGTTATTACTTTGCATGAGAACCAAGAGATCCACCAACAAAAGAGGCCCAGCAGAGGAACAACTGAGAAGAAAGGCAGACAGCTACAAGCACACAAGAGGCACTGCTTTCTCTCCTAAATTACTTCTTTTTAATGTACAAATTGTGAGGTTTTTCTTATTACTGGGGGAAAAATGTTAATTTGTAAAACAATTGGGACTTTTTTCCACAATAA
This sequence comes from Homo sapiens, assembly GCF_000001405.40. Classification (NCBI taxonomy): domain Eukaryota; kingdom Metazoa; phylum Chordata; class Mammalia; order Primates; family Hominidae; genus Homo; species Homo sapiens. The sequence goes on along the minus strand of NC_000005.10, from coordinate 136,776,531 downwards.
AAGCAAGAAGAAGAAATTGGAATCATCCATAATTCCAACTCGCAAAGATAACCACTGTTTATATAGAAAAGGAATTCTATGTATGAGTACACACAGACATGTAAAACTGGTCCTGTTTTGTTTCCTGTTTTTTTCTACTAAGTATGTTGTAAAAATGTTTCTGTGCTGAATCAGAGACTGCTATTTGTGCTCACTTGCTCTTTAGTAACAGAATCCATCAAAATGTTTTATGATTGTCCACAATTCTTTTAAAAACCCTACTTCCCAGCCTCCTTTCCATCTAGATGTGGCCATGTGACCAAGTTCTAGCCAGTGGAAGGGATGGGAGTACTGCACTGAAGGAAAGGGATATGCCCTCCGTTGCCCACTCTTGCTACTTTCAGCTAAAGGGAATGAAGACAAAGTGTGTACTGTCTTGGATCATGCTCTACAAGATAATAGGATAGAAGAAGACTGATAACAAGATACATAGACTGACAACAAAATAGAATGATAATGAGACAGAAGGCTGATATGACAAAATAGACTGTTAACAAGATAGAAGACAGAGGAACAAAATATAAAAAGACTGGGGCCCTGAGTGACTTCATGGAGCAGAGCTACTGCAAGCCCTGGACTGACCATCTCCAAACTGTGAATAAGGAAGAAACTCCCATTTTCTTTGCTTCATTATAAATTGAGTCTTCTTAATAGTAGCTAAATCTATATCCTAATACATGTCTCCATATATCCCTCTACAATACAGTTTGAATGACTGCGTATTTTTCATTATATTGATGTTCAATATCAAAATTTACTGAATTCAACTAAGTATAAATTGTTGGCCATTTCTGTTGCTTTTAAACTTTTCTTCATAATCAATTCCACTGCAATGAATATCCTCGTACATTAAAACAAGTAATATACCCATTGGAAGAGCAGAGAGCAGGCTGAAACACAAGTCTTTCTAAAATCTAGGCCTCTTCTCATGGGATCAGATACTCTGGACTTGGTATGGGGACAAGATGGGTCAACTAGAGATTTGAACATGATTCCTGGAGGTTGATTCTCTTTTAGGCACCTTACCAAATTATTCCTTGATTCAAATCCTGGAAAAAAACATTTTTTTACACAGTCATTATCTACTCCTGAAGATTAGGTGATTGATAACTTGTAAACCATGGCTGTGTCATAATGAAATATGCATGGTTTAAAACATAGAATACAGACAAAAACATTAATATAGGTATAAGACAAATTGAGATTAAAAAATAAAAAATAATCTGATTATCTCAAGTATCGATAAACAAAGTCCAAAGTCATCAAATAATCTCAATCCTTTCCCTTTGTTTTTGAATCCAAGCAGTGTTCACCCAGATGCATGAGAGAGTCTGAGCAGAGATGAAAGTAGAGATTAGATTCTTCTATCTACTGGTTTATGATAATGACCCCTGTTAGAACTTCTAATAGCATAGTCTTCTCCAGATGCTTTCTCAGAATTGTGACATGTATACTCATCTAGGAATGTGTAGCTATTGGTAGTGTTGAAGTTTATATGTGAACTTCACATATAAATTGGCACAGTCCCCCTTTTTTGAAGCATTTGTTATAGCTTTCTCCACAGGGAATATTTTTCAGGCTGTGTAGGAATAAGAAAATTGGGAGGAAAATGAACGCTATAGAGAGTCAGAGCTCTTAAAAATCTTAAGAATCTTAAAAATCTTAGAAATCTTAAGAATCTTAAAAATCCACAGCTATTTATATATCTTGAAATAAATGGCCTTCCTTTGATTGGAAGAGGCACTTCTAAAAGAACTTTTTTTAAAAAAAAATTGAACAACAGCATGATGGTAAAGTGGGAGAAAAAATGATCTAAGACCTGTCTGTCTGGTATAAGTTTCTCTTAGGACAAAAATCAGAATGACCATATTATCACACAACCTGAAGGAAAAAAACAAGTTATTTGAAGAGGTAGGTGGCAGATCTTCCACAAAATGTTTTGTGAGGCAAAGGATAAAATCAAGGAACTGATTGACAATGGGAGAAGAAACCTTTGGCTTGCTAACGTTTTTTTAAGAATTGAGTTTACTTTGCAAAGGCATTTGTGGCTAATGAAATTGGATAGGATGTTATTGTGTTCTTAGAAGACATTTTATGCGGAGAGGACTGGGATACACTTTCACAATTTTATTCTGTTGTTTTTTAAAGTATCAATTAATTGCTCGACTTTGGTTCATGCCCATTGTGAGGTAATCAGTGCAAGATAAGGATATAAGGATGCAGAGTGTCAGGAATGGGCAGTGAGGTGGATTTGTGGCCAGATCTTAACTGACCACGTGGATGATGGCATAAAGCAGATTATCAAAATCTGCCAAAAAATCCAGGAAATTCAACATTAAGTCAGAGTATTCTAGAGCAGTGTCTCTCAGCCTGACCATTGACCCATTGAAATATTTTTTAAAAACTTTAAACTTTGATGCCTGGTTCTTACCAATTCTTACTTAATTAGTCTGAGGAGTGACCTGACATTAAGATGTTAAATGTTCCCCAGATAACTCTGATGTTCAGACTATGTTGAGAACCACGGATCTAAAAGGCTGGCCAGGGCAATGAATTAGTGGTATCTTTTTGTCTCTTCACTATCTCTTGCAAGCCTAGGGAATCTAGAATGCACTTTCCTTTTGGACACTAGTTAAGCCAGACAGGGAAGACTACTGAGTAAGGTGATGTCTCTCCTCTCTGCACCCGAACCCTTCGTGCAGGGTTTAAAACTGTGTCTTTGTTCTTGTTCACACCAGTGTTTCCCCTTCATCTGGGCAATCAAACCCTATGCTTAGCATCAGAGCAGCTGGTGGTGCAACCCCGGATTTATAGAATCTGTTCTTTCTTTTCCTTTGCATTCTTTGTTTTGTTTTGTTTTGTTTGTGCTTTGTATTTACCTGGTTTTTAAATTTTTGTGAATTTTACACCAACATAAAACAAATGGAACTGTCACTTTTGCTTCCTAAACTACATAGCTGGTTTCATATAAGGGCATGTTTTACTTTTTTAATTTTTACGTTCATCAAATATTAAAACATGTTTTAAAAAATTATTTATTATTTTCTTTTGAATATTGCCCTGGGACTCACCAGCGGCTCATAATTGCTCTGCTTATATTTGACATTCTTCGTCAAAGGACGCTGGCGGCCCTAGAACTATAATATCTGATTGCTGCAGAGCAATGAATTTTCAACAAAGGCTTTTAGAGCTTCTACAAATTACCTGCTTCTTTTTAAATGCTCTATTAATGATCCAAAGATCTAAAGATCCAAAGTGTGGCATCATTAGAAAGTGCATTTTCCAGCTGGACAACTCATCGTACATACAGTATATCTGCATTTGGACTGTCTGTCCATGTTAGGAGTCTAGGGTCAGCCTGACCTGAAGCAGAGCAGAGATGCAGCCACACAGGCAAACATGAGAACCATGCTTTTACTATGAATTTAAATCTCTTGCCACGAACTGCAACTGGACCTTGTCTAGGACTCCCCTGACAGGGGCAGCACGTCCCGGGACACGAGGGGGTAGGGTCTTCTGAGCTCCTCTATTCACCACCTCCTGGCTACTGTCTTTCCCTCCTCCCTTTTCTCCTCCAGTTGCCATCTTCTATGGTTGGGCTATGTGTGGAGTAGAGGTGGGAGGGGACTGTGTGCCCTTGGAGCAGCAGACAAGGCAAGTGTGTCTGCTTCTTGATCTTGAAATGCTAAAATCAAACCTCCAGGGATGCACATTTCAGATGCTTGTGGTTCGGGCAAAATAGAGAGTAGGATTGGGCTGCACAGCTGGGCTCATGGCTGGTGGCTCAGACTCCAGCACTTGTGGGCTGTCAGAGTCCCTAGAGCCTCCCACAGTGGTGCTGTCCTTGTGTGATGGATTAGCCCCCTGGGGCCTCTTTCAAGGCTTAACAGTGCAGTGCCCACCTCTGTGCCCTGCTCCACAAGAGCCAGACATGAGGGAGAGGATCTGGCTCAGAGCTGGTTACTGCTAAAGCTAAGATGCATCAGCATCACCAGCCCAGTTCACCCCCAAATGCAAGATGATACACATCCCTGTTGCCATTGAACTTGGGTTGATTTTGAGTAAATTATTGATTAGCCATCCAACTTCTAGAATAATCATTTTCAAAGCTTCCGAGTCATCTGGTAACTTGTTAAAAATACAGATTTTCAGGCCATACCCCAGACCTTTTAAATCAGAAATTCTTGAAGGTGAGGCCTTTGATAGAATACTTCAGGGGAGTATTATATCAAACAGTGATTATGGGCAGAGGGGAGGGAATCAGCCTCACTGGATTACAAACCCTTGGGCAAGTTACCTAAGCTTCCAGAGCCTCCATTTTCTCATCTGTCAAATGGAAGCATGAGAATTGTGGCCTCGCTGGGTGGTTATGGTGCTCATTTGGAATGGAGCAGTGAAGTCCTTAGCACCTAAATCCCAATAAACATGAGCCCTTGTTCTGATCCTTTGTGGAATCTGCCTTTGTGCTTCTCTTGCGCTTCTGTTACTTTTTATCCTATAATCTATACTCAGGTAGTGAGAATCATTGCCATCCCACCTTGGGATGTGTGTCTTGCCTTCCTACATCATTCCTGTTGCTGGGAGCTGTTTCTTCCACCCAGACAATCCCTCTAGTTGGAGAGAGGTTGTCCCCCACACATTTTCATCGCTAAGGAAAAGGGTTCTCAGGAGAAATGGCAGGGAAGTCCTTTAACAAAACATGTCTGTATCACCCCTTCACCCATTCTGGCTCCCCAGACCATGGCTTTAGATTTAGGGGCACTCATGCAATCTCAAGGATATTTGTTCCTAGCTGTGCCCCATCCCAGAACCTGAGCATGGAGATATTCAAGGGCAGCAGTGACAAAACTAACAAATCAACCACATCTGCTAATGAGGGGCGGGAACTGTGCCTGGTGGTCGGGGTCCTTGGAGTGTGTGTGCTTCTGACTTCCTGTGACAAGGCATGGGTAGGGCACTTAGGTGAGAATGAACTTGGGCTGGGAGACAGCAGGACAGTTTTTGTGGGAAAACTCTCAGTCTCCACACTTTAATGGAAGGAGGTGACACAAAACAGTATCACTGTGGAGTCGTGAAAGGGTCTAGGTTACCAAACACACTGGTGTTTGAATTTTAAATCTTAGCCTAGCCACCTACTAGATAATGAGTCATGGGGCATATTATTTCTTGGAGATTTTATTTTCTCTTCCATAAAATAGAAATAATACCTCCAGCTTCCTGGGGTTAATATGATGATTAAATTAAATAAAGCATATGAAAGCACGTCTACAGATTATACCCCCACACTAATGTAAACTGTGATTTTTGGGAAGAACACAGATGTGGAATCACAGATGGGCTTGAAGTTCTGCTTGGCTTCTTCCTACCTATGTGACCTTATGCTTAACCTCTTTGAGCCCTGGCCTTTCCATTTGTGAAAAAGGGAACAGGCCTCCCACAGGAGCCCGCGTGGTGCTTAAATAAGATAGCAGGTGATTCGACACCTGCATGGATCAGATATACGGCAGGGGCTTAGTGAGTGCCAGAGCCTCCTCTTCTCCACAGATAGACGGGATCCTTCAAAGGGCTGGGGTGGGCCCGCTGGCTCCCTAGGTGGCTCCGCTGTGCTTGTTACTTCTGGAGCCTGTTGTGTCCACTCAACCCCATGCTTGGGTGTCAGATTCATCTTTTTTGAGAGCTTTGGTATTTAAAGGAAAAAGCCCCTTTCAAGGTGCTCCATAACTTGGGAGGAGTTGGCTGGGGTCTCTCTTGCTCTCTTCATTGGAAGAGAAGCGACTTCTCTTCTGGGATCTTGGCTCCAGCCATGCATACTGCTTCATTTCCTTCCTCTCTGACTCCTTGCAGGTCTTTCCTCATCCAGTCTTTACCCATGTCATCCCTCCTTCCTGGAGTCCTTCCCCAACCTCTCCACATACCACAATGTACTCCATGCTTAAAGGCATGCTATGGCTTCAGTCTTTTTGAGCCTTTCCTTCTCTGCTGCGACTTTATCTCTCCCTGAAAGCATATATTATCTTATTTGATTTCAGTGTTCCATTGAGGGTGTGCCCTCATCTCCTGAGGAGATTATACTTTTTTTAGGACAGGCACTGTGTCCCTTGCAGGTCTAGTGAGGGTGCCAGGTGAATAGTAGGAAAGCAGTGTCTATTTACCATGTTGAAGGAAAACGAAATATGTCAGCTCAGCGAGCAGTGAGCCTAGACAGCCACTTGGGGGCGATGAAGGACCAGACTGTGAGTGGGCTGGAGCATCTGAATGAGGAGCCCAGGCCAGAGACTTAGGGAGCAGGGGCTGTTGCATCACAGTCAGAGAAAGGTTCTCCGAGGAGGGTCAGAGGGCCGAAAACCCAGCAGAGGAAATGGCCCAGAGCCAGGCCCCCTCAAACGTCCCACGCTTGTTAATATGCCTCCAGTCATCCCAGAAGGGCCCGGGGCTGCCTCTGGAGTGCCCAGAAATCTGAGAGCCGAGGAGTTCTTCCAAGGGAGCATGTCCCCTCTGTACCAGACACAGTGCTGATGTAGGGGGTTCCTGACCTTCAGGGCAGCCGGATTAACCCTGGCACAGACCAGGATCATGGTTGGAGGATGGGGGGAGATCATACTTTCTGTGGCCTCAAGAAGCCAAGAAAAATACCCCAGAGCGGAGAAATCCACAGATCCCACCACACTGTGCTCTGAAAGCTGCTGCTAACAAGCCTTAGCTTCTTAGCAGCCAGTGCCAATCAATTTGGGGAAATTTGCCAGATGGGCTTTATCCTGGCTGGTGCTCCCAGCCTAGCTCTGCTGCCCCACCATGGGCCCCCGCTCCTTGCTCTGAGCTGACAAGAACTACCTCCTTCCCTTGGTGATGTGCGATTGTCACCCTCCTTGGTCTCACCCACACAGCCTCAGGGACACCTCCCAGGTTCAGGCAGGAGTAGCTCTAGGGTGCATAGGGGTTTCATTATTTTTCAGCAGCCATATTTCCTTTAGGCCTTGGCCTTCGTGGGACTTGTGGGAGGGTTTACCTCTGCCCTGTGTTCAAGGTGAAGGTTGTTGAGGTCATGGTTTGTTGGAGGGAAGCTTTGGCCGCAGTTGCAGAGGTAAAGCAGTGGTTGGTGGGGTGAGAACATGTGGTGCGCTGGCCTGGGTGGCCCAGTGGGATTTCTTTCCCCTGGTGTCTGGATGAACGTCCTGGGGAAGCACCCTTTGCATGACAGCTGCAGTTAATTCTGATTTATGGCCTCTGAGCCTCCCACCACCACCTGGAGAAGGAGCTGTCAAAATGGCTTTGTGGCAGACGTTGCTGGTATTTTTATACTGGTGCTCCCTGCCCTGGTCCTGGTGTGGCCTGTGCACCCTCTGTCTGCTAGCTCTGTGGAGAGAAGGCCAGCTCATCCTGGCCCTGCCTGGCTTGGCCCACTTAACCCAGGTCTGGCTGGCTATGCCCTCTCCCTCCTGCCCAGCTCATCTTCCCTTGACTGGCCTTGCTGACGCCCTCCCTGACAGATCCTATCCCTGCCCCTGCCCTGTCCCTTGGCTGCTAGGTGTTCCTTTGGTCCTCTCTGCACTTGCTCTTTCTCACCTGTGACTAATCTTTAGTGACATATCCTTCTCATTCTGGCCGTGAGCCCCTGGAGTATAAAACCGTGGTTGCTAGTCTCTGTTAAATCAATTTAATAAATGTTAACTGAGCATCCTCCATGTGCCAGGCGCTAGCTAGGTGCCAGCAATGCTCATGGAGCTAGACTAGCAGAGAAACACACAACACAAAGGTCACGGGTAGTGACAAATGCTACAAAAAAGCAAACAGTGCATGCGATTGAGATCTACTTTCAACACATCAGAGGTAAGTGGCAGTCATATTGAAACCTGAAAAAAGAAGGTGCCCAAGGGTGAGAGTCCTGTCTGTCTCTCAGACGGCTGCACCCCACTGCCCATGTAGACAGGAAGAGCATCTAGCTGAGGGTACAGCAAGTGCAAAGGCCAGGAGGTAAAACTAGCTTACATTTCTAGAAACTGATGAATGAGCAGTGTGAATTCAGTGGTTGATAGGAGATGAAATACTGCCAAATTTCACATGTCCAAGCTGAACTCATTTCCCCACAAAACCTGTCCCTCCTCTTATCTTTCCCATCTCCATTCTTCCACTGCTCAGGGGCCAAACTTCGCAGCTATCCTTGACCCTCTCTCTCACTCTGTAGCCGCTCTCTCAGCAAGTCCAGTCAGCTTCATTGTGCATGATGGCCATCCTAGTTCAACTCCACCTGGAGTGAGCAGGAGTCTCGTACCTGATTTCTACCCCTAAGCAGCCAGAAGGAACCTTTGAAAATGTAAGTTAGATGACAGCACTGTGCTGCTCAAATTCTTCTGTAGCTCACATCTCATTCAGAGCATAACCCGCAAGTGCATACGGTGACCCACAAGGCCCGGCATGCACTCTGCCTCTCCTATCCACTCTGCTCCAGCAGCAGCCTTGATTTCTTCATACATGCAAAGCACACACCCTACCTCAGGGCCTTTGCACCTACTCTTCTCTCAGCTGGAGGACTCCCTGTTGCATCCCCTTATACACACTTATCCACATGGCTTTTTATGTCTCTGCTTGAATATCAACTTATTATGGAGGCTTCTTACCAACCTGTCTACTCCTCCTCAATGTCTCCATCACCCACCCTGTGCACTTTCTTTGTTTTTTCTTTCTTTTTTTTTTTTTTTGAGATGGAGTCTTTCTCTGTCACCGGGCTGGAGTGCAGTGGCATGATCTCGGCGCACTGCAACCTCCAACTCCCAGGTGCAAGCAATTTTCCTGCCTCAGCCTCCCCAGTAGCAACCTCTGCCTCCAAGGTTCAAGCGATTCTCCTGCCTCAGCCTCCCAAGCAGCTGGAACTACAGGTGCGCACCATGACATCCAGCTAATTTTTGTATTTTTAGTAGAGATGGGGTTTCACCATGTTGGCCAGGATGGTTTCCATCTCCTGACCTCGTGATCCGCCTGCCTTGGCCTTCCAAAGCCCTGGGATTACAGGCATGAGCCACCGCGCCCGGCCAGCACTTTCTATTTTTCTCCCTGACATTTATCACCCTTTGATGCATTAGTTGTTTGTTTGTTGTCTGTTCCCCTTAGGATGGAAGCTCATTGGATGTAGGGACTTCATTCTGTTCATTGCTGTATCTCCAACACCTGCCTGGCATGTGGCAGATCCCCCAAAATATTTTGGAGGTCAGAAACATACACAGGGGTGGAACATGGAGAATGTAATAGACAGTATTAAGCACTGTAGGTTTTATTCTAAAAGCAGTAAGAAGCCATTGGGAAGTTTGTTTTTATTTTTGTTTTTTTGAGACAGAGTCTTGCTCTGTCACCAAGGCTGAGTGCAATGGTGCAATCTCGGCCAACTGCAACCTCCACCTCCTGGGCTCAAGCGATCCTCCCACCTTAGCCTCCTGAGTAGCTGGGACTACAGGCATGTGCCATCAAACCTGGCTAATTTTTGTATTTTTTATAGAGACAGGGTTTTGACATGTTGCCCAGGCTGGCCTTGAACACCTAGGCTCAAGCAATACACCTGCCTTGGCCTCCCAAAGTGCTGAGATTACAAATGTGAGCCATCATGCCTGGCCCCACTGGGAAGTTTTAAGCAGTAGAGAATGTGATCTGCTTTGCATTTTGAGTTTACTGTGGATATATTATGGAGAATGACTGGAAGCAGGGGTCCAGAGATGGAACTCAGGGAATGTGCTGGTGGCTTGCATCAGGATGGTCAGTGGATGTGAAGAGAAGAATGTGAGCAAAGTAATTGGCAGATGAGCTGGAAAGAAGCTGGTGCCCAGGGTCACAGACTCCTCATATGGCCCCAGGCCTCTGTGACTCACCGTCAGCCAGGCTGGGCACTGAGGAGGGCCTGCTGTGCTGGCGCTCAGGCAGATGCAGGGAGTTTAGACTCTGAATTCTTCTGCAGATGGGAGTCTGAACTGAACCATCCACACTTCTCCCTTCATGCCCAACGATGAACATCTTAAGAGCAAGGCTCTGTCTGTTTGCAACACTCTTCATTCCACTCCTCACACATACACACTGCTGAAGACATTCAACACTGCTGGAGGTTGGAGTCTCTGACAGTAAATGCAGAGACAAACTGGAATGCAAGTTGTCTATTAGGTCATGCCTGTAATCCCAGCACTTTGGGAGGCCAAGGCGGGTGGATCACCTGAGGTCGGGTGTTCAAGACCAGCCTGACCAACATGGAGAAACCCCATTTCTACTAAAAACACAAAATTAGCTGGATGTGGTGGCGGATGTCTATAATCCCAGTTCCTCAGGAGGCTGAGGCAGGAGAATCACTTGAACCCGGGAGGTGGAGGTTGCGGTGATCTGAGATCATGCCATTGCACTCCAGCCTGGGCAACAAGAGCGAAACTCCCTCTCAAACAAACAAACAAACAAACAAAAAACAAGATGTCTATTAGGAATGAACACCTGTGGAAGGAAGGGGAGGAAGCAGGAGGATGGGTCAGAGGGAAAAATCAAAATACAATGTATACCTGACAAAGCCTTGGCCCACTTGATAAGGAGCATGGGAGCAAAGATCACCCATCAGTGTTGGGCTGAGCTGAAATGGCTGGCCCTATACCACTGAATACAGGCTGCCCAGGAAGGTGAGACCCAGGCTCTTGGCAGCTGAGGCAGATCCAAGAGGAGCTGACAGCTGGAGGTGCCTGCTGTATTCCCCCAGCAGCTGGGGAGCAAGTCCTTCCTTGAAGGGGATTTGGGTGGCTTGTCTCTGAGTGTACTATGGACGATATACAATTGCTGAGGGCTACTTGAGTGAAGCCCACTGTTCCTCCCCCTATGATATAAACTGGTCCCCAAGAAGAGTTAGCAACAGCTTGGGCTCTTTCTAGGCCTCTGAGCCAACTGGCCTGAATTGAGCACATGAACTAGACGCTAGTCTTGTATCAAAGAATCTCTTCAGACTCCAAAGAATACTTACAGATGAGATTCATTGAGAGGGCAATTCAGAGTCATTTCAGCCTCTGTTATGTTGTGGAAAGATATAGGCCTTGTGATCCCAGACAGTCTAGTGTTCCAATATGGTTCTGCCAAACACTAGCTCATGAGCCCAGGCAAGTTGACAAGCTGTCTGGAGGTATTTTCCCTCTTCTGTAGAATGTGTGTAATGATATTCAGAAGATAGGGCTGTCTCACTAATCTTGTCTTCTCATTGGCCTGCAGGTTTTGTTGAATGAATGAGTACCATTTGTTGTCAGATACTTGCACCCTTGTCTCACGCAGGTCACAGCAGTCATAAGTTCCTGGAGGGCAGGGGCTTCTATTCACACTCACAGAGATGTGAACAGGAGCCACCCCTATTTTAGCACTTCTCAGTGCATGAGATTTCTTTGTCTAATTGCCACTTCTCCAGCCTGTGTGCATTGCCATTTTCATGACTGAAAATGTAGGGCCTGGTCCAGAGCCTGGCCCAGAGTTGGCCCCCAAAACACATTAGTTGGAATGGTTGACACTAGCCGTAACATCCTGGGGATTCAACATCAACCCAACAGTCAACTCATGACATCCTTTGAGAACAAGTCCCAATTTTACCCTGACCTCAGCCCATCTTTCTGGAATCTCATTTTCATGGCAGGCTATACGCTGCCCCAGCTGGATTATAAAGTTGATCAAGAGTGGAGCATTTGCCATAGCTCACTGGTTCAGAGGCATTTTAATGTCACCCTGGTAAGCCTGTCTAAATTTCTTCCTGTCAGCTCTCTTTCACTTAGAAATATTTTTTTTTCTCTAGGTTGTGAGATAAAAGATTGCATATCCACAGAGGAAAACATAGCCTTTGATAGGACTCCAAATAATTTATGTTTGGCCAATTCAGCAAATTGCCCCTTGGTTGTTCAAAGCACAGTCCTTCACTTTGCTCCATAAAGTCTTGTGTAGTAGGATAAGCACCTGCTATGGACCTAGAAAGACCTGAATTCAAGTCCTGTGAGGTCTTGAACAAGTCTGCCCAACTTCTGAGAGCTTTGATTCCCATATCTGTGATGCTTATCTTGCAGGTTGGTTGAGAGTTTAGAAAAGTAATTGCCTGATACACTACACCTGCTCGACAGCATGCACTTATCATTTCCTTTTGCCAAGGGAAGGAGATAGAGGGTAGGCAATGCTGATGTCTGTTTTATTTAATGCCGTGTGATTTACACTCAATGTGGGGACATGGAAAGTTCTGGCATCTGCTGCATTGACTCAGGACTGAGGAGGTCAGCAGGAGTACAGGCACCTGAAGAAGTGAAAAGCCATAGTATGGCCCTGAGAGGGACTGTCACAGAAAGTAGGAGCCTCTGAATTGTGAGCCAAAAGACAGAAGATTGAGCTTCTCTCCCATCAGTACCATCAGCACTTACATTACTCTTGTGGCAGATAGAACTGAGAATATGACTGAGACCCCTGCTCTGTCCTCTGCCTTCAAGAGAGCCTGGCTGTATCCTAAACACTGAGAAGTAGGCTGTTAGGTAGACTTTTCCAGGGAGGGAGAAGGAAAAGGGTTGGGGCTTGTAAACTTATAAACCAGACTGGAAGCTCCTTAAAGGTAGGAACTATGTCTGTATGGTCACTATTGAATTCTTAGCACTGAGCCTGACACACAGGAGACATTCAATATCTGTTTAATCCAAGCCAAGTTGTACATAGATTTTTTTCCATCCATCCATCCATCCATCCATCCATCTGACACCCATTTGCTAAGGGCATACTCTGTCCTTGGTACTGGATTGGTTGGGTTTATAGAGACAAAGTCAGCCTCTTACAGCTCACAGCCTAAGCAAGGGAGACAGCCATGGGTAACCCATAGTACCAGTGGGGACCAAATTTTCTGATAGAGAGGAGCCCTAGGAGCATGAGGTAGGCATTCAACTTGTGGGAGGTAGAGAAAGACAAAAAAAAAAATTCTGAAGGAAGGGCAGGCAAATCAAATAAAGACACAGGTCATCTAGTTCAAAGCTGTGATTTTCCATCGTCTCTTTATAAAGTTTCTTTGGATAGTAACATAAGGATATCTGTAAAATAGCTGGCCCTAGGTATTTGCTCTCCAAAACACTGCAGTTGTCATCATTATCATCATCTTCACTGCTGTCAACACTGTTTGCTCTGCAGGGAAGGTAGAGGAGAGTACCTGTGTCTTGCTGGTTTGTGTTGCACATTTACACCATCCTGTCCCATCTATGCTTAGGGCCAGGTCTCTTAGTTTCCTCAAAGTTTAGAAGGTCTCGGAGAAAGGAGTGACCTGAGTAAGATGGGGGAAAACTTCCAGGGTCCACAGGGGATCCTGAGGCTCTGAAGGACTTGAGAGGATAGTGAGGCAATTTGCTTGACTTTTGACCTTTCTTCCTGGGTCTTCCCCTCCTCAGTGACAGTTGGGCCTTGTGCCATCCACCAGGTGAGATCACAGCATTTCTCTCCTCTGGAGGACACAGCATCAAAGTGCCATCTTGGAAGCAGAGACCAGCCCTCACCAGACAACCAAACCTCCTGAATCCTTGATCTTGAACTTCTCAGCCTCCAGAACTGTGAGAAAATAAATGGTTGTTCTTTATAAATTACCCAGTCTCAGTTATTTTGTTATACCTGCACAAAATGAACTAAGACAGAAATTAGTCTTAGCATACTTGAGAGAAGTGAAGAGGGAGTTCAGCTCTGGTGTGGACCTAAGTTTTCGTGGAGGGTGCTAGAGGTCACTAGTGCTGGCTTTGGGAAGCACACTTTGTTCAGGGCATGGGACACATGCCTATCAATCCAGGCTTTCCCAAAGGCTCTTGATTATGAGTTCTGTCCTCATAGTAGATAGGAGACACTGCAGACATTCACATGTGGGAAGACTGATGGGGAGCTCCAGCATTCAGATTTCCATCAAACCACACATCCTCAGCCTCAACGTGGTATGAACCAGCCCATGGCCAACACACCACTGTTTCTTTTTGTTGCAAGGTGGCCAGTTCAGATTGGCACTCAGAAGGGAAGGTTTCTAACTGAACCAAATGCCAACCAACAACACTCAACCTTCTAATCAGGAGACAATTTAGTGGTGAGTGAGTACTTCCAGGTCTGGCTGTATGCTAGTTACATGCAAAATAAAATCTAATAGATCTAATCAAGTCATTCAAATACATTTATTTGTGCTTAATTAGGAGCAAAGGGGCTATAGTGTTCAACATCTCTATTCTCTTGGCATTTGGCTTCTAAAATTCACTGCTATGGCCTATGCTTCTCCAAAACATGATTTTTTCCTACAAATTTGATCTCTGTGTGTGTGTGTGTGTGTGTGTGTGTGTGTGTGTGTGTGTGCTACAAATTATTGGGGGGTTTATAACCACATTTGATAATAAATTAACACATTGCTAGAATTTACACTTCTGGTCTAAAAAGCATAGAGGGAAGTGATCCAACACCTAACTTCTCTGCAGTGTAGGAAATTATTGAGTGAAAAGGGTCTGGCTGATTGGAAATTATATCCTCCTAACAAAAATCCACTATGTTTCTCTCCTTCATATGCATGTGAACCCGTGTTCTCTCATATTCTCTTGCTGTCTCTCATACATGTGGTAGGAGGCAAAAGAAAAGGGTTTTCTGGAATGTTCTGGAGCTTATGGAAATTGTTTCCATTTTTCAGGCTTTTAGAGGTGGTAACAATGCAAAATACTACTTGGTTTTCAGTGTGGCTCTGATAGGGAGACATTGATTGTATCTCATAAATGAATCTTGTCCAGACCTATATGGCCTAGTGAGAGTTACTGATTTCTAAGTAGTCATGCTGGAAGACTGTGCACCTGTTCCACAGGTGCTTTGGTTGCTCTAAACAAGCCATTCAGTAACTCTCACTCTTCTTTTAAGATGGCCTTCAGGGTCATTTTACAAATTATACAAGAAATTTATTCTTGTTATCATCCCATCATTGTGCAGAAGAGCAAGCAGAGTGGCGAGACAGTAGAGTTCAAGGTACTCAGCCATCAGGCTAAACTCGTAATGACCTTGGGCTATTTTCCAACATTTAAAACCCTCCTCCCAAGACAACAATTTGACCTCATTAAGGAGATATAAAAAGAATATGGCATAAGCTTGGGAAGTAACTTTTGTTCGTTTAGTTAGTTTTCTTTCCAACTTTTATTTTAGGTTCAAGGAATGTGCAGGTTTGTTACATGGGTAAATTGTGTATAGTGGGGGCTTTGTAGACAGATGATTTTGTCACTCAGGTAATCAGCATAATACCCAATTGGTAGTTTTTCAATCCTCACCCCCCTCCTACCCTCCACCCTCAAGTAGGCCTCTTTGTGTCCACGTATACTCAATGTTTAGCTCCCACTTATAAGTGAGAACATGTAGTATTTGGTTTTATGTTCCCGTATTAATTCACTTAAGATAATCACCTCCAGCTTCATCCATGTTGCTGCCAAGAGCATGATTTCATTTTTATGGCTGCATAGTATTCTGTGGTGTATATGCACCACATTTTCTTTATCCAATCCATTATTGATGGGCATTTAGATTGATTCCATGTCTTCGGTATTGTGACTAGTGCTGTGATGAACATGTGTGTGTGTGTCTCTTTATGATAGAATGACTTATATTCCTTTGGGTATGTACCCACTAATGGGATTGCTGTGTCAAATTATAATTCTAAGTTCTCTCAGAAATCTCTAGACTGCTTTCCACTGAATTAATTTACTAATGACTGAAACTAATGACTGAACTAATTTACATTCCCACCAGTAGTATATAAGCATTCCCTTTTCTCCACAACCTTGCCAGCACGTGCTGTTTATTGATTTTATTAATAATAGTTATTCTGACTAGTGTGAGGTGGCATCTCATTGTAGTTTAGATTTGCATTTCCCTAATGATTAGTGATACTGAGCATTTTTTAATATACTTTTTGGCCATGTGTATGTCTCTTTTGAGAAGTGTCTGCTCATGTCATTTGCCCATCTTTAAATGAGGCTGTTTGTTTATTGCTTGTTGATTTATTTAAGTTCCTTATAGATTCTGGATATTAGACACTTGTTGGGGTCTTCTGTGGCTCCACATGAATTTAAGGATTGTTTTGGCCATTCCTTAAAAAATGACATTGGAATTTTGACAGGAATTACATTGAATCTGTAGATTGTTTTGGGTAGTATGGGCATTTTCACATTAATTCTTCCAATTCATGTACATGCGATATCTTCCCATTTATTTCTGTTCTCTTCAATTTCTTTCATCAGTGTTTTACAGGTTCAGTACACAGATCTTTTACCTCCTTGATTAAATTTAGACCTAAGTATTAATTTTTTTGGTTGCTATTGTAAGTGGGATTACTTACTTAATTTGATATTCAGATAGCTTGTTATTAGTATAAGGAAATGTTCCTCATTTTTGTATGTTGATTTTGTAATCTGAAACTTTACTGAATTTATCAGTTTTAACAGATTTTTAGTGAAGCATTTATGTTTTCCATACATAAGATCATGTCATCAGCAAATAGAGATAATTTTACTTCTTCCCTTTCTATTAGAATGTCTCTTGTTTCTTTCTCATGCTTAATTGCTCTGGCTAGAACATCCAATACTATGTTGAAAAGAAGTGGTGAGAGTGGCATCCTTGTCTTGTCCCTGATCGCAGATGAACAGCTTTCAAATTTTCATCGAGAATGATGTTAGCTACGGGTTTGTCATGTATGGGCTTTGTTTTGTTCAGATAATTCCCTGTATACCTAATCTGTTGAGAGTTTTTTCTTAATCATGAAGGAACGTTGAATTTTGTCAAATAGTTTTTATGTATCTGTTGAGATGATCATATAACGTTTATCCTTCATTTCATTAATGTGGTATATTTCATTTATTGATTTGCATATATTGAAGCATCATTGCATCCCAGGGATAAATCCTACTTGTTCATGGTAAATTATTCTTTCAATGTGCTCTTTAATTTAGTTTGCTGATATTTTATTGAGGATTTTACATCTGTGTTCACCAGGGATATTGGCTTGTAATTTTCTTTTCTTGTAGTGTCCTTGTCTGGCCTTGGTAAAAAGGTAATGCTAGCCTTGTAAAACAAGTTCAGAAGTATTCTTTCTACCATGATTTTTTGGGAAGGATTCGTGAAGAATTTGTATTAGTTCTTCTTTAAGTGTTGGAAAGAATCAGTAGTGAAGCTGTCTGATTCTGGGCTTTTCTTTGGTGAGAGATTTTTTTTTTTTTAACTACTGATTCAATCCCTTACTCATGATTTGACCAGAAAATCTGGTCAAATCAGATTTTCTATTTCTTCATTCTTCATTCTTGGTAGGTTGTATGTATCTAGGAATTTATCCATTTGTTCTTGGTTTTACAATTTGTTGGCATATACTTGTTCATATTAGTTTCTTATTATCTATTGTATTTTGGTGGTATCAGTTGTAATGTCTCCTCTTTCATTTGTGATGTTATTTATTTGAGCAGTTATTCTTTTTTTCCTAGTTGGTCTAGCTAAGGGTTTGTCTTTTCTTTTTTAACCTTTTCAAAAAACTAACTTTCAGTTTTATCAATGTTTCTATTGTTTTTCTAGTCTCTATTTCAGTTATTTCTACTCTGATCTTTGCTATGTCCTCTCTTCTGCTCACTTTGGGCTTAGTTTGTTCTTTTACCAATTTATTGAGTTATAACAGTAGATTGTGAATTTTTTTTATATATAGGTATTTGTTGCTATAAATTTTCCTCTTAGGGCTGCTTTTCCTAAGTTTTGGTATGTTGTGTTTTCATTTGTGTTTGTCTCAAGGTATTTTTTATTTCCTTTTTTATTTCTTCTGTGACCTATTAGTGTGCTCCACATCACTAATCATTAGGGAAATGCAAGTCTATTTGCTGATGACATGATCTTATGTATAGAAAACCATAAATGCATCACCAAAAAACTGTTAAAACTGATAAATTCTGTAAAGTTTCAGGTTACAAAATCAACATACAAAAATTAGGAACATTTCCTTATACTAATAACAAGCTATCTGAATAGCAAATTAAGTAAGTAATCCCACTTACAATAGCAACCAAAAAAATTAAATACTTAGGTCTAAATTTAATCAAGGAGGTAAAAGATCTGTGTACTGAAACTGTAACAGAAATATGTGCCACATATTTCTGTATTTTCCAAGATTTCTCCTGTTATTGATTTATAGTTTTATGCCATTGAGATCTGAAATGATACGTGATATGACCTCATTCCTCTTACATGTGTTGAGATTTGTTTTGTGGCCTAAAATATGATCTACCTTGGAAGATGTTCCCTGTGTACTTCAGAAGAGTGTGTATTTTGTTGTTGGATGGAATGTGCTGTATATGTCTGTCAGGTCCATTTGGTCTAAAGTATAATTCAAGACCAATGTTTATTAATTTTCTGTCTAGATAATATGCCCATTGTCCAAAGTGGGGTATTGAGGCACCATACTATAATAGTAACTCATTCTATCTCTCCCTTCAGATTATTTAATAATTGCTTTACAAATTTAGGTGCTCCAATATTGGGGGCATATATATTTGCAATGTTACAAATATATATTTGTATATTCTTTATTATTATGTAATCATGTTTGTCTCTTTTTATAGTTTTTGACTTAAAGTGTATTTTGTCTGAGATAAGCATAGTTACACTTGCTCCTTTTAGTTTCCATTTGCATGGAATATCTTTTTGCATTCCTTTACTTTCAGCCTATGTGGGTCCTTACCAGTAAAGCAAGTTTTTTCTTGTTTTTTTTCATCTATTGAGCCACTCTTTTTATTGGACGACTTAATTCATCTACATTCAATGTAATTATTGACAGTTTGGTAGGTCCCTTGTTTCTTTCTTCATCTTTTACTGTTTTCCTTTGTAGTTTGATGATTTTCTGTGGGGGTACAGTTTGAAAGCTTTTATTTTATATTTTGTGCAACTACTATAGGTTTTTGTTTTGTGGTTACCATCAGGCTTACATAAAACATGTTATCCTTAAAACGGATTACTTTAAGCTGACAATAATTGCTTTTAATTGCATACAAAACTCTACACTTTCACTGCCTTTCTCCCACCTTTTGTTTTTAATGTCGAAATTTACATTTGTTCTTGTATTTATATTTGTAAGAATTTATTGGATCCACAGTTATTTTAAATAAGTTTGTCTTACAACCTTCCTAGTAGGAATAAAGTTACTTCACACCACCCTTTCAGAATTAGAGAATTCAGGGCTTAATTGAATCCTTATCTTACACAATTAAAAAATCAACTCAAAATGGATTAAAGACTTAAAAATAAGACCCAAAACTGTAAAAATGCTAGAAGAAAACAGTGGAAAATCTCCCTAACAGTGGTCTAAGCAATGATATTTTTGGACGTAACCCTGAAAGCACAGGAAACAAAAGCAAAAATAGACAAATGGGGTTATATTAAACTAAAAAGCCTCTGCACAACAAAGGACACTACTAACAAAGTGAAGAGACAACTCATAGAAAGGGAGAAATTATTTGCAAACCATACATCTGACAAGGAGTTAATATCCAAAACATAGAAGCAACTCTAACAACTCAATAGCAAAGAAACAAAAACCTGATTTAAAAATGGGTGTTATAGTTTGGATATTTGTCCCCACCCAAATCTCATGTTGAAATCTAATCCCCAATTGTGGATGTGAGGCCTGGTGGGAGATGTTTGGGTCATGGGGGCAAATCACTCGTGCTTAGTGCTGTCATCACAACCGTGAGTTCTCACAAGATCCGGTTGATGTAAAGTGTGGCACCTCCCCTCTCTCTCTTGCTCCTGCTTTCACCATGCTTTGTGCCTGCTCCCAAGTAGCCTTCTGCCATGAGTAAAAGCTCCCTGAGGCCACTCCAGAAGCTGAGGAGATGCCGGGGCTATGCTTTCTGTATAGCCTTCAAACTGTGAGCCAATTAAACCTATTTTCTTTATAACTTACCCAATCTCAGATATTAATTTCTCACAACAAAAGAATGATCTAACATAATGGGCAAAGGACTTGAGCAGACGTTTCTCAAAGGAAGACACGCAAATGGCCAACAGGTACATTAAAGAATGCCCAGCATCACTAATCATTAGGGAAATTCAAGTTAAAACCACAATGAGATATCACCTCACATCTGTTAATGTGGCTTTTATCAAGAAGAAGAAAGATAACAAATCTTGGAGTGGATGCAGAAAAAGAAAACTCATACCCTGTTGGTGAGAATGTGATTTATACATCAATTATGGAAACTAACATGGAGGTTCCTCAAAAAATTAAAAATAGAACTACCGTATGACCTAGTAATCGCACTTCTGAATATATAAAGAAACTGAAATCAATATGTCAACAGAATATCTGTACTCTGCATGTTTATTGCAGCATTATTCACAATAGCTAAAACATGAAACAACTTAGGTATCCATCAATGGATGAGTGTATAAAGGAAATGTGAAACATACACAATAGAAAATTATTCAGCCTTAAAAAGGGAGAAATCCTGTCACTTGCATCAACACGGATGAATCTGAAGGACATTATGCTAAGTAAAATAAACCAGGCACAGAAAGACAAATGCTGCATGATCTCACTTACATGTAAAAATCTAACAAAGTTGAACTCATAGAAATAGAGAGTAGAAAGAGGCTAAGAGTGGGCTGGGAGGGAGGGAATGAGGAGTTGCTGATGAAAGGGTACAATGTTTCAGATTGAAAGGGGAATGGGAGTTGTTAATCAAAGGGTACAAAGTTTCAGAGAGACAGTAGGGATAGATTTTGAGATATATTGTATACCAGGGTGACTATAGTCAATAATACTGCATTGTATATTTCAAAACAACTAAGAGAGTAAATTTCAAATGTCTCACCATAAAAAAGATAGGTAAGCAAGGTGATGGATGTGTTAATTAGCTTGATTTAATCACACTGATTGTATGTATATGTTAAAACATCGTTTTGACACCCCACAAATGTATACAGCTATGATCTGACAATAGAACAATTTAACAGCTCACAGAACCACGTCCTAAATAAATAGTTGTTATAAACTAAAATGAATAAAAGCAAAAAAGACGTACGTGTGGATGTGGATATGCTTGGTCTATACCTGCCAGTGATGCTCTGGGACAAGAGGCTGAGGGAGTTGAGGTTTCTAAGAGGCTCTGTGGGGGCTTCCCTGCCTTCTTTGGCAGGGTCAGGCATTGCTGGAAAGCCAGGCTTTGATGTACACTGTTCTTTGAGACCTGTTTTCTCCTCCTGGCCCTTGTCAAGAGGACTAAGTCAAGCAGTGAGGGGCAGAATCACAACTTAACAAATGCCACAGGAAGTTATTGTTGGCAGTTTCCTATGTAGAGCTAGTTCAAGAACCCTCCAAAAATCTTCCTTCTGGTTACTATGTCACTTTCAGATATGTCTCAAGAAGACTTCTGTTGGAACAGGAATACATTACCTGGTTGGAAGAATACATTAATCAATAGCAGCTACTAGTAGTTTTGCAGGAAGTAGCTCACCTCCTCACCAGAAAGCTGCTTCAAGGTTCTATGGACACAGAAGCCAGGATGAGTCTTTCTCAAGAGTGAAGGTTAGGAGGAAGGGAGAAAGGATGGGAAGATGGCAGAGGTCTAGCATACAAGACTCTCCCAGAAAGGCATTTGTGGGAGTAATGTAGGGACAATTAGAAACTTGAGGCTTGAGCCTGGGAAAGGAGACCTCTGGCAAACCATGTTTTCTTGTTTTATTAGGGTGTGTTCTTGTCCCATTTTCTACAGCACTGTTTCCCTCTCCTACCCATCTACTTTGGAGAGATGCAGAGGAGACAAATACAAAGAGGGGATTAAGTTTGAAAGAATTCTACTTTCTATTTTTTTCTGAGAGGAACCCAAGGGGATTACGTTTGAAAAAATTCTACTTTGTATTATTTTTCTGGGATGAACCCAAGGTGATATTTCTCAAAGAGGTGATAAAAAACCTATTATTTGAAATTGCAGTGTAGTGTCACTAAGAGGCTATTTCATATTCAAGCCAAGAGGTTCCTGGAATGAAAGGAAACTTCTTTGTGCTTTTTCAGCTTAGTCTTGTGATTTCTGGCAGTGCCATGGGCCCAGGCAAGCAGCCTTCTGGGACAGTAGCCCTTTAAATGTCAACCAACTGCTGTCCTAGAAAGAAGAGAGAAAAACAATTAGTCTGGGCATGGCATTTGGGACTCCCTTTGCCAATACTGCTATGTATTTTGAATGCCCTTATTTATAGTTAAAATTTTCTAAGTCACCCAGGTGTGCAGGATTTGAACTATATTTTTTCATCAAATGTTTACTCTCAGAATTCAGTCTTATTCCTTTCAAGAGAGTGCTTCCCACAGAAATACAAACTACCATCAGAGAATACTGTAAACAACTCTATGCAAATAAACTAGAAAATCTAGAAAAAATGGATAAATTCCTGGACACATACACCCTCTCAAGACTAAACAAGGAAGAAGTTGAATCTCTGAATAGACCAATAACAGCCTCTAAAATTGAGACAATAATTAATAGCCTACCAACCAAAAAAAGTCCAGGACCAGACGGATTCACAGCCGAATTCTACCAGAGGTATAAAGAGGAGCAGGTACCATTCCTTCTGAAACTATTCCAATCAATAGAAAAAGAGGGAATCCTCCCTAACTCATTTGATGAGGCCAGCAGCATCCTGATACCAAAGCCTGGAAGAGACACAACAAAAAAAGAGAATTTTAGACCAATATCCCTGATGAACATCAATGCAAAAATCCTTAATAAAATACTGGCAAACCGAATCCAGTAGCACATTGAAAAGCTTATCCACCACCATCAAGTCGGCTTCATCCCTGGGATGCAAGGCTGTTTCAACATATGCAAATCAATAAACATAATCCATCACATAAACAGAACCAATGACAAAAACCACATGATTATCTCAATAGATGCAGAAAAGGCCTTTGACAAAATTCAACAGCACTTCATGCTAAAAACTGTCAATAAACTAGGTATTGATGGAACGTATCTCAAAATAATAAGAGCTATTTATGACAAACCAACAGCCAATAACACACTGAATGGGCAAAAACTGGAGGCATTCCCTTTGAAAACTGGCACAAGACAGGGATGCCCTCTCTCACCACTCCTATTCAACATAGTGTTGGAAGTTTGGCCAGGGCAATCAGGCAAGAGAAATAAATAAAGGCTATTCAATTAGGAAAAGAGGAAGTCAAGTTGTACCTGTTTGCAGATGACATGGTTGTATATTTAGAAAACCCCATCATCTCAGCTCAAAATCTCCTTAAGCTGATAAACAACTTCAGCAAAGTCTCAGGACACAAAATCAATGTGCAAAAATCACAAGCATTCCTATACACCAATAATAGACAAACAGAGAGCCAAATCGTGAGTGAATTCCCATTCACAAGATGAAGAGAATAAAATACCTACGAATCCAACTTACAAGGGATGTGAAGGATCTCTTCAAGGAGAACTACAAACCACTGCTCAACAAAATAAAAGAGGACACAAACAAATGGAAGAACATTCCATGTTCATGGATAGGAAGAATCAACATCATGAAAATGGCCATACTGTCCAAGGCAATTTATAGATTCAATGCCATCCCCATCAAGCTACCAATGACTTTCTTCACAGAATTGGAAAAAACTACTTTAAAGTTCATATGGAACCAAAAAAGAGCCTGCATTGCCAAGACAATCCTAAGCAAAAAGAACAAAGCTGGAGGCATCACACTACCTGACTTCAAACAATACTACAAGGCTACAGTAACCAAAACAGCATGGAACTGGTACCAAAAACAGATATATAGACCAATGGAACAGAACAGAGGCCTCAGAAATAACACCACACATCTACAACCATCTGATCTTTGACAAACCTGACAAAAACAAGAAATGGGGAAAGGATTCCCTATTTAATAAATGGTGCTGGGAAAACTGGCTAGCCATATGTAGAAAGCTGAAACTGGATCCCTTCCTTACACCTTATACAAAAATTAATTCAAGATGGATTAGTGACTTAAATGTTAGACCTAAAGCCATAAAAACCCTAGAAGAAAACCTAGGCAATACCATTCAGGCAAAGACTTCATGACTAAAACACAAAAAGCAGTGGCAACAAAAGCCAAAATTGACAAATGGGATCTAATTAAATTAAGGAGCTTCTGCACAGCAAAAGAAACTACCATCAGAGTGAACAGGCAACCTACAGAATGGGAGAAAATTTTTGCAATTTACCCATCTGACAAAGGGCTAATATCTGGAATCTACAAAGAACTTAAACAAATTTCCAAGAAAAAAAAACCCATCAAAAAGTGGGCAAAGGTTATGAACAGACACTTCTCAAAAGAAGACATTTATGCAGCCAAAAGACACATGAAAAAATGCTCATCGTCACTGGTCATCAGAGAAATGCAAATCAAAACGACAATGAAATGCCATCTCACACCAGTTAGAATGGTGATCGCTAAAAAGTCAGGAAACAACGAATGCTGGAGAGGATATGGAGAAATAGGAACACTTTTACACCATTGGTGGGAGTGTAAACTGGTTCAACCACTGTGGAAGACAGTGTGGCAATTCCTCAAGGATCTAGAACTAGAAATACCATTTGACCCAGCCACCCCATTACTGAGTATATACCCAAAGGATTATAAATCATGCTACTATAAAGATACATGCACACGTATGTTTATTGCAGCACTATTCACAATAGCAAAGACTTGGAACCAACCCAAATGTCCATCAATGATAGACTGGATTAAGGAAATGTGGCACATATACACCATGGAATACTATGCAGTATTGCATGAACAAGGATGAGTTCATGTCCTTTGCAGGGGCACGGATGCAGCTGGAAACCATAATTCTGAGCAAACCATCACAAGAACAGAAAACCAAACACCACATGTTCTCATTCATAGGTGGGAATTGAACAATGAGAACACTTGGACACAGGGCAGGGAACATCATACCCTGGGGCCTGTCCTGGGGTAGGGGGCAGAGGGAGGGATAGCATTAGAAGAAATACCTAGTGTAAATGATGAGTTAATGGGTGCAGCAAACCAACATGGCACATGTATACCTATGTAACAAACCTGCACGTTGTGCACATGTACCCTAGAACTTAAGGTATAATAAATAAGACAGACAAACCAAAAAAAAAAAAGCAAAAATTCTAATATTCACCCACCTCTTTTATTAGCTGTGGAGTTTTCAGGTAAAAAATAAATGTTTAATTGGCAAAAAAAAAAGTGCTTCCTTGCTAGTGGGTTAATAGCATCCAACTGGTAGATTGTTGTATGGATTATATGCTGTAATGTCCCTAGAAATCCGGAACTCAAGAGTTTGGTCTCTGTGCCTATTGTGCTATATAGCCTTTCACATTTTGTGTAACCTCTTCTGGCTCGCTTTTCTCAATGGCAAAATAATAATAATAATTCAGGCATGTACTGTCTAGTTTTTTTTTATGTTTGTTTGGTGTTTTCTGCTCTTTAGTGATAGGGAAAATAAAAGCATACATTGGCAAACAATGTAAAACCTTATTCAATAACAGATGGAAACTAGGAGGATGTGGACAATCACCAGTGAGGCTCCTGCACAGCTCTTTTGAATGCAGCCCACACAGGTCCAGTATGTGATAAGACTGGGCCTTTAAAAATTCATACCAAATCTCACAGTTTCTATCCATGCACAAATTCCATGCTGGCTCAGGGTAATTTCTGCAAAGTGACTGTGCCTTTCACATAATTTATGTTCTCTTTTCACTCTGTGGGGGCTGTAGGCAGTTGCCTGCAGGAGTGTGAATTTGATGAAGTCATCAGCCAGCTCTGTGCTGTTCCTGGATGGGCTGGTGCTTCCGGACCCTGCTGGGCGGAAAGGCTGAGGAAAGCTCTCAATCTGTGCACCAAAAAGGGTGTAATGACTCAGCTAGGAACCCCAATAACCAAAGAGGGAAAACATGGCACTGCATTCCTTCAGTAAAAGGCAACTCTTATTCTCCTTCGAGTCATCCTGGGCCTGAACAAGCTCTTGGAATTATAAAGCCTGATTCCTCAGGTCAGCATAATGCGTCTAAAGACCACAGGAGAATTTCCTGATCCAGGAAGCTTGGGGTGGGATGGAGGGAGTGGTGTGTATGTGTGTGCACATGCGTTTATGTGTTTTAGGGAGGTAGGGATGGAAAGGGTCTGCTGTTACTGAGAATCCACAGTCTTTTGGGGAATAGGCTTCTTGCATCTGTGATGTAATGAGGTATATGTCCCAGAAGGCTTGAGTCAACAGGCCCCTCCAGGGAGCACCAGGACTGGTACTTTGGTTTCCAGATATTTGGGGTGGGGGTGAGTTGGAGGATCCCTCTTGCCTTTGAAGTTGAGCCTCTCTGGGTAGCTTATCTCACTATAAAGACATTGCTTTTTTATATCCAATTATGGTCCCACAGAAGGATGTTCTTTACTGGATCACAAATCTCTTCAAGTCACCAAAGGATACTGAACACTCACTCTATGGCAGGCGTTCTGTATCAGAAACTAAGGAAAAGAGTGAATAAGATGGTGGTTCTGAGTTCAGGAAACTTACAAAACAGCAAAAGCTTCCTGTGAGCTAGCAGTATACCAGGCTCTGTCCTAAGTCTTTAACATTTAGTCCTCGCAACAGCCCTATGCAGTAGTTGCATTAATATTGTTGTTACTTTAGATATGAAAAATGGAGTCATGGATTAAATGACCTAAATTAATACAGCTAGTCAATTGTAGAGCCAGGCAGTGTGACTCTAGGGTTGATGATTAAACTATTATGGTTGCTCAGCAGTTTGAAGACCAGCCTGAGAAAAATGGTGAAATGCTGTCTTTACTAAAAATACAAAAAAATAAATAAATAGCTGGGTGTGGTGGTGCAGGTCTGTGGTCCCAGCTACTCAGGAGGCTGAGATGGGAGGATCACCTGAGCCCAGGGAGGTTGAAGCTGTGGTGAGCCACGATGGCGCACACTGAACTCCAGCCTGGGCAACAGAGTGAGACCCTGCCTTAAAAACAAACAAGCAAAAACACTATTATTGTTTGCTGCATTAGTCTATCAAGAAGAGAACATACAGAAAAATATAATGCGTCAAGTGCTATGGAGGGGTAAGTACACAGACTGTGAGAGCAAAGAGAATGATGTATGGGAAGGGGAGAGTGACCAGACACTGCTTCCCAGAGGAAGTGACATCTGAGCTGAGCTCTAACATTGATTGCTCACTAGCCAGGCAAAATGGGGATGTGGGTTTCAGGCAGAGAAAAAGAAAGTGCAAAAGTCTCACAGTGAGAGAGAGCATGGTTTATTGATATTTAAGGAATGGAAGGAATTCAGTGAGGTTGAATCATAAATTTCACAGCAGGAAATATTCAGACATGAGATTGCAAAGGTTTGTTTATCCATTCAACATTTATTTAGCACCCACAATATGTCAGACAATGTGTTAGACTCAAGTAAGATATCAGTTGAAAAAGATACGGTGTTTGCCATCATGGGACTTATAGTCTATAAAATGAAATGACATCTAGTCTCACCTGGCAGAAAAAAAAAATAATTAAACTTGGAAAGAAGGCAAAAAGGTGAATAGAATGTTCTTTCAATGTCATACTGGGACATTGTTTAATGGATTCACTAAACAATAATTTAAATATCTAGAATAATGTACCTGTTTTTTATTTTGATATTCACTATTAACTATGAAGTCATACTCTGATGTTAAATGTTTTATTAGTCTGTTCTCACACTGCTGTAAACGTAGTACCCAAGACTGGGTAATTTACAAAGGAAAGAAGTTTAATTGACTCACAGTTCCACGTAGCTGGGAGGCCTTGGGAAACTTACAATCATGGTAGAAGGGGAAGCAGGTGAAAGAGATCATGTGAGAGTGCAGGAAAAACTACCATTTATAAAACCATCAGATCTCGTGAGAATTCACTCACTATCATGACAACAGGGAAACTGCCCCCATGATCCAACCACTTCCCATCAGGTCTCTCTCTCCACACCTGTGGGTTACAATTCAAGATGAGATTTGGGTGGTGACACAAAACCTAAACATATCAAATGCATAATGTAGGTATCTGTGTGGCAGAAAAGATAAGTTTCAAGGTCACAGTTTTATTGTCCTGTAGGAATTTAACAAATTAAATCTCCATTCTAGTATGTTAGTTTTCTATTGTTGCTATAGCAAATTCCCACAAATGTTGTGGCTTAAAACAACTCAGATTTATTATTCCATACTTCTGAATGTCAGAAGTTTGGTACAAGTCTTACCAGACTAAAGTCAAGGTCTGTGCATGCTTTGCTCCTTTTTGGAGTCTCTCAGGAGAGAATCTGTTTCCTGCTCATGTGAGTTATTGGAAGAATTCAGTTCCTTACAGGTTTGTGACTGAGGTCCCCATCCATATTCTTGCTAAGTATAAGTTGAGGGATATTCCCAGCTTGTGGAGGTCATCACGTTCTTGGCTCATGGTCCCCTTCCTCTAACTTCAAAGCCAGCAACAGCAGATCCTTCTCACATAGCATCATTCTGACCTACCATCTGCCTTCCTCTTCTATTTTTATTCTGTGGTTAAACTGAGCACACTCAGATAATCCAGGATTATTTCCCATATAAATATCCTTAGACTAAATTAATTTTTAAAATCTTTTTTGCCATGTAAGATATTATACTCACAGGTTCTGGGGATACAAGTGTTGGGGGATCTTTTTTCAGCCTACCACAATATAGTAAATACAGTCCATGTTCCTCAAAATGCTCTTTTATTTACTTATTTTTTGTGTAAAAAATAAGTTTTATTTTTCATCCTTACCATATTTTAAAGAGATAGTTTTCTTAGTTTCATAGTAAGTCTTTTTTAAAAATCTATTTTTATTCATTTTTGTGGGTACATAGTAGGTATATATATTTATGGGGTACATGAAATGTTTTGATACAAGCATGCAATGTAAAATAAGCACATCAAGGAGAATGGGGTATCCATCCACTCAAGCATTTATTCATTGAGTTGCAAACAACCTAATTACTCTCTTTAAGTTATTTAAAAATGTGCAGTTATTATTAATAATAGTTGCTATTTGTGCTATCAAATAGTAGATCTTTTTTATTTTTTCTATTTTTTTTGTACCCATTAACGATCCTCACCTTACCCGCCCCTTCCTACTACCCTTTCCAGCCTCTGGTAAACATCCTCCTGCTCTCTATGTCCATGAGTTCAATTGTTTTGATTTTTAGATCCCACAAATAAGCGAGAACATGCAATATTTGTCTTTCTGTGCTTGGCTTATTTCACTTAACGTACTGATCTCCAGTTCCATCTATGTTGTTCATATTGTTGCAAATGACTGAATCTCATTATTTTTTATGGGTGAATAGTACTTCATTGTATATGTGTACCACATTTTCTTTATCCATTCATCTGTTGGTGGACACTCAGGTTGCTTCCAAATCTTAGCTATTGAAAACAGTGCTGCAGCAAACCTAGGAGTCCACGTATCTTGTCGATATACTGATTTCTTTTGTTTTGGGTATATATCCAGCAGTGGAGTTGCTGGATTATATGGTAGCTCAATTTTTAGTTTGTTGAGGCATCTCCAAATTGTTCCCCATAGTAGTTGTACTAATTTACATCCTACCAAGAGTATACAAGGGTCCCCTTTTCCCCACATCCTTTCCAGCATTTGTTATTGCCTGTCTTTTGGATATAAGCCATTTTAACTGGGGTGAGATGATATCTCATCATAGTTTTGATTTGCATTTCTCTGATGATTGATAATGTTGAGCCCCTTTTTCTAGGCCTGTTTGCCATTTGTATATCTTCTTTTGAGAAATGTCTATTCAAATCTTTTGCCCATCTTTGATCAGATTATTTGATTTTTTTTCCTATAGCTTCTTATATATTCTGGTTATTAATTACTTGTCAGTTGAGTAGTTTGCAAATATTTTCTCACATTCTGTGGGTTGTCTCTTCTCTTTGTTGATTGCATCCTTTTCTGGGCAGAAACTTTTTAAGTTGATGTGATCCTATTTGTCCGTTTTTGCTTTGGTTGCCTGTACTTGTGGGGTAATAAGAAATTTTTGCCCATACCAATGTCCTGGAGATTTTCCCCAATGTTTTCTTATAGTAGTTTCATAATTTGAGGTCTTAGATTTAAGTCTTTAATCCATTTTGACTCTATTTGTTTATATGGTGAGAGCTGGGGGTCTAGTTTCATTCCTTTGCATGTCTCTAGTCTGATTAGCTAAGACTTCTAGCACTATGTTGAATAACAGTGGTGACAACAGGCGCCCTTGTTGTGTTCCTTATCTTAGAGGAAAAGCTTTCAGTTTTTTCCCATTCAGTATATTAGCGTGGGTCTGTTGTTTTTATTATGTTGAAGTATGTTCCTTCTATCCCCAGGTTTTGAGAGTTTTTATCATGAAGGGATGTTGAATTTTATCAAATGCTTTTTCAGTGTCAATGAAATGATCATATGATTTTTCTCCTTCATTCTGTTTATATGATATATCACATTGATTGATTTGTATATGTTGAATCATCCTTGCATCTCAGGGATAAATCCTACTTGGTCATGATGAATAATCTTTCTAATGTGTTGTTGGATTCAGCTTCCTAGTATTTTGTTGAGGATTTGTGCATCAATATTCATCAGAGATATTGGCCTGTAGTTTTCTTTTTTTGATGTGTCTTTGACTGGTTTTGATATCAGGGTAATACTGGCCTCATAGAATGAGTTTGGAGGTCTTCCAACCTCCTTTATTTTTGGGAATAGTTTGAGTAGGATTGATATTAGTTCTTCCTTAAATAGTAGAATTAGAAGAACTAATTGGTATTTGTTCTTATTTAAATATTTAGTAGAATTCGGTTTAGTAGAACTCAGTCAAAGCCATCAGGTCCCAGGCTTTTCTTTACTGGGAGATTTTTATTATTGTTATTATTATGATTTCAATCTTGTTACTTGTTATCAGTCTGTTCAGGTTTTGAATTTCTTTCTGGTTCAATCTTGGTAGGTTGTATGAATCTAGGAATTTGTCCATTTTTTCTAAATTTTCCAATTTACTGGCATATAGTTGCTCATAGTAGTCACTAGTGATCCTTTGAATTTCTGCAGTATCAGTTGTAGTATGTCCTTTTTAATTTCTGATTTTATTTATTTGAATATTTTCTCTTTTTCTCTTAGTCTGGCTAAAGGTTTGTCAATTTTGTTAAACTCCGAAAAACTTTTTTGTTTCATTGAGGTTTGTATTGTTTTTCCATTTCTATTTCATTTATTTCTGCTCTGACCTTTATTATTTTTTTTCTTCTACTGATTTTTGGTTTGGTTTTCTCTTGCTTTTCTAGTTCTTTAAGTTGCATTAGATTGTTTATTTGATCAAAATGCTCTTTTAAATAACTTTACCATCTTAGTTATTTCCTTATTGATGAATCAGTAATTTTGGATACATGTTGTTTCTATATTTGCATGTTTTTAAATTTTGGGGAATTGAAATAATTGTTGGTTTTTGAAGATTTGCTGAGATTGTCAAGTGGACTAACCTGCTAGTTTTCATTAAACTCTGAGGCATGGGAAACAAACCTGGGCTGCTGCAGCTCCGGCAAGTGATTTTGGCACCTACAATGGATCTCAAGTGGTAATAAACCTTCGTCTTTCCTCTCTCTCTCTCACACTTTCACTTGCTTACTCTTCTAATCATGTTTCTCTTTTTTATTTCTGGCCCTTGGACAGATTTAGCCATAGTTCTGATTTAAGCATGACCAATAGTCATTTGCCACTGGTGACTGCAATGATGGGACTCTGGCTGCATAGTGTGATCATTTGGTGATCTTTACTAGAACGATGGGATATACTCTCTTGGGTGAGAAATGAGAGATAATTCTGTTAGTCTTTTCAGTTTGTTTGACCATTTGTGAGCTCAAGTAACTAAGAAAATATTTTGTGCTTCCTGGAACTAAGCACATCCTTTGAGATCTGGATAAGTGAATGTTTGTATTTCTATCTGTTCTTGACCTGTGACTTAGTTTACAGAACTGAAACTGCAAGCTCTCTGTAGGTTTGTATGTAATTAAGAAAAGCTTTACTTCTCACTGTGAGTGTGAAACATTTTCCTTCTCCTGAAGGATATTAATAAATTAGATTACAATGTCTCTTAAATTAATTAAATGCTTCATAGGACTTTAAGGAATTACATAGATATAATATTCTCAGAATTCCCAGTATTAGTTTATTCTCACATTGCTATAAAAAAACTACCTGAGACTGGGTAGTTTATAAAGAAAAGAGGTTTAATTGATTCACAATTCCACAGGCTGTACAGGAAGCATGACTTGGGAGCCCTCAGAAAACTTACAATCATGGCAGAAGGCAAAGGGGAACCAAACACATCTTCATATAGTGACAGGGGAGAGATGGTGAAAGGGAAGCACTACACACTTTCAAACAACAATTAGATTTTGTGACAACTCACTCACTATCAGGAGAACAGCAGGGGAGAAATACACCCCCATGATCCAATCAACTTACACCAGGTTCCTCCCCTAACATTGGGAATTACAATTTGACATGAGATTTGGGTGGGGACACAGAGTCAAACCATATCATTCTGCCCCTGGACCCCCCCAAATCTCATGTTCTTCTCACATTTCAAAACACAATCATACCCTCCCAACAGCCCTCCAAAGTCTTAATTCATTCCAGCATTAACCCTAAAGTTCAAGTCCAAAGTCTCATCTGAGACAAGGCAAGTTGTTTCCCTCTGTGAGCCTGTAAATCAAAAACAAGTTTGTTTTTCTATGATATAATGGGGGTATAGGCATTGAGTAAATTCTCTCATTCCAAAAGGGAGAAATTGGCCAAAACAAAGGGATCTACAGGCCCCATGCAAGTCCCAAACCCAGCAGGGCAGTTCTTAAATCTTAAAGCTCCAAAATAATCTCCTTTGACTCCATGTCTCACATCCAGGCCACATTGATGCAAGGGGTAGGCTCCCAAGGCCTTGGGCAGCTCTGCCTCTGTGGCTCTGCAGGGTACAGCCCTCATGGCTGGCACTGAGTGCCTTTGGCTTTTCCATATGCACAGTGCAAGCTGTCAAAAGACCTACCATTCTGGGAGGTGGAGGATAGTGGCGGCCCTCTTCTCACAGCTCCACTAGGCAGTGCCCAAATGGGGACTCTGTGTGGGGGCTCCAGCCCCACATTTCCCCTCCACACTGCCCTAGTGGAAGGTCTCCATGAGGGCTCCATCCTTTCAGCAGGCTTCTGCCTGGACATTCAGGCATTTCCAAACATCCTCTGAAATCTAGGCAGATTCCCCCAAACCTCAACTCTTGCCTTCTGTACATGCACAGGCCCAACACCACTTGGAAGTCAGCAAGGCTTGGGGTTTGCATCCTCTGAAGCAATGACCCCAGCAGTACTTTGACCCATTTTAGTCACAGCTGGAGCTGGGGCAATTGGGATGCAGGGTGCCTTGTCCCAAGGATGCACAGAGCAGCAGGGCCCTGAGTCTGACCCACAAAACAATTTTTCCCTTTTAGGCCTGCAGGCCTGTGATGGGAGGGGCTCCTGCTAAGGTCTCTGAAATGCCCTGAAGGCATTCTCTCCATTGTCTTGGCTATTAACATTCAGCTCTTCTTTACTTATGCAAATTTCTGTAACCTTGAATTTTTTTTTCCCAGAAAATGGGTTTTTCTTCTTTATTGGATGATCTGACTGCATGTTTTCCAAACTTTTATGCTCTGCTTCCCTTTTAAATATAAGGTCTAGTTTTAGGTCATTTCTTTGGTCATGCAAATGAGCATAAGCTTTTAGATGCAGCCAGGCCATATCTTGAACACTTTTCTGCTTAGAAATTTCTTCCACCAGATACCCTAAATCATGTCTCTCAAGTTCAAAGTTCCACAGATCTCTAGAGCAGGGGCACGATGCTGCCAGTCTCTTTGCTAAAGTGTAGCAAGAGGGATCTTTTATTCCAGTTCCCAGTAAGTTCCTCATCTCCCTATGAGACCACCTCAGCTTGGACATCACTGTTCATAACACTATCAGCATTTTGGTCAAATCATTCAACAAGTTTCTAGGAAGTTCCAAATTTCCCTCATCTTCCTGTCTTCTTCTGAACACTCCAAACTGTTTCAACTTCTTCCCATTACACAGTTCCAAAGTTGCTTTTACATTTTCATGTATCTTTATAGCAATGCCCCACTTCTTTGGTACCAATTTTCTGTATTAGTTTGTTCTCACATTTCTATAAAGAACTATCTGAGACTGGATAGTTTTTAAAGAAAAGAGGTTTAATTGACTCACAGTTCCACAGGCTGTACCAGAGGCATGGCTGGGGAGGCTTCAGGAAACTTGCAATCATGGTGGAAGTAAAGGGAAAGCAAGCATATCTTCACATGGTGACAGGAGACAGAGAGCAAAAGGGGAAGTGCTACACAATTTTAAACAACCAGATCTTGTGAGAATTCACTAACTATCATGAGAACAGCAGGGGGAAATCCACCCCCATAATTCAATCATCTACCACTAAGTTCCACCCCAACATAGGGAATTACAATTAAACATAAGATTTCGGTGGCGATACAGAGCCAAACCATGTCATCCCCCAAAATAAAGAAGCTAAACTAATACTTTAAATGGGCTAACCTACAAAAATTCTCTCTTACAGAAAATGCTAGCTAGGAGGCATTTTCATAAGAATCAAAATTCAAGTAATCAAGATGAATCCATGTCCAAATCAGGTTGATTTAATAATTAGGATTAGCAACAGTTACATGTAATTTCCTATGGTTTTATCAGTGTGGGGTATAAATATAAGATTTTTTGAAAGTAAGGTTTGGTATATTTTCTTTTATGTGAAGATACTAGTTAATCTGAACTTCCTAAACTTTTTACACTAATTCATTTATTAGATTAGCTAATATTAGCCCTACATAATATTTAGGATTGTGGGAAAACAAAATTTTCAAATAAATTGAATTAGAGTTTTTACAAACCTTTTCTATTAACAGCAATTATATGTGTAGCATATCTGTTTGAACATAATTTCTAACACCCTCAGTAAACTTTGAATCTATAAACTAATATTAAATTGATAAAGGATAATGATTAATGAAGAATCTTTGACTACCTGGGTAATTTCTAAGTAAAATAGAATACAGAAATCTCGGTTACTGAGTGTCATCTTAACATCTAAATGGGTATACTTTTGCTTCCTATTTGCATATATTATAGAGTGACTGTATCTTTGGATCTTGTTAGTGGAAGTGTTTCTTTTTGCCACTTGGAGAAGGTGTAAAAGGCATGTGGATGGCAGTAGGAGGTTGTATTATATGTTCCTCTATGCTTTTGGGTCTGCCTAAATGCTTGTGTATGACAGATAATTCTTAATTACATACTTACTTACAAGTTCTCTTTTTAAAATAGAATTTGTTTATAAGTTTTAATGAATATAAATGGTTAAGACTATACCAGGGTCTGGGCATGGTGGCTCATGCCTGTAATCCCAGCACTTTGGGAGACTGAGGCAGGCAGATCACTTGAGCCCCGGAATTCAAGATCATCCTGGACAACATGATGAAACCCTGTATCTACTAAAAATACAAAAATTAACTGGGTGTGGTGGTGCGAGCCTGTAATCCCAGTTACTCCGGAGGCTGAAGCAGGAGAATCTCTTGAACCTGGGAGGCAGAGGTTGCAGTGAGCCGAGATTGCACCACTGCACTCCAGCCTGGGCAATAAAGTGAGACTCCACCTAAAAACAACAACAACAAAACAAACAAACAAACAAACAAAAAACTATACCAGGCATTATGGCAAATAAATTCAACTATTTGCAAGATCATGGGAAAGGAAAATGGCAAGGATCAAAGAGGTAGTTTTGACCTAAGTAAAGTATCTGGTTGTTCCACATGTGAAAAAGAATAATGGGAGACAAAACTTGAATATAGAAAGTTGTAGAGGGTTTTTAGAAATTGATTTATAATACTTACAAATGATGAGTCTGAAAGAAGCCAAGGAATGTCCTCAAATTCTGGAAAAGTTTGCATAGTGTTGATGAGCTCATCCATAAGTTTAAACAAGGGGGGTGAGAGGAACCTGAGAATCTTCACTGCTAAGTCTGACATTAATGAAAACCTAGAATATGATTTCTCTCTTTTAAAGTGATAGATTTGTCTTAGAGTATTTATTTCTGCTCTTATGAGGGAAAGAAAAAGGTTATTTTCTACACCCTGTGTTATCTGTCTGGATAGCAAGAATTCAAAGTCTCACCAGAATAATTTTCTGTTCTTTGTGTGACTTTATTATGCCTTTGATTCTAAAGAGCCAAGATTCCATATTCTTGTGTCATCTTTTTCAATGTTTATTTAAAATATCATATGGTCTCTTTGATTAATAGGTAACCAAGCTATTGTTTCTATTTTAATCAAGTGCCTAAATATCTTCTCATAACTCTTGATTTTGTCATTCCAAAATCAGAGCATAATTTAGAAAAATAATCAACATGTCTTTTTACACCTAATATTCTTTTTTTTTAACTTTTAGTTTAGGTTTGGTGGTACATGTGAAGGTTTATTATATAGATAAACTCAAGTCATGGAGGTTTCTTGTACAGATTATTTCATCACCCAGGTATTAAGTGCAGTACCAAATAGTTATCTTCTCTGCTCCTCTCCCTCTTCCCACCCTCCACTCTCAAGTACACCTCAGTGTCTGTTGTTTTCTTCTTTGTGTTCATAAATTGTCATCGTTTAGCTCCTACCTGTAAGTAAGAACATGTGGTATTCGGTTTTCTGTTCCTGCATTAGTTTGCTAAGGATAATAGCCTCCAGCTCCATCCACATTCCCACATAAGACATGATTTTCACTTGTGTCTGTGTGAAAAGACCACCAAACAGACTTTGTGTGAGCAACAAGGCTGTTTATTTCACCCGGCTGCAGGCGGGCTGAGTCCGAAAAGAGAGTCAGTGAAGGGAGATGGGGTGGGGCTGTTTTATAAGATTTGGTTAGGTAGTGGAAAATTACAGTCAAAGCTGGTAGTTTTCTGGTGGGCAGGGGCGGGGGTCACAAGGTGCTCAGTGGGGGAGCTTCTGAACCAGGAGAAGGAATTTCACAAGGTAATGTCATCAGTTAAGGCAGGAACAGGCCATTTTCACTTCTTTTGTGATTCTTCAGTTACTTCAGGCCATCTGGACATGCAGGTCACAGGGGCTATGATGGCTTAGCTTGGGCTCAGAGGCCTGACATTCCTGTCTTCTTATATTAATAAGAAAAATAAAGCAAAATAGTGGTAAACTGTTGGGGTGGTGAAAATTTTGGGGGGTGGTGTGGAAAGGTAATGGGCGATGTTTCTCAGGGCTGCTTCAAGCAGGATTAGGGGTGACATGGGAACCTAGATGACTAAGCCCTTTAACTAGGCAGGAAATCATGTAATCTCACCTAGCTATAGCTGGGGAATCTGCCTGATAGTTCCATTGGGGATCCTTTCAGGGAACTGCTCTAATGCCTTCCTGGAGGTCTGGCTCATGGAGCCAGCAGTTGTCAGCATGAGATTGGGCCAGAGAAAAAACTCTTTCCCGTGCATCTGGGGAGAGGGTAGAAGTTAAGATGACATTTAAGTCACTCCAGGTTAAATTGTAGGACACAGTTAGATATCTGAATTCCTGTATATATTTAGTGGGGTCTGATGAGAAAGAGCCTAAACGCTGACTGATCTGAGAGAGGTCTGATAGAGAAAAAGGCACATGTACCCTGACTATGCCTTCAGCTCCAGCCACCTCTCTAAGAGGAAATTGTTGGGCAGGTGGAGGAGAGCTAGTCATGGAACTAAGCTGTAAGCTGGACCAGGTGTGAGGAGGGGAGGTGACCGAAGGATTATAGGGTGGAGGAGTGGAGGCTGAGAAAGAATTGAGACCTGGCTCACTCTGGTGACGAGCAGCCTGGGGAGGAGGGGAGAGGTCAGATGGGTCTGTAGAAAAGGAAGATTGGAAAGACTCAGTGATGCTTAGGGTTGGGACTGAGGAGGATTTGGGAGGAATTGCATTGGGAACAGAGACTAGGGAGGGAAGGAAGTGTGAAAAATGCCTGGATGTAAGGCACCTCAGACCATTTGCTCATTTTTTGACAAAAATTATCTAGGTCTTATAGGATGGAGAAATCGAAAGTGTCATTTTCTGGCCATTAAGAGCCATTGTCAAGTTTGTATTGGAGCCAAGTGGTGTTGCAGAAGAAAATAAAGCATTTAGGTTTTAGGTCAGGTATGAGTTGAAGAGGTTTTAAGTTTTTGAGAACACAGGCTAAGGGAGAAGAAGGAGGAATGGAGGGTGGAAAGTTGCCTATGGTGAAGGAGGCAAGCCCAGAGAAAAGAGAGAGTAGAGATATGGAGAGAAGGAGTGGGGGGTGCTTGCTCCCAAGAAAAGCGGAAAAGGGGTAGAGACACGGACAGAAGGGGTGGGGGGTGCTTGCCCCACAGAAAAGTGGAAAAGGGGTAGAGACACGGAGAGAATGGGTGGGCGGTACTTGCTCCCCAGGAAAGTGGAAAAGAGGTAGAGACATGGAGAGAAGGGGTCGGGGGGTTCTTGCCCCCCAGAAAAGCGGTACTTGCCACTAAGAGTGAAGGACCATGGCAGGCATCCCCGCATGGTCAGACACCTCTGAAACGTGGGTGAATAATCAAGCAGATGTCCCCGCATGGTTAAACACCAAGGGAAGACTGTCTTCCCAAGTCTGTGACTGGCGCTGGAGTTTTGGGTTCACGGATAAAATGCGTCTCCTGTCTCTACCAGAAAAGGAAAGGAAGTGAAATTCAGAGAAGGGAGAGATTGAAAGATGGCCCCAAGATTGAAAGGAGAAAGAGGTTGAGGGATAGTGAGAGAGGTTAGAGAAGAGAGTAAAAAGAGGCCGCTTACCCAATTTAAAATTGGTGAGATGTTCCTTGGGCTGGTTGGTCTGAGGACCCGAGGTCATAGGTGGATTTTTCTCACAGAGCAAAGAGCAGGAGGACAGGGGATTGATCTCCCAAGGGAGGTCCCCCAATCCGAGTCACAGCACCAAATTTCACTTGTGCCCATGTGAAGAGACCACCAAACAGGCTTTGTGTGAGCAACAAGGCTGTTTATTTCACCTGGGTGCAGGCGGGCTGAGTCCGAAAAGAAAGTCGGCAAAGGGAGATAGGGGTGGGGCTGTTTTATAAGATTTGGGTAGGTAATGGAAAATTACAGTCAAAGGGGGTTTGTTCTCTGGTGGGCAGGGGTGGGGGTCACAAGGTGCTCAGTGGGAGAGCTTCTGAGCTGGGAGAAGGAATTTCACAAGGTAATGTCATCAGCTAAGGCAGGAACAGGCCGTTTTCATTTCTTTTGCGATTCTTCAGTTACTTCAGGCCATCTGGATGTATACGTGCAGGTTACAGGGGATATGATGGCTTAGCCTGGGCTCATAAGCCTGACAATGATCTTATTTTTATAGCCATAAAAATGGATTTTGATGATTTTAGGATGATTCCATATCTTTGCTATTGTGAATAGTGTTGCAATGAACATTCACATGCATGCGTCTTTATGGTAAAATGCATTACATTCCTCTGGGTATATACCCAGTAATGGGATTGCTGGGTTGAATGGTAGTTCTGCTTTTAGCTCTTTGAGAAATCACCATGCTGCTTTCCACAATGGTTGAACAAATTTACACTCTCACCAACAGTCTATAAGCATTCCCTTTTCTCCACAGCCTCGCCAGCATCCATTATTTTTTGGCTTTTTAATAATAGCCATTATGGCTGGTATGAGGTAATATCTCATTGTGGTTTTAATGTGCATTTCTCTAATGATCACTAATATTAAGCTTTTTGTCATATGCTTGTTGGCCACATGTCTGTCTTCTTTTGAAAAGTGTTCACGTCCCTTGCCCACTTTTTAATGGGGTTGTTTATCTCTTGTAAATTTTACACCTGACATCCTTTGAGATCTTCTAAGATTTAATGGGATGCTAGCAATAGCTAGTTCTTTTATGCATACTTCTTAATTAGCTCAACACAGTTTTAAAAGCTGAATGACCAAAATGTAGAGGTTCTGCATGTGAAATGTGGTGGAGTTTCTTGGGCCTGCTTTTAGCCACAGGCTAGAAGACAGAACAATTGAGTCTTTTAAAAAGCTCTACCTGAGATTCCTTAATAAAATTTCCAAACAGAAGTTAAATTATCTGGCCTTAGTAGTTGCTTAGTACTATATGCTCATGGAGGCTTTTATGGTTAATTAATACCTCTTGTTTCACTTTTGTAAATAATCAAGCTAAAACACCATGAGACTGTAACGCCAAAGGTTCTTACCTTAGCTACGCCAAAGATTTAGTGTGACGGCAGCCCGTGGTGAGAGACAGACACGGATTGGACCAAGAGAAAAAAAGCTGTAGGCTTTATTGAACAGAGTGACAGTACAAAGCTTCCACAGTGTGGAAGGGGTCCCGAGTGGGTAGCCAGTATTAGATTTTTTGATCACCTTTTAAACTCTTTAAGGCGGGAAATACGTGCAGTGGGAAGATGTTACCAGAGCGAGAAACAAAGACAATTAACATGTCTCAGATCTTGAGGAAAACCGGAATTGCAACTTAAGTTTTATCTACTTTCTAACCTTGCAGCTGCATGGCAAAGGAGACAGGATCTCACAGGATTTTACAAATGTGTTTATAAGGAATTGTAACTGGGAGCATAGATAAGGTCTGCTGGTCACAGAAAAATGGGCTTTTAACATTCCTTTTAGTTTCAGAGGAGGGGGAAGGGAGAGAGGGAGAGAGGACACAGGGAAGCTTACAACAAAATTTTTGCTGTTTATAGCTTTCTTGGGGAAGAAAACACATGCACAAATTCTGATGTTAGGAATATTTTAAGCATATATCTTCAATATTATTCATCCAAGACCGAAGTAAGTCCTGATGCAAAAAATGAGTGAGTTTCACAGCTTTCTGGGCCCCTACTTGACCCAGGAAGCCCAGCTGACACCTCCTTTCAAGACCATCAGTTTTTTTGTGATAGAGAATAATCTTTGCAGATTATTTATGATCAAACTAGGGGGACTGCTAGGAAAAAATCTTTTAAAACTTAGAAATGAGGCAGAAAAGTGAGCACCATGTCCTTTCAATGTCATACTAGAATATTATTTCATAGGCTTATTCAAAGATTAATTATATGTGGGGATATATCTGCTTTTAAGGGATTAGATACAATAAAGTTACATGTAACATAGATTTCTCTCTGTTAAAATAGATAATCCTAAAAGTTATATTTTATTGTCCTGTATGATATTCCAATTTTCTGTCTAACGGCAAATTTATTTCAGAATGCCTTCTCTCCTGGATTATGTAAGAGTCCCTTATTTTTTAAAATGCTCTTTGAACCAGCTTTACCATTTTACCAACTCCCTCATTATTAAATTAATAATCTTTAACACATAGTCACGCTCTTAATTGTTTGGAAATTATAATTGGACATACCTTGTGTTGCAGGATGGAGAACCTGGTAGAAGCAGCCTCTCTTTCCTTCTCAGCCCTAGGATGAGCCATTGCCCTGTTTCTTAATTAGATGGCACTTCATTTATCTCCCTCTATTGGCCTCCCCACTACACTACTCAGTCTCAGGGCAGTAGCTGTGGGTCAGCCAATCTCTCTCTGAGCCTCTTGTTAACTGTCTCAGAGTCCTAGGCCTGCATCACAATTCATGTCACACTTCTCGAGGAATAAATCAGTGGTTGTGCTCAGCTGTTCCAGACATAAAAAGGCCCAGGGAAGAAGATGTTTTTGTCATCTTACCCCACTCTGGAGCACCTACCACTGACAAGCCTGTTTATTTATTTATTCAATGATTTACTTAATTATCTACTTTTTCTTTATCCAGTGATTTATTCAGTATTCATTCCTTCATTAAGACCCCAGGAACTGGTATCAGAACTATAGTGGATGGTTTATTGACTTAATTAGGTGAAAGCTTAAAAGCTCCCATTGAAGAAATCAATAGTGCAAATACCTTTTTTTTGTATATAGGCAGACATTTCTATATGCAGCTAATTTAGTTGCTGTGACAAAAACAAAAACAAACAAACAAAAAAAAAAACAACACCCAGATTTTCTGCAGTTGAACACAAAATAAGTTGATTCTTTACTCTTGCAGAGTGTAGTCTGTGGTGGAAGACAGTCATTCAGGAACCCAGGCTGCCATCTTCAATTCAGCTGGCAGATGGGTGGCAACAGGAAATTGAGAATTAGGTGAGAGGTTTTCTTTTTCATTTTTTTTTTTTTTGAGACAGAGTCTCGCTCTGTCACCCAGCCTGGAGTGCAGTGGCGCGATCTCGGCTTACTGCAAGCTCCGCCTCCCGGGTTCACACCATTCTCCTGCCTCAGCCTCCTGAGTAGCTGGGACTACAGGCGCCCGCCACCGCACCCGGCTAATTTTTTGTATTTTTAGTAGAGACGGGGTTTCACCACGGTCTCGATCTCCTGACCTTGTGATCCGCCCACCTCAGCCTCCCAAAGTGCTGGGATTACAGGCGTGAGCCACCGCTCCAGGCCAGGTGAGAGGTTTTCATGGGCTAGGCCTGGAAAAGGTATCATCCACCCATATTCTGTAGGACAGAATGCCACGACAAAGTAACAATTACCTGCAAGGGAGGCCAGGAAACTTAGTCTAGTTGCTTTTCTAGAAAGAGAGGGCAATTAACTTGGTAAACAGCTGCTGAGTAACCGCAGCCTCTAATACCTAGAATCCCAGAGTCCATGTAACCCTCACTAACCTTGAATCTGGAGGTTGCTAGAAAGGGGCTGTCATGTCTGTTTAAAACCTCGGAGGCCTAGGTGGGCGGATCACGAGGTCAGGAGATCGAACCATCCTGGCTAACACCGTGAAACCCCGTTTCTACTAAAAATACAAAAAGTTAGCCAGGCGAGGTGGCGGGCGCCTGTAGTCCCAGCTACGCGGGAGGCTGAGGCAGGAGAATGGCCTGAACCCCAGGGGGCAGAGCCTGCAGTGAGCTGAGATTGCGCCCACCGCACTCCAGCCTGGGTGAAAGAGCGAGACTCCGTCTCAAAAAAAAAAAAAAAAAAAACCTCACATCACTCTGTCGAGCTACTTGCTTAGCAACAATTACTGTGGTAGAAAGTACAATGGTGAAAGAGATTTCATTTCTCACCTGGGGGCAGAGAAAATTCCTTTTTTTCTTTTCCTTTATCTTCATTGGTAGGAAGCTTTCAACGGTATCCATAGAATTTTGTTCAGTAGGTGTTTGGAAATGATTGACAGTTTTTAGGAAGAGATTGAGATGATCACAGTTGACCTTGAAGATAACTCATGGCCAGTGTCTCTGGCTTCACCTGTAGTACCTGGTAAATGACTTGGAAGCACATGGAAGTCACTTAGAACTACAGGGTCTTATAAAGTCTCCAATTTGATATCTTAATCCATTTGAGCATTCTGAACCTCCAAGAGGTTAAGTAATTTCCCTGAGCCACCAGGCTACTTTACAGCAAAACACAAACAAAGCCAAGTTGCTTTTTGTCCAGCCCACACTATTATGCCAGGCAGCATCTCATCAAGTAGTGAATGATTAACCTTTCAT
Source organism: Homo sapiens (assembly GCF_000001405.40). Taxonomy (NCBI): domain Eukaryota; kingdom Metazoa; phylum Chordata; class Mammalia; order Primates; family Hominidae; genus Homo; species Homo sapiens. The sequence goes on along the minus strand of NC_000005.10, from coordinate 136,732,891 downwards.
TCTAATGCAGAATGAAACAAAATGTTGAGTAACCAAAAATATCAGTGAATATAATGTTTTTCCAAACTGAACTTTCTGCTTAACTCTGTTTTAGCCATAGAGCCTTTTTAATTTTAACTTACGGGGTTGAAAATATTTCTAAGACATACCAACTGGTTTTCTTGTTGTTGTTTTTTTTTTTTGAGATGGAGTTTCTCTGTCACCCAGGCTTGAGTGCAGTGGCACGATCTTGGCTCACTGCAAACTCGGCCGCCTAGGTTCACACCATTCTCCTGCCTCAGCCTCCCGAGTAACTGGGACTACAGGCGCCTGCCACCATGCCCGGCTAATTTTTTGTATTTTTTAGTAGAGACGGGGTTTCACCATGTTAGCCAGGATGGTCTCGATCTCCTGATCTCGTGATCTGCCCGTCTCGTCCTCCCAAAGTGCTGGGATTACAGGCGTGAGCCACTGCGCCCGGCCCCAGCTGGTTTTCTTGCCTTAGTAATCAGTGTTCCAAACTGCACGAGCAATGTTGCCCTAATGTTCGTAGGGACAATTATTATTCCAAAATGTGGAAGAAAATAATTTTCAATAACCTAAAACTCGATTTTAATGAACTGAATGAACTGTGAGAAACTGTTTCTGGGTATTTTTTCTCCTCAACAACCTTTACATTTCAGAACTTGAATCAGAGTAGAAGATCCAGCTTCAATCTGAAATAAATCCTGTGATGTGTATGTCCACATTGGTGAGATTCACCAAAAAACAAAATCACCTTTAGGCTAGAAACCATGTGAAGTTTTTCCAAGATGGGTCTGCAGATTTTACTGAAGATCACATTGCTGACAGTCAAACAGAGGGATGATTCTGAGGTGGTTTTGTTGTATTTGTTTGGTGGTGAGGAGGGGCTTGGTGGAAATATGTGACCTAAGAGATATAAGAGATTTCTATTACCAGGAAAGGTCATGAAACCAACTTCCACTCTTAGAGACACCCACCTTTCTTATTTTAGAAACACAACTCATTTTATTCGGCCCACTTGATCAGCATTTTCTTCAACTTGAAATGACTTGAGAAGTTGCTGTTTTATTTGATTTTCCTGGCTCATTCTCCTGGAAAGGAGGTTCTCCTATTTTAATACATAAAGTTGTGTTTAAGCACTGCTGCCAAGGAACTGAGGGTTTGCCAGGAGCAGCCTCTGTGGTTTCAGGATGCTTTGCCACTACAGTTGAATTAATTTACTGAAGGAGCTTATTTCTACCTGCTGTTAAAATCACCTACATTATGTCACGCACATAACAATTACATTTTGTGGGTTTCTTTCCTTTTTTCCTTACACACCCTCATTGGGTTGTTTCTCATAGTAGTAAAATGGGAAAAGTACACATAAAATCTTAGTGAGATCCGGCAAAGCTAGACTTCTCTTAGCATGTGCATTCCCCTCTGTTCACTCACCACTGGGGATGGGCTTCTTACATGAGTTTGCTAAGATTATTCTGTTTGATTCCACCCTGCCTTACCCAGCTGACTATGGAAGGGCAGGGATCATTGTTCATTTTCCTTTTCTGTCTCTAACCAGAGCTTAAAGTGTAAGAGGTGATTTTCCACATGCCACTCTTGACACTGTGTGCTGTTCTGAAAAATCTCTCCTGGAAGTTGAATTTTGCTAACAGTGGTTAGTTACATAACAAAAATTTTATCGAACTCTTACTGGGAACATTGTATTAATGGCAGAGAAAAGAAAAACCGTTCTTGCTCTCTCCTTAGCTGTAGGACACCAAGCCAGGGTTAGAGAAGTGTAGCAAAAACATAATATGTTTTCCGGATGTAGAATAATTCAGTGAACAATAACCACCTGTGTCTGAGGGCCTACCATGTGCCAGGGCAGAATAATTTTTGAGATGCTTGTCTCCCAATATGTGCTCTTTGGGATAAAAGACCAGTTGTTCTTGTTGATTGCTCTATCCTTAGCAGTGAATGCAGCTTCTGGCACATTGCAGTCCTCAGTAAGTCACAGGACAGGAGGAAGTTCAGAGGTTGCACCTGACACTGGCCCTACCTATTTTATCCTTGAAGCTATCCTTAAGCACATTTACGATTTTCAAATTAATTTTTACAATTGGGACATTCTTTCTGTTAGTCATTTTATCTTTCTAACAGATCAACAGATTCAGTGACACGGATGTTGTACCTAAAGTCACACATCTTTCACCTGTGAGGGGTGGATTTGATTCTGAGTCATTCTGTTACCAAAGACTGCTCACCACGGTGTAGCTGTTACCTCCCAGCAATGAATGAGTGGTATGGGGTTGCAGGTGGCCACTCAGAGGAGGTTAGTGCTGCCCTGAAGAGAGGTTACACTCAACAAGCATTTGAGGGCCCTTGCAGAGAACTAGAAGCAAAGCAAGGCTGGGTGGCACCTGGGCCTCTCTTCATGGTGTCCCTTGCAGGTGATAATTATCACATGGCTAAGAAAGGATATTTCAGAGAGGAAAAATGTTTGTATGAAACGAAGAAAGGGTATTTGTGTATGAATACCCTCACCAGACTCACATCAGAGACTGGGAGATTTCTGATATGATCCTCTGATGGTTCCGAGAATAGGCTGCAAACACAGTGATAAGAGAATCCCTTCCACAGATATTCAAGTTCAGTCACAGGGCATTACACATTAAGGCCATTAAAGTTATGAGGGTGAGTCACATCTCTCAGTGGGAAGCCAGACTGCCTACCTCTTTTTCCTATTAATCACATAACATTTTAAAGCTGGAGAATTGTATGAAAGGAACGCTAGGCAAAGCAGCATCATGGAGCAGAATAATCATAAAGTAAACAATTGGCTTAACTATCTGGCATCCTTGAGTCATGCAAATGATGAGTATCTTGTTTTTTTGAAGACTGTTTTGACCCTAAACAAGCCCATTTTGTGGCTTTTATTTATTTTGAGACAGAGTCTCGCTCTGTCACCCAGGCTGGGGTGCAGTGGCGTAATCTTGGCTCACTGCTACCTCTGCCTCCCAGGTTCAAGTGATTCTCCTGCCTCAGCCTCCTGAGTAGGTGGGATTACAAACGCCCAGCCTCACACTTGGCTAATTTTTTGTATTTTTAGTAGAGATGGGGTTTCACCATGTTGGCCAGGCTGGTCTCGAACTCCTGGCCTCGAGCAATCCTCCTGCCTCAGCCTCCCAAAGGGCTGGGATTGCAGGTGTGAGCCACCGCACCTGGCTAACTTTGTGGCTTTTGGTTTTAACCTACAAAATGAGTATAAAATGTTGGTCAGCCCTACAGATCTTTTGGAGAGCCGGGAGACTGGAAAGAAAATGCTGGAGAGTTTTGAGAAGCTCATCTCCAAGTGTATGATCTATTGGGGAAGGCCATCCTGGTCCAGAAAAGGAGCTCATAAGTCCTTGCAGAGGACAGAAGGAAGGACAGAGGCTGTACAGGAACCACTCCTGCTCTTTTTATCCTCAAAGCTACCTGGATACTGGTCATGCTGGTGGTTTTCAAATTTGGTTTTATGATGCCTCAGGATGAACACTTATTTCAAAATTCATCACAGAAAATATAGAATGTTCTTGAAATGAAGGATACTTGTTAATGCATATGCCTTACACCCAAAGAAGGGTTGAAGCAGCCCGCTTATGCCGCTCAGCGCTGCACCAGAAGGTAATGAATGCAGGGGGCTCCTCAGCTGAGATGTTGTCCCCTCCTGGGCTTCCCACACATTGCTGATGTCTTTTGATTATTTAATGCTAAACAGCACCTCCCTCTACAACAGATACTAGTTTTGGACGACTGCACTTTTAAGACCAGAGGAGGTAAAAATTTTTAGAAGAAAGGGGAGAACCAAGATAAGCTTGGCCTCTCTGGTGATGCTCTGGCCTTCTATCCCCTAGAAGTGATTTTTTTCTCCCAACCAAGGCTCTGTCCTGAAACCTGGCCCCATCTTCCAAACAAGCTCTGCTTGCCCTTGGTTCTGACCCCAAACTCCAATTTTCACACACTGCTCAGATTAGATGTTTCCTGCAGAGCTGACCTAGCCTCAGACTCCAGGCCCCTCCATCCTCCCGGCCCCTGCTTGGCCTCATTTCACACTCCTGCATCTGACCTTCGGTCCCACTCCCACCACACCTGCCCTGGCCTCCAACTGCTTTTGGCTTTTCCTGCCTCAGTGCTGACAGCTGGCCGTGGCTGCTTCCAATTGAACTGCTAAGGAAGAGAGACTCCTTCCCACCGCGTTACATCTGAGTTGCTTCTTAATCAGGCCCAGGATCCTGGAAGGAGAGATGGGGCAGGATGAACCCTCCAAGTGTGCTTTGGGCCTTGCTTAAAAATGGGAACAGACAAGCCTGCCACCCTGGGGCCCACACCCCTGCTATCCTGTCCAAAAATAGACCCAGAATCCTCAGCTTGTGGGGAGACCACATAGACACTTACTGATGGTTCAGAAGACGGCATCTTACAAGGCTACCTATTTGACCAAACTCTTAGATTTTCAATTTCTTATTTAATTGTTTTCTAGTTCCTTCTCCTTTTTCTGCTTATCATGATAGCTCCCACTGGACAGGCTGAGGTGTGTGTGGCTCTATATAAGAACATGAATTCTCTAATAAGTCATGGCTTATGGGGATGCAGGGGCCTGTCTTTCCTAAGCAAGATCACTTCTCTGATCCTTGTCCCAGAGCTCTGAATGTGTTTTGCCTTTCCAAGAGTAGAGATATCATCAGATTTTCACATTTCATAAAGTCACTATGGTTCGGGATATAGGAGAGATCAGAGGCAAGACTAGATAATTAGAGCTTTAAGAGTCATTTTAAGGGTCTTGATAAGGGGCATTGAGGACATCTATTGTCCATGACCATTTGTGATGACTTAGTTGAGCCTAAGTGGCTTTATACAAAAGAGGCTCTCAGAACAGTCTGCCTGTTCCCTACCTCCCACTTTCCCAGCACCCAATTTAAGTTTTGAACCTTATCATTATGTAAGAAAGACATCCACCAGCTGCAGGAGGGATGGAATCAAAATCATAGTCTGCCTATCCACAGGCCATTTATGTCCTGAGGGCTTCCCAATCACTGGAAAATGAGGCCCTGAAATCCAACCCATCAGATTAATACCTCCATCAGAGTGAAAGCAACAGAGTTAGAGTGAAATCGTGATTTGAATTCCTTCCTCTAAGCAAGCTTGTCCAATCTGTGGCCCATGGATAAGACCCAGGACAGCTTTGAATGTGGCCCAACACAGAACTTTTTTTTTTTTTAAGCTCATCAGCTTTTGTTAGTGTTAGTGTACTTTATGTAGGGCTAAAGACAATTCTTCTTCTTCCAATGTGACCCAGGGAAGCCAAAATATTGGACACCTCTGGTGAAGCAGAAGTCAATTCCTAAGAGCCTTTGGGCTTAAGAGTAATTGGCCACTTATGCCTCTTCACTGGCATCTTCTTTGACTTCCTTCAAGGACAGAAGAGGATTAGCTGGGCATGGTGGTGCACACCTGTAGTCCCAGCTACTCAGGGAACTCAGGTAGAAGGATTGATTGAGCCAGGAGTTCAAGGTTACAGTGTGCTATGAGTGTGCCACTGCACTCCAGGCTGAGTAACAGAGTAAGATTCTTTCTTTCTCTAAAAATAGTAATAATACATAATAAAAGGAAAGTAGAGGGATATTTGGGCCCAACCTGGGAAGCCAAGGAGCAATATGGGTGAAGTAGAGAAAGGTAGTTTTCTAAAGGAGGTAGAAAGGTTTGAGGCTTCAGTGACAGGAATATCATTTAAGAAGCATCCCAGAGACATCATGAGATGGTGGAACATAAAATATCCCTCAGACAGTAGGTGCATTTTCAGTTATGAATTAAAAGACATTGAATTCAAAGTTGTCAGCATACTTGGCACATTAGATTCTCTGTTAATGAAAGAGAAGGTTTCAGTTAGTCTTTGTTTAAACTTTTGAAAATTTGACTTTTTTGAAAATTGTTAGAGAGTATGAGCTGGTGGGGAGAAGACCAACAAATGATAACCCAGGTAGAAGGGCATGACTCTAATCAGAGGTAGAAAAAAAGCACATGGACAAAGATCAAGCAAACACAATGCCTTCCCATCACTTGGATGATAAGGATTAAGAAAAGAGGAAGGAAGGAGAGGAACTATATGGCAGAGCTTTAGTGACTCAAATCCAAGTATGTGACATCTTTCTTAATAGCTTGAAATCTATGGGTATGCAGCCAAGCCTAGAATAGCAGAAGAATCCTGCGGGAAGCAGCAAGACAAGGACAGAACCAAGCAAGTGTTCACTCATCTCGTGGGTCAAAAAAATAGTTTATAGGCTTTATATTTGTACAGTACTAATCCTATTAATAAGGAGTAGCTTCTTAAAGCTCTGTATTGAAAAAGTGTCTGAGGCTCTGTCTGGGATCAACAGTAGAGTACTGCAATTGATTAGTGGTATCTGCCATGGGTCCAGGGTTGGAGAGTGGGCTCAACTAATGTGGGAAAAAGGAGTGCTACTTGTGGCACAGTGTATCCCACTGATACTCTCTATACTGGGGTTTAGGTTCAAAGGCTCAACTAACACTGAAGTGTGTCTGTCTTTTATACTTGTCCTGCATCTTATTTCTCTTGGGGACTCGTAGGGAAAGTGGATGGATCATGAGTAGAATGTATTTCTAGATTCCTTGGCCATGAAACAAATCCAAAAGGACCTGTTATTAATGCCCCAAATTTTACACACAGACTACCTTTGGAATTTGGGACCTAAAATTCCAGGTGGGGATTCTAGAGGTTGCTTTGGTTACTTGGGGGATGGGGTAGGAATGGAATCTCTTGGTGGGCTTCAAGAGTCATTCCCAGTTTCCTGCCTTCCTTCCTGCCCAAAGGAAGTGATGCTCATGTCTCTGGTCCCATCATCCAGGACATCACTGAATACCTCCCAGCTCAGGCCAGGAGGACCTAAGGGGATGTAAAGACTTGAGTTAAGATGACACAGTTCACCTTTGTTTAACACAGAAGTATCATGAGGGGGAGGTTGACATTATCTACCTGGATCTCATCACTGCTGTTTCCTCTAACAGCCAGAGGTAGATGTTCAGGTACCCATATGAAAAGATTCTAGGCATAAAAGTAGATTGAGTATGGATTCTCATTTATGGGTTTGGGAACCCCCTCAAGGATTTAGCACAAGAAACCTACATGGCAGCCCCAACAGCTTAACTGCAAAGACTTCCCTCTCTCATGATGACAATTCATGTTACACAGTCTGAGTTCAAATAAAACAGCCCCCAATTGCCTTTGGGCCAGAATTCACATAATTTTGTTCATAAGAATATATAAATCAGGCCAGGCATGGTGGCTCATGCCTGTAATCCCAGCACTTTGGGAGGCCAAGGCAGGCAGATCATGAGATCAAGAGATCAAGACCATGCTGGCCAACATGGTGAAACCCCACCTCTACTAAAAATATAAAAATTTAGCTGGGTGTGGTGACTTGTGCCTGTAGTCCCAGCTACTTGGGAGGCTGAGGCAGGAGGATAGCTTGAATTCGGGAGGCGGAGGTTGCAGTGAGCCAAGATCGCGCCATTGCACTCCAGCTTAGTGACAAAGTGAGACTCTGTCTCAAAAAGCAAAACAAAACAAAAAACAAAAATATATAAATCAAAACACTGGTCAAGTGCTAAGTACCAGGTCAATAAGACTTTGGTTTTCTTGTAATGTTCGCACTTTGTCATCAGGTAAATAAAATGAACAAAACAAAACAAAACAGTGATTATTTTTAAGATAACATTACAAAATTGAAAGGACCACACAATTATTTGGGAATATGGCAGGAAACAAATTTAAATTTAACTACGGGATATTACTATATTACATATATTGTTTGAGGACAGCTTTGTATAACTCATTTCTGTATTCCCCAAAATGTTTGAGCAGAGTAGGTGTGCTCTGTAGCATTACTAAACTGAAAAGATGGGATTGCAGTGTTGAGTAATAAAAATATCCCTGTACTTAAATTTGAATTTGTTTCCTGTCATATTCCCAACCCCTAGAATAATACCTGGCACACAGGAGAAGCTCTTACTAGCAACACAAATAATATGGTCACGGGCAAGCTTTTAACCTGTTGGAGCCTCAGACTTCTTATGAGTAAAATGTGGATAAACATGTCCACGTTGTTTCATGCCTTTATTCAGCGTAGCTTCCTCTTCCAGAAATGTCTTAACCCTCTCTTTTCAAGACCTTGCTCAGGGGTCAGTTTTTCTTTGAAGCTTTTCTTGATGTTGTAAGGGCCAAGGCCTTTGGCCCTTTGGAGATTTGCTGAAAATGATGGACATGAGGCAGACTGAGTAATAGGAGATAAGGCATACAAATTTATTTAATGTGTATACGTAGGAGCCTTCAGAATGAAGACCCAAGATACAGGGGAAATTATCCATTTTTATACTTAGGTTCAACCAAGTATGGACAGCCATGTAGAAACATAGACAGGAAGGTATGATCTGATCTAACAGACTGAGTAAACCCAGCAAGGCCTGTCTGTCTAGATTCTTCTTGGCCTTGCTAAGCACACATTCCTCCCTTCTGGGTATGGGGCAGGCCTCTCTCTGGAATGGGATTCTAATGACCTGCAGTCAAACAAGGTAGGTCATATAATTTCTTTATGGCCAGTTTTTGCATGGAATATTTTAAGTTTTATGGATGGATTTTTAGAAAAGCAGTTCTTGTTTCTATGATCTGCTTTGGGGAAGCGGGATTCTAGTTTACAGGACTAGTTTTGAGGGAGAATGGTACTAAGACTCAAGAGGGCAGGAGAAGGTCAGAGAAAAACAGGCTTCTGAGGCTGCTTCTGTGGCCTTCATTTTGGGATATTGTTTTTTGAGCCTAAACAATGTCCTCTTGCCTTCTAGGAAGAAATGACATCATTCTCCTTTAGGCTCTCCTAAATCCCATCATTTCCATCAAGGTACCTACAGCTCTTTGTGACATTTGTCTACTTACATAAAATGCAGGTCTAGCTGCCTCTGCCAGACAGTATTTTCCTAGAGGGTAAGAACTATGTCTTATTCATTTCTCTATGCCCAGAGCCAAGAACAGCAGAAACTTGATATATCATTTTGAATAAATAAATGAATGAATAATGAAGGACTAGAATCAGCCAAGTGATGTGATCCATTTGGAGCTTTAGAAAAATCCCCATGGCATAGTAGGCCAGACAAACTTATAGTTCAGCAGGGGTTAGACTGAAAGCATCAAGATTCCCTGAGATTCAGATGCTGTCTCCAAAATGCTTCTGTTAAATTAAAAGGCAACCCTGGGTTGCAAGTCATTATCAGTCACCAGTACGTTATCTGAAAACAGAGTCTGTAGAGCCTAAGACATAAGCACATTTCATGAGGTATCAAGAAAGCGGTAGGGGCCAGGCATGGTGGCTCACGCCTATAAATCCCAGCACTTTGGGAGGCCGAGGCAGGCAGATTGTGAGGTCAGGAGATCGAGACCATCCTGGCTAACACGGTGAAATCGTGTCTCTACTAAAAATACAAAAAATTAGCTGGGCATGGTGGCAAGCACCTGTAGTCCCAGCTACTTGGGAGGCTGAGGCAGGAGAATTGCTTGAACCCAGGAGGTAGAGGTTGCAGTGAGCCAAGATTGCACCACTGCACTCCAGCCTGGCAACACAGTGAGACTCTGTCTCAAAAAAAAAAAAAAAAAAAAAAAAAAAAAAAGAAAAGAAAAAGAGAAAAAAAAAGAAAGGGGTAGGAGTAGGAAATGTTGGAGCATGAAGCCCCCTGGGAAGGGATCAGACTTGGTAGGAGTCCTGGTACAGCAGGGCACACCTTGCAGGGGCACTGATTGAACAGGTGGGCACCTGAGACCTTCCATCCACAACACAGTGCTCCCAGAGCCCTTTGGAAAGTAGGTGGTAAAATGGACCTAACTTCTTAAAAGCAGGGGCAGGCCAGTCATCTATTTGGGTATTGAGAGCACCCAAAGCCAAGGGGAGTACCAGTGGCCAAAGCTGCCTGGGGAAGAGGGTGAACCCACTTGGCCTCAGCAGGTACAGAGGCAGTGTCCAGTTTTGTCATCTGGAGCCTGGTCATAGAGGGACAAGTGTAAGCCCAGTGGGGTGAGAGGTTTCAGGAAGGGAGTGGTTTCTTTTGCAATTTTCTCTTGAGTAGCAAGTGACATAGTCACTCAATTCCGGAGTAAGGACTAACCTGACTTTTTTAAAAGACTCTATTAAATCTACTGGGCCAAGATCTGGCTGTTTCTGGCCTGTTCTATTTTTTAAAACAACTTTATGAAGGTCTGTTTTATCTATAATAAACTGCACTCATTTGAAGCATACAAATTCATGAGTTTTGATAGATTTATATGCCCGTTGCTATAGATTGAATTGTGTCCACCCAAAATCCAGGTGCTGATGCTCTAATCCCTAGTGTGACTGTATTTGGAGACAGGGCTACAAGGAAGAAATTAAGGTTAAATGAGGTCCTAAGAGTTTGCCCTGATATGATAGGATTAGTGCCCTTATAAGAAGATACACCAGAGAGAGAAAGAGAGCGAGAGCTGTGAGGACCCAGTGAGAAGTCAGCAGTCTATAACCTGAAAGGGAGCCCTCACCAGAACCTGACGATGCTGGCACCCTGATCTTGGACTTCCAGCCTCCAGAACTGTTGAGAAATAAATTTCTGTCATTTAAACCACGCAGTCTATGGTATTTTGTTATGGCAGTCCAAGATGACAAATACACCTATGAAACGACCACTGTAGTCAGGATATAGAACAATCCCACTGCCCCCAATTTTTTATTCTTTTCTACAATAGGCTGAAAAGCTCTAATCTTGAGAGTGGGGAGATATCTGCTGTAGGAAAAAAAAAAACACAATTATTTCCAAAATGCTCCTGAAATGTTTTGTTGCTTATGATGTCATTTGCCAAAGTTTAATGAACAAAATAAGCCATTATGCAATTAAAGCAAAGAATGCATGGCAATTCAGCCCTGAGCATGCAATCAGGCTGGGCACCGTTGCCAGCTATGAACCGGTTGTGGTAACCTGCATACATTTCCATCTGCAGCCTGATCAGAAGTAACAGGTTGCCTGGGCATAGGGAATTCCAGAATATTTTAGAAAAGGGAAGTCTTTACTGTTTTCTGGCCTCTTCATCCTCACTTCCCAGGAAGCAGATTCTCTTCTCCTCCTTCTGGAAAGATTATCTTAGTCTTTCCCACTCTTCCTCTCCTCTCCCATCTCTAAACCCAGGCAGGTCCATGCAGCTTCCCAAACCTGTCAACCACTTGGGGGAAAAGGGCCTCCTCTGCTTCCCTGCTATACCCCGTGGGCATGGCATAGTGCTCAGCAAGAGAAGCTATACAAGGAATGTTTGTTAAATGAATCAATGATTAAATGAAGTGAAAAAAGTCAACTGAAAAAAACCCCAAATAGCAGCCATTTGAGGTCTTACATATTAAGACATTCTAGAGTGTTGTCTAGTAAGTTGCCTTGATTTTTATGGGGCTTTTGGGCAGGCAGAGCTGGCAGAACAGAGAAGTTATGATATGGCTCAGCTGCCATATCATGGCATGAGAGGCCTCCCTCCATCTGGTCTAATCCGTTTCCAGCTCCATTTCCCACCTGCCCTATGTATGCCTAGCAGTTCTGATACTATAGCTTAAATATATTGTGTGGGTTCTGTCTCTGATTTTGCCTGTGCAGTTGCCCTTTCTCGCATGCACTACTCAGCTTGCCTACCACATCCTCTTTCCTCATCTTCACATCCAGGCTTAAAGTCTCCTCTCCTTCACAGCCTTTCTTCATCTCAGTTCTAGCAGCATGCTACTGACTATCTGCTCCCACACGTTGCTCTCCCCATCTGCCTCTTATTTATTTTTCATGCCAGACAGTGAGCCCCTTGAAGGGATGCTGTCCAGCCTTAATCATTTTGTAAATCCCCTGCTTACTCCAGGGCTATGCACACAATGGTTCTCAATAAACACTTGTAGAATGTAATTGTCCAGTAAACCCTTCTTATCTCTCTTCCCAGATGGAAGAAGTAGAAGGCAGAGGCAACTACTACAGTGGGAGGAGCGTGGCCTTTGGGTCCAGGTAGTTTATGTTCTAGCTCATCACCATCTGCATTCATGTTATATTGCTTTGTAACCAATTAACACAAACTAAGCAATTTCAAACAATAACCCCTTCTTTCCTCCTAGTTTCCATAGGTCAGAAATCCAGCACAGCTGAGCCGAGTCCTTTGCTCAGTTACACAAAGTGTCAGTTGGGCTAAATTCGTGTGGTTGTTTGCGGAATTCAGTTCCTGGTTCTTGTAGGACAGAGGCCTAACTCTATTGCTGGCTGTTAGCTGAGAATGCTCTAAACTCCTAAGGCCACTTGCATTCCTTCTCATGTGGCTCCTTCAACTTCGAAGCCAGCTATGGAGAATCTCTCTCAGGTGTAATCCCTCCCATTCTTCAAATCTCGTACTTTCTATTTCTCTGACCTCTTCATGCAGATTTAAAGGGCTCTGGTAATCAGGTCAGGTCCACCTGGATAGCTTCTTTTCTGATAAACTCAAATGCAACTGATTATGAATCTACCTACATCTGCACAACTCTTTTACCATATAACAAGATAAAATTATGAAAGTGATGCCTCATCCTATTCACAGGTTCTTCCCACATTCAACAAAAGGAAATTATAAAAAGGTCAGGGTCATTGAAGTTCATCACAGAGTTCTTCCTACCACATCTCCTCTGGCTACATTACCCCCTTTGGAATATCAGTTTCCTCAGCTGAGAACAGGGATGAATAAACCTACCTCCCAGACTTGTGGTGAGGACTGAATTAAATACAAAATGTGAAAGAGCCACTCAGTGACTGCAGGTCTCTTCCCCTCCTCCTGTTATTTCTGCACTGTCTGCCTTATAACTATTCCCAGATTATCCAGAGAGTAGACACCAGCTGGACTGTGTGACTATGAAATAACACTAAGACCCTTGGTAACAAATGCAGATTTAAAAAAAAAGACTAATTGGTAATGTCAAGTTACTGTCTTTGGAGGGTGGTAATAGCTGAAATCACCTAGGGTTAGCTCATGACCCAAGTGAAAGTGATTTCATAAAGATTGACATCCAAGCTCCTCAAGCAGAAGATTACTTCTTTAAAAGGCTTAGGTCATTATTTGTTTTCATAAAACCAAAAAGACCCCTTTGTCCATGAGACTTGGGTTGTAATAAACTGGATACTATGAGCAAAAAGGAGCCCAGAGAAAAGGATGCTGTTGGCTTTTAGAATTCAACCGATATGGAATAAGGCAAAGTTGGTCCCCATCAGCTCTCCTTCTCACTCTGTCCTTGCTGCAGGGATTTCCTGCTTTTGCTGACTCCCTCCCCCAGCTGCCTGGGACCTTCCTAGCAGTGCCCCACTTGGGCAAGTTCTACTCTTAAGAATCATCTAACTCTTACCCAGAAAACTTATCACTCCTGAGTTTCCACACCTCAATGCCAAGCTGGGTGCCTGCCTAATTAGGTACAGGAAGAAAAGAGATGTCAGTTAATGGGAATGGCTAAATATGATACCCTCTTCCTAGTTACCTTTGTACTTTAAAGACGCCTTCAGTGTTATTTTTTTTTTTTCTGAGACGGAGTCTCGCTCTGTCACCCAGGCTGGAGTGCAGTGGCGTGATCTCAGCTCACTGCAAGCTCCACCTCCCGGGTTCACGCCATTCTCCTGCCTCAGCCTCTCAAGTAGCTGGAACTACAGTCGCCCGCCACCATGCCCAGCTAATTTTTTTTGTATTTTTTAGTAGAGATGGGGTTTCACCGTGTTAGCCAGGATGGTCTCGCTCTCCTGACCTCGTGATCCGCCCGCCTCGGCCTCCCAAAGTTCTGGGATTACAGGCCCTTCAGTGTTATTTAACCAAAACAGACTTCCTTCCTTTTTGGGCTCAGATGGACCCCTCAGTTTCCTCAAGTGCATGGAGCCACAGCTCTCTCTTGTTGGAGCAGACACCTACTGCTCACTGTGATGGTTAATTTTATGATCAGTGGCCCAGGAGACAGCATTCCTACAGGGAGACAATGTCCCACCACTGCACCCCCTCACCTCAGACTTACCATTTGACTTTTCTAAAGGACCCTTGTCCTTTGTCTCATACCTGTGAGGCAAGACATCACCTCTGGGTTGGGGAAATAAGAATAAATAACAGTAAAATGCAATTGTTAAGTATGAACTTGTATCAAAGCTTTTCTATACCAGTGGGTTTTTCAGGTGAACAAAAAATTGGCTGTATTCTTTAGGAACTGCATTTTACAAACATCTGTTTTATTTAGATAACTAGGAGAAATAAAGAACTAGTGTTCCTCCATTTTTGGTCACTAATTGTACATTTAAAGATGCAAAAATTCAATTAACCCTCTTCAAAGGTGTGCAGTGGTCAGGGGCCTGCATGCTCTGAGGCTGAACTGATCAGCTGCAGGGTTCTACCCAGTGGGAAGCACTGAGGTGTCTGTTATTAAAGCCAGCTTGGTTGTTCCAGGGAATCAATGACCCTGAGTGGCTGGAGAAGGCCAAGGCTTAGCAGTTTGAGCTGTGTAGCCTTATTTTCTGCTTTGGGGACTCTTGGGGGTAGCCTGGAATGCACTAAGTGGGCCTCCCCTTAGAGCTCTGCAGCTCTGATGCAGGGGGTACTCCATAAGTGATATTCTCTGCATCCTTGCCATCCCTGCAGCCCATCCATGGATTAGGCCACCACCCTTTCTTATGCAGATTTCAGGCTCTCCATTCTAGTCTTTGCTCTGCAGCCACAGACACATTCCAGGTGTACCCTAATTGTGCCCCTCCCCACATCCCTCAGGATAAAGTAGTAACCACCATGTATGAGTAAGGGCACTTAGGATCTGTAGCCTTTCTGCTTGGTCTACTCATTGCCTTGCTGTGATCCTCACCTCTTCCCCCAAACACATTCCCCTGTTCCTTCTTTGGGCCCTAAATATGGAATGCCTTGCAGTCCCTCACATGCGTCATGAGCTTTTTCACTCACAGGCCTTTGCACATGCTGTTCCCTCTCCCAGGAGGAAAGGGTCCCCTCCCCTCCTCATGCTTCACCTTACTCACGCCTTGGTCCTCGGAATTTAATCTAGGTGTTACCATCTCTAGGATGCCTTTTTCCTTTCCCCTGCAAGTCTGGAGTTGGTGCCCTGACGTTTGCTCTTACAACCCCATTATGGTTCTTATCATGTTGGTAGCGAAGCTGCCTGTGGGCTGGTGGATGCTTTGAGTCTCCACTAGAGTGAGTGCCTGACATTTGCCTAGTATTCAAAAACTTTGTGAAAGAGGGAAGGAAGAGAGAAAGGGAGAGAGGAAAGAATGGAGGGAGAAAAAAGAAAGAAAAAGCAGGATGAACACATGGATATTAGAGAGACACAGACTTTGAGGTAAAGCGGGTGGTTGGGGAATATGGAGGAGTACTGAGGTCACTGTTCTGTTCCATCCTGAATGAAGCAGGAGGAGTCACAGACACCCTGTATCAGCATTTCGGTCTGTGTAGGGAACAGGCCAGCCAGCAGGCTCTGCCACATACTCCCCATAAGACCTGAGACATGTTCCTTAGCCTCTCTGAGTCTCAGCTTCCTCCTTGGAAAATGAGTGGTTTTGCTGGATTCTCTGCCAACTATAAGGAGAAGTTTAGTGGGAGCCATGATGTCCCTGAACTGCTAGTCCCTGAGCATCATCTCTTCCCAAAGCCTAGCTCTGAGTTTTCTGCCTGTTACTTAGTCAGGGGCTCATGATTGGGTTGATGAATGAGTTTCCCTGACCTGAGATTTCACTAGTTAATACTGAAGCTCACTGCAGCCCCTAAAATGGCCAAACACACCATAGCAAATGAAAGCTGATGGGGAAGGATCACATGTTTTCTAGGCCAGATCCATCAGTTTCTCCATTAATCTGTGTCATCAGCAGTACTAATGCGGTGTTCTCAGGCAGAGGAGTCAAAGATCAAGGGAGAAAGGTCTGTGCTGCCTTTCCATAGCAGCATCTGACTCAATGTATTGGTTTCCCTCTGGCACAAATGCCATAAAGTGCAGTTTGTGGGCAGGTGTGAATTGCCAGGGTTCCACAAGGCCAGGGAAGGAGAGTTGATGGCCCATCTTTTGCTCTCTCATCCCTCCACTAAGGGGCCCTGCAACGAAGTGAGTGGTGCAATTCATTTAACTGAAAATGCCCAATAAAAGGGAGTGACAAAGTAAACTGCAGCCCTCACTCTCAGCTTATGTCATTTACTTTTAAAAATGTTGGTTTTGAAAATACATAAAACATGGGGAAATACTTACATTTTTAAAATTGATTAATGTCAAGTGAGAAAACAAGATATGAATGCATATTTGTAATGGGGTTATAATTATGCAAACAAACAAAAGCAAAAATCCCAGAAACTGATGCATACGGACAAATGATAGCATAGAGATCTTTGGCTAGTGGAATTATTGTCCTTCAAAAATTCTATCTCTACTTTTCTGATTTTTCCGAAAAGTGCGTATATTTTAGATTGTTAAAATATAATTAAATATTTTCAAAACAATCATATGAGAAAAGGCTCTTGAAGGTTGTTTCATTCGGTGGCTCCCAAGTATGGTTTTGCTGAGGACCCAGCTGCTGCCTCAGCACCACTAGGGAAGCTCACTAGGTACACAAGGTCCAGGGTCACAGCCCAAGGGATCCTGACTTAGCAAGCCTGGCATTTGGCCCAGGAATCTATATATTTCCCTTAAATTAAAACAAAACAAAACAAAATGCTTGCCAGGTAATACCAAAGTGGAGCCAGCATTGAGTGTGTTTGATCTAGTGTAGTCCATTCTCACATTTTGCAAAATGAGGAAACTGAGGCCCCAGAGAAGAGAATCACCTGCTAAGTATGTGATAGAAACAGGTCCAGAACTCAGTGCCCATTTGGTGGAGCACAGTGGACTTTGAGTAGTCAGACAAAGCATCTGAGCAGTGAAAACTCTTCACCCCTCTGTGTTCCTTGTCATTGTATGGTGTGGCTTTCCAAAGGCTGACGCTTCTGAGATGGTCTGACCTGAGGGACTGCTTAAGAATGCTGACGGGAGTCAACGTGCCCTTCTTGTGACCTTTTATGAACAAAGGCATCCAACCCTCCAGATTTGAAATGTTAATCTCTAAGAATTGGATAAAAGGTCTCTGATTCTGCCCGCCTTTCCTGAGGGCTGGCATTATGATGTCTCTTTATGTTGGCCTTCAAGGCAGAAAATGAAATTGCTCATCGTCCTTTGAGGTGTGAGGTTGGTGTTTCTAAATGGGGTGCTGGAAGCACAGGCTGTCTCCAGTCTGGGCAGACCACTGCTCAGTCAGGGGAGCTAACCTTCAGTCTGTGAATGGAGGGGAAGGGGCAGGAGCAGGGGGAGGCAGCCAGAGACACAGGTGCAGCCAGAGCTGCTGAGCCAGTTCTGAAGCGTATACTCGCCAATCACACCACATGCCATTCAGTCAGCTCCTTCCCATCAGAGACCCCTGAAAGCTTCCTTCCTCCTCAAGCATTTCTCATTAAAATATAAGTCACTGGAGATGATAGGGGTCAAACTCTACATTTTTCTGGCTCCTGTGAAAACAGCTGCACCTGGGATGGTGCTTCCTTCTCACTTCCTAAAGCATAAGCAGCCTCTGTTCCATGTGTACAAAGAAAGTTGGGAGGATCTGGAAATCACTTTATATCCTGGCCAGAAGCTCACTGGGGTTACTTCAGAGGAACAAGGGCTTTATTATTGGGATGCCCAGGGCCTGGCATAGAGACAGAAAAGCAGTCAAGAAGCAGGCTGTTTAGGTGCCTGCAATAACAATGATGATGAAGATAATGATGGTGATAATGATGCTAGCTAGTGTGGCAAGATAGGGTTTCCTGACCACCTATCTTCTTTACTCCTCCTCCTCCCTAATGAAGAGGGTGTCTGTAATAAGACAGCATAAACAGATGGAAGCTTTTTGGAAAACATGACAGAGCTCTGAAAGGTATCCATACCACAGCATCTAAAAGACCCACTGGAGGCAAGCAGGAGGAGGCTAAAAGTGAGCCCAGAGTACTTTCAGTACACCACCTGGATGGCAATGAGGGTCCTGAGGAGAAGACCGAGGCTTGGTTTCACAGGATAAAAAGACTTCAGGGCAGGGTGAATAGAAAACACAGGGAGAGAAGGGTCTCCTGGACAGACCTCAATGGTAGACATTTATGCTTCAAGTGAATTAAGAAATATGTTATACTAACATCAGAATTCAGTGTGTTTCATGCACCTGTATGTTCACTGAAACACTATTCACAATAGCCAAGACATGGAATCAACTAAAATGCCCACCAGCGGTAGACTAGATAAAGAAAATGTACATATACACCATGGAATACTATGCAGCCATAAAAAAGAATGAGATCATGTCCTTTGCAGAAAATGGATGGAGCTGGAGGCCATTATCCTTAGCAAAGTAATGTAGGAATATAATACCAAATACTGCATTTTCTCACTTATAAGTGGGAGCTAAATGGTGAGAACATATATGGACACAAAGAGGAGAACAACAGACAGAAGGGAGAGAAACAGAAAAAAATAACTATTGGATACTAGGCTTAGTACCTAGGTCACAAAATAATCGGTATAACAAACTCCCATGACACAAGTTTACCTATATAACAAACCTGAACATGCACCTCTGAACCTAAAATAAAATTTTAAAAGGAAAACAGAAAGAATTCAGTGTGTTAAATCTACTTTTCCTTTTGGTGATGGGGTACCTACCTGTCAGTTTAGACCTTACAGATGGAATTGAAGACATACATAATGCTGTTCTAAGCCACTTAATCCTTTAAAATTTACTTAAAATTCGTTCAGATTTTGAAGCCAAATGTAATAGGACACACAGCTTCTATTACCACCTCCACCCTTATCCCCAGTTTATCTGGAGATTCTTGGGAAGCATTGGATTGCATCTGGCCACCTAAGTTACAACCTCTTACTTCCTTTAAATTAACTGTCAACTTATTTCTGGCATCTCATAGCAGCAACCATCAGCCCATTGCACATTAGCTTGATTTCCTCCAAATACCATCAACACACTGTATTCTGCATACTCTACATTTTTTAAATTAGTAGACTTTACCTTTAGATTCACAGAAGAATTGAGCAGATAGATAGTACAAAAATTCCTATAACCCCCTCTTCTCTTCCACAGTTTCCTCTGTTAACATCTTGGATTAATATGGTACATTTGTTACTATTAATGAACAAATATTGAGACGTCATTATTAACTACAGTTTATATTCTTTATGCTGGTTCACTCTTTGTTTTGTACAGTTCTGTGGATTTTCACAAACACATGATGTTATGTGTCTATCATTACAGTATCAGTGAGGGTTGTACAGATAAACAGAACTGATAGAATACACATACACACACACACACACACAGAGAGAGAGAGAGAGAGAAGAGAGAGAGAGAAGAGAGAGATTTATTACAGGAAATTGGTTCACATAATCATGGCGGCTGTCAAGAACCAAGATCTGCAGTCAACAAGCTAAAGATTCAGGAGAGCTGATGGTGTAAGTTCCAGTCCAGGTCTGGAGACCTACAGCCTCAAGAGCCAGGAAGAGCCAGTGTTTCATTTGGAGCCCCACGGCAGGAAAATAATGATGCCCCAGCTCAAGGTATTCAGGCGGGATGAAATTCTCTATTGTTCATAGGAGATTTTGCCTTTTTGTTTTATTTAGGCTTTCAGTTGATTGGATGAGGCCCCCTCACATTAGGAATGAAAATCTGCTATTCTCAGTCTACCAGTTCCAGTTCAAATGTTAATCTAATCTAAAACACTCTGACACACACACCCAGAAAAATGTTTGACCAGATATCTGGGAACCCTTTGCTCCCAAGTCAAGCAGACACATAAAATTAATCTTTACAAGTATAACACAGAATAGTTCCATCTTCTAAAAATCTCCTGTGCATAAACTTTTCATCTTTTTATCTTCCCCCCAGCCCCTAGTAACCACTGATCTATTTACCATCTCTGTAGTTTTGAATTTTCTAGAATGTCATGTAGTTGGAAAAATATAGTAGCCATACAAAGAAGTCAGACTGGGAGAAAATATTTGCAAAACATATCTGATAAATGACTTGTATCCAAAATAAACAAAGAGTTATGTGCCACATCCTTGAGGGCAGAGTGTCTGCATAAATTATTTGGAATTCTTCTGAATGGGAGACATGTCTAGTGTCCCTTTGACATGTCTCCATCATGATTTTTGTTTTTTATTTTTGTCTTTGTCTCTCTCTCTCTATTTCTGTCTCTCTCTTCTCTCTTTCTCTCTCTCTCTCTCATCTTCTTTCCTTTCTTTCTTCACAACAAGATACTCCAGGCTCATCTTTCCTGACTCAGTCCAAGAATCGTAATTTCTCTAAGGAACCCTGGTTCGTTTTATTGGACGGTGGCATTAGGAACCAAGATCTGGGTACTAGGTGTGCTAATTGCTACTGGGTTGGCATTGCACCTAGGCCCACTCAGCTGACAGAGGTAGGAAATTAATGTGTATATACTAACCTATGTGTATATACATTTTAATAAATATTTCTATTTGTAACCATCTGTATCTGGATTATGATATGAGTTCATATTGATGTCTCCAAATCTAATCCATTACCACATGATCATTATAGACTCTTACTCTTGCTTACCTGTAATCTCCTACCCTGGCAGTGAAAAACCCAGCTCCTATCATCCTCCATCTGTTTACTTAATTGTTTAATTCCAGCATACATGTATAGCAATATCAGAATTATTAATACTCCCATGGTAAATAGCTTTATAAATTAGAGCACAGTGCTTGTGTATACAGTTGTCCCTTGGGATATATAAGGGATTAGTCCCAGGACCTCCAGTGGATACCAAAATTCATGAGTGCTCAAGTCCCTGACTTAAAAATGGTGTAGCATTTCCATTTAACTTATGCACATCCACCCATATATTTTATCACCTCTAGATTAATTTTAATGCCTAATACAATTTAAATGTTATGCAAATAGTTGTTATTCTGTACTTTTTAGGGCATAACAATGAGAGAAAAGAGTTAACACATGTTCAGTACAGACACAATTTTTAAAAATTTTCAATCTATGGTTGGTTGAATCCATGGATGAAAACCCACAGATATGGAGGGCCATCTATAGTTTATTTTGCTTTTAGTCTTAAGAGACTCCACTCAATTCCAAATTTACTTGTCAGTACGATTTTCTCCCACTACCTTTAGTGAGATTATTTCATATATTTGTGATACAGTTAGGCTGTTTTTTCACATTCTGCATTCCATTCTGGGATTCTCCAAACTCCCAAATGATTTGCTTTTAATTTGCACTTGCTAAAGTTCATTCTTTGTGCAGTAAAGTTCCACGAATTTTAGCAAATGCATTGTGCTGTGTATTCACCTTACAACATTATACAGAATTGTTTCACTGCCCTAAAAATTCCCTATGCCTTTCCTAACTAAACATTCTAAACATGGTAAACAGATATGTTTACCATTGCTGTAATTTTATATTCTCCAGAATGCCATATATTTAAAATCATGTAATGTATATCCTTTTTAGACTGGCTTTTTTTCTCTTAGCACTATTTAAGATTCCTCCATGTCTTTTTGTCTTAATAGCTCATTTCTTTTTATTATTAAATAATAATTGAAGTGCCACAGGTTTTTTAAAATCTATTTATGTGTTGAAGAACATCTTAATTTTTTCCAGTTTTTTGTGATTATGAATAAAGCTGCTGTGACATTCCTGTGCAAGTTCTCATGTGGACACAAGTTTTAAACTCAGTTGGGTAAATACCTCGGAGCATGATTTCTGGATCGCATGTTTAGCTTTGTAAAAACTGCCAAACTCTCTTTTAAAGTAGCTGTGCCATTTGTATTCTTACTAGCAATGAATGCATTTATATTGATCCTGATCTGCATTTAATGTTGTCAGTTTTTTAAAATTAGCTATTCGAATAGGTGTGTGGTGATACTTCATTATTTTTTCATTTGCAATTCTCTAGAGACGTACGATGTTGAGCATTGTTTCCAATGCCATCTGTATAGCTTCTTTGGTAAGGTGTCTGTTCAGATTTTTTGCCCATTTGTTAAATTGACAAGGCCAGTCTCAGAGTATGTTTCCTACTGTCCTGAAGTCCAAGGTCACAGGATGAATTTTTTTTTTTTTTTTTTTTTTTTTTTGAGACGGAGTCTCGCTCTGTAGCCCAGGTTGGAGTGCAGTGGCACATCTCAGCTCACTGCAAGCTCCGCCTCCCAGGTTCACGCCATTCTCCTACCTCAGCCTCCCAAGTAGCTGGGACTACAGGCACCTGCCACCACGCCTGGCTAATTTTTTGTATTTTTAGTAGAGACGGGGTTTCACAGTATTAGCTAGGATGGTCTCGATCTCCTGACCTCATGATCCGCCCGCCTTGGCCTCCCAAAGTGCTGGGATTACAGGCGTGAGTCACCGCGCCTGGCCACAGGATGAATTTTTATAACCCTACATGTGGTGGGATGAATCAAAGGCCTCCCTTGACATTTAACTTTGTTATTAGGCAGAGGTAAGAAATTAGTACCCACTGACGAGAACCAAGAAGAATCATGGTTTAGAGAAGAAAGAGTGGAGGTATCGGGAATTGGCAGTAAAAAGGTCTAGAGCACAAAGGTGGGATGCTCAGAGTTGGAGCTAGAGGCCCTTTGGATCTAGAGACAACTTGTGAGCTTTACATAAAGGAAGGATCTCTGAAGACAAATCTGATTGGCTCTGTTTGCTAGTGTGTTATTTGGGCTCTGGATACTCTGAGAGACCACTTTTCTTGATAACTTTAAGGGAAAAGCAAAGGGACTCACTCAGGTTTACTAAAGGAATTTGTTGTAGGTCTAGGTCAGGACCCAAGTGTGTCTACTTTCCATCCAGCGGTCTTTATCAAGACTATGTAGCCACTAACCTCCTTTTTGGGGATGTAAGTTATCTCTCAGCTGAACCTTTTAGGAAGTGATGGAGGAATGGATGGAGGAATTGAAACTTCCTTGGATGCGAAGAAGAAGGAGTAAGAGCACTGCAAAATATAAACTTGGTGATGAATAAAAGATAACTTGCTGGAGTCTGGAAAAGTAAAGACTAGAACCTCCGGGAGAAGCAGCAGGATTAACTGGGATGGTCTGCAAGCAATACCCAGGAAGGTTTTGGGAGTCACTCAGAGAACTGGGAGGGCCACCAGGCTTAGAGGCACAGAAGCAACCACAGGTGGCCACCAGGGTGTGAGTTTCTAGTTTTGCCTGCCTCTTGTTTATTTCTAGTGACAACTTGTGGCTTCAGTGGAGCATTTCTCACACATCAGTGCAGGTTAGGTGTTTTTCATTCCATTCTGGCTCAAATTTATTATGTATTTTTGTAATATATATTAGATAAGAATATTCTGAGAAGCAAATTCTGTCTTCCAAGTTCAGTTTTTAAAACTCATAATATGTTAGTTTTTGCCATTGATAGGTCTAATATGGCTGGCTAATAATGAATCACCATAAAATTGATAAAATTTATTATTTTTCTTGAAAGAGGAAAAAGCAAGGAGTAGCCATACTGTAATTTACTAAGTTGATATGTTTATACAGTCTTCATGAAAAAAATGAAGTATTACTGCACACCTGTATCTATTAGGAATATATATATATATGTGTGTGTGTGTGTGTGTGTGTGTATGAATTATATATATATAATTCATACACACACACACATATATATATGAATTACAGGATAAAAAATTACCGGAAGAAATATGAGTGTAACTCTTTACAGAAATACCTCATTTCATTTACAGAAATACCTCATTTCTCAATCAGCTATGAGAGCTTGTCTAACTCACTGGGAGTATCTTATAATGAGTCTTTAATCTCAAGAAAAAGAGTAAGCTACCAGAAGCAAGGTTATCAGTCACACAGTGTAGATCAAAGACTACTGGATGAAATGTGGAGATTTGGATTCTTAACCTAAACTTATAACAAATTTCTTTTGTAAACCTGAGCAAGTGGCTTTTCTCTCAACCAAGGTGATGGGATGGGTGCAAGAAGAAATACAAGTTTTAGCTCTGTTCTTCCTCCAGTGATTTGGGGATAGCTATTTGGAATTGGATGTAGACTTTACTTCCAAAAGGATGACAAAAGTGTCCTGATCTACTAGTGATATTGTTTACAACCCTAGAAGAGGAGAGTAGACTTGACTTTCTTGGCTGTATAATCTTTATAGGGTAGCCTCAGTAATCTCAGTATAGAAGGTAAATTTGTTATGTATGAGCCTAGGGAGTTATGCAGACCTAGACTGGAATCCTGGCTCTGCTTCTTACTAGCTGTGTGACTACTTCAACTATCTGAGCTATATAAAGTAGGAGTGATTATTGTACCAACTTAATAGGACTATGGTGAGGATTAGACGAGACAGTGACTATAAAGTGGCTTGCCACATTGTAAATGCTCAAAACATATGTGTATTATTATTGATACTATTAGTGATGATATTATTTATACTATTAATGATATTATTTAACGTTACTGCATACTCTCTCAAGATATCCTTTTTATCACTTTTAAAAAAGGTTATTTTATTGATACATAATATTTTACATATCTAAGTATAGTTACTCTACTCTCATATCAAACATTAGAACTTCTTCCATTTAACTCTATATTTTTACCCATTAACCGACATTTCTCCATACCCTCCTCCCACATGCACACTCTTCCCAGCCTCTTGTATCTACAATTTTATTCTCTACACCATGAGATCAACTTTTTTAGGTCTCATGTATGAGTGAGAACATGCAGTATTTGTCTTTCTGTGTCTGGATTATTTCATTTAACATAATGATCCCCAGTTCCATCCATGTTGCTGCAAATGACATAATTTCACTCTTTTTTATGGCTGAACAGTATCCATTGTGTGTATATACATCACATTTTATTGATCCATTAGTCCACTAATGAACATTTAGGTTGATTTTCATATCTTTGCTATTATGAATAGTGCTGTGAGAAATTTGCAAGTGCAGTTATCCCTTTGATATACTGATTTCTTTTCCTTTAGATAGATATCCAGTTGTGGAATTACTGGATTGCATGGTAATTCTGTTTTTAGTTTTTTTAGAAATATACATGTTGTTTTTCATAGTGGTTGTACTAATTTATATTTCCACTAACACTGTGTAAGAGTTCCCCATCCTCTGCATTCTATCCAGCAGCTATTATTATTTTTTTTCTTTTCAGTAATAGCCATTCTAACTAGAGTGAGAAAATGTCTCATGGTGGTTTTCATTTGCATTTCACTGATGATTAGTGATGCTAAGCATTTTTTCATATACCTGTTCATTTGAATGTCTTCTTTTGAGAAATGTCTATTTGTGCTTTTGCTCACTTTTTAATGGTATTTGTTTTTTTTTAATTGTTGGATGTTTGAGTTTATTATATATTTGGGATATTAGTCCCTTGTCAGATAAATAGTTTGCAAATACTTTTACACAGGCTGTCTCTTCACTCTGCTGATTGTTTCTTTTGTTATGCAGAAGCTTTTTAGTTTAATATCATACCATTTGTCTCCTTTTCTTTTTGTTTCCTGTGCTTTTGAGGTCTTAGCCATAAAATCTTTGCCTAGACCAATGTCCTAAAGTGTTTTCTCTATGGTTTCTTCTAGTAGTTTTATAGTTTTGGGTCTTATGTTTAAGTCTTTATCTTGAGTTGATTTTTGTGTATGGTGAGAGATAAGGGTCCAGTTTCATCCTTCTGCCTATAGATATTGAATAATTTAAGAACCACTTATTAAAGGTGGTGTCCTTTCCCCAGTGTGTATAGGTGGTACATTTATTGAAAATGAGTTGGAATTCATTTCTGAGTTTTCTGTTATATTCCATTGGTTCATGTGTCTGTTTTTATACCAATAGCAAGCTGTTTTTGTTACTATAACCTTGTAATATTTCTGTAGTCAGCTAGTGTGATGCCTCCACTTTTTTCTTTTGCTCAGGATTGCTTTGGCTATCTGGGCTCTTTTTGGGTTTCATATTAATTTCAGGATTGTTTTTGTCTGTTTCTGACAGACAAAGAATGTCATTGGTATTTTGATAGGAGTTACATGAAACCTATAAATTGCTTTGGGTAATTCGGTCATTTTAACAATGCTAATTCTTCTGATCCATAAGCATAGAATGTCTTTCCATTCGTATGAGTCTCCTCTTTAATTTCTTTTATCATTGCTTTATAGTTTTCTTGTAGAGATCCTTTACCTCCTTGATTAAATTTATACCTAGGGGTTTTTTTTAGCTATTGTAAATAGGACTGTTTTCTTGATTTCTTTCTCAATTAGTTCATTATTGGTGTATAAAAACACTTGATTTTTATACGTTGATTTTGTATACTGCAACTTTATGGAATTTCTTTATCAAATCTAATAGGTTGGTGGTGGAGTCTTTAGGCTTTCTAAATACAAGATTATATAGCTGACAAAAAAAGACAATTTGACTTCCTCTTTTCCAATTTGGATGCCTTTTATTTCTCTTTCTTGCCCGATTCTTCTGGTAAGGACTTCCAGTACTATATTGAATAGGAGTGATGAAAGTGGGCATCTTTGTCCTGTTCCAATTTTTAGAGGAAAGACTTTCAGCTTTTCCCCATGCAGTATGATGTTACCTGTGGGTTTATCATATTTGGTCTTTATTAGGTTCAGGTGCCCTCCTTCTGGGTCTAGTTTGTTAGGAGTTTTTTCTTTTTTAATCATGAAGTGATGGTAAATTTTATTGGATGCTTTTTCTGCATTCATTGAGATGATCATATGGTTTTTGTCCTTCATTCTGTTGATGTGATGTATCACAATTACTGATTCTCATATGCTGAATTATTCTCATTTCCCTGGGGTAAACTCCATTTGATCATGACGTATTTTTTCTTTCAATGTGCTGTTGGATTTGCTAGTATTTTGTTGAGGATTTTTGCACTGTGTTCATCATGGTTATCCATCTTAGTTTTGGGTTTTTTTCTTTGTATTTGTCTGGTTTGGTATTAGGGTAATGCTGGCATTGTAGAAGAAGTTAGGGATAATTTCCTCCTCTTCAATCTTTTGGAATAGGTGCGGGAGAATTAGTGTTAGTTCTTTGGATGTTTGGTAGAATTTGACAGTGAAGTTATCTGGTTCTGTACTTTGTTGGGAGACTTTTTATTACTGCTTTGATATCGATATGATTTGGCTCCGTGTCCCCACCCAAATCTCATCTCAAATTGTAATCCCCATGCATCTAGGGAGGGTCCTGGTGGATGATGGGGCAGTTTATCCCATGCTGTTCTCATGATAGTCAGGGAGTTCTCATGAGATCTGAGGGTTTTAAAGGTGGCAGTTTTTCCTGCATGCACTCTCTCACTCCTGCCACCATGTAAGACATACCTTGCTTCCCCTTCACCATAAGTTTCCTGAGGCCCCCCAGCCATGTGGAACTGTGAGTCAATTAAACCTCTTTTGTTTATAAGTTACCCACTCTCAGGCAGTATGTTTATAGCAGTGTGAGAATAGACTAATACAGATATTATTACTTGTTATTTGTCTGTTCAGGTTTTGTAGTTCTTCCTGTTTAATCTTGGTGGATTGTGTGTCCAGGAATTTATCAATTTCTTCTAGCTTTTTAGTTTGTTGGTGCACAGTTATTCATAATTGTTTCTGATGATCTTTTGTATTTCTGTGGTATCAGTTGTAATATCTGCTTTTGATTTTTAATTTTGTTTATTAGATTCTTTTTTTCTCTTGGTTAGTCTGGCAAGCAATTTATCAATTTTGCTTATCTTTTCAAGACAACAATTTTTCATTTATTGATCTTTTGTATTGTGTTTTACTCTCTATTTTGTTTAGCTTTGGTCTGATCTTTATTATTTCTTTTTTTCTACTAATTTTGGGTTTGGTTTGTTCTTGCTTTTCTAGATTGTTGAAGAGCATTATTATATTGTTTATTTTAAAATTTTTACTTTTGTAATGTAGCCACTTATTACCTTAAACTTCCCTCTTAGCACTCTTTTTGCTTTATTCCATGGGTTTTTGTATGCTGTGTTTTGATTTTCATTTGTGTTAAGAATTTTTAAAATTTCTTCCTTGATCCAGTGGTCATTTAGGAGCATGTTGTTTAATTTCCATGTATTTGAACAGTTTCCAATGTTTCTCTTGCTCTTGGTGTCTAGTTTCATTCCACTGTGGTCTGAGAAGATATTTGAAAGGTTTTCAATTTTTAAAAATTTGTTGAGACTTGTTTTGTGGCCTAACATATGGTTTTTCCTGGAGAATGTTCCATGTGCATTTGAAAAAAAAAATGTGTGTTCTGTATTCATTGGATGGAGTGCTCTGTAAATGTCTGTTAGGTCCATTTGGCCTGGTGTGAAGTTTAAATCCAATGTGTCTCAGTTAATTTTCTGTCTAGATGATTTGTCTAAACCTGAGTGGAGTGTTGAAGTTCCCCACAATTATTGTATTGCAGTTTATCTTTCTCTTTTAATTTAGTAATATTTGCAGTGGGAATATGGATCATGGAGGTTCTGTTGCCTTTTTCTCACGTTAGGGAGACTCTCTTGGCTCCAGGCTGATTTTGGCCAAGCAGGCTGCCTCAGTTCTCTCTTCCTCCTTGCTTTAGGGGTCTCTTTTCTCTTTTCTGTTGAATTCCAGTGTTCTCTTTTGAATAATCTAATAGTAGTGTGACAATCTACTCACTATTTTAGTTCTTCTTAGTGGAGGAGGCATATACAAGATGCCTCTAATCAGCCACCTTGAACCTCTCATTCTGACATTTTTTCCCAGACTTATTTTCAAAACATGGTCCCAGAGCCTCCTCTTCTGTGCAGAATACCAGACTTAGCACTGTGGATCTAGTGGTGCCATCAAATACCTCATGAGAGAAAAGAGCCCGCAGTCCAAGTGAGTCATTTCCACAGTCAATTCAGGAGAGGGTGGAAGGGGTGCAGTTATGTCAAATGAAGGAAGTAGAAGTCAACTTTGCTCTGGAGATCAGAAAATATGTCATGGAGAAGGAATTGTAGACTCTTGAGGGATGAATTCACCAAATGTGTCAGGAAGAGCTACATTTTAGCTGTGTTGACAGCAAAGGTCTGCAGACTGGTATCTTGCCTTGGTCCTAGGGTTGTACTTAAGTTAGGGAGCTGGTAGTAGGGTTGGTCCATGGAAAAACCATGATGATGAAATTATTTATTCATACTCCCCATAACCCCATCCATACCCTTTGTTCCCTCCAGACAGAAGCATTTTTACTTGAACAAAGAAAGCTTATGATTTTAGGTCCTGGAAAGGGCCTAGCAATGTCTTCACATGGTCATATGTTTTTGTGAATTTTGCAAAAATAATATATTTTAACCACAATTGGTTAAGACTGCTGTTTTTTCCATGCCGGATTCTTTTCTGTCACATTTTCTCTTGTTTTGGGTGGTACCGGAGTAGCTGAGAGGCATTTTTGGGGATCCAGCTAAGGAAGAGTTGACTTATAAACACATTTTGTTTGGGTCTAGTGGGATATGTTTATGGAGTTTGCCATCATCTCTGTGTAAAGTTATTGATAGCCATCTGGTGTGAGAATGGTATCCAAGCACACTGCTGTTGCACTCTGCCAACTCTCCAGACCTCATGACAACAAAGATGCAGGGGACTTGGATAAGTATGTGCTTCCGGGGTCTGGCATTGGAAGTTTGTGTATAGTGGAGGAGAAACAAGTTTTAAAAACATAGAGCCAAAGACTGATTCAGGAAAAATTTGTCATCAGGCATGCAGAATTCTAGCAGAGAATTTGGGTCTCATTGACAACTTATCCAAATGGAGATTCTGTCCTGTCTAGGGTACACCCAACATGTAATGATAATTGCACCATACCTGTTTTCTCCTTTTCTAAACTGAATTGCATGAAATAGGATTTATCTGAATGCCTGTGTCTGTAGAGCACAAGCCCTGCAACCAGTGCTAGAAATAGTGAAGACATCTATGTGGAAAGTCATAGGTTTTATGTATTCCAACTATAATAAAAATATCTTTTATTTTTACTATGCTAGAAGACTGATTTTTCCTTCTATGCTTTCTATAAAAAATACAGCAAAGTTGTTATATATTTGAAGAGATATTAAAGAATATACAGGGAAAAACCGAAGGAAAAATTATTAAAGAGGTGTGCCAGTCTGTTAGTTAATAAAAATAACGTCTCTTTAAAATAATTGTCATATTTTAAAAATTTGTATAGCTTTATTTTCTCATCCTAGGTAAATAATCACCTGCACATCTAATCACATATTTATATATTTTTTTCTTTTTCTTTAAGAAGGCCCTTCAAATTCCATAAGGTTCAGGTCCCATAAGACCTGGCTTGACCCCTGCCCACAGACTAAGTCTCTCTCCATGTATTCTTTGCCTCTATTGTTCTCCTCTTCCTAGAAAAATAAACTGCTGAAAACCTTTATAGCTTTTTCACTACGAAAATCTAAAAAACTGACTCACTTCTGCCTCTCTATATTCTCCAATTTTCTCTTTCCTCTACTTATTTTCATTTCTTAATTTTCTGTTCCTTTCCTTTACCCTTTCCCTTTCTGCCAGTTGCCTTCTTTTTTTTTTCCTGCTGTCTGTGTCTCATGCTAAGACCTCTTAATGAGTGGATCAGAAACTTCTGAGTCTTAAAGACTTACTTAGTGTATCTCCAGAAAGGAGTCCACAGATATTTGACATTTGCTGGGCACTGCCTTCTCCACTTTGCAAGTATCTCTCTTTCTAGAGTTCTCTGGCAGATGCATTGCCCTCTGCCACTTCCCTATCTTTTGCAAACAGAGCTGTGCTTTGTAGGCAGCAGGTGGGCAGCAGCAGGTGGACGGCGGCAGGCTCAGGGAAGACATCACCCCATCCTTAGGGGTAAATAGCTTCATCCAGTCCAGGTAATCCCAGTCTTCTTGACTGGTGATTGCTCTGGGTGTGGGCATGTGACCCAGTTCTGTCCAGTGAGACTGAGGGGGGATCTTCTGGGAAGAGATTTTCTTTCTTAATAAGAGAAAGAACATTGTAGGAGTAAAAGCCCGTTTACTTACCCCCATTCTTATTGCTGCATGAGATGCTGTTACTTAAGGGTATGTTGCTTGAAGCTTCAGCATACATCTTGTCATTCTTAGTGAGAGACCGAAAGTATTTCAGCCTGTAGGCCCAGAGTCCTGACTTTGCTAATTCTCGGAATCAACCCTGCATTCACTTGCCTACAGACTTTTTATATTTGTTGTAAATAACAACTATCTTTGCAGATTTAAGTCACTTTTAGTCTGGTTTTGTGTTACTTGCAGCCAAAATTAATACTAATATCTGTAAATATTCAGCACAAAATTTTGAATTAGACCAGTTACTCCCAGCATAGCCTAGCCCTTGATGTCTCTGAGTTGGGAGAACCTGTTACTCCAGTTAGGAAATGGGATACCCTATTGATGCGGCTGGGAACCTCTGTTGCTTATTGTACCTGAGGGCAGAGACCATGTGCCAAAGGCTTTATTTTAGGGGAAGTGGTAAGAAAGTTCAGGCTGTAGGTATGTTCTTAGCCACTTCTTTCAGCTTCAGCAAGGTCTTACAAGAGATAAATTTAGGCTACACTGGATTCTAAGAGCATAGAGGGAAGATCATGCAGCTTTACTAAAGAAGGTCCTTTTTGCTTATGTCCTAAAACCTAAGTTGAATACAAGTCCAATAATTTGTAGATATTCAAGGTCAGAAAGGCGGAAGTCTCTTCCCCAAGCTAAAGTTAGACATTGAAGAGGCAGAAGACTTAGAAAGAGATGAAAAAGATAAGCCCTTTTCTATAAACCTGTCCCCACCACTTTCTCTCAAGTATTTTCTGTCTGACAGAGGGTATTATCATGCCCACCGGAAAGAAGTATCTGAGATGAGGCTTGGGTCAAGGAGAGGTTTACTGTAGCTAATTTTTCAAATGAGGACATTGGTTTAACTTCAGGCCATGTGGATGAACAAGACACAGTGGCAGAGAAGATATCTAACTTTGGGTACTTGAGTGCCTAATGAAATGCTTAGAAGCAAATAGACTGAAACCACTACATTTATACAGGAACTGTATTGCCAATGACAGCTCTCAGCTGGCTGACAACAGCAAACATGTTTAATTCCTAAAGCAATTCTTTGACCTTGAAATGTGTAATGTCAGGAAGAAGACTGCTGAAGCTGTGCATCCCCATCAAGGGCACATATTATCCACCAGTATACATACCATCTTGCAGTACAGACCCTCAATTTCTGTGCTGGGGGCCAGAGGTGGCCAAGGAGGAAACAGGAACAGGAGCGTTGTCCCAGAGAGAATATTCAAGGAATGTCAAGTTGGCTGGCCAAGAGTCACATCATTGCCTGGGCAGAAGGTCCTCCTCAGTTGTGTCCAGCAGCAGGATATACTAGTAGCAGGAACCACTGTGCATAGTTACCTTTCTCTCCTTTTTAAATAGAATGATTAACCCATTCCTTTTGCACAATTGAATACTGACTGGTTTGAGAATTTTTGCAATGATCTTTTAGTCATAGTAAGAGGTAGACTCTTACTATGAAGTTAATGATGTTTTGGTGTTGAAACCCCTCACTTGCATGGACCCCTTCCACAGCTCAGTGTGTTCTCCCTTGGGGCATGAGGGAACAGGATACAGAAGCTGGAGCCCTGAAGTGCTGTCCAGTGTGGGGTTTTACTCTTTACATCTAGGTGTGGTCTTGGTGCTTCAGGCAGCCAGTGGGCTATCAGCTCTACCTCCACATCTGCCTGGCTCCAAGCGAGAGCATCCCTCTGCTGGACCACATTTCAGCACCTGGAGTGTATCTTTAACCCAAAGGAGAAGTGCCTGAATCAGCGACTGCTCTGCTTCCTGCTTGAAGACCAAGGCAACCCAGGATTCACCACCTCCCGGCCATCATTGGCCTCAGGTCAAGAGTGGCGAGGCGGGGAGGAACTGGTAGTGCCACACGTCAGATTGAATTGGTTGCTAAGGAAGCTGCAGTCTGGACCGCTATACTGTGAGATTAAAGGGCTGGAATTCTCCTAAAGTTTATCTCAAAGCAGATCTGCCTGAGTAAGAAACTGCAGAGGGTGTTAAGAACTGTGGTACTAAAAATAAGGAAGGAAGTTGCAACGTTGAAAGAAACTTTCTAAACTTTCAGTAATAAAAAATAAAAACTGTATTATCTTTCTGTTCTTTCCATAGGAATTTGAATTATGAAATCATTGTCATTTGAAGAGATGATCAGCATATGCACACAAAAAATGTAGGAAAAGTGATGAGTTAGGCAATTAATTAATATAACACTTATGCAAGAATATATTCTTTTTTTCTGAATTTTTTGATGTCTGTGGTATTTGTCAGCTTTTTAAAATATATAATTTTTTGTGATTTGTTTTCTCATTCTAAGTAAATATTCCTTTTGTGTGCCAAATTTTGTGTTTATAATTTAACATTATTTTTCTTTAATACGGCCTCCCAAATTATGTGAGCTTCAGGCGCTAAAAAAAAAACAAAAAAAAAAAACAAAACAGTTTTCTCCCTGGTGCTATGTCAGCAGACAATTTAGATATGGAAGGAAGGGACTGCCCATCACCCAGAAAGACTGGATCTGAGACTGGATGAGACTAAGGAATGTCAGTATTTTATGCACGTGTCAGGATTGTTGAAATGTACATATGAGAAGATGGGTGTGTGTATGTGTTGGGAAATAAAAAAGATGATTGTGGTGAACACTATCGCTTGCTAACTCAGCACCCATTGCCCCTCTTTTCCTTCCAATATTGTTCAGATGTCTAGTTACCCCCTTGCCCGGCCCCCACCAACAAGCAGTAAACTGGCTTCATCCCACAAGCCCTGGGGTGGATGCTGATTTGTTAACAAGGATGCATGTGGCATTTCCTAGGCAACTGCTATGGTTCAAAAGGGGGCACATAAATTGACGTTGTCTATCTCAGAGAAGGGAAGGATTTTTATTCCATGCTTCAGGTGGAGTTCCCTCTCCTCCTAGATGTGAACAGAAATATTTTTCCAGTTGTAGCTGGCAGTCACCACAGCACCATGAAAGGGAACTGCGTTAGGATGAATCTGATACTGTGAATAGTAGTATGGACAGATGAAAATGCCATGCTCCATTAGGATATGATTGGACTGCCGGCTCCACGCACCCTGAAGCCTGCCTTACCACCTGACTTTCTGTTATACAAGATCAGGAATTTATTTTAAAAATCACTTGAAGTTGAGCTAATATTTCTTGCATTTAAAAGCATCTTAACCAGTACAATGTGTGGCTTCAATTCAGTTTATCAAGATTCTTGTCAGCTTGTTTTCGTCAAAATACATGACTTAGAAATTATATAATATTTACTCAAAGCACATTTAGCTAAATTAGACTTTATTTTGCTGTACCATGCATAGTGACATTTTTATCATCAAAAAACACGATTGTTAAGTTAAATAGCATGACGTTGCTTTTATAACTTGTATCTTTGAAAGAATATGCATTTCTCTCCAACTTGATAATACTGGGTGTAGTGTATCTGGTTTATTTCATATATCACTCATTTGGTCTTTGAATAAGTAATATGCCAATTGTCATTTTCATAGCACATCAAATTGCTACATACTTTAAAATGTATTTGAATGAATAATATTTGCTTTCAGAAAAAATACTAGTATCTCTGTTTTTAACTGTTTATTAATATTTATGAAACTTGTCAGAATCTAAGTGGCATCAGTAATGTTAAGAACACCCCAACAAATAGAGCTGAGGAGAGCCATGAAGAGAGGTTTCTCATGTTTGTATGCCTGATAACAAAAAAGACTCTGCAAGAACCACAACTTTACACAGAGACCATCACAATCTTAGACACAAAAAAAATACTTCTCCTAAGACATCTGCCCAACAACTGCTTGTCCAACCTCGGACTGGTATCACCATTGTTATTGATCTTTGTAGACAAGGATAGTTACGTCAAAACACTTGTGTGTCCTCCTCATTTTTCTCTTTAAAAATCTTTGTTTTCCTTTACCTCCCTGAATATGCACATAATTTACTATGGGATGCATATTCCCCATTGCAGTGCTCTCTTCCCAAATAAATACCTTTTCTTTTGGAGTGCGTCTTTCTGTTTTTTATGTTGACCTATATGTGTCAGAAACAGGACTTGAAAAAGATCACTTTCAGGATGCATTGGTGATTCTTGGACCCGCAGTGCGCTACTCACTTGAGCCCTCTGAGCTCTCTGCTTCCTTGGCTCGCCTTTTCTGCCCTGATGAGTCTTCTCTCAGGCTGAGCCTCCCTCCTTTTGGTAGATGCTTTTTAATATTATTTGGGATCTGGTTTGGATAAGGCTGACTTAATAAAGGACAATACATCCCTCCTGGGATGATAAAAGACTTTCTGTCTTTTCTGGTAAGTCCTTTCTGATACAAAAACAAGCGTCTTTCTGGATTGAGTACTCTTGATTTCTACAGAATTTGCATTCTGTTTGTGAGGCATGCCTCCTGGTGAATTTATTTTTGGTCCAGTCTGTGTACCCAGTTAAATTTTTTTTTAGATCTGTGTGCCTAGGTAAAAATTTTTGTGAACACGCTTATCTTGTCGTTTCTTTAAAAATTTGGTTAGATTATTTCTTCTTGAAAATTTTCTGAAAGCAAAAATAAACATTCTAAATAGTGGGGACAGGATGGCTAATTAAAAGCCATTAGGGTGGTTTCCTTCATCTAAAACACCAATCTAAACTCTGGACATTCCCTAACAGGATTTATAAGATTTTCTTTGCTTTTGGGAGATTAATAAGGAACAGAATGGGATTCTCAAACATTAAATCATGCCAGGTTTTTGAGGGATTCTAGTGGGCTACATATTTTGGCCCCTTCTTGCACACATTTTTTAACTAAAAGGAAAATTACATCAAGGAAAATTCAGAACTCAGATGAGCATTATTTGAAAAACCTGCAAATATAGAATTTACATGTAGAGTCTTCTAAATTGTCTGTCTACGTATTTTTTTTTTTCAGCCTACTTTGAATCTGCTCACTTTTCTACTGGTGTTGAGATAAACTAACTGCTTATGGCATTCCAGCCAGGATTAAAAAAAAGTTTTAAAGGGTTATCAAATTGATGGTTTTACAAATTGCAATAGCTCCATGGTGACCAACAACCTATACATCTTTTACAAATATAAATTTAGGTTTGCTTGTGTATGATTTATGATCATCAATTGTGTATGATTTTTCACTTAATGGAAAAATTAATAATCTAAAATAAAAACTAGATATTTATAAAAGTTAGCCTCTCAAATCAAACAGGTCAAAATCTTGAGCTTGGAGAAATAGTATAAGGTGTCTCTGTCCAGTGTAAAAATTTTGCTTCTTTTTTCATGCAAAGGTCAAAAGAAAAAAGAATAAAAAAGAAGAAGAAAGAAAAGGAAACTTTTAAAATTATTTCCTGCTAGTCAAGCAAACCAGACCAGCAAACAAAGATAGATTTGTTACTAATTCAAAGCTACTTGGAGATTTTGTTTTTCTTTTATAAATCAACCAGTCCTACCTGAAATGTAAACACTGAAAATTTAACCCTCAACTCATTAAAAACTAAGAAAAGAAAAAATACGGGGGGATGAAAGAGGTTTTTAAAAATCAAACTGCCATTGAAACTGCATTACCCAAAATTTTGGCCCACAGCCTTCTTTAGATTATCTATTGGGGCAAATAAAGTTTAACCATGTGAATAGGTCCCAGATGAGTCAGATATAATTTAGATCCAACTGTCTTTTATAAGTTGGTAAGTTTGTATTATTAACTCATGATAAACTCTAAAATGAAAGCTATATAATCTTTATATGTGTGTGTGTATATGTATTGAATGTGTCTATGCATATGTACATTGATCATGTTATACATCATGTCTACGTGGTATAATCTGGCATAATCAGCCAGAATTTTTTAAAGGTTGTGTATTTTGCCAATAACTCAGAAGATATGGCTGTTTTCATTAAACTAACAAATTAATCTTACTTATCAAAAAATTATATAAAGATCATTCTGCTTTAGGCTGGGTATATCGTTTTACAAACTTTGTATCAAACATTGACATTTAAAAATATCTAGCAAAGACAAATATAGATACTAGATCTGTTTTCAGTTACAGTTGTGGGTATGTTATTCATATAAATATTCCAAAAATTATATACATTCATAAAAATTTAATGTTATCATAATTTTGATTGTTATGTTAATTCTTTTCTAAAGTTATATTTGTATGGATATGTTATATAATGTGAGTATTCTAAAGATTATATGAAATTGGCTGGGTGCAGTGGTTCACCCCTGTAATCCCAGCACTTTGGGAGGCCGAGGCGGGCAGATCACCTGAGCTCAGGAGTTTGAGACCATCCTGGCCAACATGGTGAAACCCCATCTCTACTAAAAATACAAAAATTAGTTGCTTGTGGTGGCAGGTGCCTGTAATCACAGCTACTAGGGAGGCTGAGGCAGGAGAACTGCTTGAACCTGGGAGGTGGAGGTTGCAGTGAGCCGAGGTCCCATCACTGCACTCCAGGCTGGGTGACAAAGCAAGACTCCATCCTCTACGACCCCCCCCCCAAAAAAAAGATTATATGAAATTTATAAAAGTCTGGGAGTCTTGATGTGACACTGCCAGTCATGATTCTGCTTATCTTAAAATGCTGCAAGTAGTAGAAATAATTAAATTTCCTTGTCAGCTGAGAACTTGCATCAGATTTAAACTATGGTTATTCCAAGTTTTTGTCATCCACAGTTATTATTTTGAATTCTGCTCTAAAATCACTTGCAGTCAGCTATAAACCAAAATTCCTTTTCATGGGAAAAGACTATTAACATGTACTCTTGAACGTAGATTTGTGATAGCTTTAAGATCAATAGACTAAATAAAAATTTTTAGAATTCTAATAACGAAACGGATGGGTTCATAATACTGCTAATAAAATCAAGCAAAACAAGAAAAATTATGTGAAATTAAATAATTGATGAAGATAGCGTTTTTATGATTTATTTAAACCATTATTAGTTCTTTACTTAAGCATTTTGTTCTCCCCATTTAAGAAAATTTTCTCTCATAAGCTAGCTATAGTTTACAAGAATTTGGTAAAGTATACTCCTGTGGACCAAAAGTGGAAGCATTTGCTTTTTCTCCCTAGTTGATTCCTCCAAAATTTGGAAACTCTTTGTGGAATATTCTCATTTTTATTTACAAAAGTTCAATAAAAATCTGCTCTCTCTTTATAAGCCGTATACAATTGGAAACATTAGTTATATCACCAATGCTTTGACTGAAGTGTCATATTTAAGAATGTGCATAAAATGCGTGGCTTCAAGAGTTCCCAGCCTTACGGTAAGTGAGCAAAAATTATTACTTCCTGGCAGGCCCAAGAACCTTACGACTGTGGGTAAAATCTGAAGTCTGTGTTGGCTTGGCTTCCTAGTTTCAAGACATTTTTAAATCTGAGATTCCCATATGATCAATGTGGAGAGAAAAGTTATGTTTCTAAAGAAAATCTGTAATACACCTGTTGTTAGATTGTAGCCTTGTTAATTGTTTTCAAGTTCATGTTATCTACACGTAGACTGGATTAGTTCCTGAATTTTCCCAATATCCTCCAATATTTGGTACAATTTTCCAACTAGAAACAAAAGTTTCTCTGTTCCAAAGCCCTATAAGCTGAAACTAGACACATTTTAAGGAGCAAGCCTCATGCCTGATGTATGGACCAACAAAAAGTTCACCAAACTGCAGAATGTCATGACTAGAGACATTCAAACAAAAAAAGAGAAAAAAAGTTAATATTTTCATGCTGTAGACAGCTTTTCCTAAGTTGTTGGAACAAGATTCTGTATCATAATGAGACTTTTACCACCCCCCCACAACTTAATACTTAACTTTTCACTTGATGGGATAATGGTATAATTGAAATTTTATAATCAATAGCTTCTGCTGGTAACTTAACAGAACCTAATAAAAAATCATTTAATACATATTGGTTAAATAAGAAAATGTCTGTGCTATTGCTAATATTACGTGCTGTACCTGGATACATTCCTCTTGGAAAGATGAGACTCATATACACAAAATAAGCAAACAGGACTTACGGTTATAATAGGTCTCACCCAATTCCCTATGGTCATTTGATTTTTTCAATTGGTTGTATTTAAACATAGGTTCATGACTTAAACCATTATGTAAACTGAAACTGTCATATTATTATTAATTTCCCTTTGTATTTTCTCTTTTTAAATTTGTATCTTTTACTTGCTAAATTTTTGCAGAAGTGTAACTCCTAACAAAACAGTGCTGGCCCAGCACTTTGAGATAATAACAAAAAACTATGGGACAGACAAAATTGAACTTAATAATGGACTTCAGGAGACACTAGCCTGAAAGCCACTCCCTTAAAACCTCCTTTGTTGCTCAAATGTGGCTAAAAGGGTTTTGACACTGACTTCTATAACCAGTCACTCTCCCCAAAATAAAGCAAGATCAACAACCGGTACAGGTGTATTCCAACATGGAAGGACATCAAAACCTAACTGCAGGGTGATTGATCAGTGATGCTTTAGAAGAAAGATCCTGATCAAAAGGGTGAAAAGTGAAAGTTTTCAGAATCAAAATGGAGTCACCAATGATAAGAAACCCCCAACAAATAGAGCTGGGAAAGACCATGAAGAGAGGATTCTAATGCTTGTATACTTGATTAAAAAAAAGACTAAAATATACCATAACCTTGCACAAAGACTATCACAACCTTACACAAAAACATACTTCCGCAAGGACACCTACCCAGAAACTGTCTGTCCAACCTTGAATTGGTGTCA
The DNA here is from genome assembly GCF_000001405.40 of Homo sapiens. NCBI lineage: Eukaryota > Metazoa > Chordata > Mammalia > Primates > Hominidae > Homo > Homo sapiens. The sequence continues at coordinate 136,692,974 of NC_000005.10, read as the reverse complement.
CAAATGTTATTGATCTTTGTAGCCAAGGATAATTATTTCAAAACAATTATGTAATTCTCATTTTTTTTCTTTAAAAACCTGTGACTTCCCTACCTCCCTTAATATTCACATAGTTTACTGTGGCATGCATATTCCCATTGCAATGCTGTATTCCCAAATAAATATCTTTTTCTTTTAGAGAGCTTGTCTCTGTTATTTAGGGTTAACATATTCAAGAAAAAGAAAGCAGGCTCCATCACTGTTTCCGTAAATACATTAGAGGTAAGATTACATGTAGCAAGAGATTTAAGCAATTCACCATGTAGCTAATGATCAATTTATCTTAAATTGTTTCTGCAAAATGAAAACAGTCAGGTTCTGCAAAAGTATTCTTATCCCAGATAATCTGAGATGAGAAGAGGGAGCTGAAGACCAGAATGGTCAATGAGGTGATATGAAGGAGACATGAAAGCAAATTGCTTTCCCTGTAATTATGGCTGAACCTTTAAGACTTAGATCAGAATCCACAGGGATAACAAAATGCAGGCCCCTGTCTGGCCAAGCTGGCCAGAAAAGGTGGTGTATCAGTTTTATTCTTGAAAATTGCTAGGAATAGAAACGGTTTGTCTCAATAGCATCTGCTTCTAGGGTTGTTTTCTCTGACAGCAGAAAGATTCTATCCCATATCTCCTTGAAGTTTCTTCCTTTTTCACTATCATCTATTATCGTCTTCCTTTCTTCCAACTCAACTCCTACCTCAGTAATGAACAAGAAATTATTACAAAACTCTTTGTGTAGGGCAGTAGGTAAGTAACCCTTCTTCCTTCTGGAATAAGCAAAGCTGGAAGGTTAAGATAAGGCTGTTTCCTTACCAGTGTCTCATTTATGTCACATACAGCCACAAAGTTAGCTTCTACTCTACATGCATTTTTATGTTTTGCTTTTTTATGTTTAATATAAACATAAAAATATAAACACTTTTATGTTTTGCTTTTTTGTGTTTAATATAAACATTAAAAAGCAGATTCTGGAGTTCACATAGGGACCTGAATCTCAAGCTTAGCTATATTTTCTAATAAGTGACTTTGGGCAAGTACATAATTTCTCCTCAGTTTTCTTATCTGAAAACAGAGATAAAAGCAGTCTCTACATTACAGGATTGTTGTAATATTTAAAGGAAATGATGCATTTGTTAGTAGATCCCTTTGACACATAAGTAGCACTCAACAAATGATATAATAATTGTTATAGCAGAATATAACAGGAGCAGAATGTATATATTGATATATGTTATTATAAATAAATATAATAAAGTTATTTTATATATTACATATAACATAAATATATATATTTATTTGTTTATCTTGAGAATTAGAAAAATGCAGAATAATAGAAAGAAAAAGTCCCAATCAACCCATTTCATACCAACTTTTCACAAGTTGGCCTATCCTTAAAATTTTTTATTAAAGATTTTTTAATTACTCAAGTAAGGTATGACTACACTGTTCCTTACAAAAATTATAACATTGCAGATAAATATAAGGTCAGGGTATAACTTTCCCAACCTTAGCACTGTCACAAGTTCAGTTATATTTTCTTTTAAATCACCTTTGTTCCAACAGGTGGCCTTAGGACTCTTGATTCACTTCTCTTGTCACCTAAGGTTATTCATCCTAAGCCTCAAACCCACCAATTATTTCAAAATGCACGTAAAGTCTACTCCTGTCCTAACCTTTGCTTATACTTGGACTGTTTCTTCCCATTCCAGGATTGAAGCACATGATCATCTTAGTTTCTTTTCAAATAAACTCAATTATTTATAGATTCTGGATATTAGATCTTTGTTGGATGTATAGTTTGCAAATATTTCCTCCCATTCTGTAGGTTGCCTGTTTACTCTGTTGGTAGTTTCTTTTGCTGTGCATAAGCTCTTCAGTTTAATTAGATCCCACTTGTCAATCTTTGTTTTTGTTGCAATTGCTTTTGAGGACTTAGTCGTAAATTCTTTGCCAAGGCTCATGTCCACAATGGTGTTTCCTAGGTTTTCTTCTAAGATTCGTATAGTTTGAGGTCCTACTTTTAAATCTTTAATCCATCTTAAGCTTTTATATGGTGAAAGGTAGTGGTCCAGTTTTATTATTCTGCATATGGCTGGCCAGCTATCACAACCCCATTTATTGAATAGAAAGTCCTCTCCCTATTGCCTTTTTTTGTTGACTTTATCAAAGATCAGATGGCTGTAGGTGTGCAGCTTTATTTCTGGGTTCTCTATTCTGTTCCATTGTTCTATATGTCTGTTTTTATACCAGTACCATGCTGTTTTGGTTACTGTAGCCTTATGGTATGGTTTGAAGTTGGGTAATGTGATGCCTGTGACTTTGTTCTTTTTGCTTTGAATTGCTTTGACTATTTGGGCTCTTTGTTTGTTCCATATGAATTTTAGAATATTTTTTCTAAATCTGTGAAAAATGATGGTGGTAGTATGATAGAAATAGCATTGAATCTACAGATTGCTTTGGGCAGTATGGTCATTTTAATGATACAGATTCTTCTAATCATTGAGCATGGATGTTTTACCATTTGTTTGTGTCATCTACGACTTCTTTCAGCAGTGTTTTGTAGCTCTTGTTGTAGAGATCTTTCACTTCCTTGGTTATATGTATGCCTATGTATTTTATTTTTTGTGTGGCTATTATAAATAAAACCATTTTAATTTGGCTCTCAGCTTGAATATTATTAGTGTATAAAAATGCTGCTGATTTTCGTACATTGATCTTGGATCTTGAAACTTCACTGAAGTCATTTATTAGTTCCAGATGCCTTTTGGCAGAGTCTTCAGGGTTTTCTAGGTAGAAAATCACATAATCTGAGAAGAGAGATAGTTTGACTTCTTTTCTTCCTATTTAGATTCCTTTTATTTTTTCTCTTGCTTGATTGCTCTGGCTAGGATTTCCTGTACTATGTTGAATAGGAGTGGTGAGAATGGACATCTTTGTCTTCTTCCATTTCTCAAGAAAAATGCTTCCAGTTTTTGCCTGTTCAGTATAATGTTGGCTATGTGTTTGCAATAGATGACTTATTATTTTGAACTATGTTTCTTCAATGCCTAATTTGTTGATGGTTTTTAATCATAAAAAGTGTTAGATTTTATCAAAATGTTTTTCTGTGTCTGTTTATATGAACATATGATTTTTGTTTTTAATTCTGTTTATGTGGTGAATCACATTAATTTATATATGTTGAACCAACCTTGCATTCCAAGAATGAAGCTTATTTGATCATGATGAATTAACTTTTTGATGTGCTGCTGGATTCAATTTGCAAGTATTTTTTTGAGGATTTTTGTGTCTATGTTTACCAGGAATATTTATCTACGGTTTTCCTTTTTTGTTGTGTCTTTGTCAGACTTTGGAATCAGGGTTATACTGGCGTCAAAGAATGGGTTAGGAAGGACAACCTCCTCCTCAATTTTTTATAATACTTTCAGTAGAATTGGTACCAGCTCTTTTTTTCTTTTTCTTTTCTTTTTTTGAGATGGAGTCTCGCTCTGTCACCCAGGCTGCAGTGCAGTGGTGTGATCTCAGCTCACTGCAACCTCTGCCTCCCGGGTTCAAGCAATTCTCATGCCTCAGCCTCTCGGTAGCTGGGATTACAGGTGTGTGCCACCATGCCCAGCTAATGTTTTAGTAGAGATGGGATTTCACCATGTTGGCCAGGCTAGTCTCAAACTCCTGATCTCAAGTGATCCGCCTGCCTCAGCCACACAAAGTGCTGGGATTACAGGCATAAGCCACTTTTCCCGGCCAATACCAGCTTTTCCTTATATGTCTGGCAGAATTCAGCTGTGAATCCATGTGGTCCTGGACTTTTTTGTTGTTGATAGGTTTTTCTTATTACTGATTCAATTTTAGAACTCAATATTGATCTGTTTAGGGCTTCATTTTCTTCCTTATTCAATCTTGGGACATTGTGTGTTTCTGGTAATTTATTTATTTCCTCTAGATTTTCTAGTTTGTGTGCAAAGAGGTGTTTATAATAGTCTCTGAGGATCTTTTGTATATCTTGAGATCAGTTGTAATGTTACCTTTGTGGTTTTTGATTGTGCTCATTTGGATCTTCTCTGTTTTATTCTTTATTAATCTACTTAGTAGTCTATTGATCTTGTTATCCTTTCAAAAAACCAATTTTTGGTTTTGTTGATTCTTTGTATGGTTTTTTGGGGGTTTCAATTTTGTTTGGTTCTGCTGTGATTTCAGTTGTATATTTTCTTCTGTTAGCTTTGGAGTTAGTTTCTTTTTGTTGTTCTAGTTCCTCCAGCAGTGATATTAGATAGTTAATGTGAGATTTTCTAACTTTTTGAGGTAAGTGTTTAGTGCTATAAACTTTCCTCTTAACATTGCTTTTGCTACATCCCAGAGATTTTTGGTATGTTGTGTCTTCATTTTTATTTATTTCAAAGAATTTTTTTATTTCTGCCTTAATTTTGTTGTTAATCCAAAGTCATTCCGGAGCACATTGTTTAGTTTCTGTGTAATTGTGTGGTTTTGTGAGATCTTGGTATTGATTTCTATTTTTATTTCGCTGTGATCTGAGAGTATGGTTGGTATGATTTCTACACATTTTAATTTATTGAGTCTTGTTACATGGCCAATCATATGGTCAATCTTGGATTATGTTCCATGTGCAGATGAGAAAATGTATATTCTGTGGTTGATAGCTGGCATATTCTGTAGACATCGGCTAAGTCCAATGGGTTAAGTATATAATTTAAGTCCAGAATTTCTTTGTTGGTTTTCTGCCTTGATGATTTCTCTAACACTGTTAGTGGGGTGTTTATGTCTCCTACTATTACTGTGTGTCTGTGTAAGTCTTTTTATATAACTAGAAGTACTGATCTTATGAATCTGGGTGCATATATATTCAAGGTATTTAAGTCTTCTTGTTGAATTGAACCCTTTATTATTAGTAAGGCCCTTCTTTGTTCTTTTCTACTGTTGCTGGTCTAAAGCCTGTTTTATCTGATATAAGAATAGTGAACCCTGCTCTCTTTTATTTTCCATTTGAGTGGTAGATATTTCTCCAGCCCTTTACTTTGAGCCTATGGGTGTCATTATGTGTGAGATGTCTTCTCTTGAAGACAGCAGATGGATAGATCTTGTTTTTTATTTAACTTGTCACTCTGTACCTCTTTAGTGGGTTATTTAGATCATTTACATTCAAGGTTAATATTAATATGTGATGTTTCCATCCTAGGTGAAGTTGTTAGCTGGTTGGTTTGTAGCTTCTATTGTGTGGTTGTTTTATAGGGTCTGTGGGCTATGTACTTAAGTGTGTTTTTGTGGTAGCAAGTATTGTTTTTTTGTTTCTATGTTTAGACCTCCCTTAAGAATCTCTTGTAAGGCTGGTTCAGTGGTAACAAATTCCCTTAGCACTTGCTTGTCTGAAAATATTCCACTTTTCCTTAGCTTTATAAAGATTAGTTTGGAAGGATATGAAATTCTTGGTCGGAATTTCTTGTCTTCAAGAATGCCAAAAATAGGCCCCTAATCTCTTCTGACTTGTAAGGTATCTATTGAGAAGTTCACTGTTAGCCTGATGGAATTCCCTTTGTACGTGATCTGACCTTTTACTGTAGCTGCTGTTAAGATTTTTTTCTTTAGCATTGACATTGAACAATCAGTTCACTATATGCCCTGTTGATGTTTGTATTGTATAGTATCTCACAGGCATTCTCTGAATTTATTATATCTAGCAAGATAAGGAATATTTTCTTGAATTATATTCTCAAATATGTTTTCCAGGTTGTTTAGTTTTTCTCCTTCTCTCTCAGGAATGCCAATAGTTCTTAGGTTTTGTTGCTTTACATAATTCCATATTTCTTGAAGGCTTTGTTTATTTAACCAATTTTTTTTTCTTTATTTGTGTTTTATTTGGCTAGTTCAAAAGACCAGTCTTTAAACTCTGAGATTCTACCTTCTGCTTGGCCCAGTGTATTGCTAAAACTTTCAATTGTATTTTGAAATTTCCCAAGTGAGTTTTCTAATTCAAGGAGCTCTTACTGATTTCTTTTTAAGATCTCTTCCTTCATTTCCTGTATTGCTTTAGAAGTTTCTTTGTGTTGATTTTCAACCTTGTCTTGGATCTCATTGTGATTCCTGGCAATCCATTCTTTGAATTCTTTATCTGCTATTTCTGAGTTTCCATTTTGGCTAAGGACCATTGTTGGAGAGCTTTGGTGATGTTACTACATTCAGATTTTTTATGGTGCCAGAATTCTTGCACTTCCTCCTTCTCATCTGGAGATGTTGTCACTTTCTAATTTTTGCAATTATTTTGGTGTAGGTAGAATATTTTATTTTTTTCTCTATAATATTATTCTGTTATTTTCTTTTTCCTTTCATCCTTTTCCTAGGGGATATGACTGTAAAGAATTCTGGGTAGGGTCTTTTGGCTTTGCCTCTATAGCCCTATATACTTCTTTTGGCAGATTTTATATTGTGCTATGCAGTTTGACCTACAAGCCAGTAGATGGCACTTATAGGTAAGAGCCAGCTACAGCCAATGTGGCTGGGTATACACTTGATCGTTGTTTACTGGGAGAAGCTTTCTGTTGCCTTGGGCAATGAGCTGATTCATGGAATGCACAGAGGTCTGAGTTTCATGCTCAGCCCTTGGGGAGTGGGATCCAAGTTGGGTGGGGCTGGACTGGGCAGGTCTGCTTATAGATTCCCTGATGACAACCACAAGCACAAGCACTGAGAGGTAATCCAGTGGGCAGCCACCAAGCACCCAGAAGTGTGCCTAGGTGTGGAGATAGGAAATCCCTTCAGACCCAGCTTCTCAGGATGTTTATGGAGGGCAGCCTAAACTCCTAATTCAAGAAAGAGGGTGTTCCACATGCCTGGATGTGGAGCAAAGAGGACTCCCCTGCACCAAGATCACTGCACATGAAGAGTAGAGCAGCTCAGGCTGCTATTCCAGGTGAGTGAGCACTCCAAATGCCTGGAGATCTGCCTGAGCATGGAACAGAGAGGGCCCCCCTGCACCAAGATATCTGCACAAGAAAAATGGGGTAGCTCAAGCTGCCAATCTGGGCAAGCAGATGCTTTGAATGCCTAGAGATCTGCCTAAGCACGGGGTAGAGAGGGCCCAGATGTACCACAATCTATGCATAGGAAAGGTGGGGTAGATCAGGCAGCTGATCCAGGTTAGCAGGTACTCTGAAATCCTGGAGATCTGCATGGGTGTGGAGTGGAGATGGTCTCACTGTACCACAATCTCAGGGAAGTAGACTGGGCACTCAGCAATGACACATGCAGACCAGTCCCAGGTTGCCAAGCTGGCCCTAGCTGCAAGTCTCATCACCCCGGAGAAACCATAGTTGTGGCAGCTCTCCTCTTGTCCCAGGACTGCAATGGAGGAGAGCACAATTCTCATGCCTATTACTGAGGTGCTTTCCACAGTTCTGTCTGTGGAGTCCTTACTCTATTCCAAAGCAGGCACTCCAATCTCTGGCCCAAGATTAAAATGCCTGCATGACCATGGTGCTAGGTCTCCAAAGAATGGCTGATTTGTATGTACCCAGATTAAAAATGGTTTCTTGCTCTTGTTCCTGGATCTGCAAAAATGTCTGCAGCTTTTCCCAGTGTCGTACCCTTACAGCACCTCCAAGTCTCTCCCCAGGTTAGCTTCAGGGTTTGGGAGAAGCAAAGTGCTCTGCCTCAGCTGGGTTGCTTGGATCCCTAGTGGAAAGGTGAGTCACAGAGGGGGACTGTCTGCTTCTCTCACATACTGGAGCTTCACTCACTTTTACCAGCTGGACAAGGTCATAAGGGCTGTTTGCACACATTCTCTTCCCCAGGACCTAGAGTGTCCTTTACAATTTCAGTGGATTCCCATTTTTCTTCTGGAACTCAGGCTCACAGAGTTGATCTTTATACACTCTCTTGCTATTTCCTAGTGGCTGAGGCACACTAAAAGCCTCTAATCTGCCATCTTGGAAAAACAAACAAACTTGATATTCTTTTAATTGGATTGGATTGTATGTATTTTATATTGACAAAAGTGAAAGTTTTACAAGGGCATTCATAGAGTTTTCTGTGACCTTGGTTCTCTTAATTCTATATTTCCTATGGTCTTAAAATGCTCAATAATGCATTTTTCTTCAACCAGGAGAGTTATTACAGAAGAATCTTTGTACACTGAGTGATGCTGAGTTACCCAGGTTGTTTTCCTTCTAAAGTGGTTTCATTCCCACAAGTATCATGCTGTTAGAATCCAGTCAGCACAACATAGAGATGTGCTTTCATTTTTCTCTTCGAAGCCTTTGGATCAACAGCTGCCTTCAGAAGAGATCTCTTGGGTGCATTGTTAGGAACTCAATCTTGTCTTCTAATCATTTGACTTGCTCTATTTCCTCATTTCATTACTCTCTTTTGTCTTCGTGTCAGTATCCTAACATTTCTACCCTTCCCCCTCTCCCAACACATGCACACAACTCTTGTCTGTTTTCATTTCACAACAGCCATCTCGACAGAGCACTCTGCCACCATTAGCCTTTTCATTTCCCACCTTTCTGCCTCATCTATTCATGTCCTCAGCTAGCCTTCTTTGTCTGGATTCTTTAATGCCAAGCCACCAAGCATCATTGAAGAAAGTTCTGCAACAAGGGGGCATGTCAGTATGTTAAAGTGATTAAGTTCACGAGCTTGGGCATCCAACTGATATGACTTCAGTTCAAAGGTGAATATTTTTTAGTTTTGTGACCTTGGGCAAGTCATTTAACCTGTTCGAGTTTTAGTTTCTTCATCTCTTAGAGACAATAAAAGGACTGACTTAAAGTGTTAGGCTTATAGTTGGTGATCATTAAACATTAACTTTTATTACTGCTTCATGATGATAGTGAAGTACCAGTGACTCTAGCAGGCACTGATTTATCTCATTTACTGTTTTAACATCAATTCTTTGAAGATGATGACTTCTACATCTTATAGATGAAGAAGATGAGGTTCCAGAAGTAACATAGCAGGAGTCACTTACTTATTAAGTGGGGTGGTTGGATCACGATCATATGATGCTAAAGCCCATTTTATTTCTCTTAAACCACAGTTTGCCTTCAGTGTATTTTTTTAAACATCATTAAAAAAATCATTTACTGAGCTAAATACTAGGGTCTGTTCTATATGCTTTCCTTGCATGATCTGGTTAAATGCTCACAACATCCCTCTAACTATTAATACAATTGTTAAATATATATATAAAATAATAATTATTATTATTAAAAAACCCATTCACAAGCAATGAGAGGCTTAGGTTTTAGATACAAAAGAAAATCACCTTTTCTCTTTAACCAAGGGACAGTTCTGGGGCTGTTGGTGCCACTTGACCCTTCTGCATGCCTAGTAGGTGCTGGCAACCAGATGCTACAATTCCTAGCTCAAATTTTTCCTTGTTTGATTGCCAGCTTATTTAGTGATTTTCCCCATCCCCCTCAAGTTGGAACACTTTGAATTATTGCCACACAGACGCCAACATTTCAGGGGTAAGATTGTGTGATTAAAATGAAATTAACAGTGTCAACAGTGATGCACAATGGAAGGATTACTAGCATTTTCTGGTTCAAGATTGTATTTTGCTTTACTGCAGGATTCAAATTAACTCATAAATATTGGATGGTGTATAACAAATATCCCTTTTAAATAAAAAAAAACAGGGATTCTTCATTAGTGCCAAACAAATGAGATTTATGTAAGTGCTTGGGAACATCTAACATTGAAGCTTTATTCAGTGCTGTGACTAACTCACAGTAGATCATCAGCATGGCTGTGAGGCTGCTTCCTGAGCTCTCAGTCATTCTAAAATAATTCAGATGGAATCTTAGCAGAACACTAAGCTGGGGTATGAAAAGGATAGGTGGACAAAAGTCTATTTGCACAAGATGGTGAGGATCCATGGGAAAGTATTCATTGAGCGGGAAAGAGGAGCCAAGCTCCTTTAGCTTCACCCAGTTACAAAGCTTTGTTATTGGACTGGAGTGCTGAGTCTTACCAAGGCATGGTGGCTGCCCTGCCACTGGCTGCTTCTCAAACTCAAACTCAACCCCATGAACTTGTGTCTGGAACTTGTTACAGGAAGAGAAGCATGCTGTCAGCAAATACTAAAGGTGTCATATTGATAAAACAAAAGCAAACCCCAAAACATATAGCTTTTTTAAGAAAATGTACCACAATAAAAAGGTAGAGATGTGCTCCTTTATTTCAACCTATACTACCACCGCAGCTCTGACACCCTGAGAGCCCCAGGGTGATGGTGGTGGCCCTCATATATATTGGCAGCAGTGGATTATAGGAAATTATAATATAGTTTCCTATAGGCAACGTTACTGGAAAAGTAGAGGCATGCTTGGCAGGAGATGGCAGACAGGTCAAGACAAGGCGTTTGTATTTACCGGACTTCATGGCACCCAATCAACTGAAATGGATGATGGGATGTGGCAGGGAACATGTGGCTGAACTTGCCTGTGAGCACATGTGAGCCCCCCCTTGGTACTGCCAGGAGTAATGTCAGGGATTTTTAAAAAGTTTATAGCAAGGTAAGAAAGAGCCTGAGAAATTTAGCTTATCACTGTAACCATGACTCCATCCATTAGTGAGCAGTTGAGACCTGGCTACCTCAGAACTCAGAAAAGTATATCACATAATAGTATTAATGTAAAAAGTGTGTGCCACAAAATGGATCAAAAATCTAAATATAAATCTGAAACTATATAAAACTGTCAGAAAAAAGTGGGAAAATCCTGGGTTGAATTTGACAATGATTTCGTGATATCAAAAATCCAGGCAACAAAAGTAAAACCAGATAAATTGGACTACATCAAAATTAAAAACTTCTGTGCATCAGAGGATACAATTAACAGAGTGAAACGCAACCTACAGAATGGTAGATATTATTTGCATATTATATATTTGATATATAATATCCAAAATATATCAAGAACTCCTACAACTCAACAACAACAAAAAAAACAGAGAATGATTAACAAATGAACAAAGGACTTCAATAGACATTTCTCCAAAGAAAGTATACAGGTCAACCAGTATATGCAAAGAAAAGGGAATCAGTGCCACCCTATTCTTGACCTGGAGAATAATGACAACTTGGCAGTCTTGGGGCAGTGTTCTACAAAACCTGTTTATAGTCCTTGCAGTCCCGCCTTCTTCCACACTCACACTTTTCACTTTCAAACTCAATTCAAAAGCAAGTTATGCAGAGGCTGACAACCCCAACGTGGTGAGGATTTGGAGCAACAGGAATTTGTATACATTGTTGGTGTAAGTGTAAAATTAAAAACCACCACTTTGAAAAAAGGCTGGCAGTATACAGAATACAGGCCAACCACTATATGCAAAGATGCTCAACATCACGAATCATTAGAGAAATGCAAATGTGGTGATGGAGAAAGGGGGAATTTGTTCAATGGATGGCATGTCTTAGTCCATTTTGTGTTGCTATCACAAAATATCTGAGTCTGGATAGTTTATAAAGAAAAGAGATTTAGCTCACAGCTGTGAAGGCTGGGAACTATGAAAAACATGGCTCCAGTATCTGCTTAGTTTCTGGTGAAGGATAGGTTCTAGATCAAAACATGGCAAAGAAGGTCAAAGTGGAAGTAGATATTTGTGAAGAGACAAAACCCCAGGGGTGTTCTGGCTTTATAACAACTCACTGTCATGGGAACTAATCCCTTTTCTTAAGAACTAATCCAATCTCACAAGAACTCACTTACTACTGTGAGAATGGCTGTAAGCCTGAGAGATCTTCCCCCATGACCCAAACACTTCTCAGTAGGCTCCATCTCCCAAAACTGCCAAAGTGGGGATGAAATTTCAACATGAGTTTTGGTGGTGACAAACAAACGATATTCAAACCATAGTAATGGGTAAAAAGTTATAGTTATACAAGATTAGTAAGTTCTAGAGATCTGCTGTACAACGTAGTGCCTGTAGTTAACAATATGGTATTGTTCACTTAAAAATTTATTAAGAAGATGTATCTTATGTTAAGTGTTATTACTACCAAAAATAAAAAGTAAAAGGACACAAAAAACTTTTGGAGGTATGTACATATTTATTACCTAGTCTATGCTATCACTGATCCACATGTGTATGTCAAAATGCATCACATTGTATACATAAAATATATACAGTTATTTGTATATCAATTATACCTTAATAAAGTTGTGAAGAAAACACAATGAGATATCACCCCACATTTATCAAGATGGCTACTACAAAAAACGTAAAATAACAAGTGTTGGTGAGAATGTGGATCAATTGCATTGCTGGTTGGAATGTAAAATGGTCCAGGTGCTATGCAAAACAGTCTGTCTGTTCCTCAAAATATTAAAAATACAATTGTTGTATGATCCAGCAATTCCATTTCTGGATTTTTGTCAAAAATAATTCAAGGCAAGGTCTCAAGGATATTTGTGTACCCATGTTCACAGCAGCATTAGTCACAATAGCCAAAAGGTGGAAGCAACCCACATGCCCACTGGTAGATGAACAGATAAAGAAAATGTGGCATATCCATTCAATGGAATATTACTCTACCTTAAAAAGGAAGAAAAGCCTGACATGCGACAATATGTATGAACTTTGAGGACATTATGCCAAGTCACGTAAGCTGGTCACAAAATGACAAATTCTGTATGAATCCACTTATATGAATGAGAGACCTAGTGTGGTCCAATTCATGGAGACAGAAAATAGAATTCCAGTGGCCTGGTGCTGGGGGGAAGCAGGGAGTTTAATGAGTATAGAGTTTCAGTTTTGCAAGATGAAAAAGTTATGGAGATTGATTATACAACAATGTAAATATATTTAACAATACTGAACTGCATACTTAAAAATGATTAAGATAATAAATTTTGTGTTATATGTATTTTCCTACAATTTAAAAAAATGTGCCAATTTGAGGGCATTATTTGGAAACTAAGCTTTCTTCACTGCCATTGAAAGTAACGGTAGTGAGCCAACGGCTCCTCCCTCACCTTACCCATCTTTTTCATGTATGCTTAGCTTGTTTTCCAGTGCATCTGGTAAAGAGAGTGTGGATAGTTTAGAACAGTAGTTCTCAACTGGGGAAGATGACAATGTCTGGAGACACATCAGTTTTCACAGGACAAGGATATTACCAAACATCCTGCAATGCACAGGATCATCCCCTCGCACCTCCCAACAAAGAATTATCTGGTCCCAAATGCCAATAGTGCTGAGGCTAAGATATCCTGGCTTACAGCAAGCCCACTCCTCCTTCTGGGGAAAAAAAAAATCCAGTTGGTGATGGGTAACTAACTACAATGTCACAGGCAGAGAAACGTGGTTATCTACAGATAATTGGTACTTTCTGTCTCGTCTCCCACAAGCTTTTAAGCCAGATTTTAAAGTATCCCCGGAAAGATGTCTCCAAAGCATAATCTGTCTCGTTTTGTCCTCGGTGAATATGTCCTAGATCAGCCATCATCTTTCACCAATCTTTAGCAAGCTGAAGCCTGAGAAGAATAAAAGGAAAAATTGTTATCTCTGCAGGCGTGCAGTGAATCTGTCCCAGCCGCGTGTGACATTTTTATCTACACATCCAGATTGCTTAGTCACACACTCAGCTTCATTGCATGGATGTGGCCTGTCTCTGTATGAAATCCTCACGCCATCCTTTCTGTGAGTGAGAAGAAACCATGGCTCCCCTCTGGGTGATTGTCCACAAGAAAGCTGGGTTGGATTATTTGACTATTAGTATTTGTGTGACCAAAAAAAAATTGCTAGCTATTGTGCAAATTCTCAGAATCAGATGATTGAATTAGGCAGGCAGTTAAATTCCTGCTCTTTGGGGGTTTGCATTTGGGTGGAAACAAGGGGGCTGTTTGCAATGGAATACACTGTTTACCAAGCAAATGACTACTCAGGAATTAGGGGTCCAAAAATAAATGCCCCTTCCCTTTTCCTGTCATATGGTAATTGTAAGTACAGTAATTTATGCTAATTTAACATTAAATATATTTAGACTGTTAGAGCTGGAAAGGTGAATCGTGGCAACCCCTCCTTTTTATGGGTAAAGAATGGAGACCCAGAGAGGGGAAGTAATTTGCTTATAGGACACAGAGTTAAAAAGTGGTGGAGGGTTTTCTTCTCTGAACTGTATCACACCACTGCATTCTGATGTGTGGATTCTCATACTCTTCCAATCACTGCAAGGCCCTGAGCAAGTCAGAATTAAATGATAGACAGCAGGTACAGTATACGCTACATTTACATGATGAGTGTGTGATTTATATTATTTAGTATTTGCCTAAGTAAGTTATATGCTCAATAAAGATAGAAGCAATGCTTTCTCTTTTGAAACATTACTCACTGCCAGACACATGGCAGATTTTTTCCCCAATATTTTACTATAAAAATTTCAAACATGAAGCATGTTTTAATTGTCTCCTATTCATCCAAAGGAAGGATTCTCACCCTTGGTTTATCGGGATGGCTAAACGCATGACACCGTACACTAGACAGATGAGATTTATCAGTCACACATACTCACAATTGAGGGAGGAGGACACCAGTGCCACACAGGGCCACATGGGGGTTTCACTCATGAACAAAGTGAACTACCAGGGGTTGAGGGTGGCATGCTTTGTAGTACCAAGAGGGTGAGGTGCCCCTGGTTCCCATAGGAGGATATGATTGACTTGACTGAATAATTCTGTGGGCTGGCAAGGAACTGAAACCCACTACTCAGGGATAAACAGGAACCTGTGTATGACCCCCTGGATAAAGAGGGCTGTTTGGCTTGGGGTCTTATCCATGATAGCAGGGTGGGGAGGGGAACTCACAGTAAGGCCATTCAAGGCCCTCCTGGTTACACCAGATGTCAAGGCAGCTCACAATATGGGGCTTTACTTTCAGGCTTTACACTACTCAGAAAGTTGAAATAATTTTTCAGTGAATACCTATACATCTACCTCCTAAATTCTAGCACTGACATGCCACTATACTTGCTGTAACACATATTCATTCCTCTATCCCTCTATCCATCCATGGATCCATCTCATATTTTGGGTTTCAAAGTAAATTGAAGACTACAGGACACTTCCCCCTAAATATGTAATAAAATCATTAAGTGAAATTTAATATTTGTGTGCAGTTTTTATTTTTTATGAAAATCCACATGCAATGAAAGCACAAGTCTTAAGAAGTGTACATTCTGAATTTTGACAGGTGCATACAACTAACCCAAACTTCCACCAAGATGTAGAACATTATCATCATTTCAAAAAGCTCCCTTGTGAGCCCTTTCAGTCCATCTCTGACCTCACCTTCTGCAGAGGCTGATGTGATTTCTTCGAGTATATATTAGTTTTTCCTATTCTAGAATTTCATATCATATAGTATATCCCCTTTTGTATAAGGCTTTTTTCACTCAGCATATTTTCCAGGTTTTGTTGCATGTGTCAGCAGGGTATTTCTTTTTATTGCTACATAGTATTTTAAGGCATGAATATGCCACAGTTTGTTAATGCATTCTTGTACTGATGGTCACTTGGACAGTTATGTACATTTTACCACAAGCCCTTCTGTGGACATGTTTTCATTTCTCTTGGGTAAAGGCCTGAGGGTGATCCAGGCTAGATGTATATTTGGTCTCATAAGAAGCTGCCGGCCTTTTCTCAAAGCGGTGGTTTATTATTTTACACTTACACCAACAATGTATACAAATTCCTGTTGCTCCAAATCCTCACCAAGTTGGGGTTGTCAGCCTCTGCATAATTTGCTTTTGAATTGAGTTTGAAAGTGAAAAGTGTGAGTGTAGAGGAAAGCAGGACTGCAAGGACTATAAACAAGTTTTGTAGAACACTGCCCCAAGACTGCTGAGTTGTTGTTATTCTCCAGGTCAAGACTAGGGTGGCACTGATTCCCTTTTCTTTGACATTTAAGAACTGTGATGTTCCTGGTCCCTGGTAAGGAACTTGAGAATTTAGCAATCAGAAGCTGTAGTGCTAGAAGCCCTGACATCCGGAGGCCACAGCTATGCTTCATGACACTTCGTAAAGGGTACTTTCTGCATCAGCTAAGGACCTGCTAATGCCTTGTGACATAATCACTTAAAGCTGGCTGCAGTCTACAGACTCGGGAACCTGCAAACCCTTCAGGGATCTGGAGATGGTGGTGCACAAACACAGCCTCTTGACTCCCTTCAGTGGGACTGAGTCAATCAAATGCCAGCTTGCACTATCACTTTGTAGCCATTTGCAAGTAGAGCAGGTGAAAATAGAACTTGTCCCCTTCTACCTACCCATCACTGCCATGGGGACTTTTGAAACTGAACTGCTGGCCATGGGGAGGGGGTATTGCAAACACTGTTATACTGGCTGAGAAAAAAAGTCTCTGCAGCCCCTCTCTTCTATTAAAAGAAAACTGTGGCTGGCACCATCAGTGCTAAAAGAGACAAAGAAGGATGAGAAAGAAAGTAGGCACCTAGACTTAAAGAATGGAGGTGTTTCTCAGCTCTGACCTACTGCTAAACTTCCAGTGTTATCTGAAGATGAGGAAAAGAGGGAAGAGAATTCCAGGTGTATACGTCCAAGTGTGTCAATGTTTCCTGGTCCTAGGACTAAGATGGGCAACAACAGTGAGGAATTAGCTAGTTTGTGCCCTCCCAGAACATGTAGGATAGATGGATGGCAAAGATAACCATTGAAGCTAGGGAGTAAATGGCATGAGAAATATGCTCTTGTCTTTCACAGAAGGGAATTTCACTTATTTCTGGTAGGCAGGGCCAATTCCAAAGACAGGAGACAGGAGACCAAAGGACATGGTCCTAGAATAGAGTGCACTCCTGTTGGGTCAATAATCCAAAGAACAGTAGGCAATAAAAGGCAGAGGTACTTTGGGGACTTGAATGCAAATGAAAGAACTTCAGTTTAATTCATTCTGCAATGGTGAGCCAAGAGAAAATCAGGGGTGTGGTGTCCTGAAAACTGTGATTTGAGAAGATGAGTCAGATTTCAAGGCAGGCCTGATTAGCAGAAAATATTGGAGGTTCTAAAACCAGTTGGGAGGGCAGTTAGAAATCTACTGCAGCAAGCCAGGTGAAAGGAGGTCAGAGTCCAAACTGAGATATCAGGAGAGAGGCTGGGGAAAAAAAGGAGATTGACAGAAGAGACACTGAGAGCAAAAATACGCAGGGTTCATTCATCACTAAAAAGCAGAGGCAGACAGCATCTTCCCATGGGCAAGAATCTTGTGCAGTCATCCCCCAAAACAGGTCTGCAACTCTGCTGTGTTCTGGAGGCCAGTGTGGATGAGTGGACCATGCAACGACCATGTCAGCCTCCATCCCATCAGCCTCATTCTTCTAGGCACAGAAAACACAAGTGCTGACAGGCAGCAAACACACTGGCTGCTTCCTCACCTGAGGACACAGCCTAAAGAAAGGGAAGGTGGTCAGCTGGGTGAGAATGCTGTGAGCCATTGACTGGCCCCTTCTCTCTGGTGTGCTCACATCCACTCTTCTTTAACTCTTTCTCATCTCTGAATGCAAACGTGGCCATGTAACCTCAACCCCTCTGCCTCTAAGGCTTCTCATGGCACTCAGGAAAACATCCCCAATCCCCCTCCTGACCTCCATGGCCTTGAAGTGATCTGACCTCAAGTGCCCTGGCCCACGGCCTCCCCTCTCATCATACGAATTCCTTGCGGAATGGGCTAGCTTTACCCATGACACCTCCTTCCTGGAATACTCTTTTCCTTCCTCCAAGCCACATCTCACTCATTCCTTAAACTTGGGGCATCTGCCCCTCCTCCCACCACTCAATCTCAAGAAGATTCTTCCTATTATGTTCTCTCATAGCCCTTTTTTCTTTTCTGGTTTTTATTACTGTTTGTAGTTATTTATTTGACTTTAATCATTTAACATCCACCCTCCTCATTAGACCGTGAGCTCCATGAGGGCAGGGGCCACATCTGCCTTGTTGGCTGCTGGTCCCAGGGCCCACAAGGCTGTGGCAGGTGTTCAGTGGTGTGAGTGAGTGTGTTAGTGAGAGGTATGAGTGAGTGATGCTGAGCTCTGGCTCTGCATGGCTGCCACCTTGCCTCCCTCCTCAGTGTATCCAACACTGCTCACTGGAAGCAATCCACACTTTAGACTCTTTTCTGAAAAGGGGACTGGCTCTCCTGAAGATAGGAACCAGCTGATCACTTTACTAGGAGTAAAGTGCTTAAGTTTTCTCACAAGCCCTAGTTTGTGCTTCTCCACTGTGGTTTTACCTGTGAATGTAAAAACTCAAACTGCTAAATATTTTCCTGGCCCTGATAGGTGGGATAGGCCTCCCAGAAGCACTGGCAGGTGTAAAATGGAGATAAGTAAGAGTGCTTTTTAAATCTTTCTGTAGTTGCACAGGAGCTGTGTGTATTCCATGGTCCTAGTTAGCAAAGACTTTGGAAGATAAAAAACACTCTATTTTTAGAAGAGCCCTTCATATTACAATAGCACTTACAAAGTGACAGCTTCAACAGCTGTAAGGATTAGTATAAATAGTCTGAGAGATGGCACCACGCTATTATACCTAAACACATGCTCTTCAAGGGCCCAGCGGTAAAGGACATGCAGAAATAGGAATCTAGCAGCTAAAGGAATGGTGCGCATGTGTGTGTGTGTGTGTGCACGTGCATGTGTGTGTGTGATCATAATACAGTGATGCTATGTTGTAGAACTGTGATGTACCTGAATTTCCACTTTGGATGGATCTAAACTGATACATTTTGTGCTGGCTTGTGTCACCAATACCTAGAAATAAAATCAGTTGAGCTGGAGTGAGCCCTTCCTTGTCAGGTGAACCAGCTGATGCCCAGGTTTGTTAGTGAAGTGGTTCTCAGCCTTGCTGCACATTTGAGTCACCTGAGGAGCTTTCAAAATTCCCAATGCACAGAACATAGCCTAGATCAACTCCTTCAGAATCTTCAGGTTGAGACCCAGATATTACTACTTCTAAAATTTCCCAAGGTAATTACAATGAGCAGCTAAGTGTGAGAATTCCTGTTTAAGGGTTTTTGAGATTCGGAGGAGTGTCTTGAATTAGTCAGGTGTTTACGACTCCAAACATGAATCAAGCCATCATCACCAGTACAGGCAGAATTCATTGCATAAAAGGAAAGAAAGGGAAACTGATACTGATAACATTTGTTATAAAAGGCCATAAAAGAGAAGCAGCTAAGAGCATTGACTCTGACATCAGACCTCTGAAAATCAAATCCTGGTTTTACCCCTCCCCAGGTATGTGATCTTTGGCAACTTGCTTAAGCCCTCTGTGCTGTAATTCTGCCTCACTGCAAAGCAGAAGTGAATTACTATGTCTTCTCCAACGTGATCAATAGAGGAAGGCCAGGAACTGGTAAGAGGCCCAGAAATGTAATGGACCCAATATGTAGAGAACAAAAATCGGTGCACATGGATGAGAAGTTCAAGTATTCTCATGGAAAATCAGAGACATGGAGTCCTGTACCCTTAATGCTCTGATTGGATTAGAATTCATTGCCTGCACTGAAAGCCTGAACCACCTGGGGGCCCAGCATCAAGGAAAGTATGTGAAATTATAAACTAGATTTCGTTTTGAAATGCATCCAATTTGTAACTATATGATCTATACATATGAGCTTGGCACATAGAAGGTTTTATCCCTTACCTCCATATCTCTCTGAATTGTTCTTTATATTATAAACAATGGTGAGATCATCATAAGTGGTTCAGGTCATTGTAAATCTCCCTTTATGGCCATGGAGTCCTATTCAGCCATAAAAAAGAATGAGATCCAAGCATTTACAATGCGGATGAAAGTGGAGGTCATTATGTTAAGTGAAATAAGCCAGGCACAGAAAAACATACTTTGCATCTCACTTATTTGGGGGAACTAAAAAGTAAAACGATTTGAGTCATCAAGATGGCGAGTGGAAGAATGGGCTGGGAAGGGTAATGTGGGTAGGGAGTGGGAGTGTGGATGGTTCATGAGTAAAAAAAAATAGTTAGAATTAATAAGATCTAGTATTTGCTGGTACAACAGGGTGACTACAGTTAGAATGAATAAGATCTAGTATTTGCTAGTACAACAGGGTGACTATAGTAAAAAAATAATTTGATTGTACATTTTAAAATAACTAAAAGAGTATAATTGGATTGTTTGTAACACAAAGAATGAATGCTTGGGGTAATGGTTGCCCCATTTACCCTGATGTGATTATTATGAATTGCATGCCTGTATTAAAATATCTCATGTAACACATAATTATATACACCTTCCTACTATATAATCACAAAAATTAAAAATTAAAAATTTTTTAAAAACAGATACATGTAAAACCCTAGAGTAGCTACAACACATCTAAACCAAACAGTGTAATGAAAAGAACATTAAAGAAATTAAAATGTTATTTTTAATTTATAATATAGAAGGGATGAGACCTTAAAACTTCAAAACAGGTAAAGAATAACATTGATTTTAAGTTTTAGGGAGTTGGCTTTACACAGGAAGAGAAGGAAAATAACTCTTTACCTAGTTGAGTTTCTCCCAAAACACAGATTTCTAAAGTCTATTATATTTTCAAGTCCCTCTGAATAGTGCCATTTATTATTTATTATTTATTTATTTATTTATTTATTTTTGCCGAGATGGAGTCTTGCTCTGTTGCCCAGGCTGAAGTGCAGTAGCACAATCTTGGCTCACTGCAACCTCCGCCTCCCAGGTTCAAGCGATTGTCTTGCCTCAGCATCCTGAGTAGCTGGGACTATAGGTGCACACCACCACGCCTAGCTAATTTTTGTATTTTTAGTAGAGATGGGGAATTCACCACGTTGGTCAGGCTAGTCTCCAACTCCTGACCTCGTGATCTGCCCACCTTGGCCTCCCAAAGTGCTGGGATTACCTGCGTAAACCACTGCCCATTTTATGTTGTACTATAAAATAGTCTTTTTTTATGTAAATAATGTCAATTGGGAGACTGATTTACAAATATTTTAATTGTGTAGTAAACATAATTGTATTTATGTTGTATTTATTTGAGGTTAAGTGTGTAAAAGGGAGATATTGCATTTATCTTAGTAATTGATGTGATCATCTTCACCTGCCTGACTATTGAGAGATTTTAGGTTTATTAGATGTTAATAGCTTTTCTTCTTTCTAAAATAAGATTGTTCAATACCTTGGCTCTGGCAGAAAGTTCACAACACTGAGGACACTAATGAAAGTGAAGTGTCTACTTTGATACTGCTCCTGTCTAATATGCATTAATGTTTTAGAAAGATTGAAAAGTGCATAATTAGCTGACTATATTTAGTACTGAAGAGTTGCTATAACACCAGTATCACACAATCTGTAAAAAGCAATAATTATTTCTCCTGTAACAATAAAGGAAACTGTATCACTAACTTAAAAATCTAATCATTTAGGAGAAAAGTTAATATATAGAAACTACTTGCAGAACATTAAAACAAAATGCTAGGAAAAGTAAAATAAGACTTAAAAAATGTGGCAGATGAAATACGGTCCTAAATAAGAAGAATGGTGACATGAAGATGCTTCTCTCTTTACATTATTTTGTAATTTTAATGTAATTTCAAAACTCCTAATAAAACTTGGGGGTTATGTAAAAATAATTTTGAAATCCTATATACAAAAGAAATCAGTAGAGTAAACAAATAAGTTTACAAAAGAATAGTGAGGTTGGGCTTGTATTGCCAGATATTAAATGTATTAGGGAGTTACAATGACTAATGTAGTATGACACTGATATAAAAGGAAAACAGACATGAAACACTGATATAAAAGGAAAACAGTCATGAAAAAGAATAGAAAAGTCTAAAGTAGGGCCAGGTATCATATTAATATAGATCAATCACCTTAAATATTTGTCATTTATATGTGTTTTAATTTGCATTTCCCTGATGATTAGTGATGTTGAGCATTTTTTTATATATATCTATTGGCCATTTGTATGTCTTCTTTTGAGAAATGTCTACTCATGTCCTTTGCCCACTTTTAAAAAAAACTTTTTAACAGGATTATTGGTTTTTTATTATGAAGTTGTTTGAGTTCCTTGTGTATTCTGGATATTTGTCCCTTGTCAGATGAATAGTTTACAGATATCTTCTCCCATTCAACAGGTTGTTTCTTCGCTCTGTTGATTGTGCCCTTTGCTGTGCAGAAGCTTTTTAGTTTAATATAGTCCAGTTTCTCTATTTTTGTTTTTGTTGTCTGTGCTTTTGAGGTCTTAGCAATACAATTATTGTCTAGACCAACGTCTTGAAGTGTTTCTCCTGTGTTTTCTGCTAGCATTCTTACAGTTTTAAGTCTTACATTTAAGACTTTAATCCATCTTGAGTTGGTTTTTGTACATGGTGAGAGATAGGGGTCCAGTTTTATTCTTCTGCATGTGCATATTTAATTTTCCAGCACAATTTATTGAAGAGAGTGTCCTTTCCCCAGTATATGTTGCTGATGTCTTTGTCAAAAATCAGTTGGCAGGAAATATGTGGGTTAATTCATTGTCAAAAATCAATTGGCTGGAAATATGTGGGTTAATCCTGCTCCATTGTTCTATGTATCTATTTTTATACCAATACCATGCTGTTTTTGTTACTACAGCCTTGTAATATATTTTGAAGTCAGGTGATACCTCCAACTTTGTTCTTTTTGCTCAGGATTGCTTTGGCAATTTGGGCTCTTTTTTTGTCCTGTGCAAATTTTAGGACTATTTATTTTAATTCTATGAAAAATCACATTGGTATTTTGATAGGGATTGAAGTGAATCTGTAGATTGCTTTGGACACTATGATCATTTTAACAATATTAATTTTTCTAATCCGTAAGCCTGAGATGTCTTTCCTTTTTTGTGTGTGTCCTCTTCAATTTCTTTTATGAGTATTTTATAGTTTTCCTTGTAGAGATATTTCACCTCCTTGATTAAATTTATTTCTAATATTTTCTTTTTTGTAACTTGTAAATGGGATTCTCTTCTTGATTTATTTTTCAGTTATTTTATTATAAGGGTATAGAAATGTTACTAATTTTTGTATGATTATTTTATTTTTGTTTTTGTTGTTTTGTTTTGTTTTTGTTTTGAGACAGTCTCACTCCGTCACCCAGGATAGAGTGCAGTGGCACCACCTTGGCTCACTGCAACCTTCGCCTCCCAGGTTCAAGCAATCCTCCCTGTCTTAGCCTCCCGAGTAGCTGGGACAATAGGTGCCTGCCACCTCACCCGGCTACTTTTTGTATTTTTAGTAGAGACAGGATTTCACCATGTTGGCCAGGCTGGTCTCGAATTCCTAACCTTAGGTGATCCACCCACCTCGGCCTCCCAAAGTGCTGGGATTACAGGCATGAGGCACTGTGCTCATCCTGTATATTTACTTTGTATTCTCCAACTTCACTGAGTTTGTTTACCACTTTTAAGAACTTTGATTATTTTGGTTTTTCTAATTATAAGATTATATCATTTGTAAAGAGGGATAACTTGGTTTATTCTTTTTCAATATGTATGCCTTTCATTTCTTTCTCTTGCCTGATTGCTCTGACTAGGACTTCCAGTACTATGTTGAATAGGAGTGGTGAAAATGGGCACCCTTTTCTTGTTCCAGTTATTAGAGGAAAAGCTATCACTTTTTGCCATTCAGTATGTTGTTAGCTGTGGGTTTGTCATATATGGCCTTTATTATCTTGAGGTATGTACCTTCTATGCTTAGTTTATTGAGAGTCTGTATCATGAAAGAATGTTGAATTTTATCAAATACTTTTTCTGCATCTATTGAGATGATCATATGGTTTTTATTTTCATTCTGTTGATATGATGTGTCATGTTTATTGATTTTCCTATGTTGAATCATCTTTGCATCCCAGATATAAATCCCACTTGATCATGGTGTATTATTTTTTTGATGTACTCTTGGATTTGGTTTACTAGTATTTTGTTGAGGATATTTGTATCTATGTTCATCAGGGGTATTGGCTTATGGTTTTTGTTTTGTTTTGTTTTGCTTGACTGGTTTGGTATTAGGTTAATGCTGGCCTTGTAAAATGAGTTAGTGAGAATTCTTTCTTCAATTTTTTGAAACACTTTGAGGAAGATTTGCGTTAGTTCTTCTTTATATATTTTGTAGAATTCAGCAATGAATCCATCTGTCCTGGGCTTTGATTGTTTGGGGATTTTTTATTACCAATTCAATCTCGCTACTAGTTATTGATCTGTTCAGATTTTTAATTTTTTTCCTGATTCAGTCTTAGTAGGTTGTATGTATCCAGGAATTTATCTCTTTCCTCTAGGTTTTCCAGTTTGTTTGGTGTATAGTTGTTCATAACGGTCTCTGATGATCTCTTGCATTTCTGTGATATCAGTTGTAAAAGTCCACTTTTTCATTTCTGATTTTGTGTCTCTTTTCTTTTCCTAGTTGGTCTAGCTAGTGGTTTATTAATTTTGTTTGTCTTTTCTAATAACTTTTCATTTCATTGATCCTTTGTTGTTTTTTAGTTTCTGTTTAGTTTAGTTCTGCTATGGTCTTTGTTATTTCTTTTCTTCTGCTAATTTGGAGTTTGGTTTGTTCTTGCTTTTCTAGTTTCTTGAGGTGAATCATTAGATTGTTTATCTGAAATCTTTCTACTTTTCTGACATAGGCATTTGTTGCTATAAACTTCCCTCTTAGCACTGCTTTTTCTGTATCCCATGGGTTTTGGTAAAGTTTCGTTGGAGATTGGGACTCCCAGTAGGCTGATTTTCAGATTCCAGTGGTGGCAGTGGTGGGCTAAGCATCACTGTCCTTGGACCCCAGGGTGGCATACGCTGGCACTGGTGTTAGCAGGTCCAGGCAGACTGATTCTTGGGTCTCCATGTGGCTTACTTCCTGGTAGTGGCAGTGGTGGACTGGGTGGGTGGGCAGATAGGCCCCTGGGCTGCCAGAATGACTTGGGCTACAGCAGTGGCAGTGGCAGGATGACCCTCTGGGTCCTGAGTAGTGTGTGCTGGTGTTGGCCGTGGCTGCAAAGGGCTGGGCAGACCAGTCCCCAGTACTCCAGGTGGCATGTGCAGGTGACAACTGTGGTTGTAGTGGCAGAGGGAGCAGACCCCACCTCAAGCCCCCAGGAAAGAGTGTTCAGGTACCAATGGTGGTGGACTGGGCTGGACAACCCTCTGGCTCCTGTACTGTGTGCTCTGCCATGGGGTGGGGGATAAAGTTGGGCTAGGTAGGCTTGTCCTCAGGCCCCCTGATGGTGTGTGTAGACATCAGTCATGGTAGGCAGGGGTGAGTGGCCCCCAGGCTACCCGTGGAATGTTCAGGTGGGAAGTAGCAGTGGCTGCACTGTTCCCCTGCCACTGGGGAATGCAGAGCCACCTTCGGTGGTGGCAGCCTAGGTGGGCGGGTGGGAAACGCAAGTGCTGCTCATGCCTCAGCCCCAAAGCACTCACACCTCAGCTCTACTGGTGGTAACCTTTGCCTCGCTCTCTGCTCAGTCCTAAGTGTGGTGGTAGCCTGTGTGATGGTTATGCCTCAGCCCTGGCTGCCCCAGCCCATACCTGGCTCATGCCTCAGCCCCAGGGACAGTGGCCTGCACTTCTCTTTAACCTCAGCCCCGATGCCACTGGGCCCCAGGACAACATGCAGTCTGTTGGGGGCAGGGCTCTCAAATAGTGCTCTCTTCAGCTGCTTAGGTCTTAGGGAGGGTGTGGGGCCCAGCAGGAGCTTCCTTCCCGGAGGAGTGCTATCACACAGTCGCTTGGTAACTCCCCATGTTAGTTTCAGGACTTACAAGGCTTAAGGGGCTCTCCCATGGCTAGAATTGCAGAAGTGCAAGGTGGGGATGTGGGCCACTAAGGGGCCACTGTGGGAGGTCCCTCGGCTCTCAGCCCATCCTGGCAAAGCAAGCTGCCTTTATTCCCTCTCCTTCCTCACTTAAGTATTTCCTGTCACTTTTCTGTTGAATTTTAGTGTTCTCTATTGGATGATCTATTTACTTCTAGTTAGTTATCTTGAAACTCCTCCTCTAAACATACTTCCCTAAATCAACATGAAGCCAATACCCTTGCAGAAAAATGGCAACAGACATAAAAGGCAGTTCACAAAAAGAGCAATGTAAGTGGCCAGGTTAAAAAGACAAAGCTTAAGTTTGTTGTAATCAAAGATGGAAATTAAGATCATTATATATCATTTTTGCTTCTTACCCTGATTGAATGCTTTTCATTGTGATTTACAGAAAACCTGACAAAACATAGCTCAGAAAATACAAACTTTTATTACCTTGCACAAAGAGTACGTGTGGAGTTGTTCCCTGGCAGTTTATTAAGTGAGTTGTCATGCTGTCCAGGAATGGCATTTTAATTTTAAGTTCTGGGATACATGTGCTGGTTTGTTACATAGGTAAACACGTGCCATGGTGGTTTGCTGCACCTATTAACCCATCATCTAGGTTTTAAGATGGAAAGTTTTCCATCTTTCCCTCCATTGTCCTCTGCGCACTGTCTCTTCCCCTCCACACATCTTCTCGTGATTACCCTATGGGTGCAGGAGCTCTTTTCTACACATTCCCTTCCACTTTAAGAACTGGAAAAATGGTCCATTGAGGGAAAACGTATTTCCCTTCTGTGTCTCTTTTAATCAGAGGAACTCATTTCCTGGACACCTGCAAATATACTTCCATTCACGTTCTATTGGCCAGAATTGGCCATGTGCCTATGACTAAACCTGGTCACTGGGAAGGAAGATGGAATTACCACAGTTGACTTAGATTAGCCAAGTCTTATCCCCTGAACATATTAAAACCCTTAGAACTGTGTATGCCTATTAGCCCACAATTCTACTTCTTCCTAAGGAACTATTGTTGGATAGACTCATAGATGTCGCTAGAAGGCTATTTGTCAATTAGTTGTTTATAAGAAACAAGACATTTGTATAAAAATGAGAGGTTGGTTAAATAACTAAGAGTATCATTTCAAGGTGGAATACTATGAAACCATCACAATTTTACATGTTTTAGATACAAATATTTATATGGACATATGTTCATGTTCTATTAAGTGGGGGAAGTGATGCTAAAATAGTATCTTATCTTTAAAAAAATATGTATATATATGTCAGCAAGGATATACACTAATATGCTAACAGTGACCTTTGACACTGATGGTATGATTACAGTGACTTGAACTTTTTTACTTGATTTTGGGGGTATTTTCCAACATTTTATATAATAAATGTGTTACTTTTATAATTAAAATGGGGATAACATTTAAAAGGAAAAATACCAAATTTTGTTAGACATTCTCTTTCCTTTTACAGCTGAGGTGAAGGGACTGACTACTATGCCAGCTTGGGACGTTTGCCTTAGTGAAGAAATTGGCTCAGCTCTGAGCTGCCTCATAATTGGCAGCAGACACCCATGGTGGGAGTAGAGTTCCAACTGAGTACACTCTGTGTGTAGGGGAGCCTCAGCTCCTTCCTCCTAGGAGCTGGAGGAGCATCCTAGTTTCCTCAACAGATTGTCTTTCCCTCATTCAGTTCTTAAAATGAAATCAAAATGGCTTTGTGATATTTGTAATTGGAATTTTAAGTAGGTACACATGCTTTTTCTGAGAACTAGCTAGTAACAGAAAGGAGCTGAGAAAAAAAAATCTACGGAGATGTCTGGCAATTTTGTTTTCTCATTAAATAGTACAAATCTCCGCTGTTCTTTTGCCTCCATTTCCAGGGGAAGTGCAAAACCAGTATTGCTCGTAACTGCAGGATCTATTTGGAAGAGTTTCAGTAATGACTATAATAATAAATGCTTACAGCTACTGCACACTTACAATGTACCACTTCACTAAATCCTTTGCACACATTTCATTTAATACACACAACTACCTTGCTAAGGTGATATTATTTTTATGCTCTTTTCACTGAGAAGGAAACTGGTAACTTTTCATTTTTTAAAAGTAATCTTTTCAAAGTCACAGGGCTGGAGAAGTCGCAGAGACCAAGTGAAACCTCATCAGTCTCTGAAGCAAACACTGTTCACTTCTTCTCTGTGTTACTCTTTAAACTAGGAGGAGAAAGGTTTTGGGATTGTGATCTATGTCTGAGCGACAAGGTCAGAGAAGGTATAGTATCTGTGTCTTATATACCTCCTTGGAAAATGTGCATGAAATGAGAGCTGACTGTGAAGGTGGTGCCATGGAAGTTAGGGAGCAGTGTGTGCATATGTGTATCTGCATGACAGGGTTAGTAAGAGCAGTGGGTCTGTTTCACTTAAGCAAAGCACACAAGCATTTCACTTGGCCTTGGATCACAGAAAGGGAGACAAATTAAATTGCAGCTACATCTCTCAAATTCTGTGGGACAATCTTTCTATTTTAAGCATCCAGGTTTATAATCCTTGACCCCTGATTCATAAAGTTGTGGGATTGTCACCCTATAATCATGGATTTTCCTATGTGTTCCTATAAGCCCACACACACTCACACACACACCCATTCACACACCAAGACTTAACACTTTACAGTGTTTTGGACTAGGAAGAATGAACACATCAGCTTTAATTAGGCATGGACTTGGGTGGGCACTATTTGACCTCCAAGGCACATTACTTTATAGGAGAAGTTTCCTTCTGGGATTTTTATTTTGAATATTAAGTCTATGAACAATTTAAGCATGAGGATTACCATGGCTGCCATTCATGCAACAGATTTTGTTGAATACCTTACTATAAAACAGAAGCAGAAATGATATAAGACTGGCCTTCTGTAGTCTCTGTTCTTCGAAGTTTCTTTGTTACCTTGATATTCTATGACATATAGAACTGTCTTTCCAGATTCCCTGAAAAACTCTGGAAATTGGTCCAAGTAGCATTCATGGGAGGGCTAAAATAAACTTCCTATTGTAAGGTGGAAGGGCTTTTTCTTTATTATCCCATGATAGCTATGTAGGGCCTAAGATCCCTCATTATTATCACATTTACTATTGGGAAACCTTGTTCTAATCATGAGATGTCCACATGTCTGGCGTCTCTCAGGTTCAGTGCTCTGTTGGATGAGTTTCTGCTCTGAAGGAACAAGGGTGTGACATTGCTGTTGAATTTAATTTACCTTCAGTCTCAAAAACCAACAAAATATTTAAAAGAAATTATATTCCCATCTTCTTTCCATGGCTCATCAGTGTTTTAACAAAGAAAAACTTTAGGAAAGGCAATTTACTAACGAGAAAAAAAATAATTAATGTGTGAAAATGTTCAAAGATATGCAAATCAGACTGAGAAGGCTGATAAACCATCTTCATTTTTTAAATTGGTAAGTGTTTTTAAATTAAAATACCCAGTTGGCAATAGTGAGGGGAAACTAGCACCCTTCTGGCAGAAGTGAAAATTGGTCTAGCATTTCCCATGGAAAAATCTGACAAGATATAACAGAAGTCCTAAAACTGTGCACATCCTTTGACCCAAAACTTCTGTATCTAGAAGTTTTTTATAAGATTGTAATAGTAGTATATACAGAGATGTATGTTTCAAGATCTTTACCAAAATGTCATTTAGAATATTTTAAAAGTGGAAATAAGTTTCAAACAATTTATGATGTCAAATTCGATTAGGTAGAATAATTTTTAATGATATGAAAAATGTTCACAATATTTCACTCAGTGCTAAAAATTGAGCCAAAAAATATTATGGACATTATTATCTCATTTGATTTTATGTAATACTGTGTATGCATGTGCGTGTGTGTGTGTGTGAATAGAGGGTGAGGTGGGGGAGAAACACACTGGAACAGATATCAGAATATTATGTATGGCATGCTCCATGTACTGGTATTAGAAGCGATTTAAGAACTGGCTGATGAAAGATATAAAGCCAAAAATGTTATTTTCTGACATTATTTTTCTGTGTGAAAATAACCAATTGTGCTGTGACTTCCGTGAGCAAGTCAGTGCCTTGTGGAAAGCTGATATTTAATTTCCTGCATTGTAAATCCACATACAGATTCACACAAGTCCTGATGTCAGGGTCCCAGTCAATAATAGTCTATGAGCCTGTCCAGCCCCCTCTCTGAAGTCCTTTGTATTTATAAAAGCTACCTTGTAAACAATTACTTAATATGTCTTCAGCCCAGTGCTAAGCACTTTTTGGTATAAATTCATATAATCCTTTCACTAACTCTATGACCTAAGCACAATCAGTCCTCTTATTGTTGAAAACTCCAAGCTTGAGAGCAGTCAGGAGGTCTGCCTAGGTCACAGAGGCAGTCAGTGCCCAAGCAGGGTTGAGATACAGCTCAGTGCAGCTCTACACCTTTGGATATAACTTCCATTAACATGGCCTCCCACTCACAATTCTGCTGTCAGAGCACAATAAATCTTTAAGGAAATCTTCTTATTGGTCTTACAACTCCATTAGTCTCCCAAAGCATGCCCATTTCTGTGCAACTGAAAGCCAATTGAATACTTTATTATTATATAATCTGATAAATATCTGGTAAGCAAAGAAGAAAAGACATATGTTTGCCAAATACCTAATGCATGTAGGGTTAAAAATCTAGATGACGGGTTGATAGGTGCAGCAAACCACCATGGCACACATATACCTATGTAACACACCTGTACGTTCTGAAAATGTATCCCAAAACTTAAAGTAAAATAATAATAATTATTATTATTTAGGTATGTGTTCATAGGAACATGCATCTTGGAAATAGGAACGAGGCTCAATGAAGTTAATACATTGCATAAATACCATTATTCCTGTGCCTTGGAGTTAATAAAATATTGGCTTATATATTGTCTAAGGAGTCTTGGGGAAAAAAATAGCATGAAAACCATTTGCTTCCTAAGTACAAAACTTAAAGTCACAAAATCTGCCTAAGCTACAGGTGGCACAGTGAAATAAATCTGATAGCAAATGTCTCTGAGATGACTTAATGAAATAGAGGAGACCTTGCAGATTTGGATGAATTGTTCAGTAATCTGACAGGTAGTTCTCGAGGCCTGACACCATGCTCCTCACCCCGCTGGTTCACCCTGCAGTGAGATGTTGTAAATCCAGGCAGAGGTAAGCAGTGATGTGGTGGGCTTCCCAAAATGCCAGTGCATGTCACCAGAGGAGGAAGGGAAGTGCACCAGACCCAACATATCTTGGCAAACCCAGGAGGAAAGACTTGAACGGCGATCATTCTCAGGATTGGCCCTTTGGCATTCATAAAACCCAATCCTGCCCCCAGAACCTGGTTTGAAATGATACAAGAAGAGCATCCTTCCTGTTTCTCAGCATGTGCCTCCAGCATATCTATAATTACTCAGTTTCCTGAAGTTTAGTTTTGTTGTGTTTGTACTAGAACAACCAGTCCAAAGCTGAAAAGGCCAGAGTCCTTTTACTTTTCTGAATAGCTCAGAGGTCTGGGTATTCAGAAAAGTGAAGATAAGGGGGTGGAGGTGGGAGTTATATTGTGGGTCAGATGTTGGTCAAATTCTGTGGGGACCCTCCCGTGAAAATTCCACACGAACATTGCATCACCACACCATGCACCCCTTTTTTGTGCTTTGCCTTTTAACAGCATATCCTACCACTCAGGGCTGGCATCATTGTCCCCATCCTATTATCAGCCAAGGAGGAAAGGCCATGTAAGATGGGCTGACAGAATTTTCCAGCTCCTGCTCAAATCTGTTGTCTACTGAATGATCACAGAGTTGGCAAAGAGATGCAGACTAGATGGTCTGCATCCATCTCTAACAACGCTGGGAAGAATTCCCAAACAGCATCGTTTAGAAAGGAACCAGAAAATAACTCTTTCCTGACATAGCCTACAGCTTGTCACAAAATCCATGTGTCATTCCAAAAATCACTGTAATTGTATGTTTTGTTTTTCTTCTTGATGCTGTTTAGATAAATTAGATTCTAGAAACATGATGTGTGCTTAAAACATTCTAAGATAGCTTTATGTGTATGCTGCTGTGGCTGCTGTCATAAATGATGCTGTGCTAATTTTTGTGGTTTTAAAAACATTTTTACTCCACTCTACTATTGGTCAGCATGCCCAAGGAAGTAATTTGAATTTTACTGAGGAAAATCAAAATGGAATTTAACAAACTGCAATTCATTTTTCTTATGAATCGTGAGGGAAATATAAAATAGGCATTTCGTAAGACTTTGGTAGAAAGAATTGATACTCGATTATTAGTTAGAACAACAGGAGAAAGTAAAGGTTCTTCAGAATTCAAAGGATCAACCAAGTTAGTAGATTAAGCCCTAATTAACTTTAGCAAGGTATTTAATCTCTCTAAGATCTCACCTTTTCATCTGTAAAATAAGAATAACAGCTATTACTACATGGAAATTAAATTTTAAAGGGAGTCCTGGCATGTAGTAAGCCCTTCTTAAATGCTCACTATCACCATTGCTATTATTGCCAGTTTTCCTCTTCACCATATGTTACTTGTAGAAAACACTGAAGTCAGTGAAGATGGAAACAGGGTGTTACAGGAACTTGCTCTGTTAGAAGGTTGGGACGATGAAGCAAAACCCATATTATCCAGGTGGATTGGTGGATCTTGTGACCATACATTGCACATAAAATCTCAGGGAGGTATTTTGTAAATATGCACCTCTGGCAATACAAGGGTCTGGGTAAAGTCATGGTGCTTCCTATCAGATCCACATCTCTCTACCTGAAAACATGCCTGTCTCTCAGGTGGCACAGTAACTGCTATTGGAAGAATCACTTCAAGACTGCACTTGATCCTCTTGCATGTGGATTCTTATAAACATTTTCATTTGCCATTCTTCATCTACTATTTATTGGGTATTTTCTTTGTGGGAGGTAGAAGAATAGTTGTTAAGCCTATGGGCTTATGGTGAATTGGGTCAAAGATTCATTTGAGGGAGCAGGGGACACTTCATTACACTGTCCCCAAGAAGGGTTCTGGTTACAGGGTTCCCACTTTCAGAATCATTGGTCTCTTACATGCCTACCACAGGTAGCCTCTTATGGGTGTTCCAGGCCTAGACCCCACAACCCTCTGTTCTATGAGGTGAGATGAGGATTAGATGTTCTTACCATTAGGCTCTTTAGGTTCTCAAGTGGAATGTATAGATGCATACAGCAATTGGGAAATGGCAGGATATTTTTTCCTTGCAAGTCTTTGAAGGCCTGTTGGCTCACACAGTGTAACAAATTTTAGCGGCTG
Organism: Homo sapiens; assembly: GCF_000001405.40. Taxonomy (NCBI): domain Eukaryota; kingdom Metazoa; phylum Chordata; class Mammalia; order Primates; family Hominidae; genus Homo; species Homo sapiens. The sequence goes on along the minus strand of NC_000005.10, from coordinate 136,659,767 downwards.
AACAAAAAGTTGCATATAGGTTCCTGGATTCTGGCAATGTGGGGATTCACGACTCCACACATGGAGACTGCCAGCTTCTTAAGTCATGGGAACAGGGTGTGGTATGTCAAGGACACAGCCTGGTATGGCCATTAAGTCAATCACAAATAATTGATAATGATGGCGTCAATAACTTCATTATCCTTGAATGAAACATTTATGGATGTTCTCATGAAATAATGACAATGCTTGCCCTTTGCAGGCCTAATATTTTGCATAAAAATATTTATCACACAGCTCATGGAACTGGAGAGTGATTGTTAAAGGGGAAAAGAGATTTTTAAAGATGTGAAGTGAGACTAGAAGCTTACATTCATTTTAACATGGGAGTTGTGTGAAACACCAAATCCTTGTTTGGCAAGAATATTCCTGGTGACTTATCTTGTAAGAGTGTTGATTAATGCCTTTCAATTGTGGCAAATAAGAATATACATCGCCATGTGAGTTGAGGCTCTATTGGCTCATGAAAATAATCCTTGGCAGAGACTAGAGCACTAAAGAGTGCAATTAAACAGGCAGGTCCTTCAGCACTAAAGTTATCTGTGTTTGATAAAGCCATCTTGTTGGTATTTTTAGTCATAAATTACTTTTTTACAAAACTAATCCTTTTCTTTGCTAAAAGAATGGCCACCATAACTCAGAAATGCCCCCATATAAGAGTGAATCTGGATGACCACCAGGTAATGCCCATAGAGCCCTTAGCATGAGCCTGGAATGTAATAAGCACTCAATACATGGAAGTGAGTGATGGTCTTATTATTGTCATTTATTTTTTATTATCATTTCCACTTTACATGTGTGTCATTGATGAAAACAGAGCTCTATGAGAATTCTTTATGAGAATAAAGGATTTAATTGGTAAATTGCTATTTATGCAAATGATGGATGTGGGAAAGTGAACATCTTGACATGGGTGTCGGAGAATCAGAGAGTCACTAGCCCATCCGACTGCTGCATCGGTGAGGTTGTCCAAGTCAGAACTCGCAGGAAAATATGAGTATTGTGCAACTGACTGCATCACGGGACCACAAAGGGGGAGTTGTTGGAGTGGTCTGGTAAACTGCTGCCCCTGTGGAATCAGATGCCTCTTTGAACCTTGCTACTGTGCAGCCTGTGGCCATGGATCTGGGAGTGGGCCTCAATCTGCTGTGGGGCCAGCAGAGCCAGATGAACTTCATGAACAACAGGAAGAGAGCAAGGGCTGGTTGAGGCTCACCAGGCACTTCTGTACTGGCTCATCCTTGTGCCTGACTGCTTCAACCAGTGGGAGTATGGTCCTGCTTCAATTCTGCTTCCAAAATCTCAGACAAGTCCTCTCATGTGGGGAAGGGAATCCTGGTAAATGTAGTTTCCTGCCTTAGACAAGACAGGCAGTGCCCAGTTAAGAGAATGCAATGTGTGGCTATGTGTCAGAATATCTTATGAGTTTTTCATAATTTGGTAGTTTGAGATCCAAGTAAGCAACGTATAAAATAGTAGCTTGAATTGCAAAGTCTAAAGAGTCAGCTTACTAGAGTGGAAAGTGCACTGTACTGGGGTAGATAACCTTCATTCTAGCATTTATACCTGTGAGAATAGGAAATGTCACTCACTTCCTTGGTCTTTCACATGGGGAAATGATCCTACACCATGGTCAAGATTCATTCAGTTATGAATAACACTCTTATTTATACTTCCCTCAAGCAAAGACTGGAGCAAGGGTATTTATTGGAAAATATGGTGGTATCTATGAAATTTCAGGAAAGAAAAGGCAAAGTAGCATCACAAGGACCAGTTCCAATTCACCAGCATCTTATGAAGGGCAGCAAACTCTCTCAATCACCCTAAGCCTTGGATTTTTGTCTCCATTTCTTTATGTGTTGCTTTTTTTTTTTTTTTTGCTTTTTTAAAAAAATATACTTAAGTTGTGGGATACATGTGCAGAACACACAGATTTGTTACATATGTGCCATGGTGGTTTGCTGCACCCATCAACCTGTCATCTAGGTTTTAAACCCCACATGCATTAGGTATTTCTCCACTTCACCCTACCCTAGATGTTTTGTGGGGTATTTATGAGTTTCAAGTGTGATCATAGATGTGAAAGCCCTTGGTAAGTCCTAAAGCATTGGGCAGACAGACAGTTATGTGGGCTCCTGGCCTAGACAAGAGCTGCCCTGAATTGTGTATAAATTTGAGGAAAGGTTTTCTGTCTTAGAATAATGATGTCATACATGGGCTCTGAAATCAGACTGCACATTCCAAATGTGGCTGTACCACTTACTAGCTCTGCAACCCTGACAAGTTTCTCAACTTCATGAAGCCTCCATTTTTCCTGTGTAAAATGGAGAAAATAATCAAATCTATCTCATAAAGCTGTTGGTAGGATTAAATGAAATAAAACATGCCAAGGACTTTGTTCAGGCACATAATAATAGTAATGATAATGATAATAATAATAATAGAATGATATCACTCACCTTGTACTGACAAGGGTGTTAAGTCCGTTTTAGTCTTCTACACCCACTACCCCAGAAATTGGTCAAGACTGCACTGATTGATAGCTACAGCAGTTCAGCCTGCTCCATGTAGTCTTTAACAAGATGCCATAGTCTGCAGGAAAACGTATGTTACCCTATTCTTTTAAGCATGAGGGCTAGCCAGCACATTACATGAGGAATGTGCTTGGATGCCAAGAAAACCGTTTGGGTTAGCCGTGCACTCAGAGTGATGTATGGAAGAAGTGGAGATGACTCGTTATGTTGTTTGACTTAAAAGATGCCACAGAAAGATTGATTCACTGTCAAGCTGGATGGACATGAGGAAACTGTTTTTTTAACATTGTGAGTTACTCCTGATGATATATTTAGTCAATCCAATTCTCTTCTATCCAACAGTCAGATTTGAACACTTAAGGTATATGTGTCTTCAGTAAGCTAAGAGTTTCTATTTGTTTGGCAACTATGAAGGGTCAGACATCATGTTAGGCATTAACCATTTAATGAAATGTCAAAATTTAAATGGAAACTTTAAGTTTCAATGAACAGAGAAACAAAACAGTTTTTGCCCTTAAAGAGCTCATACTCTAAAAGAATGGGCCAGGAGGTGAAGACAAAATAAATACCATATAGATTATGAGAAGTATCTTTTAAGTAGTACAAACACATTTCTGGGGGCCCCAGATGGAAGACAGAGCACACATTCAAGTGTTCAGGTGTCAGCCCACATGCCACCTTCTCAAAAAGTTCTTTGCCCAAACTAAAGTATCCCACCTGTCTTCATTACAATACCATTTTATTTTCCTCAATAGCTGTTGCCATAATTGGCATTTAAAAAAAACTTGTTCTTTACTACTCTCTCCTTCAACTAGAAGGTATACTCTGCAAGATCAGAAAATTTGTTATGTTATTTGCTGCTGTAAATGTCTGTTAAGTGAATGAACATTTGGTCGATAGGATCAGAGAAGGCTTCCTAAGTGTACCCATTCTAAATGTGTCTTAAGAAAGTAAGGCTTTCAACAATTATTGGTTGCAGTTAGAATAGGGGGGTCATTATAGGCAAAAATAATAGGGCAAACAAAAGCCCAGATAGGAATGTCTCAATTCCCAAGAAAACTGGAGTGACAGGATACACACATTTCTTGGAGTAATGTGTGAATGCACATGTTAGTTTAAAGAAAATATGACCAAAGTGGGCTATGGTTGAAGGGATGACTGAGTTTGATGTTGGGAACTCTCTGGCCCTCTAGACAGATTGTTTCTCCTTGGGGGACTCACACATGAGCCCACCAGGCACTAGGCTGCCATGCAAGCCTGCATGAGCTTTCTCATGGAAACAAACTCTCCCAGCTAGAATACAATATTTCACTTATTGCCTGTGGCAGAGGCTGTTAATCCCTACCTAATATCCAGTATGTATGCATCTTTTGGGGAATCATGTGACTAATTATTGAGTCTAATGGATCTGTTGCTTCTGGTCCTAGACAATTAAGAATGAAAACACGTTCTGTTTCCTCCTTTTCTGTGTAATCTACACTATCAGAAACAAGGGATTCCAAGGTGATGAAAAAGCAGGATAAAGGTGGCCTGAGCTCTTGACTCACCGCCTGGAAGAGAGTAAATCAGTAAATCAGTAAAGTCCATATCAGACTGATGTAAATAAAAGATAAATCTTTGTTATTGTAAGTCTGAGACTAGGGAGTGTTTATTTTACTGCAGCATAGACTAGACTAGCCATTCTGACTAATGTACTCCATCTTTTTTTTAAAAAAATACATTTATTCTTTGTTTTTTGGAAGGGCAGTTGGCTTTGATTAAATCTTTGCATATACCATAATCATGATGATCGACCACTTAATTTAACCAATCAGACTAATGGCCCTGCTTGAAACCTATTGCTCTCATTCAGACTGGGCACATCACAATATAATATTAATGATATGCAGTATTGATTTGATCACCGTTTTCCATAATGGCACAGTCAGTAGAAACTATTAAGGAAGTAAGTTGTAAAACACTTACTATTTTAAGGATTATAGAATCTGATTTGGGTAAGGTCTGTCAAATATCCCTACAATTTTTACCACCTCATCTTCCTCCTACATTGATCCTTATTCCAATTCATGGCTAGCATAAATAATTCAACCCAACAAAATTATAAAGTTTGAGGGAAGGAGACAGGTGAGGAATCAGTTAGAGTAAAGCAGGAATTTGTGTAAAATTCAGGACCCTTGCTACTCCAGGGCGTAGTGCCCACCAGAATGCTGTATGAAGAATGCTCTCTGGAAAAAAATTCCCTGCGATGCCCTGCACACAGTGCTCCAGAGCATGCTGTATGCACAAAACGGCTCTTCTCAGAGATGTGCAGTTTGGTGGCTCTGTGAAAAAATGTAGCAATAATCCAAACCCATAGTGAATTATAAATGCCAACCCTCTCAAATATAAGTGAATCAAATTAGACCACAGTCTCTAAGTAGAATAAGCAAGTGTGAAATCTTTCTCCTACATCAATCCAGGGGAATGGGATTTAGAGAAAGACAGAGGCTGATTAATGCTCATAGTGGAGTATCATCTTCTGAAAATGGAATGACATCTGGCCTCAGACACTTTGGCTTATTTCTGTTGTGTGCCTCTGCATTCACATTTAACATGAGTTCCAAATAATTGGTGAAATTGCTCTTGGTATTGGTTCAATAATTGCATAAGCATTTAAGCTTGAATTTAGGTGGAAAATTAAACGGATATAAAAATTTATATTCACTTAGGCCTCATTTAGTCTCTGAAGAGTTTAAGTAAGCAAAAGTCTAACTCTCAGGGTCCAAAGTTCCTTCTAATATGAATTTTTCAATGCATGCGTGTATATGTGTATATGTAATATTTCTGTTCACTAAGGAAAGCTTAGAAAATATAGAAAAGTAAAAATAGAGAAAGAAAAGTCACCTGGGATCCTGCCCTCCAGGGCTAACTATTGAGAATATATATATATACATATATATATATATTTTTTTTGAGACGGAGTCTCGCTCGTCGCCCAGGCTGGAGTGCAGTGGCGCCACCTCGGCTCACTGTAAGCTCCGCCTCCCGGGTTCAGGCCATTCTCCCGCCTCAGCCTCCCGTGTAGCTGGGACTACAGGCACCCACTACCACGCCTGGCTAATGTTTTGTATTTTTAGTAGAGACGGGGTTTCACCATGTTAGCCAGGATGGTCTCGATCTCCTGACCTCATGATCCACCCACCTCGGCCTCCCAAAGTGCTGGGATTACAGGCGTGAGCCACCGCACCCAGCTGAGAATATTTTTATGTATATTTTATAGAGTTAAATTGGAGTACAAAGTTATTGTATTATTAATAAAATTTGTAACTTGGCATTTTTCTTTTCACAAAATTTACTATTCTTCCCCTAAATCATTAAAACCTGTTTGTAAACATTTTTAAAGGCTGTATAATATTCCATACTATAACTGCATAAACCTCCATTTCCTTCTACCTATCCTTATTACTGAATATTTAAATTATTTTTTAAAGTATAGCTCATTCATCACTTCTTGGCCTTTTGGCTAAGATCAAGTGTAAAGTATAGCTCATTCACTGTTCTAAATATTTCTTTATATATCATCCTTTTATATATAAATATATTTTCTGTATTTCAAATTACTTTCCTAGGTCATATACCTAGAAGTAAGAATATTGGGTCAGAGCATATAGTCCTTTCTTGAAATATACTTTCAGCTATACCAAGGTATTTATGAATATAAAAATTATTGTGGAAAACTATAATAAACCATGCTTTGTCTACCAAAAGATGGTTGCTGCTAATATGTTAGCCCTTTTTATTGAGTCATATGTTTCTTTTCATGTGAAAATATAAACTCGAGTATAAATGGTATTAAGACTAAGCAATTGGCATTTATTTAAAATGTTCTGGTGCCTCTTTTGTACTAGCCTCCAGAATCTCCAGGGTTGCAGCAGGTAGGGAGAAAACTGACTGTCCAGTCCTAAGGATAAAACTAGATTTGCACATGAAGAAAAAAGGAGCACAAATGGACCATGCTGGCTGTGTTTAAAGCAATCTGCCTCAAGCCATCCCCCTTGCTCATTCCTCCACATTCAACATCTTCCCCCCAGAGTCTCATTCAAAAGGGTCTGTGACTTTGCTTCCAAATGTATTCTGCCCAGCAGGACTGGCTCCTCTCCAGATACTGTTGACTTCATAGAAATCAATGTAGTGGTGGTTGCCCATTCCAAGAATAATCACTTTAAAGACTCCTTGAATATATAAAATCAATAGCAGAGCAAGTCATTGCAGTCCATATAATTAAATCACTCCCAAGTACCCTCATTTTTTTTTTCTCTAAACAATTGTGATAAGAGCCTGAGCTGACAGAATCTCCTCAGGGTGCCTCATCTGAGCTCCAGAAATGCCAGGGCTTGATGCACTCATCTTGCTCCTATGGCTGTCAAGGCTTCTGACCTCAGAAAACAAAGCCATAGTGCCAGATATATAAGGAGAGAGGCTGGGTGGGAACACACGCACTGCTTCTCTGTGAGAGTGTCCAGCCATGTGTCTGGTGGGGCAACTATTTGCATCAAAGTCAGTCACTGACCTATGGGGCAAGACATGCAGCACCTCTGCCAGTAAAAGTGACAGGAGACAGACAAATGCCTAGGCAGTCAGGGGTGGGTCCCCAGTGAAACCCCACCTTCAAGCCCAAAAACAGCCTAAAGGCTGAAAGACCAGACTGCTGGTCCTGGATGAAACCTATGACACAGATTGAGAACTTCTGTTTCTGTTTGCCCACCCTTTCCCAATGGATTCTTTCTGAATAGTGCCTTTTAACCAATCAAATGTTACCTTTTCTAATACTACCTAGAGCCTGCCCCTCCCCCATTCTGAGCCCGTAAAAGCCCCAGACTCAGCCACATTGGGGGGACTTTACTGCCTTCATATAGGGGGACCACCCTCATATCCCCTCTCCACTGAAAGCCATTTTCATCACTCAATAACACTCCTCACCTTGCTCACTCTTTGATTGTCAGTGTATCCTCATTCTTTTTGGATGTGGGACAAGAACTCAGGAACTGGTACACAAGCCAGACTCGGCTGAGGCAGGCTGAGTGAGTGGGCCATCTCCTGCAGCAGGTAGCATGGCTGAGGGAGGCCTGGGTGGAGCATCACCAGCCAGAGGTCTCAGCTTGAAAGGGACTGAGAAAAAAATTCTGTCACTAGCCAGACAATAGTTGCTGCACACTTAAGGGGTGTGGCTGGCAGCAGACTCACCTGGCAGCCAGGTGTTAGAATACACCCTTGAAGAGTCATCCTATATGTGAGGTGAGACTTGGATGAACTTAAATATGATGCCCTTGGTGTAAGGAGTGGTGAGAAGGAGTCCAAATATAATCAGGAAAGAAGGAAAAGCACCACCCTCTTGACAGAAATACGGGAGCTGATTACACTGTGTGGAACTGGATAGAATATACCAAGGAAAGAGACTGAAGTTGGGATAATTAGGGAAATCTTTATGAAGAAGTAAACCTTTATGAAATGTTGAGAAATAAAGTGGAGTGGGATTTCTGCTTCTGATAATCAGTTACTAATTATTGAAGACCAATCTTCCCACTGAGAACAACCAGAAAATAGAGACAAAGTATATAAGATGGTGTGTGTGCACATATGAGTGTGTTTGTCCTAGACAATCCCCATATATTTCAAAATTAAGAGACACAATTCTATATAAACCATGGATCAATAAAGAAATTATAATGGAAACTGGAAAATATTTGAGCCAAATATTAAGGAAGATAAACACTGAAATTTTAAGATGAAGCTAAAGGTGTGCTTAAAGAGATATTTATGGTCTGAAACACATGTAAGTTTAAAAAACAGAAAAGCATAAAATCAATGAGCTAGATGACACAAACAAATGGAAACACATCCCATGCTCACGAATGGGTAGAATCAATATTGTGAAAATGACCATACTGCCAAAAGCAATCTTAAAATTCAATGCAATTCCCATCAAAATACCACCATCATTCTTCACAGAACTAGAAAAAAACAATTCTAAAATTCATATGGAACCAAAAAAGAGCCCACATAACCAAAGCAAGACTAAGCAAAAATAACAAATCTGGAGGCATCACATTACCTGACTTCAAACTATCCTATAAGGCCATAGTCACCAAAACAGCATGGTACTGGTATAAAAATAGGCACATAGATCAATGGAACAGAATAGAGAACCCATAAATGAACCCAAATACTTATAGCCAACTGATCTTTGACAAAGCAAACAAAAACATAAAGTGGGGAAAGGACACCCTATTCAACAAATGATGCTGGGATAATTGGCAACACACATGTGGAAGAACGAAACTGGATCCTCAACTCTCACCTTATACAAAAATCAACTCAACATGGATCAAAGACTTAAATCTAAGACCTGAAATCATAAAGATTCTAGAAGATAACATCAGAAAAACCCTTCTAGTATTGTCTTAGGCAAAGACTTCATGACCAAGAACCCAAAAGTGAATGCAATAAAACCAAAGATAAATAGGTGGGACTTAATTAACCTAAAGAGCTTTTGCATGGCCAAAGGAACAGTCATCAGAGTAAACAGACAACCCACAGAGTGGGAGAAAATCTTCACAATCTATACATCTGACAAAGAACTACTATCCCAGAACCTACAAATAACTCAAAAAAATTAGCAAGAAAAAAAAACCAGTACCATCAAAAAGTGGGCTAAGGACATGAATAGACAATTCTCAAAAGAAGATATACAAATAGCCAACAAATATATGAAATAATGTTCAACATCACTAATGACCAGGGAAATGCAAATCAAAACCACAATCTGATACCACCTCACTCCTGCAAGGAGGGCCATAATCAAAAAAAAAAAAAAATAGATGTTGGTGGGGATATGATGAAAAGCGAGCACTTTTATACTGTTGGTGGGAATGTAAACTATTACAAACACTATGAAAAACAATGTGGAGATTCCTTAAAGAACTAAAAGTAGATCTACTGTTTGATCCAGCAATCCCACTATTATAATAGGTATCTACACAAAGGAAAAGAAATCATTATATGAAAATAACACATATATATGCATGTTTATGGCAGCATAATTTGCAATTTGCAAAATATGAAACCAAATGCCCATCAATCAAGTGGTTAGAGAAAATGTGATATACGTATATATATACAGAATAGAATATATATACAGATAGAATATATATACAGATAGAAATATACACACACACACACACACACACACACACACACACACACCATGGAATACTACTCAGCCACAAAAATGAATGAAATAATGGCATTCACAGCAACCTGGATGGAATTGGAGACTATTATTCTAAGTGAAGTAACTCAGGGAATGGAAAATCAAACATCTTATGTATGTTCCCATTCTTAAGTGAAAGCTAAGCTATGAGGATGCAAGGCATAATAATGATACATTGGACTTTAGGGACATGGGAGAAAGGGTGGGGGGGGCGGTGGTAAGAGATAAAAGACTACACATTGGGTACAGTGTACACTGCTCAAGTGACAAGTGCACCGAAATCTCAGAAATCACCAGTAAAGAACTTATTCATGTAACTAAACACCACCTGTTCCCCCAAAAACCTATTGAAACTAAAAAAAATAAAACATTTAAAAAAATAAAAATTAGGAAATGAAAAGTAAGCCAAATACAAAGTAAAAGGAAGAAAACAACAAAGATATGAGCAGGACTCCATGAAATGGAAAGAAAACACTCCTAGTAATGAAGTCAAAATTGGTCTTAAAAAAGGCTAATAAGTTAGATTAAAATGACATGATGGATTAAGTTTTAAAAATGGAAAGCAGGCACAAATAACCAACATCAGCAAAGAAAAACAACACTCCAAGGTAAGGATATTATAAACAAATGTGTGCAAATAAATTTAAAAGGTTAGATGAACTAGTCAAATTCTTAGAAAAACACAAATTTCAAAACTGATAGAAGATGAAATAGAAATCTGAGTGCTTCTATGACTACTAATAAAATTTAATCCATAATTAAAAATTTTCACCCCTGCACCCCAACACTTCATCACCAAAATCCAGACTCAGGTGGGTCATTAGGTGAATTTTACCAAACATTTAAGGGAGAAAATAACATGATTTTAGAAAAACTCTTCCAGATTACTGAAAAAAAAAAAAAACAGAAATACTTTCTACCTCATTTAATGATGCTAAAATAACTGATAACATAGCTGTAAAATTTTTAAACAAAATATTGGTCAATCAAATACAGCAATATGCAAGAAGGACAATACATCCTAATCACACTATTCCAGGAATCCAAGGTTGATTTAACCTTGGAACTGGTCAATATATTTTACAACATTCACAAAATAAAAGAATAAAATAATATGACCAGATTTATGGATATAGTAAAAAGACTTGTTAAAATCCAACATCTACACATAATAAAAAGTCTTAGCAAAATAGAAATAGAAAGGAGCTGATGTGGTTTGGCTGTGTCCCCAACCAAATCTCATCTTGAATTCTAACTTCCACAATTCCGACATGTCATGAGAGGAACCTGGTGGGAGGTGATTAAATTATGGGGGCGAGTCTTTCCTGGGCTGTTCTTGTGATAGTGAATGAATCTCACAAGATCTGGTGGTTTTAAAAATGGGAGTTTCTCTGCATAAGCCCTTTTTTTGCCTGCTGCCATCCACGTAAGATGTGACTTGGTACTCCTTGCCTTCCACCATGATTCTGAGGCTTCCCCAGCCACGTGGAACTGTGAGAGCTCCATTAAACCTCTTTCCTTTGTAAATTGCCCAATCTCAGGTATGTCTTTATCAGCAGAGTGAGAATAGACTAATACAGGCACTTTCTAAGTAACACAAGTTTTATTTACATACTTACTGGTAAAATGTTGAAAACTTTTCCTCCAAGATTGAGAATGAGACAATGGTGCTTTCTATACCTACCATCAATTTCATATTATACTAAAAGGCATAGTCTATGTAATAGGGCAGGAAGAAATATAAATGTATAAGGATTGGAAAGGAAGAAGTAAAATTATCATTTTTCACAGTAGATATGATTTTGTACATAGAAATCTCAGAAGAATCCACAAAAATAATTAATAAGTAAATTAGCAAGATTGTCACATACAAGGTCAATATGCAAAAATCAATTATAGTTTTAAATACCAAGAAAAAAAACAATTCGAAAATACAATTTAGAACAATACCATTAAGCTCATAGCTTAGTTTATGCCCTGCCTCCTGAGGGTAGGCCAAACTTAGTGACATATTTAAAGAATAGAGAGAAAGGTAAAAATAGTAAATTCACAGTGAAGAAATCTGACAAGCACCACCAATGATAAAGGTTAAAATCATCACTGATATCATGTGGTTGCATTGTACCCTCTAATATAATGTAACTTTACCTCTATATAATCTTTTAAATAAACCCATATCACCAGTCCAATAATGAGGAAAACATCAGCCAAATCCAGATTGGAAGATTTCTACAGGATACCTGGCCAGTAATCTTCAAGATTGCCGACATCACAAAAAGAAAGAGTAAAGAAAGACACAGATTCCAGACAAAGGAGACACAACTAAGTGCAATGTGGTTTCTTGAATTTGCTCCTGTAACAGAAAGAGGTCATCTACTGAAAAAAGTAATGAAATCCAAGTAAAGCCTGGTGTTTACAGTGTTTAGTTAATAACAGTGCAAAAAACAAACAAACAAACAAAAAGCTAGCATTTCTAGTCAAGAGCATTGGTGGAAGGGAAGGTGACATTTATGAAGGCCAAACCCTCCACCTAAAGTTTTATCTCCTGGCCTTACCATTAAGAGGTTACCTAACATTAACTTGCCTTCTTACAGTGACAAGGAGGTCACCACCTGTAAGTGCCTGGTCATTAGGAAGTTCTTCCTTATGTTTTCCTAACTATCTTTGATCATGGGTTCTTGTTCTACTCTCTGGGTGCTGATGGGCATGTAGGGCTAGGTGCTGAGAATATAATACCAATTCCCTGCAATCTTCTAGATAGGAATCTTCCCCAAGACTGTCTTTGAATCGCTGTCACAAGTATTTTCATTGCTGACAGCTTGGAAGCTTTGGGATCTTGGAATGCATAATGGGCCAGAGGAGTACAGGATGCAGCCTTTATTAGTACAGCCAGAGTCACTCAAGGGACTTCATGGCACGTCTAAGAACACATAAGTAATTTGGGCTGCTTTCTTTTTATCCTGGAAGCTTGTAACACCTCCTGTTGCTGTCAGACAGGAAATACAAACTCATTTTTAACAGTAAACTGAACAAAACATAATGTGGAAAGAAAGTCAGATTTGAGGATTATTGATATTTTGATTTTATTTGTACATTTTCCTCCTTAATTCCAATGTCTTAAAAAGAACTTTTAAAGAAGTAACTGTAGTGTATATCTTAAGAGAAAATGATTTGATGATAAGATGCTAAAATTAACATATGTCATCAGTAGTGGTCTTGAAATTAACAGATGCTTTGAAAATGAACATGTAGTGTCTGAAAATGACTAAATATGAAAACTTCATTAATAAATACTCTGTAGGGGGTATGCCCATTCTGTATGAACTTGAAATTCTCAGAAAAGCAACTGGAAATGACCCTTAAAGCCAATCCAATCCAAACATCTACTTTTTAGAAAGTCATTATTAGTTGTGTTATTGTTGGTATTTGTGTTCATTCACATGGTTTTGCCTTCCATACTATAAGTGAATTTGAACGGTAACTATCAACTTCAAGTACTTGGAAAATACTTTCATGCAAAATGTATTCTATCAACCTCCACCCTTCTTTTCCCTCCCCTCCCTTTTTCTCCTCTCAGTTTTAATATTAAATGTATTCTATCTCTCTTTTTATTATTATTTTTAATTGACACATAATAATTGCACATATTTACAGGGTACAGTGTAATTTTTTTTCTACATGTGTACAATGTTTAATGAAGCCACCTCCTTTAATGGAGGGGAGAACTGGGATTCAGAAAATGAATGGAGTTTGCCTAGGGTCACATAGTGAGCTACTAATACATACAGTACTAAGCTCATTTCCTGCTATTCCAAGTCCAGGGCCCATTTTAGGTGGCCTCCAGATACAATAGAAAATATGGGTTTCTAATTATTTTCTATCGATAATTGGCCACTGCCAGGAATGGCAAAGGAAAACTTTCCCTCTCACCCTAGTTTTTTTTCTTGACCTCTTGGGATTGCTCCTTTTCTTCCATAAATTTTTACAATGTCTGACAAATCAAACAAACAAAACCAACAAATAAAATGAAAACTAAGAAATATAACCTTATCTAATAATTTATTTATAATTGCTATTTAATAGAATTGCATAATTCTCTATAATTCTATAATTATATAAATTGTATAATTCTTATTTCTCATTATTTATCTAAGAATTATTATACTATCCACCATTTAATGAGTGCTTTCTACATGCCATTTGGTACACAGCCCTCCCAACAAATCTATGAGGTAGATACTGTCTATCCGTTTTCCTTGGGCAGGTGTAGAGCATCCAGAATCAGATAATCCTGGGTCTGAATCCCTGCTCACCCAAGTTACTTGCCAATATCCGCCTCAGTTTCCTCATGTGTACAATGGAGGTGGCACCTACTCTGTGATGCATGGAAAGTAGGTAGCACAGCTTCTGGCTCAGAGTGTCTAATTTATGACAATTATTATTTATATTGTTATCAAGAAATAGAAGCTCCAGAGAAAAAATTAACTAGTTGTTTAAAGTCTTGCAGAGCTAGGATTTGAAGGTGACATCAGTTTATGCAATACATGTCTCACATCAGTCTACATTGCACACACATAAACACACACACACATTCAGAGTAAACTAGAGACTTTTTTCTCATATAAAATAAGCCTCGAGTTGACAGTCCAGACTATTATGATGGCTCTGTGATGCCTTCTACGGCCCAGCCTCCTCCTCTTTTCTGCTGTGCCTCCTTGGTGCCGGGCTGCATCTTCAGGGTATCCTCATGGTCGCAAGATGGTGGCTGTACCATTACCATGTTCCAAAAAAGCCAAAAGGAAGGAGGAATAATGAGGAAGAATAAAAGATGTCTCCAAAATGGCTTCTTAATTCTTCTGTTCAAATATACAGGCTGTCCCTGTGCATTGTGCCAGGTACTAAGACATTCAGGACTATTTTTCCTAGTGTGTAGTATTAGATCAAGTGGAAAGAAGAAACTGGGAGTTAAGCAAACAGGTTTCTTAGATCATACTTTCCCACTGTATTAGGCCATTCTTGCATTGCTATAAAGAAATACCTGAGACTGGGTAACTTATAAAGAAAAAAGGATTAATTGACTCGCGGTTCTGCAGGTTGTACAGGAAGGGTAACAGTGGCATGTGCCTCTGGGGAGGCTTCAGGAAGCTTCCGCTCATGGTGGAAGATGAAGGGGACCAGGCATCACGCACAGTGGGAGCAGCAGTAAGAGAGAGAAGGGGGAGGTGCCACACACTTTTAAACAACCAGATCTCGCAAGAGCTCACTCACTATCATGAAGATAGTACCAAGAGGATGGTACTAAACCATTCATGAGAAATCTAACCCCCTGTTCCCATTACCTTTCACCAGACCCCACCTCCAACATTGGGGATTACATTTCAACATGAGATTTGGGTGGGAACAACTTCCAAACTATATCACCCACCGAATAAGACAGTCTTTCTCCCATAACTCAGTTTCCCTACCTGTCGATTGAGGAAGTTGAGTAAGGTGGATTATTTAAAATTCTGTGCTGTGCATTTCTCTATGGCAAATGATCATGGCATCCTCACAAAGGAGTGTTCCATTGACCAGGTGCCCACTTGGCATACAGAGAGGAACATCACTGCCAAAATCACACAGCTGGCTCTTGGCTGTCACTGTATGTTGCAGGCCCGCATCTTGCTCTGAGCCATGATGCCAGGGAGCCCCTCTGCACTAATTTCCTTCTCTGTGTGCCAACAAGCCTCCCACACTTTAGAGTTTGCAGCCAATGGTTTGCAGGCCTTGGAGTGCCCAAGCTACTGACATTTCTGGCACTCCTACACTTTTTCAATTCTTTTTTCTATTCCTCACAACTGCATGCCCCCCAACCCCAAGCTTTCTGATAGGATTGATCTCATGAACAACTCATCCTATGGTGTTAACAGCTGAGTGTGACTCACAAGGAGCAGGGGAGGCAAAGTGACATGCTTTTTTGTTTTGTTTTGTTTTGACATGGAGTCTTGCTCTGTTGCCAGGCTGGAGTGCCGTAGCATGATCTCGGCTCACTGTAACCTCTGCCTCCCGGGTTCAAGCAATTCTCCTGCCTCAGCCTCCCGAGTAGCTGGGATTACAGGCAAGTGCCACCATGCCTGGCTAATTTTTTGTATTTTAGTAGAGACGGAGTTTCACCATGTTGTCCAGGATGGTCTCGAATTCCTGACCTCGTGATCCACCTGCCTTGGCCTCCCAAAGTGCTGGGATTACAGGCGTGAGCCACTGCACCCGGCCCAAAAATGGTGTTTCAAAACTCCCTTCTAAGTGCCTGCTGTTGTACTGTTGCCACCTTCCCATGTCATCCTCATAATGAGATTTGTGGCAATATCCCCACTTGATGGATGAGGAAACTGAGGCATAGAGCAGGTAAGTAAGGTTATACAGCTAGCATGGTGCCAGTCAGGATTCAAAGGCAAGCCCATATGGCTCCCAAGTTTATAAAATATTTGCAATTTAATTTCAGGAAATGCCTGCATTTTGAGCCTTCTCAATGGTAGGCTCAATGGTAGACTTTCTAACTCTCTCTCAAGGTTGAAATATGAATTATTTTGTGCACAAGGCCATCTCTTTGTGCTCCAATGTCACCTTTTGCCTTCTCTGTGCTCTATCCTGATATTTAGTGGCAGTGGATTAGCCTCATTTATTTGGGAGAGTCATACTGAGCTTTACAGCTCTTTTTACTTGCTGGTGTTGGCCAGGTATGCCCAGGACATCTCTGCCAGCTGGCATGGCAGCCTCATTGTTACTCCTGAATTCTAAAGAGGACATTTGCTCTCACCACACAGGTACGGATGCCTTGGGCTGGCCCCAGGAAAATGCTGCCAAGGCTCCATGCTGTGCTGCCCGCTGCATAACTCACCTGAATTCATTGCTCCTTGAAGAGAATGTTTTTTCATCCCTCTGCAAAAAGTCAGGGTGAAAACCACTTTGTTAACAGAGAGATATGAAGAAATGTACTAAGAAAATTTCAAAGAGAGAGAAGGAATCAATAACACTGAAGAAAAATAGGATGAATGCGACACCTGGAAACACATTTTTCACCAGCAGTATTGTCATTCTAGTCTAAAGAATAACCAAATGAAAGATTCCTACCTGAGGCTGCCAAAAACACCTAATTACAGAGAAATATTAGCTGATTTCAAGTCCCTGAAATGTGTTTGGTAGAACACTAATTTTTAAAAGATGATTAAAAGATCTTCTGCTGGGAAATATAGTCTATAGTCAAAACAATTGAAAAATATCTAGGTTACACAAAATTAACTGGCTTTGTCATTTCCTTGCTGAAGATTTCTCATGTCTTTAATATGTTAATGAACATTATGAATTTCTAACAGGGAACTGTAGTATGCAGGATTTTCCAGACTTCACAAACTTCCTGACCTTCACAAAGTAGGTCCTACCCATTCTCTATCACCAAACCATGTTCATTTTCTCCTTGGACTGTACTACAATGTACTAAAATGTGGAATGTTAGATTTATTTATTGGTTTACTGGTGTGTAGATCTTCCCCAGTGGATACTGTGACCTCCAGGAGGCTAGGTCCAGGTCAGTCTTACTCACTAGAGTGTCCCCAGCATCTAGTGCTGAGTCTAACACACAGAAGCTATTGCAGAAACATCTGTTTTATCACTGTGGGTTTTCTTTTTCTTTTTCTTTTTCTTTTTTGTAAAGCAATTGGCAAAGTGTCTGGCACAAAATAAGTGCTCAGTAAATGTTAAACATATGCACCATTACTATCCCCTTTTACAGATAAGGAAACCAAGGCTCAGAGAATTCAAGTAACTTGCTCAAGATCACACAGGCAGTAAGTGATGATGACTGGATTTGAATCCAGACATTCTGGTCCTAGAGCCCACACTATTGAATTAAATTAATGTATCAGGTCTCTGCTCAATCCCAAGAGGGAGGCAGAAGTGAATAATTACAGTAAGTCCTGGCTCAGAGGGCAGCCAGCATCTTTTGGATTAAGATGGATGGTTTGGCGCGTTCTCAGAGAGCTGAGAAAGTTCATGTTCATTGAGAGCTTACTGTGTGGCAGATACTCTTATACACGTGTGAACCCATTTAATCCTTAGGCTCTTCAGGAATTGGGTAATCCCATTTCCTCCTGTAGTGAACCAAACTGAAGCTCAGAGAAGCTAAGGGACCTGTCCAGGGTCACTGGGCCAGGAAGCACCCAAACAGAGATTGTCTGATTCTAGAGCACCTGGCCTGGGTGGAACCACTCAAGCAGATGGCTGGACTGGGGTGTGGAAGAGCAGAGGCCCAGAGGGAGTTCTTGGAGCAAGGGCTGTCACTCTAGATTCCTTCTTCTTCTGTTGCCAGGCTCCTGTTCCAAAGAGCTATGTGGCATCAACCCTTCAGCCCTAATGCTACCCAGGAGCTGATCAAGAGACAGAGAAGCCCCACTCCTTGCCCTCACTTTGTTACCTAGCTCACCTAGCCTTCTGATCTGGTTAATTAAGTGGACTCTGGGGCCTGAGTGCATACGCATTTTCACCACCTACTAACTCTATGGCCATAAGCTATCTCACCCCTTTGAGCCTCACATATAAGAATAGGGCCAACTTCACTAGGACGCTGTAAGGATTCATCAAAATGATGCCTAAGAAGTACTTTAGCTCATTGTTTGGCACATTTCAGATATCTATGAAGTAGCTGTCATTCATGAAGTAATGAATCATCCCTCATCACCCAGGCTGGTGGTGCTGAGGGGACTGTGGATGCTTTCTAGTTCTTATCCTCGGTGGGTCACAAGGATATATGGGTAAGCACAGCACTCAGCATATAGAAGGTGCTCCATAAATATTGAGTTTACTTGGCTTCTTCTCCAGAATCAGCAAAAACAGAAAGCTAGGAAGAGGTGAATGTGCTGTGGCATGCCCAGAGCAGCTAGGGGCAGCGGCACAATGGGATGGCCATCTCTCCCTCCCTCTCTGGGTACATCTCAAGGGATATGGTGGGCCTGCAGGGCAGCTTTCAGAGCCTTTCTGAGGAAAGCTTCTTTGTCTCCAGGACATGCATGTTTACCTGGCTCTTTCAAGGGGATGCCCAGGTTGAAGGCTTCTCAGGCAGCAGGTCAGCATTCGTTTTACCACCTTTGTGGGCTGTCTCCAATTATGCTATGAAGCAACCTTCTGCCAAATAATAAATTCAAGATCCCATTTTTTCATGCAAATGCCACACCTGGGGCCAGAGGGATCTTGTCTGCTTGTCCTGAGATGAATTAGTAAGTGGTCCATGGATCCAGCTCTTTCTGTGTGCCTGGCTGCCTGCTAGCCCCTCCCAGGTCTCACATCAGTGAACCCTCACCCTTTCTGTGAGGCAGATGACAGCATCTCCAATTTTCAGGCGTGGAAGATGAAGCCAAGAGAGATTAGGTAATTTGTGCAGTTGTGTTATTCCTAAGGGGTGGAGCCCTTTGGCACCAAATTTTGTCTCTTATCAATATGCACCTCTACTTCCCACCACAAATTCTATTTCTCCCTACAGGTGGAATATCCGGCTGGCTCTTAGGAGACCCAGGTTGTAGGCCTGACACAGCCTCTAATTTGGGTAACCCCAGCAAGCTATTTAATTTCCTTCAGCCTGGGTTTCACTGTCAAGAAAGTAATAATGATGAGAACAATAATAATCATTTATTGTGTCATTACCGGGCATACTATGGAATTACCTGTGGCATCCTACTGAATCTTCACACCCATGCTTTGAGGCAGTCAATAATTTCTCTTGTTTCTCAGAAAGAGAAGGAGGTCCGTAGTGAGGAAGTGATTGGTCAGTTTCACAGCCAATCAGTGGCTAGGCCAGGATCCAGCGTGGAGTGGGATCCTAAGCAATGCATATCCAGCCTTCTGTCCCCAGAGGGGGAGAGGGTTGCACTATAATCTCTGAGGCGCCTTCTAGATCAATTTCTGGGATTCTAAGAAGGTACTAAGACAATGCCAAGGTGGCAGAGACTCAGGTCCACAGGACGGTTCAGTCATTCCAGGGCCATCCCATGTATCACTCTATCCTATCGATTCTCAGGCCCTGAGCTTTTGCTATCTCTTGGTCCCTGCTTGCCTTACCCTGTTCTTTCTCTACATTCTGTGAGCTCCCTTCCTTCAAGCCTCAAATCAAGTTTCACTTCCTCTGACCACTTCAGAGACACTTGGGCCTGTCTCTGCTCTTCGCACTTATTTGACACACATTTTGGATAACTTTGATTGCTACTTGACTTTAAGCTTCTAGTCTTGGATGTGACAGGTGCATAGTGAGCCATAGGATGATGACTTCACATGCATATTTCATATATGTTCATGCAGCCTGTGTGCTCCTACAGGTCCCCAGTGCATACATGGGGTGGTAACATACATTTTAACATTATGATTTCAAACCAATTTTAATGCATTATTTCCAAACTCAGTTTCTTTTATTTTTTTTACATTAAAAAGATTTAGATTCAGGGAGTACCTGTGCAGGTTTGTTACATAAGCATATTGCATGATGCTGTAAACTGTTTCTTTTTGTAGTTTTTTACCATCTTCCATGCCCTTTTCTACTACCTTTGAGGCAATTGAGGTCCAGGATGCTTCCACAAAACCAGGGCAGCAAATGCCATTAGCAGAAGCAGAACAACAAAGCGGTGTCAACTGAGATTCTCCATTCCAGGTTCTCAAACCCACCACAAGCGTCCTTAGTAAGGCTTTAGCTGGCCACAGCTAATAAATATGTCCTTCTCATTCCCTCTTTACTAGTAAGTCCTTTCATCCTCTTCCAAATAAGCCACACAGAGGCAGAGACAAGGAGAGGACCATAAAGGCCTGAATGAAGGAGGATGAAGTCCGCTGCTACGTTAGCTCTGTCCCCAAGAGAGAACTAGGGACATTTGCTCATCTGGACAGTTGTTACTGAGAAATATCATGTGGCTTCAGAGCTGCCATGATGCCACTAAGGAGCCAAGTAATGCACCTAGTGTAGAATCACATCTGTTTGCCTAATGTTAACCAGAAATACCCACTTCTCACCTAGCCTCCTGCCCTGTGATGAGACAGTAGCAGAGCATTGCAGACATCTAACAGATGGTGGAATCCAAGTACAGGGACCTTGTTAAAGGGTCTTTAGAAAAGGTGGGGAATGGTCAGAAGCGTCTGTCACCCACTGGAGGCCAAGGCTGTGCAGGGAGGGTGCAGTGTGTACAGTGTAGGATTTCCCCCATAAAAACCTTCTGACAAACCAATTACAGACACACCAGGCATATTGAAGAGGACTCTTGATGTTAATAATTTATTAGTATGAAGCTACTTCCTCAAAAGTAGCCCGTTGTTCAGGTCGCTAAGTCAATACCCGGCATCAAAACCTTTTTCTGAAATGTCAGGCCAGGAGGGACCTGATGGAGAAACTGAGAGCCACTTGCAGGTAGAATTACTATGTATTCATGTCTCTGCATACCCTTTTTAAGCTTTAGTGTTTGTTTATTTAAAGACAGAAAAGAGGCACACACTGGTGGTTAAACCCTGGCTGAGTTGTGGCTGTATGTCCCTAGGAAGGTAACCTGGGCTTTCTAAGCCTCTGCTTTTTCATCTGTAGACTGGAGATGGTAATAGTAACTGTTTTGTAAGGTTGTTACCAAGGTCCAGTGTGATCTTGTATATGGTACTGGTAGCCCCATCTGGTGTCCAATAGGTGGTAGCTGTTATACATGGACATACCAAGATTACTGACTGTCAGAGAGGGCTGTTCATTGCTGTCACTTCTCCCCAACTCTTCAAAGGAAGACATCACTGCAAGCCCCAAATCTCCTTTCGGCTTCTTACAGAGAAAGTAAGAAAGCCTTTTCTGGAAAAATGCTCCATGGAGAAGAATGAAGTCACTTTGTTGGTGGTGAAAAGACCATTTGAGAAACCCTGATCATGAGCTGAATCTCCAAGCTGTTCCTAAAGGAGCTAAACTTTGCCTGTTGCAGGTGGGTAGAGGAGACAGAAAGTGGGCGAAGAGCTTCCCAGCACGTGGAAACCTTCCGATCTGGCTCACCTCACCATCTTCATGATTCCCCTGGAGCACACACTGGTTCTGTGTCTGGCTGAGAGGGGCAAGGGAGCTGACCCTGCTCTCCGAATGAAGAAGGTGCTTTCTTTTTCTCTTTGAAAGAATCTTCAAGGACAATTTTAAGGTCTCTAAGATGGGGAAGTTTCCTTCTATTTTTGAGTGATGGACACTTTCTTCCTGGTGTTGTTGTTGGTTTTGGCTGTGGTCTCTTTAGTCTATTTGCCTCAATGACTAAAATTTTAGAAGAGGAAATATTTGGAAAAATATTCTCTACTCAAAAAATGGCAGAAAGGATTTAGATGACGCATTTTTAACTGAAGTAATTATTGAAAGCTGAATGAAATAATTACTCTTATAATAATAATGATGAACCCACATACTGTTCCTGAAGGTTGATGCTGGCCCATAGGTCCAATCTATGTGTATTGCCGTAATAAGCAGAGTGTATCTGCCTGCTATGTTTATCAAGCATGAGGTAAGAAGTAGTTGCAAACAAGACTAGAATAAAAGCAGAAAGGGAAATAAAATTTGGTGAATGCTCATATGTGCTGACAAGGCCAGAGGTTTTCATGTTAATACCCACCTCCAACAATCCCAAAAAATAGATGTCATTATTATCCTAACTATACAAATGAGGAGAATGAGGCATTCCCAAAATTATGTAGTTTGCAGTAGAGTCTGGATTTTTCTCACCTGAGAGTCCATGGTTTTGACCACTGTTCTATCTCTAGACCCCAAGAGAATTCAGTGGAAGAAATTCTGCATTTCCAATTAAACACTAGCAAGAATGCAAGGCCTTACTATGTTGATTTTTCCCAACTTTTCCCAACTGTTTCCCAATCTTTTCCCAACTGTTGTCCAACTTTAACATTTTGGAAGTTGTTTACAAGTATTATGTTCTGTTGATGTAGGGGAAAAAAATGAACTGAGAAATAATGGTGATAAAACTATGCAATTTATTATTATTTATAGCTCATTTGTCTGGACGGTTACATAAAAACTGAGCAAAGGGACCAGGCACAGTGGCTCACACCTGTAATCTCAGCACTTTGGGAGGCCGAGGGGGGCAGATCACTTGAGGTCAGGAGTTCTAGACCAGCCTGCCCAACATGGTGAAACCCCCTCTTTATTAAAAATACAAAAATTAACTGGGTGTGGTGGGGCACACCTATAATCCCAGCTACTTGGGAGGCTGAGGCAGGAGAATCGTTTGAACCTGAGAGGTAGAGGTTGCAGTGAACAGAGATTGTGCCACTGCACTCCAGCCTGGACGACTGGGCAATAGAGTGAGACTCAGTAAAAAAAAAAAAAAAGGGAAGGAAGGAAGGAAGAAACAGAGCAACAGAAAAAATGTGTGGTGGAGAAGACTTCGAAGCTTGGAGGATCTGAGTTCCAATCCCTACTAGCTTACTAATCAGCTGTCACCTTAGAGTAAATTACTTAATTTTTCTGCCCTTCAATTTGCTGATCTGTTAATTAAGAAAAATGGTAACTTCCTCCTTTGAGGAAGAACACTTTTGTTCTTGTGAGAAATAAATCCTTTAAAAATTGTGAAACACTTAGGACCAACTAGATATAGCACGGAGCAGACTCTAAGAATTTGAAGCTGTGTTCAACATTTTGATCACTTATTCAGAAATCTTTATTCTATCCTATGAACTGAGCTTCTGCAGGATGCTAGGTTTATTTTTAAGCAGATCAGCTGTTCAAAGACAGCTGCAGTAACCATGACCAGTCAACTGGCAAATAATAAAAAGTAGGAGTATTTCCACTAAAGGAAAAATTTCTCAGAAGTGCCCTACTGGGAGATATTAACAACTACTACCTACATTTGCAAAAGTGAATACCTTTCCTCCATGGATGGTTATATTTGGTATTCTTCATATATTTATGTAAACACAGGTATTTCAAATTTCCCATCCCTTTATATTCATTGGATTTTCAAGAGAAAAATAATCCATGTGAGATATTACAAAAAGAACACTTTGGAAAGAGATCTGCAGCTGTATGGAAGAATTCCTTCTCTCTCCTCTTTTGGTCCAAAAGTCATGATGAACTCCGTGACTCTCAGTAAAGTATTGCCAGACTGGTTTCCAATCATGTGCCTTATTCTTCCCAACCTGTGAGCTCCTGTTCAGAGTTGCTTAATTAACTTGGACCCAAGTTACTGTTTTTTTTTACTTGCCAGTTCAACTTGATGGAATGTTCAAAGTAAAATTTCAAAAAGCAGAAAAGGGAAGCTGCTGTTTTCCCCAGTGTCCAGGGTTTTTATTTACCTTTTTCTCCTTTGTAGGGGAAAACTCAAGAACTTCTCCTGCCTGGATCTCTATAACCAACTCCCCAATCCCACTGTGAAGGGACATTTCATTTTGCTAACTAATTAATAATACTCCTTTTGAAGGAGAACAATCCCCAAAAGTCTCTGCCCAAAGCCCTTTGATCACTTGTTCTTAATGAAATAAAGCAATTCAATAACTATAAGACAGAAATGTTAACATTTAAGACCTTAACTGAGGTTCTTTCATGGGAGAATAAGCATCTAATGAGTTTTCATGTTTTCCTTTCCTATGCTTGTAACACTTTATGTATTTGCTGTTTGTCTGGGGAGGAAGTGTTTGGGAGGCTAGGGACGAGGAGTTAGCCAAAAGGAAATATGGCTGGCTGGCTTAATTATTTTTCTTTGTTTAGAATAATATCCTTTAGAATGAAGAACGGCAGTGCATTGCCCTGTATAAATTACTTTACATTAGCTTCCTACCCAGTGGGAAAGGAGGAAGAGAGAGCACTAGCTTACCTAACTCTGCCTAGGGGAACAGCATCACAGGACTGTGGTTAATGCAATTTATTAAATGCATTTTTAGTTTCTTGGCAAAGAAAATCAACCTTTGAATAAAAGACATAATTGTTTTTATACTCCTAATATGAACCTTTATGTATCTCTTTATTATGGGGTAGCTCAGAGAGTGCAAATGTTCTATTCCTTTGGGGAGATTAATTCAGCATTCATGCTTTGAAATCTTAAAACATACCAGGTTCTGGATCTAACATTCATTGATGACTTCATAACTGTTCTCAGCTCTAGCTGAGAGTAACCTGTGGAAATGTAGAAATACACTAATTTATCTTGTCCCCCTCCATCCTGAATACCCACAGAGTTTCAGATTCACAGGGTCCGGAGGGTTCAGCTGTCTGTAGTTTAAGAAGTACCCCAGGTGGTTCTGATGATCCTTCATGTTTGAGAACTAAGAATTCGTAAGAATGGTTCTTACACTTTAGTGTGCATCAGAATCTTCTGGGCTCACATAGCTGAACCCCATCCCCAGTGCTTCTGATTCAGTAGGTCTGGGACAGAGTTTGAGAGTTTGCTTTTCTACAAAGTTCCCAGATGATGTTCCCAGAGGATACTGCTGATCCTGAAACCACACTTTAAGGATCAGTGATCTAAAATAGAGGTCAGCAAACTATGGTCTGCGAACCAAATCCAGCTTGCTTCCTATTTTTGTAAATAAAATGTTATTAGATCACAGCCACATTCATTCATTTACATATTCTTCATGGCTGCCATTGCCCTATAATGGCATAGGTGAGTAATTGCAAAAGAGACTGTATAACCCATAAAGCCTAAAAATATTTACTATTTGCAGAAAAAATTTGCCAGCTACTGGACCAAGAGATGGTAGTCCAATCTTGGGCTTTTAACTGGGGATAGTGTTGTCAGATAAAATATAGAGCACACAGTTAAATTTAAATATCAGATAAACAAAGAATATTTTTAAAATTAAAAGTATATCCCCAATATTGCACGGAACATAGGTATACTAAACAAATTATTCAATAAATCTCATTTCATTGGCCTGAACTAAGTCACCGGGCATAACCAGATGTAAAGTAACATTCAGTGAGGGTGTTTCCAGGCAGGGTAGCACTGTGACTCAATAGAATTTTGTGAAGAAAGTTGGGAATGGTATTTGAGACTAAGTGCAAGCTTCATCCACACACCCTTGGGAATAGGACCAACTCTGGAGGCAGGTACCCATCCCCCTGCAAGACAAGATGGGAAGGAGTCTTCAAGCAGCTGTGGCCTGGAGAGCAGAGTGAGACAGGGAATAGCAAGTGCCCCCAAAAGACTCTGGTTATCGCTGGTAAGATTAATCCTTCTGCTCCAGACATGTGCTTCTTTTTCCTCAGAGAGGTATCAGTAACTGAGCACCAGAGACTTGACTAGTTCCTGCTTCTGATATTCCTAGGTCATTCTAGCATGGACCCACTAGAGCTGGGTGATCTATTGCAGCTACTAGGCATGAGGCTTGCACTGAACAGATTTGCCCATGTAGTATTTTGAGTTGCTTTTTAGAGGTTCCATCTGACACTTAAAATTTGCCTTTCTGCTGAAAGAACTCCTGCCATACTAAACTTTTCTCACTCTTACACATTCAACGTTTCAGTAAAATAAACAGTCATGGCTATTAGTGTTATTTCATGATACACTGACCATTATGGTGTCTGAGAAAGATATAAAAATTGTGTTGTATGCAAATGTTGATCTAAGGGATCATATGGCTTAATGATCATATAGTTAAGGGATCATATGGCATATGCTTTGGAGTGATACGGAATCTAAATTTGAATCTGCAAATTTGAATCCAGGCTGGATTGCTCTTATACTGCTCTTTTTAGCTTCTTACTTGCTTATGACCTTAGGCAAAGGCAAGTTATTTAAGCTTCTTGAGACTCAACTTATTCCATTGAACAGTGAGGGCAAAAATAGACCCTATCTCATAGGGTTGTGATGAGGATTAGGGAGACGAAGCATGTAAAGTGTTCAACACACAGCCTGCTCATGGTGAGTGTTCAGTACGTGCGAGTCTGTTGTTATTATTTACTAGCATTAGTTATTATGAATGTAAACAATTAACTATGTGACCAACCACCTATTAGATCTCAAACACATTTTATTTTCCTCCCTCCAGAACTGTAACATTTGGAAAAATTTTTATCAAATTTCAACCCTTCATATATGGATAACTGATTTTCAACAAATGTGCAAAGGCAACATACTGAAGAAAAATGATCTGACAATAAATGGTGCTGGAACAATTGGACATACACATGCAAAAAAAAAAAAGACCCAAACACTTATCAATACTTTACACCAATAAAAAAATTAACTCAAAATTGATCATAGATCCTGATTGTAAAACCTAAAACTATAAAACTTCCAGAATGACGTATAGGATAAAACCTTGTGACCATGGGTTAGGTAAAGATTTTTTTTAGTAGGGCACCAAAAGCAGAATAAAACAACAAAATGATAAATTCCATTTTATCAAAAATTTAAAACTTCAACTGTTTGGCAGACCATCATAAGGAAATGAACAAAAAGGCCACAGATAGGAAGGAAATATCTGCAAATCACACATCTGATAAAGGACTTATATCCAGATTATAGAAATAACTCAGAACTAAATAATAAGAAAACAGCAACCCAATTTTTAAAATGGACAATCTATTTCAACAGTCACTTCACCAAAGTAGATATTTGGACAGAAAATATGTGCATGAAAAGATATCCAACATCCTTACTCATTAAAGAGATGCAAATTCACACTAAAATGAAATATCACTACACATCTATTAGAATGGCTTAAATTTTTTAAAAGTTGGTCATATCAATCCCATGTATTAGTGATGATTTTCTTCATTGCTTGTGGGGATAACAATGATACAATCTCTTTGGAAAAGAGTCTGGCAGTTCCTTAACAAAATTAAATATATATGTACCATATGATGCAGCCATTTCACTCCTATTTACCCCAAGAGAAATAAAAGATAGATATGTTCATACACAGACTTGTATTTGAATGTTCATAGCAGCTTTATTTTTCATTGACAAAAACTGAAAACAGCTCGAATGTCTGTTATCCAGTGAATAAATAAACAAATTGTGGTATGCAGGAGAACACAACTCAGCAATAAGAAGGAATGAACTGTTGATTTATGCAACAACCTGGGGGAAAATAAAAATAATTATGCTAAATGAAAGAAGTCTGACAAAAGAGAGTATATACTGTTTGAGTCTATTTATGTGAAATTCTAGAAAATGCAAACTATTCCACAATGACAGAAAGCTGATTGGTGATTACCTGGGGATTGGGAGCAGGGAGAGATGAAAGGGAGAATTTCCAAAAGGCATAAGGAAACTTTTGGGGGTGACAGATTTTATTATCTTGTTTGTGCTGTTGATTTAACAGGTATAAACGTATGACAAAATATATAAAATATTCATTTAAGTATGTGCAGTTTATTGCATGTTTTTGCATGTACCTTCAATAATGCTAGGTAAAAACAAGTTCAACACTTCACCTTCTGATTTCATCCTCTCTCCACTATCCCCATGCTCTGATCTGAGAATTAAGGCTAGAGCTGATGCTGACTCACTGTGGCAACAACCGCACTTATCTGGACTCTTTGTTGCTGTGAGTTTAATCTCTCCTATTGGATTATAAGGTCCTGGAAGGCAAATCCTGTACTTAGATGCCCCTGGGGCTGAGCCTGCTCTAAGAACAGTGCCCTGCTGTGGCTTCCTGTGCCCTGGTCTGCCCACCTTACTGGCAATTCCAATCTCTAAGTATGTCCTGAGTTGAGACTGCACAGCAGAAACCACCCTGGCAACTAGCCCCACCTTGGCCACTGACTCCTATCCCTGCCAGTAATGCCTGTGTGTTGCCCAGGGTCCCCAAATCTCAATCCTAGGCTGAGCCAACCTCAGGCCATGTCACTGAAGGACTCACATGCCTTTTGCCAGTGCGCGTATGTGTCTCCCTGGGCAAGGCTTTTCCATCGTGTGCCAGAGTGGCTTTAGGAGCAACCCTAATCTAATTTGTCTGGGAGCAAGGCCTGAAGGTTAGAAATTGAAGCTGGTGTCATTGAATCAACATCATTCCCGCTTGGTTACCTGCCCTTATGGGCTGGTATGATCTGATGAGAGCAGACCCGGGATAAGCAGAAAGATGTCTCCGTTCGATCCCTGCCCCCAGGGGAGCAGCCTGCAGGCCAGGCAGACTTGTAGGTCCTCTCTTTCCAGCAGCAACTGAGTCTGGGAATTCTGAGAGGAAAAGGCATCACTACATGGGAGCTATCTTGCGGAAATGCTGATAAATCGCCCCCTACCTCCAAATGGATCTCAGTGTACAGTTTCGTCATGATTTTCAAAAACTAAATAAGCCAGTATAAAATGAAATGGTCTATGCAAAGTAAGTTCTCACAAATGTGATATGTTCCATGTGTTGGATGGAGTTATTAGTCAGCGCTAATGTTTAATTAACACAAAAATGCCCAATCCAAACAGCCACCACTTTCCTGTTCCACAGCTTGATCATGCATAAATTGACTGAAGCTCTGTGAATTTCACCTAATTCATATAATGAACTTCATCATGTGAGGAAGATCCAGGTGGGCCCTGATGGCACAGTCCTTCATTGATGGGCTGGCTCAGGAAGCCCCAGCATTACAGGTCAGCATACACTTGTCCTCAGTGATTAAGGCCCCTTAAAAATTGGAAAGAGATCATAAGACCTACTAAAACCTGAGCCATGCTGAGATTCTGTTTCCCCTCCCTTACTCTTCCTTCTGTGGGCTGCTAAGCCTGCTCCACTACAGTGCCCCAGGGCTCACTGGAGCGCTGGAGCAGACCCCAGAACTCTTAATGTGGGCCACGGCAGACTCCCGCCCCCTCCTAAGACAGCATTCATCAGGCAGAAACAATAAAAATATCCCCTATGTGCTCTGTACTGTGGTAGATACTTTGAGTGTGTTGCCTTTTTAAACCTCACAACAACCCTGTAAGTTAGCAGTTATTATTCCCATTTCACAGCCAAGCAAGTTAAGGGTTAAAGAAACTACTAATGTTTCTCGAATTTTAATGTGCATCTGAATCACTCGGAGGTCTTACTAAATGCAGGTCCTGGTCTGATCCTAGATTCGCATTTCTCATCTGTTTCTAGGTGAATAGCAAGAAGCGGCATGATTTCCCATTTCATCAGCCATAAAGGGCAGAGCTGGGGTTGAACCTGGTTAGTTGAACTTCAAGGCCTGAGCTCATCCACTTGCCAGGTATCCTGTGAGGTGAGGGCTGGGGGTGGGGGGCAACTGTGTGTGATGAATCAGGACGTGATGCTGCCTTGGAGGATTCCCAGACTGGCCAGGGAGGCAGACACTTTTACTGAGTAATGAAATGTGCTAAGTGCTGCATAAATCGTGTGACAAATTCCTGTGGGTGCCAAGGGATGGGGAAGAGGGAAGGGATTCATCCAGCCTGGGAGGGAGGGGGTCAAGGGAGGCCTCAGAGAGCTTAACCTTCAACGAAGGGTAGAATTCAGCCCTCAGGGAAGAAGAGAAATGGCTTCACAAGACATTTTGGTCTGAAAGGGCAGCCAGGGCAAAGGCCCAAAGCTGAGACAGTGAGTGCTGCGTTCCGGAACGGTGAGAAGTCTAGCGGGACCGAAGTGTGTCCTCGGCTCCCACCTGCACAGCGCTCTGCTTTTGTTAACAATTTCTGCTGTCCTCCAGCCATGAGTCCCTCACACCACACCATGTGCCCTGAGTAAGTAGGTCAGGAGGGAGGGGCTGGGGAGCCAGGCACTGCAGGGCTAGGGATTTGCTTGTCTTCTTTCTGCCTGGCTCTGGCACCTGCTCTAGCCCATCCCTTCTCCTCCTCCCTGGCCAACCCAGACCCAGTGAGACAGAGCAAAGGAAGGTGGGCTAAGGAGGCCTTGAACTACTCTCTGCCCTGGGTACTCCCCAGGAAACGTGTCAGGGGCTCTGAGGAACAGGAGGAAGGAGCCCATTGTTCTGGGAGTCTCAATCCCTGCTGCACACCAGTCACCTGGGGGACTTTGGAATATACAGAGAGGGGCCAGCCCCACCCCAGAGCTTCCTCAGAAGATTGAAATATGCAGCCAGGGTTGAGAACCCCAGATAAGCATGAACTCAGAAAAGCTTGGGGCAGAGAGAGCCCACAAGGTTCCTGGGAAGGAACAAATATTTCAGACATTGCTACAGCTGAGAAAAAAAGCAAACTATGATTAGTTTCTAATATGAAGAACTGAATTGAAAGAGGGTAAGAGAAGACCACCTAAACCATATGCAGTTTGTCTAAGATTAAAGTATGTTTTAATAATATTTGTGTGTCGCATCTGATTACTTCAGAAATTTACAGATACTGAAGAATATTTGAAAGTTTTACAAAAAATATAAAGAAGAAAATTGAAATCTGACCACCCAGAGATATTCACCCTTATGGTAGATTTTTTCTAGTCTTTTTTTCTGGGCATGTTTCTAATATAAACATACATGTGCATCTGTCAATAGGCGATCACATTGCTCACACAACTCACTCCCTGATATCGTGTTTCATGTGTATTTTATTGTCGATTGTTCCCTTCACATCCCCAGAGAAACCCCTACAGGCAGGAAGTTTGTGTATTTTGATCCCCTCTATAGCCTCAGAGTTTATGGTATCTAGCACACAGTAGGCACTCCATAATTATGTGGTCAGTGGTGAGCATATTTGTCCTTTAAAGTCAGGGCCATTGAGGTCAGACTTAGATCCAGTCCCAGTTCTGCCATTTACTTGCACAAGCTACCAAAACCTGCTAACCCTGTTTTCCTCATCTATAAAATGGGCATAAGAAGAAAACTGGCCTGAAGAAGCACTGCTTAGTATAGAGCCTGGCATGAAGTAAATCCTCAGTAAAATGTTAGCTGTGACATTATATTTTCTGTATTAGGCAAGTCCTCTTGGAAATTTGAGAAGAGACAGGCCACAGAGTCTACTGGTACAGAAGGAAGATGTTGTATATCTTAAAGACACACAAAGCTGAGAAAAAGAAGCACGGAACTTCAATTGACCTCATCTACAAAGTTCTGTTTTAGAAGAGTGTATCAGTCAGGGTGCTCCAGAAAACAAACACAATAAGAGATCACACACACACACACACACACACACACACACACGAGATTTACTATGGGAATTGATTATGAAGTTGAGGCCACAGCCTGCCATCTGCAAGCTGCAGAACCAGGAAAACAGGTGGGGTAATTCAGTCCCAGTCTGAAGGCCTGAGAACCAGGGAGGGGAGTCAGTAGTGTGACTCCCAGCCTGAGAAGAAAGGTTTGAGAACCAGGGAAGACAATGCTGTAGTGTCAGTTGGAGTCTGAAATCTGGCCCAGAACGAGGAACACCAATGTCCAAGCGCAGAATAAGATGGAAGTCCCAGCTCAAACAGGAAGCAAATTCATCCTTCTTCTTTTTGTTTTTAGGAAACTTTTATTCTATTCAGGCCCTTAACCAATTGGATGATGCCTACCCATATTGGTGAGGGCCATCTGCTTTATGTGAACTACAGATATTCAAATGCTGATCTGTCCTAGAAACAACCTGAGAGACAGACACATCCAGAAATAGTGTTTTATCAGCTATCTGGGCATTCCTTAGCCTAGTCAAGTTGACACATAAAATTAACCATCACAAAGACAAACAAAATAAGTAAACAAAGCAAATTAAGACTATCCTACATCCTGAAATATCCTTGATATGGTTTGGCTGTGTCCCTACCCAAATCTCATCTTGAATTATAGTGCCCGTAATCCCCATGTGTCGTGGGAAGGACCAGATGGAGATAGTTGAATTATGGGGGCGGTTTCCCCCATCCCGTTCTCATGATAGTGAGTTAGTTCTCATGAGAGCTGATGGTTTTATAAGGGGCTTCCCCCTTCACTGGGCACTCATTCTCTCCTTTGCCACCATGTGAAGAGGGATGTGTTTGCTTCTCCTTCTGCCATGGTTATAAGTTTACTGAGGCCTCCCCAACCATGCTGTACTGTGGGTCAATTAAACCTCTTTCCTTTATAAATTATCCAGTCTCAGGTATGTCTTTATTAGCAGCATGAGAATAGACTAATGCAATCCTACAGTGCTTTCTTCCAGACATTTGAAAAACACATTGATATAATGCTCAATAAAAAGTTGAATGTTATTCAGCCACCATTTTTTTCCTTCTCCAGAATCCTCATTGAAGGGTCAGAATTGTGTCCTAGATTTGGCAATGCCTTCTTCTCTGATGCAGAAGGGACTCCCCTGCAGATCTCTAGTCTCTAAGACAGAACATTGCCAGGTGACAGCATGGCAAGCCTCCGGCAGAACTCCCTGTCCCTGAGAGGGAAACTTTGTGCCTGGCTCTAGGGGATGCTGTCTCAGATTATGTGTCACCTTTTGGTCATCACCATTTGTCTTGATTACATTATAATATGAGAACCATAAGAGAAGCTTAAGAGAAAAAAAAATTCTCTAGTATCTAGGACAGAGCCGTCCATGATGTAAACTAAACATTCGATAAATATTCGTTGAACAAAAAATTTTTATCTTATTTATTGAATAAAATAATTGTTAAACAAAATAATGCAGGCTGGTTTTATGTCACTGGGCTTCTTTTTACCAAATGCTATTTTATTTCCACTAAACACAAATTATTGTCCTTATATGAGTATTAACTACTCTCTCTATTTCACCTTGAACATGACATGTTCTCTCACACGTGTATGTCTTTCTTTTCTAAAAGTGCTCAAAACCCTTACCTTGGAAAGCAGGAAAGACTCCATTTTTCCCTTGGTTAATTTGGAGTGATTCTTATCTCTAGTTTACCTGGGAAACATTTTTATATAACTCTTATTTTTGGCATGGCTGTCCTATAATAATGATAACTGATGTATTATCACTGACAAGTGTGGAGATTGTGGCCTCAAAGAGCTACAGAAATCACAGAAGATAAGTGGGACATGGTGGTGGCAGTGGGCACCTGAGTTAGAACTGCCAGTGTTTAGCACTTAATGTCGCCTGCTTTTGTGGAGCCAGGACACCACAGTGGTAAAGGTGATGGACTTTTGAGTCAGACAGACATGGATATAAACCTTAGCACTACCTATTCGTTTTCCATGACTTTGGGCAATCATTTAACTTCCATAAGCCTTAGAAGGCAAGGGCATGGGTGTTGAACTTCTAGGGTCATTGCAAAGATCAAAGGAGATAAATGCAAAGCAGGGGTTTAGCATAGGGTCTGGCACATTGCAAACATGAAATAACCATGGTAATTCTTCCTACTAGCTGAAGTGACTATAATCAGGGTCCATTCTTAAAGACAAAAAAAAGTTTCTCAAATGGCCTCTGAAGGCTTGAAACTTTTTTATTTCTTCCTTATTGTCAGCTAATCAGTAGGAATGTTAAGCTCAGAATAAAGTGATCAAGAGACAAGGGCTTGTCTCTGCATGGAAAACACTCTCTTTCTTGGGCACCACCGTCTCAAGACAGCACTGAAAGCCCCTTCCATATTTTTCTGACATCTACTTTAGGTTTCATTTTCATTAAACCCCAACCCAAGGCTTCTGGAAAAAGAGGAAAATAAAGCCCTAAATAATATTGCAGGTAAGGTGAAAAATAGGTTCCTGGGATGAAACCAGTTTAAAAAAAAAGAAGCTGTTTTTTCGTTATAGGTTTTCATCACAGGAACTTTTTACAGGTTCAATGCAGAGTAAATTTAGATCCTAACATTCAAGAGCTAAGTAGCTACACATTTCCTAAATTGAATAAAAATCTAGCATCAGGGCACCTCCAATGAATGTGGTCTTTGTGTAAGCTGCTGTTTATCATTTGCTTGCTCATTTCTTCTAGGATAAAATTGCCTTCAGGTTAAGTCCTGAAGCATTTTTCCTCCCACGTATGAATGTTTCAAAAGCAAAGCTTAGGGTGAGAAAGAGATGCAGACAGCGAGGGTGTTTGCCTGAGGGAGGCTGCTGATAGGGCTGGGGACATTTGCTATCAGGTAGGACCTGGCAAACATGACTTCTCTCTCAGGAATGGACGTGTTTTTACTAAGTGCCCAGAGACTGATGTGTCAACCAGAACACCAATTTATAACTTACCACTGAAAATTCAAACTCTTAAGGGGAGCATGCCTGTTCCTCTTTTGACCTTCTCCCTTCCCCCTGTGTAACTCACATCATGTGAAGGCCAGTGATAATCAACAAGTGGCCAGCTGGACGCGGTGGTTCATGCCTGTAATCCCAGCACTTTAGGAGGCTGAGGTGGGTGGATCACCTGAGGTCATGAGTTCAAGACCAGCCTGGCCAACTTGATGAAACCCTGTCTCTACTAAAAATACAAAAATTAGTCAGGTGTGGAAGTGTGCACCTGTAGCTCCAGCTACTTGGGAGGCTGAGGCAGGAGAATTGCTTGAACCCAGGAGGCAGAGGTTGCAGTGAGCCAAGATCGCGCCACTGCCCTCCAGCCTGGGCAGCAAAGCAAGACTCCGTTTCAAAACAATAACGACAACAACCAAAAACAACAAGTGGCCACCTAAGCAGGAGATCAGAACAACTTATTCATTCAATAACTATTAATGGAACGGCTGCTATGAGTCTGGCTCCGTATGAGGCACTGTGAATGATGAACAAATCATAATCACTCTTGCCATGAAGTAACTCACAATCTATTAAGGATGTACACTGGCTACAAGTGAGTATGAAATAACGTGGAACTCATATAACGTGATGTGGAAAGTGTACGATGGTGTGGGAGCCCAGAACAGAGGCATCTCTGCCAGCATGGGGAGCAGGGTAAGGGGGAGGGGAGCTGGGGAAAACTTGGGGGCGGTCATCCTGAAGCTGAGACCTGAAGGATGGCTGAAAGAGGAAGAAAGGAGAGAGCTGGGTGTGGTGGTGGTGGGCAGTGGGGGACTGGAAAGCGGGAAAGAATGTCCTATGATTCCTAATTCTGTTGGCTCATAAGCCATATGCCTCTTTCTCTGCAGGGATGTCTGAAGTTGGATGCTATTTCTACAACAGAGACACAGTTTTCTAGAGACCAGACCAGGTATCCTTGGGCACCTTTTTCTCTGGAGTTTGCTGAGATGGGTAATGTCAGTGTCTCCTTTGCTAAGTACCTCACTGCGTAGTAGGCTTTTGTTGAGAAATCAAATCAATCTTGTGGGCCTAGAATATATTCTGGCTTTGGCTTTGTGCCTATGTACCCTGAACCATTATGTTTTGGGTGTTTTGCTCATTTTTCAGAGGGTAGTTAGATATTTGTTACGGCCAAATTTTTGTTGAAAAGACATATAACCCCTTAATGTAATACTTTCATATTATCTATATGATTTCTATTGTAGTGGATTCCACACCTTCCCTGGGCAATAATTCATTCTTCATTTGCTCACTGGTAAATTTATCATGTAGCTATCCTGTACTGCATGGTAGGGATAAGATGGTGAGAAAAAGGCAGACACAGTCTTGGCCCTAATGCAATTCACAGTCTAGTGAAGAAGATAGATAATAATCGCGTCATCAAGGGCTTAAATGTAATATTAAAGCTGTCCTAACGCTATATATAAATAAAGAACAGTAGAATAATGATGGTGTGCGTGCGAGAGAGGTAACTAAAACCAAGGGAATGAAAGAATTTTCAAAGTGTCAGGAAAGGGTTAGTTACCATCTAGGTAGGGTGAATAGAGCCAACTAACAATCAGGCAGTACAACTGTGAGACAGATTACAGTCTTTTTAAGAGCTGAGAAAGAAGCCACAGCCTGAATATAAAACAAGCCTCAGCTTTTAAATCTAAGGCTCAGGTAGAATTATTCTGGACGTGTAGCCAAATCCATCAGTACCCTAGGTCTTACACTGGTGACCTCAGTTGGCCAGAAATGGCAAATCTGCTCTCCTTATATGGGGAAGTGTCTTTGTACCCTGGGAAAATTGGAAATAAGCCCTCAGCTGGTAAAATACATAAGCCACACCCAAGGTATGAACAAATTTTGCTTTGGAAGGTTTTGCAATCATAACAATTTGTGTGTTTGTCATTTATGGTAGTGCTTGCCAACATTTACCATGTCATAGAATAAATAATATTACAAAGGAATACTAGGGTTACTCTCCAGAGGGATTTGGAGCCCTATATGAAGCTGTTCTTGGCAGGATGCCAAGAGCCCCATGGATTCTGGCCACCTCAAGCCCCACTTGCCTGCCCTAAAGGCTGAGAGTATCAAGTCAAGTCTTGGGGCATACTGATAAGTAACCATCTATTTAAGGTATATGAAACAGTTAAGTCCATCTGACCCATTAGAGTTGTTATTTTGATTTTAACTGTTTATTTGGTAACACACTTGTGATTTTAATTTGAAATGTCTAGATAATTTGATTGATTGTATTTGTAAACACTGTTGATTTAATAATCTGATCAGTTACATCCCAAAGTTGAGATTAATTAGTTTTGAAAGTAGTCTTTAAGTGCCTAAGAAAATCATGTTAGAATTGTAGGTCTGCCTACAGCTATGCCCTGAGAGAATTAGATTCATTGCATTTGTGACTGTAATTTGAAACATCTAAGGATATATTAATTAAGAAAATTATGTTAAATGTTATAGATAATTTAATCTATTAAATTCATTATTAACTATTAATCAAATTATATTAATCAAATAACAAGTTAAACATTTTTTAATGTATGTCAAAAATAGCTAGATTATAAGTAAAAGTACATAATTCACCAACTGAGATTAATGCTTAAGAAAAGCAAGTTTTTTCATAATTTTAGTATTAATTAAAATATAAGTAATAGTAAATACCCCATTGAATGTGTAAAAGCCATTCGCATACAACATAAAACTCAGCAGACAACCTGAAGACAAGAACATGATCAGGCGGAACACATAATACCAAAATTGATTTTATCTAGAAGGTGACGAAGGATTTTCCCAGGGGAGGTGAATTTGGCCTGGATTTGAAGATTAGGAGGAAACCAGGTCCAGTGAGAGGAAGGGAGAAGAATGTTTCAAGTACTGAAAAAGGAAGAGGAGGAGGAAAAGGAGGAGAAGAAGGGAAGAAGGAAGAGGAGAAGGACAAAGAGCCAAGGACATGTGTAAACGCCCTCAGGTAGCCTTAGGCATTGGGGAATATAAAAAAAGTCAACAAGTCTAGAGCACAGAGAATAAAGGAGAGCAGAGAGCTCGGGCCCCAAGTGTGTTCTCACTTCCTTTAGTTTTCTGCATAGGAGTCTTTTCTTTAGAGAGGCTTCCTCCACCTCCTTTCTAAATTTACTCTGCTGGTTACTCCTCAACTCCTTATGCTGCTTAACATTTATTCATCATATTTATCACCCCCAAA
Organism: Homo sapiens; assembly: GCF_000001405.40. Lineage (NCBI taxonomy): Eukaryota > Metazoa > Chordata > Mammalia > Primates > Hominidae > Homo > Homo sapiens. The sequence goes on along the minus strand of NC_000005.10, from coordinate 136,621,689 downwards.
AAGAAACTTCTTTTTTGTATATGTTTGAATTGTTGATCTTTCCCACTAGAATAAATATTTTGTGGCTCCACAAGAGCAGGAATATTGTTTTTTTTGTTTACCACTGTATCCACGGTGCTTTGAACAGTGTTTGCAGTCAATAAATATTTCTTAAATGAATGAATCAATCAATTAATCCATGAATTAACACAAGAAGGACCTCGAGGACCGTGTTAAAGATTTTAGTCTTCAAACTAAAAGCAGACAGGAGGCATGGCCAATTTGCATTTTGCAAATGTTTGACTAACTGCATAGTGGAGACAAATGACAAATGATCACCACTTAGACTAAAATTGTGGCAGTGGAAAGAGATGTGCACAGATTTGGAAGGTGAGAGAGCTTGTTGATAGATTGAATATGCAGATGTAAAGGAGAAGAAGGTCATTTGGTTCATAGGTTTTGGGCTTATGAAACTGGATGGATGGGGATCCTAATCCCTGAGACAGAGGACATTGGAAAGGGACTAAATCCATATTTTGGAGAGGATGAGATCAAGGTACCTAGAAGCATCTATGTAGAGATGTCATATAAGTAGTCAGATCTAGAAGCTAGGCTAATGATTTATATTAATGAGTTATCATGTATAGATAACAATTGAACCCATGAGTATCAATAAGAAAACCTAGGCAGAAAACATAGAGTTAAAAGAGTACATAATGAAAAGTAGAAGTGACTGTGATTAAATTTTGATAAATACTAATATTTAATGACCTAAAGAGGCAGTGGATGGAGATACTGGAGGAACATAAGGGAGATGTCATGTCACATAAGCCAAAATAGAGTGTGATTCAAGAGGGGAGTGAACAGTCAACATGAAGATATGTGACCAAGAGGTCAAATAATAGGGAGCTGAAAGGTGGATTTAGAAAAGTGGTCATCTTAGCGGGCATTATATTGCTAGCTTGATATGATTGTAATCCACTTCAGAGTGGGTTGAGGAGTAAGTAAGAAGTAAGTAAATGGAGACAGGAAGTAAAGGCAGCTCTTATAAAAGAAATAGGTTGTAAAGAGAAGATAAGTGTCTCAGGGGGTAGATGTAGTGTCAGAAGAGAGATTTTTGGGAGACTTGATTTTGCTCTTTTGTTTGTTTTTAATATAGAGGAACTTGAGCATGTTTAGATGCTTATGGGAAGGACCTGGTTCCAAAGAAAGATTGATGGGAGAAAGACAAGGACAATCTATAGTCCATGTGAAGTCCCTGAGAAAAACTAAGTGGGCATGAGAAAAGGAGAAAAGGAGAAAAAATGAGGACAGGTGTAAATAGGTCTGTAGATTTAGCATTTGGAAATGGAGGGCATTTCCCACATGATGACTTCACTTTTCTCTGAGTCACAAGTTGGGTCAATTACTGAGAGATAGTAGAAAAGAAGATAAAGTGGCCAAGATCAGTTAGAGGAGAGGAAGTCTGAAATAATAGTTGTTATTAGTCAGCAACTCTAGTCAACAGTTTTAGATGATGATAAGAAACAGACAGGAAGTGTGGGGTAGAATAACTTAGACACTGAAGATGAAGAGGTCAAGGAGCTGAGCGGCCAGATTACAGGATGAAATGTCCATGTGACTGTTGAAGTCAATGGGTGATGGCAGAGGAAAAGCATTTGAGGAGCAAAAAGTGGAGAGTCTGAATGTCATAGGGCTCAAAGAAGATTTTTGCTTGTTTGGTGTTTTTTTGCCAAGAGGCTGAGAGTGGTTTGGAAATGACAATAGAAAACCAGAAGGGGGTATACTCCAGTAGCTGACCCTGAAGTATCCGCTTGGAGAGAGAATTACCTACCTCTTAAAAGGGCTGCGGGAGAAGTAGGCTGTGAAGAAGGAGCCCAGGTTTGAGTCAAAGAAGGCCAAAAAGCTTTTGTTTATCCAGTTGTCATATTTTCTCTACTTAGCTTACTGTTACATATGAGGAAACTAAAGCTCTGGAAACAGGAGTTAAATCTCACTGTTCTGGTATTTCCTTTGAAATATTACTAATCTACCACTTCCATGTAGCATTAAAAGGCAAATCAATCTGCCCCGTGTTCATACAAAATATTTTTTCCATGCATGTTTTATGCCTCCTAATTGAAAGAATCAAACCAGCATTGGCACATCTAGCACCAAATGTAATGAATAATCTCATATGAAATTTAGAAATGTTTGCATATATTTGACATTCTTGAATCTCTGTGACAGGTATAATTTCTTTTTCAAAAAAATAATTTTTGGTACTATGCTTGAGGTGAAGAAGTAATCTGTGTACCAAACCCCGGCAACACACATTTTCCTATGTAACAAACTTGCATATGTACCCCTGAAACGAAAATAAAAGTTAAAAAATACTTTGGGGAAATAGTGAAGTGTAAAACTTTATGAATAAAAAGTATGATTTCTTAACAACATGAAAAAATAGACCCCAATCAGGTCTTTCTCTCAAATGGAGATATATGTAAGATGAAGCAGACCTCTTCTTTATCAAGCAAATTTGATGACATAAGTAGAAAGTTCCAAAGGACTTATGGCATTGAGATTTGACTTGTAAGCTCTATTTCTCCAAGAGTAGGGAAACTCACAAATACCTGTAATTTCAATATCACAACAACTTTGATTCTAACTGAAGAATTTCTTACTAAATATAGGTCCTCCTTTCTTGTCATTTCCATATTTTATCTTCTTTAAGGAGACAAAGAATTCTGAAGTCTATATTTAGTATTAATTTTTTGGAAACTTAGCAGCACTGGGGAGAGGAGCTTTTATAAATGGGATATGAACTTTGAACACAAAATAAAATTTCCTTTGGTGTCATTATGCAGCACCGATCTAAGCAGACTTAAATTCATATAGAGTTATTGAGTATTTTGTACCTTTTTTTCATCAAATCCTGTGTATTAGGAATCCAAAGGGAATGAGGAGGTATAGTTAAGCATGCTACATAAAAAGCTACTTTGTACATAAGGAGTACTTCTTTATCTTTCATATAACTCACAGTATACTCTAAAAGACTCCTCTCCTATCATTGGGCATCGGGTCCAAATAACATAATCAGCGTCACAGTGAAGACCGTGAATGTCTGCATCATGCCTGGCTAAAATCCTGGCCCTTCCCCTGACCTTGAGGTGCACTTGAGCAAATTCTCTGAACACTCAAAGCTCCTTTTTTTATCTACAGAAGAATGCAGCCGTGATGGTCACCTCAGAGGGCTGTTGGAGAGGTAGGTGCTGTGCAGTGTCTGCCACAAATATAATGCAGAGAAGGGTTTCCATTACAGTTAATGATACTTAATATAATATTATTATTATTAATTGTAGATGATTAAAGCTAATTATTAGGCCTGCTTCCTTCAAGACCCTGCTAATGTTCCACTATCTCTGTGGAAATCCATACCTGACCAAATATCCCAGAATCTTTCTTCCAGTTTCTGAATTCCTGAACTATATCTGAACTATGACCCAGTTTTTGATGTTGTGCTATCATGGATTATTATCCAGGAAATTTTGTATATGCAATTATCGTCCCTTCTATAATACCCCTCATGTCTTGTCCAGGCTTAACCAAATGAGCTCTGTGCTTCTCTGGTTATTCTGGACCCTTCTCTTGATTGTAACAAGTAATACTGAAATACAGATTTTAATTTATACTCTGTTTTCTTGAGGGCAAAAGCTGCATTCAACAAAAATAACTATCAACAGGGTCAACCAACAACCTATAGAATGGGAGAAAATATTTGCAAACTATGCATCCAACAAAGGGCTGATATCCAGAATCTATAAGGAACTTAAACAAATATACAAGTAAAAAATAACTCCATTAAAAAGTAGGCAAAGGACATGAATAAACGCTTTTTGAAAGAAGGCATATGTGCAGCCAACAACTGTATGAAAAAATGCTGCACATCACTAATCATCAGAGAAATGCAAATTAAAACCACAATGAGATATCATCTCACACCAGTCAAAAAGGCTATTATTAAAAAGTCAATAAATAGATACTGAAGAGGTTGTGGAGAAAACAGAATGCTTATACACTGCTGGTAGGAATGTAAATTAGTTCAGCCATTGTGGAAAGCAGTTTGGAAATTTCTTAAGGAACTTAAAACAGAATTACTATTCAACCCAGCAATCCCATTATTGAGTATATACTCAAAGGAATATAAGTTGTCCCATAAAGACACAGGCATGCTTATGTTCATCACAGCACTATTCACAATAGCAAATTCATGGAATCAACCTCAATGTCCATCAGTGGCAGACTGGATAAAGCAAATGTGGTACATATACACCATGGAACACTATGCAGCCATATAAAGAATGAGATCATGTCCTTTGCAGGAACATGGATGGAGCTGGAGGCCATTATCCTAAGCAAACTAATACAGGAAAAGAAAACCAAATACCGTGTGGACTTACTTATAAGTGGCAGCTAAACATTGAGTGCATGTGAACACTAAGAAGAAAACAACCTACTTGAGGATGGAGGATAGGAGGAGGGTGAGGATCAAAAACTACCTATTGGGTACTATGCTTATTACCTGGATGATGAAATAATCTGTACACCAAACCCCTGTGACACACAATTTACCTATATAAACAAACCTGCACATGTACCCCTGAATCTAAAATAAAAGTTGAAAAAAAAAAAAAAAAAAAACAACCGTGTCTCACTCATCTCTCTATCCCTCTATCCCCAGGACTGACACAGATTGGCTGTTCATAAACTGAGCTGTCACATACTGAGATTATAAATTCCTAGAGAGTATGTGCTTCTCTTGAACTGTCTTTTGGCTACTCTCCAGTAGTGTTAAGTGCCCAGGTGCATAAAGCTTTCTATTTAATGATCCCCCTTCCCCTAGTCTTCCTACCCATGCGATAACTGTTAGAACACAAGTAAGGTGGAAGGTTAATAAGTGGGACAGGAAAAAAGTTTCAGTATTAAAATAATAGATGAAACAGGAATTACCAGCCTTTCCAGAGTCTCAGATAATATCAGTTATGACTTTTCAAGTGGGGCAAGTATAATTGGAACTCAGTACTCCTTCTGTTGTGGGGCTAGGGAGTGGGGTCTTGTTTCCATGTTACATTCTTTTAGGAACAATGCAAAGACCAACAAGGCCATTCCCCTTCAGTGAAATAACTAACACTTGCCGTGTTAGCATAGGTCTCCGACCTTAAAATCAAGTGGCTCTAATTTGTATGTTCTCCTGAGCTACAGTTGTGATACATATAAATGCTGTGGTTTACATACATATATCCTATCCTTTGTTGCTTTCGGAGTTCTTATTCCTCTCTCTCTCCCCCCCTCCCTATCTGTCTCTGTCTCTTTCTTTCTTGCCTTTTTAATTTGTTAATTCACTTATTGTGGGTCTCCCCCAATTTACAAATATGAGGGAAGGAAATCTGTCTGTGTCATTTACCAACAAAACTTCAAGGTCTAGAATGTTGCCTGGCATAAACTAATTCATATAATTCATACATATTTAGACATGAAAGAACTATCCTCTCTGATGGTGCAAAATTTAAATAAAGGCTGATTAGATATCAGACCTAACTGATCTGTTTACTAAACTGACCCATTATTTGACTTATTAATGAAAATAATCTAGGATTTTAGGTACACAGCACATCAGTAATGTAATTCTCCTATTGAAGCAGCAAATCAATTCCTACACAAATTATATTTGCCAAGAAAGGGAAACCCCTGAGGCCGTTTGTGGAAATGAAGCACAAGCTCAGTGGACTCACTCCACGGGCTGTGATCATGCGCCAGCTGCTCACCTTGTATGGAGACAGGGCTATTTTTTAATAGAGACATAAAGCTGTGACTGATGGGCCACAAACACCATGGGAAATTTCCATTTCAGTCGCATTTCCTTTTCTTGTTTCAAATTGCATTTTGAGCTTTTTATAAGATGATTGATGTTAAATCCCTATTTCTGTTGCTGGTAAGTCATTGAGTATTTGTATTTGTATTTGTCATTACAACTCAAGACTAGAAACCAAATCAATCAGGGGATGAAAACACAATACATGATGGTGATCATATTCCATCATGTTGCAATAAAACAGATAAGGCTCCTCAGACAGATTCCCTGCTTTTTAAAGTGATTTCTCCTAACCTGTGGCTGTAAATGACAGCATCTATCCCAACATCTCAGGACACCAACCAAAGCAATTTCTTTTTGTGTCTCTTGTTACAACGGCTTGAATGGTCAGATATTGAAACATATATGACTCAGATTAAAGGAAACGGCAACATTATATCACAATGCCAAGGAAGCAATTATTGCAAACAAGACATTTACTAGAAAATGCCTATCTTGGAATTCTCCTTGGCAGGAAAAAAAATGATATATAAGACTTTCTTCCAGGGTTCTTTTCTTTTTTAATATTACAAAGAGAGAGAAAGCTTCTCAAGCTCACCAAGAAAATATATTTCTAAACAACACATTTATAAAGCCTGCTTCTTCACAGAGTAATACCTATATTTTACCATTGGGCCTCTTAAGTTTGTATGACTTTTCTAAATTCCTTCATTGGCTCCACATGGCAAAGATTCTATTGTCCAGATTTGGCTAACGGCAGTGGCAGGGGCATGACTGGAATAGAAAGCCAGCTCTGGCCACCAATGCCAGTGCCCATGGGCCAGAGAACGGAGTTCTTTATTACTTTGATTTAAAGGTTATCATGCAGAGGAAAATCTTGTTTTCTTACTTCTCAATTATTTGGGGATGAGAAGGAGGCCCATATAGCAAAATTTTAAAATTTGTTACATTAAAAATGTATGTGTTTGAAATTAGGTTCAAGTTTATATTTAACATATTGCAAAAAAGAAAAAAAACATGACTTAGCTATTTTAAATTGAGAACTAAGAGGGCTAGGGAAACTTTGAAATCCAGATAATGCATGACATGGATCAGAAGCATCATGTCTATCACATGATGATTTTCACTAGAAAGTTACCTGACCAAGTGTTCTACTCCTTATCCCCTTCAATGCCGAGCACACTATAATGAATATTTTAGGTGGCCCAAATAATTGTTGAATTTTTGTTGAATGAATGAGTGGGTTGGTGAATGAATGATTGAATGAATGAAATAGCAAGAGAGAAAATGAATTGTCTTCAAGCTCAAAGGTAAGCTATTTCTATAGCCGGCGTCTATATACAACGAGGCATCATAGAATTTGGGCAAATGCCCTTAAGTTACATATTTGCTGAGAAGATTTTTCTCCACATTAACAGGATAACTTTTATGAAATAAAGACTTTTTTTTCTCCATCATTTTCTACAGACTCTACTATGACATATTTTGAATCAATGAGTGATTTTGTTATGGAATATTCCATAAAACAGTACTTATTCCGAATTTTTCCTCCCAGGGCAGTTCTAGAAATGAACTGGAACCCATTCTTTAAAAAAAAACTAATTTATTTATTTATGTGAAATTGACAGAAGTATATATACATTGTGGATGGTCAAATTTAGTTAATTAACAAATACATTAACTCACAAGGTTATCATTTTTGTGGTGAAAACACATCCACTCTCTTTACTTTTTTAAGAATACAAGGTATCATTAACTATAATCTTTTGCTGTACAAGAGATCTCTTGAAATTCATTCTCATATTTATTCTCCTGTATTTACACATCCTTTGACCTACGTCGTCTCACCTTCCTTTCTCCACTAACCTCCTCATCCTCTGGTAACCACCATTCTAATCTCTACTTTTACAAGTTCAACTTTTCTAGCTTCCACCTGTGAGTGAAATAATGAGGTATTTGTCTGTGCCTGGCTTGTTTCATTTAACATAATGTCTTTCAGGTTCATCCACGTTGTCACCAATGGCGATTTTATTCTTTTTTATCCTTTTATTCTTTTTACTGAATGGTATTCCATTGTATATATATACAACACACCTATTTTATGCATTCATCCTTTGATGGGCAATTAGGTTGATATCCTATCATTGCTATTGTAAATAGTGCACCTATAAACATGGAATGCAGCTATCTCTTCAACATAATGATTTTATTTCCTTTGGCTATAACCCAGTAATGAAGTTACTGTATCCTATGTTAGTTCCATTGTTAATTTTTTTAGGAACTTCCATACTGTTTTCCATAATGTCTGTACTGATTTATATTCCTACCAAAAGAATATAAAAATTCCCTTTTCTCCACATACTCACTAACATTTGTTATCTTTTATCTTTTTTTTATAATAGTGATTCACACTGGGGTAAGGTGATATCTCATTGTGGTTTTGATTTCCATTTCCTTGATGACTAGTGATGTTGAGTATTTCTTCATATACCTGTTGGCCATTTACTATTAGGCCAAACTGCTACTCAGGTCTTTTGACCATTTTTAAATTTTATCTGATTTTATTTTTGTTGTTGTTGTTGTTGAGTTGTTTGAGTTCTTCAAATATTTTAGATATTAATCCTTTGTCAAATATATAGTTTGCAAATATTATCTCCTATTCTGCAGGTTGTCTTTTCACTATGTTGATGGCTTCCTGAAGCTTTTTAGTTTGATGTAATCCCATTTTTGCTTTCACTGCCTGTGCTTTTGAGGCATTAACCAAAAAATCCTTGCCCAGAACAACATCAAAAGTATTTCCCCTATGTTTTTTTCTAGTAGTTTTTTAGTTTTGGGTCTCACATTTAATTGTCTAATTCACGTTGAGTAAATCTTTGCATAGGGTGAAAAAAAGGAGTCTAATTTTATTCTTCTGCATGTGTATATCTAATTGTCCCGACACCACTTATTAAAGAGACTGTCTTTTCTCCAACGTGTGCTTGTGGCATCTTTGTGAAAAAAAATCAGTTGGCTGTAAATGTGTGGATTTATTTCTGGGCTCTCTATTCTGTTATAATTGTCTATGTGCCTGTTTTTGTACCATTACCGTTCTGTTTTGGTTATTATAGCTTTTTAATATACTTTGAGTCAGGTAGTGCAGCACCTCTAGCTTTGTTCTTTTCGCTTGAGGTTGTTTTGGCTCTTTGGGCTCTTGGGTGGTTTCACACGAAACTTAGGATTTTTTTCTATTTACATGAAGAATGTCAGAATGTCATTGGGGTTTAATAGGAATTGCATTGAATCTGTAGACTACTTTGAGTAGTATGGACATTTTAACAATATTAATTATTACAATTAATAACTCAAGATATCTTTTCATTTTTTGTATTTGCTTCAATTTCTTTCATCAATGTTTTATAGTTTTTATTGTAGACATCTTTTACCTCCTTGGTTAAATTTATTCATAGGTATTCTAAATTTTGTGGCTATTGTAAATGGGATTATTTTGTTGATTTCTTCTTCAGATAGTTTGCTATTAATATATAGAAATGTTACTAATTTTTCTTTTTTCTTTTCTTTTCTTTTCTTTTTTTTTTTTTGATGCAGTCTCAATCTTATTGCCCAGGCTGGAGTGCAGTGGTGCAATCTTGGCTCACTGCAACCTCCGCCTCCTGAGTTCAAGTGATTCTTATGCCTCAACCTCCCGAGTAGCTGGTATTATGGGTATCTGCCACCACGCCTGGCTGATTTTTGTATATTTTAGTAGAGACAGGGTTTCACCAAGCCTTGTCTCGAACTCCTATCCTCAAGCGATCCATTTGCCTCAGCCTCCTAAAGTGCTGGGATTACAGGCATGAGCCACCACGCCCAGCCACTAATTTTGTATGTTGATTTTGTGTCTTGCAACTTACTGAATTTATTTATCAGTTTCAACAGTTTTTTGTGGAGTCTTTAGAGTATTCTATATATAAAATCATGTCATCCACAAACAGAGACAATTTAACTTCCTTCTTTCCAGTTTCGTTACCTTTCATTTCTGTCTTTTTTTTTAAATTTTATTATTATTATACTTTAAGTTTTAGGGTACATGTGCACAACGTGCAGGTTTGTTACATATGTATTCATGTGCCATGTTGGTGTGCTGCACCCATTAACTCGTCATTTAGCATTAGGTATATCTCCTAATGCTATCCCTCCCCGCTCCCCCCACCCCACAACAGTCACCAGTGTGTGATGTTCCCCTTCCTGTGTCCATGTGTTCTCATTGTTCAATTCCCACCTATGAGTGAGAACATGCGGTGTTTGGTTTTTTTGTTCTTGTGATAGTTTGCTGAGAATGATGGTTTCCAGTTTCATCCATGTCCCAACAAAGGACATGAACTCATCATTTTTTTATGGCTGCATAGTATTCCATGGTGTATATGTGCCACATTTTCTTAATCCAGTCTATCGTTGTTGGACATTTAGGTTGGTTCCAAGTCTTTTACCTGATTGCTCTGGCTAGGACTTCTGGTACTTTGTTGAATAAAAGCAGTGAATGTGGACATACTTGTCTTTTTCCAGATCCTAGAGAAAAAAAATTCAACTTTTTCCCATTCAGTATTATGTTAGCTGTGGGTTTGTTTTAATTGGCCTTTATTGTGTTGAGATACATTCCATCTATATTTAATTTATGAAGAGATTTTTATGGTCATGAAGGAATGCTGAATTTTGTCAGATTCTTTCTCTGCATCTATTGAAATGATCATACAGGTTTTGGCCTTTATTTTGTTAACATGATATGTCACATTTACTGATTTGCATATGTCAAACCATTCTGGCATCCTTGGGATGAATCCCACTTGATCATGGTGAATGATTTTTTTAATGTGTTGTTGCATTTAGTTTGCTATATTTATTCAGGATTTTTGCATCTATGTCCATCAGGGATATTTACCTGCAGTTCTCTTTTTTGTTGTGTCCTTGTCTGGTTTAGTATCAGGGTAATATTGGCCTCACAGAAAAAGGTTAAAATAATTCACTTCTCTTTAATTTTTTTGAAATAGTTTGAGAATAATTACTATTAGTTCTTTAATTTCTTGGTAAGATTTGACAATTAAACTATCAGGTTCTGGGCTTTTCTTTGATGAAAACATTTTTATTGCTTATCTAATCTTATTACACATCTTTTGGACTATATAGGTTTTCTGTTTCTTCTTAGTTTAATCTTGGTATGTTGTATGTGTCCAGGAATTTATCCATTTCTTTTAGGTGTTCCAATTTGTTGGTATAGAATTGTTCCTAATAGTCTATTATTATTCTTTTTATTTCTGTGTTATTGGTTGTAATGTTATCTTTTTCCTCTCTAATTTTATTTGGGTCTTCTCTCGTTTTTTCCTAGTTTAGCTAAAAGTTTGTCAGTTTTGTTTATCGTTTTGAAAATACAAGTCTTTGTTTCATTGATCTTTTAAAATTACTTTTAGACTTTATTTCACATATTTCTGCTTAAATCTTTATTATTTCTTTCTTTCCACTAGTTTTGGGTGTTTTTTCTAGTTCCTTTAGGTGCATTATTAGGTTGTTTATGTCAGATATTGCTTTTTTGTTTGCCTGTTTTTTGAGATGGAATTTCACTCTTGTTGCCCAGGTTGGAGTGCAATGGTGCGATCTCAGCTCACTGCAACCTCTGCCTCCCGGGTTCAAGCAATTCTCCTGCCTCAGCCACCTGAGTTTCTGGGATTACAGGAATGCACCATCACTCCCAGCTAATTCTGTATTTTTAGTAGAGATGGGATTTCTCCATGTTGGTCAGGCTGGTCTCCAACTCCCAACCTCAGGTGATCCACCCACCTTGGCCTCCCAAAGTGTCGGGATTACAGATGTGAGCCACTGAGCTTTTTTTTTTTAATGTAAACATTTGTTGCTGTAATATTCTCTCTTATAACTGTTCCCCATAGGTTTTGGTATGTTGTGTTTCCATTTTCATTTGTCTCTAGAAATTTTTTTAATTTCCCTTTTAATTTCTTTATTGACCCATTGATTGTTTAGAAGCATATTTTCTAGTTTCCATAGATTTGCAAATTTTCCAAGGTTTCTCCTGTTACTGATTTCTAGATTTGTATTTTTGTGGTCTGAAAAGATATTTTATATGATTTCAGTCTTCTTAAATTTGTTAAAACTTGTTCTGTGGCTACATATGTTCTATCCTGGAGAATGTTCCATGTTCAGTTGAGAGGAACGTGTATTCTGCAGCTGTTGGATGAAAAGTTCTGTAAATATCTTTTAGGTCTATTGGGTCTAGAGCAGTTTAAACCCAATTATTTCTTTATTAATTTTCTATCTGGATGATCTATTCATTGCTGAAGAAGGGATGTTGAAATCTCTTACTGTTGCTGTATTGCAATCTATCTCTCCTTTTAGAACTATTAATAGTTGACTTTGACATTGGGTGCTTTGATATTGAGTGCATATATATTTACAATTCTTATATCCCCTTGCCTATCATTGTATGATGACGTTGTTTGCCTCTTTTTTTACTTTTTGACATAAAGTCCATTTTATCTGATATAATTATAGCTATTCCACTCTCTTCTGGTTTCCCTTTGCATGAAATGTCTTTTTTCATCCCTTCACTTTTAGTCAATGTGTGTCCTTACTAGTAAAGTGAGTCTTTTGTCAGCAGCATATAATTTTCTTTTTTAAAATCCATGCAGCTACTGTATAATTTTTAATTGTAAAATTTACTTCATTTACATTCAAAGTAATTACTGTTAGATAAGAACTTACTATTGTCATTTTTTTCATTGCTTTCTAGTTGTTTTGTTGATTCTTTTTTTCCTTTCTTCCTCTCCCACTGTCTTCCTTTGTGGTTAAATAATTTTCTCAGTTTTGTGTTTGATTTTTTGCTTTTTATTTTTAGTATATATATTTAAGTTTTTGCTTTGTGGCTACCATGAAGCTTACAAAAAAACTATCATACTTACGTTTGTATCTGGTTATTTTAAACTAATAACAACTTTCATTAATAAAAAGAAAAAGAAACCCACCAAAAGTCTATACTTTAACTCCAGTCTCCACCTTTCACATTTTGAATTGTGCTGTCACAATTTACATCTTTTTATATTGCATATCCCTTAAGAATTGTTACTGCTATTACTTTAATAGTTTTTTAACCTTCATACTAAAGATATGTGATTTACACACCATTATATCATAAGAGTATTCACAATTTGATTGTGTCCTTTCTTTTACCAGTGAGTATGAAAAATGTACTTTCAGATGTTTTTTGTGCCACTCATTAGCATCGTTTTCTTTTAGCTTGGAGAACTCCCTTTAGCATTTCCTGTAAGACACGTCTGGTGGTAATGGACTTCCTCAGCTTTTATTTATCTAGAAAAGTATTTATCTTTCCTTCATTTCTGAAGTACAGATTTGCTGTGTACAGTATTTTTAGTTGAAAGATTGTGTGTGTGTGTGTGTGTGCTTTGAATATATTATCCTACTTTCTCCTGGCCTGTAAAATTTCTGCTGAGACATCTGCTTTATGCATATTGAAACTCCCTTATATGTTATTTGCTTCTTTTCTTTTGCTGCTTTCTGCATTCTCGCTTTGTGTTTGATTTTTGACAGCTTGATTATAATATATTATCTGGTATCTGTATTTTAGATTGAATCTGATTGGCAACTTTTGCCCTTCCTGTAAATTGATATTCACATCATTCTCCAGTTTTGAACCATTTTGTGCTATTATTTAGTTAAATAAACTTTTTACTCCTTTCTCTACTCCCTCTTGAACACTGATGACTCAAACATTTGCTCTTTTGATATTATCTCATAAACCCTGTAAACTTTATTCTTTTTCATTGTTTTCTCCTCTCACTGTATATATATTTTCAAATAAATTGCCTTCAGGTTCACTGGTTCTTTCTTTTGCTTGATCAGTTCTGCTGTTGATGTCCCCTATTTGTATCTTTCATTTTGTTTATTGTATTTTTCAGCTCCACTTTTAAAAAATTAATTCAATTTCTCCATCAAATTTCTCTGATAAATTTCTAAATTTTTTTCTGTATTTTTCTGAAGTTTACTAAGCTTCCTAAAACAATTATTTTGAATTCTTTGTCAGGAAGTTCTTTATCTACATCTCTTTATGGTCAGTCACTAGCATCTTATTTTGTTCATTTGGTGATGTCATATTCCCCTGATTATTCTTGATGCTTAAGGCCATGCATTGATGTATCCGCATTGATATAGGTACCTAATTCTGTCTTCACAGTCTAGCTTTGTTTAGGGGAGTTCTTCAACAGTAAGCTTGTCCCAATATTCAAAAAAAGGTGTACTCCTGAAGTCCCTAAGCCCATGAGCTCTTTAGCCAGTATAGTGCCAGAGAGTGCCCTAAGCCCAGGACTGACTCAGTCAGAATCCCATTGCTGCTGAAGTTGACACAGTACTCATGCACCTGAAGCCCGTGGCTACTGAGATTAGTGCAGCACTGGGGAAGTACAGCCTCTATGGCCTGCCTGCCACTGAAGTTTATTAAGGGCCCAAAGTCCCTGTAGTCAGTTGGTGATTATGAAAGCTAAAATTTTAGTCTGTCTTACTGGAGCCACAGATTCCCATCTGGCATTGGGACAGATCTAGAGGCTCTGTCTCTGAGCACCAGCCTAAATTGATGAGCCATGGGGTTATTCGCAGTGCTGGATTTTACTGTGGTGGGCCCAGTTCTAGGTTCCAAAGCAAAGTCATATGCTTAATTCCCTCTTCTTCCCCAAGCAGACAGTATCCCTTTCTGTGCTACACTGCCCAGAGCTTGGGGAGGAGTGATATGGCAGTCTTGTGGCCACTGAGGCTGATGAAGTGCTCAGTCAAACACAGTGCTCACTGCTGATGAGACTGGCACAGTACTGAGGCATGCCCAAAGCCCATGGGCTACAGTCTGCCTGCTGCTGAGGTTTATACAGGACCTGAGGCTGCTGTAGTCAGTTGGCAGTGATGCAACACAGAATTTGAGTTCTTTTTGCTGGGGCCATAAGTTCTCATCTAGCATCAGGGTGGATCTATAGGCTCCATCTGCAGGAACTGGCCTGGAGTCAAGGGTCATGGCATTTATCCCAGTGGTGGGTCATTACTGAATTCCAAGGCAAAGTCCTATACTTACTCCCCTCTCTTTTCCCCAGTCTTATGGTGTCTCTTTCCATACTACACTGCATGGGATGGAGGAAGTGGTAATGAGGGCAATAAATCCTTTTTACTATATTCAATGTGTCTTTTAAAATTATTATCCTAAAACCAGGTACTATGATCTCTCACCTAGTTTCCTTAGTTCTTGTGAAAATCTATTTGTGCATGGACAATTGTTCTCATTGATGTTTCCACTAGAGAACAATCACTGGAGAGTCCTACTCCAACATCTTGCTCCACCCCTTTGTTTGACTTGGAACCATTCTAAAGGTATTCTGCTCCTAGGTATCTTGTTTGAATCATCAGCCTGTTCTTTAAGGGAAATAATGTGCCATGTTTGGAGTCAGTGGGAGGCATTGTGCCTATTGTGCAGGAGTTTAATTCCACTTGGGAGATAAGATTATCATACAGACACATAGGAAATAGGGTGAAAATAATCACAGGACAATTTATACACAAACATACAGTGTTTTCTTAGAATAATTTTATTATGATTAAATGAATGCATAAGCACTGTAAACATGTTGAAGAGAATAAAGAAGAGAATGAACCATAAACAGTAATGCCATGATTAAAAAGTTTATGTTTTATTAAAAAGTATATGTTGATATACTGCCCCAATATTTTTTCCTATATGTGAATATTATCTAAGGATTAGTGCTGGAATTATACTGATACTTAATTTTGTAACCTAGTTCTTTCTTCACTAAATATGGTAATATGAACATTTGTCTATATCACTTGCACTGACCTCTTATAATATCCTTACAATGACACATCATTCCAGTGATGTAAACAACTGGAAAAAGACTCAGAGGGAGCTTGTTGTGATCCCCAGGGGAATAAAAGAAAAATGAATTTTACTGTGGGTCCCAGCATTCCATTTCTATTGAGGGCCTCCTTCATGTATTATTCTACTATCTGACATCAGCTACTTGCTATATGTCAGACAGGAGACCTTGTATTGAACACACACGGTGACTAACATTAATATCCATGATCTAGGAGCTTACAATCTAATGAAAGATTAGCATGGAATTAATTCCTTTCTCCTTTCATCAGACTATTAAACAGAGGTCATGCTACCTCTGCACATTTTTATGTTTCTGATTATCTGACATTTCAAGATGATAGGAATAAACTCTGGGATGACAGAAACAAAAAAAACTCAAAAAAGTGTTGTTCAAACTCATGACAGGGAAATGATGTGTGGCTCACAGTGGTTCCTGCAGTAGGCCCACCTAAAGGCTTTGTGTGAGCATTTTTTTGCCCACTCTCAAGACCTGGTGGGCACAGGTGATGTAGAAACCTCAAAAGAAAACATCTCAAAAGCATTCATGCCTGAATGCAGAAGTAAAATGGCTTTGGTGAATGTGCAGATCACAGATCTTTTTGGAACATCTAAGTCTTCAGCATGTGAGTTTACCATGT
Source organism: Homo sapiens (assembly GCF_000001405.40). Classification (NCBI taxonomy): domain Eukaryota; kingdom Metazoa; phylum Chordata; class Mammalia; order Primates; family Hominidae; genus Homo; species Homo sapiens. Next base: position 136,605,293 of record NC_000005.10, on the reverse strand, counting down.
TTGTTACTATGACAAGATCAGATTTTGTTTTTATCACCATCCCTTCTCATTACATTATCCTGGGGAGGTCACCCAGAATTCTCTTTTCTTTCTGTTTTAAAAACATTTCTGAAAAGTGGCTAAAACTATTTCATTGGAAGTGTTCCTTATTTTATCAATTAAGTACAAACATAAGTTATAACAGATTCTTTTTCATGTTGAGTTATGCCATGAATACAATACCCATTACATAGACTGCATCTTTTAAATGGCTGAAATATTGACAGAGTTCTGGAGAGCAGAAAAAGAGGAAGGAAGGTGGAGAACAGCATAATAGTTTATCATAAAAGTTAGATTTTTATTCCAAATGATGGAGAAAGAAGGAATCCTGCCTAAATCATTCTATTAAGCTAGTATCACCCTAATACCCAAACCACGAAAGTGCATAACAACAACAATGAAAACCAGAGATCAATATCCTTGATGAACATAGATGCAATATTCTCAACAAAATAGTGACTAGCTAAATCCAATAGCATATTTAAAAATACATCCTGATCACCTGGGTTTCATACTAGGGATGCAGAGATGATTTAACATATGAAAGTCAATAAATGTGATACATTACATAAACAGAATTCAAAACAAAAATATGATCATCTCAACAGACACAGAAAAAGCATTTGACAAAATTCAGCACTCTTTTTGATAAAAACTCTCAACAAAATTAATATAGAAGGGTTATACCTTAAAGTAATAAAAGCCATCTTTGACAAACCCACACCCAACATAATACCGAATGGGGAAAAGTTGAAAGCATCCTCCCTGAGAACTGGAACAAGACAAGGATGCCCACTTTCACCACTTCTATTCAACATAATATTGGAAGTCCCAGCCAGAGCAATTAGACAAGAGAAAGAAATAAAGGGCATCCAAATCGGAAAAGAGGAAGTCAAACTGTTGTTGTTTTCTGATGATGTGATAATATACCTGGAAAACACTAAAGACTCGTCCCAAAGGCTCCTAGATTCATAAATGAATTCACTAAAGTTTCAGGATACAAAATTAATATACATAAATCAATAGCACTACTATACACCAACAACAACCAAGCTCAGAATCAAATTAAGAACTCAATCCCTTTTACAACAGCTGCAAAAACTAAAAAATACTTGTGAATGTACTTAATCAAGGAGGTGAAAAATCTCTACATGGAAAACTACAAAACACTGCTGAAAGTAATTATAGATGACACAAACAAATAGAAACACATTTCATGCTCATTAATGGGTGGAATCAATATTGTGAAAATGATCACAGTGCTAAAAGTAATCCACAGATTTAATGCAATTCCCACAAAAATACCATTATTATTCTTCACAAAAATAGAAAAAGCAATCCTAAAATTCATATGGAACTGCAAAAAGCGTCCCTAGAGCCAAAGCAATGCTAAGCAAAAAGAAGAAATCTGGAGGCATCACATTACCCAACTTCAAATTATACTAAAAGGCTATAGTTACCAAAACAGCATGGTACTGGTATAAAAATAGCCATGTACACAAATAGAACAGAATAGAGAACCCAAAGTAAAGCCAAATACTTACAGCCATCTGATCTTTGGCAAACTTGCAGCCAACTGATTCATGAAGCACACAAAAACATAAAGTGGGGGAAAGGACTTCCTATTCAATAAATGGTGCCGGGATAACTGGCAAGCCACATACAGAATAATGAAACTGGGTCCTCATCTCCAACTTATATAAAAATCAACTAAAGATGAATCAAAGACTTAAATCTAAGACCTGAAACCATAAAAATTCTAGAAGATAACATCAGAAAAACTCTTCTAGACATTAGCTTAGGCAAATAATTCATGACTAAGAACCCAAAAGCGAATGAAACAAAAACAAAAATTAATAAATGGGGCCTAATTAAACTAAAAAGCTTCTGCACAGCCAAAGAAATAATCAGCAAACAGACAACCCACAGAGTGGGAGAAAATATTTGCAAACTATACATCCAACAAAAGACTAATATCCAGAATCTACAAGGAACTCAAACAAGAAATCAGCAAGAAAAAAACAATTCCATTAAAAAGTGATCAAAGGACATAAATAGATAATTCTCAAAAGAAGATATACAAACAGTCAATAAACATGAAAACAAATGTTCAACATTACTAGTTATCAGTGAAATGAAAATGAAAATCACAATGAGATTCCACCTTACTCCTGCAAGAATGGCCATAATTTAAACATAAAAAAATAGATGTTGGTGTGGATGTGATGAAAAAGGAACACTTTTATGCTGATGATGGGAATGTAAACTAGTACAACCACTACGGAAAGCAGTATGGAGATCCCTTAAAGAATGAAAAGGAGATCTACCATTTGAGCCAGCAATCCCACTACTCGGTATCTACCCTGTATTAGTCTATTCTCACACTATTATAAAGAACTGCCCAAGACTGGGTAATTTATAAGGGAAAGAGGCTTAATTGATTCACAGTTCTGCAGGGCTGGGGAGGCTTCAGGAAACTTATAATCATAGTGGAAGGGGAAGCAAACTCATCCTTCTTTACTTGGTGGCAGGAAGAAGTGCCGAGTAAAAGGGGGGAAAGTCCCTTATAAAACCATCAGATCTCACGAGAACTCACTCACTATCACAAGAACAGCATGAGGGTAACCTCCCCCATGATTAAATTGCCTCCTACCAGGTCCCTTCTATGACATATGGGGATTATGGGAACTACAATTTAAGGTGAGATTTGGGTGGGGACACAGAGCCAAACCATATTATTCCACCCTTGTCCCCTCCCAAATATCATGTCCTCACATTTCAAAACACAATCATGCCCTTCTAACAGTATCCCAAAATCTTAACTTATTCCAGCATAACCCAAAAGTCCAAGTCCAAAGTCTCATCTTAGACAAGGCAAGTCCCTGCTACCGATGAGCCTGTAAAATCAAAAGCAAGTTAGTTACTTCCTAAATACAATGGGAGTACAGGCATTGGGTAGACACACCCATTCCAAATGGGAGAAACCAGCCAAAGGACAGGGCTACAGGTCCCATGCAAATCCGAAATCCAGCAGGGCAGCTAAATCTTAAAGCTCCAAAATGATCTCATTTGATTCCATGTCTCACATCCAGGGCAAACTGATGTAAGAAGTGGGCTCCCACAGCCTTGGGCAGCTCAGCTCCTGTGGCTTTGCAGAAAACAGCACCCCTCCTGGCTGCTTTCATGGGCTAATGTTGAGTGTCTGCAGTTTTTCCAGGTGCATGGTGAAAGCTGTTGGTGGATCTACCATCCTGGGGGCTGGAAGATGGTGGCCCTGTTCTCACAGCTCCACTAGGCAGTGCCACAGTGGGGACTCTGTGTGTGGGCTCCAACACCACATTTCCTTTCCACACTGCCCTAACAGAGGTTCTCCATGAAGCCTCCACCCCTGCAGCAAACTTCTGCCTGGACATCCAGCTGTCTCCATACATCCTCTGAAATCTAGGTGTAGGTTCCCAAATCTCATTTCTTGACCTTTGTGCACCTGCAGGTCCAACACCACATGTAAGCCACCAAGGCTTGGGGCTTGCACCCTCTAAGGCAATGGCCCAAGCTGTACCTTGATGCTTTTTACCAAAGATGGAGCTAAAGCAGCTGGGACACAGGACACCATACCCAAAGCTGCATACTGCAGGGGGGCCCTGGCCTAGCTCATGAAACCATTTTTCCCCCCAAGGCGTCCAGGCCTATGATAACAGAGGCAGTTGTGAAGGTCTCTGACATGCCCTGGAGGCATTTTCCCCATCGCCTTGGTGATTAACACTCAGCTACTCGTTATTTATGCAGATTTCTGCATCAGGCTTAAATTTCTCCCCAGAAAATGGGTTTTTCTTTTTCATTGCTTCATCATTCTGTAAATTTTCCAAACTTTTATGCTCTGCTTCTTGAACACTTTGCCACTTAGAAATTTCCTCAACCAGATATCCTAAATCATCTCCTTCAAGTTCAAAGTTCCACAGATCTCTAGGGCAGGGGCAAAATGCCTCCAGTCTCTTTGCTAAAGCATAACAAGCATCGCCTTTGCTCTAGTTCCCAATAAATTCCTCATCTCCATCTGAGACCACCTCAGCCTGAGCTTCATTGTCCATATCACTATCAGATTTTTTTTCAAAGCCATTCGACAAGTCTCTAGGAATTTTCATACTTTCCCACGCCTTCCTATATTCTGAGCCCTTCAAGTCTCCAGGAAATTCCAAACTTTCCCATTTTCCTGTCTTCTTCTGAGTCCTCCAAAGTGTTTCAATCTCTGCCTGTTACCCAGTTCCAAAGTTGCTTCCACATTTTCTAGTATCTTTACAGCAGCACCACACTCTCTGCAGTACCAATTTACTGTATTAGTCCGTTCTCATGCTGCTATAAAGAACTGCCCAAGACTGGGTAATTTATAAAGGTAAGAGGTTTAATTGACTCACAGTTCTGCAGGGCTGAGGAGGCCTCAGGGAACTCAGAATCATGGCAGAAGGGTAACCAAACATGTCCTTCTTCACGTGGCATCAGGAAGGAGAAGTAGTACTGAGGAAAAGGAGAAAAGGCCCCTTATAAATCCATCAGGTCCCATGAGAACTCACTCACTATCATGAGAACAGCATGAGGATAAATGTCCCCATGATTAAATTACTTCCCACTGGATCTCTCCCACAACACATGGGGATTATGGAAACTACAATTCAAAATGAGATTTGGGTGGGGGCTCCAACCCCACAGTTTCCTTCCACGCTGCCCTAGCAGTGGTTCTCCATGAGGGCTCCACTACTGCAGCAAACTTCTGCCTAGACATCCAGATGTTTCCATACATCCTCTGAAGTCTAGGCAGAGGTTCCCAAACTTCAATTCTTAATTTCTGTGCACCCATAGGTGCAACACCATGTATTAGTGTTGGACACAGAGCCAAACCACATCATATCCAAAGGAAAAAAAGTCATTATATGAAAAAGACACATGCACATGCCTGTTTATAACAGCACAGTTTGCAATTGCAAAAGTATGGAACTTAGGTCTGACCTAAGCACCCATCAACCAACAAGTGGATAAAGAGAATGTGCTATATGTACACTATGAAATACTACTCAGCCATAAAACAAAGTGAAACAATGGCTTTTGCAGCAACTTTGATGGAGTTGGAGACCATTATTCCAAGTGAAGTAACTTAGGAATGGAAAACAAAATATTGTATGTTCTTGCTTATAAGTGGGAGCTAAGCCATGAGGATGCAAAGGCATAAGAATGATAGAATGTACTTTGGGGACCTGGGGAGAAAAATGATGGGGGGATGAAGGATAAAAGACTACATATTGAGCATAGTGGACACTGCTTGGTTGACAGGTGCACCAATATCTCAGAAATCACTGCTAAAAAACTTATTTATGTAATCAAAAATTACCTGTTCCCCTGAAACTATTGAAATTAAAAACTTAGTTTTTTAAACTTAGTGCTTTATTCTGTGTCCACTTTTTCTCAACGAAAGTGTATTTTTATTCATTATTTCATAATCTTCCAGTAGTATGATAAAGAATTTGTCTAGTCTTTGTCCTGGGTTCCTAGCATGGAACTTCTAAAATCCTTGACATTTCCTGAGTGATAGAGTCTTTGCTATGCTAATTAGGTCACTCATGGTGGACTCCTAGATAGCTTCTTCTGGGCGAGTTGAGCTGATCACCAGAAAAACCTACCATGTGATTAGGGAGTTGGCACTTTAGACGATCTTAATTTTGGGGGAAAGGAGAGGAACAAGAGATTGAGTTAAGTCACATGGTATGTTTGTCTGTTCGCATTGCTATAAAGAAATACCTGAGACTGGGTAATTTATAAAGAAAAGAGGACTATTTGGTTCATGGTTCTGCAGGCTGTACATGAAGCATGGTGCTGGCATCAGCTTCTGGTGAGGGCATCAGGAAGCTAACAATTAGAGTAGATGACAAAAAGGGAAGCAAGACGGGGTGCCAGGCTATTTTAAATCACCAGCTTTCACATCAACTACCAGAGTGAGAACTCATGCATTACCATGGGGATGGCACCAAGCCATTCATGAGGAATCCACCCCCATTATGCAAACACCTCCCTACAGGCCCAACTCAACATTGGAGGTCACATTTCAACATGAGATTTGGAGAGGACAAAACATCCAAACCATATCACATGGCTAATGAGCTAATGAATTATGCTTATGCAATCAAGCCTCAATAAAACCTCTAGACAACAAGGCTCAGTGGAGTTTACTAATTTATTAAAACACTGATGTGCCAAGGGAGTGATTCACCCTCAGTCCACAGGGAGAGGCATGGAAGCTCCGTGTTTCCTCCCAGACCTCACCCTATGGGTATACTTTATAATAAAACTGTAATCATAAGTATTACTTTTCTGAGTTCAGTAAGTCATTCTAGCAAATTATCAAACACGAGGGGCAGAGTAGAAAAGTCTTGGATTGGTAGTTTGTTAGTCAGAATGCAGGTGGCTTGTGGATCCACATAATTTATAATTGATGTCTAATATACAGTCTTGTTATGAACCATGCTGATCTGATGCTAACTTCAGGTGGTTAACATTAAATTGAATTGTATTACAGTATATTTAGTTGTGGTAAAGGCAGGAATACTTCCCAACATTCAAATGTAGGAATCATATTTTCAAGTTACAGGGAATATGTTAATGTTTAAATACACTAAGTAATTCCCATTAGATAATACAGTTACTAAGTGGCTGACTTAGAATTTAAACTGAGGCTTGTGTGATTCCAAGGTCTGTGATCTTTTTGCTTTTTGCCAGCCTGCTCTAACTCTCACAAAGATCAGATATTACAAATGCTTATCCCAATCCCATTTCAGGAATGAAGCTGAAAGGAAAACTGCTAGGGGAGACATTTCTGGCCCTAAATCTTCAGTCTCCTTAGTGTGAGAAGTGTTTAGAGCAATGTAATTCTGCAGAATAAGCCTGCAAGTATGCAGCCAAAGATGACTGTCCTGAAATGTGAACTGTACAAACAGCTTTCTCCTGTGGTACAATGGTTTTCTGATTTCTTTAAGAAATGAGAGTTCCACAGTCTTGAATGATGTTCAAGGCCACTGTGTTAGGCTCTGAGGATACATGAAGTTAGAATCTAAGGTCTCCTCCTTTAAGCAGCTAACAACCCAGTGGGAAGACAGGACAAGGAAGAGTAAGATAAATAATTGAGACAAAAAAGATCACCCAAAGAAAATATTTATGAAGGTCAGGGTGATTGTGAAGAATTTCTAAGGGAAGATCAGAACCTGGCCTTGAAACATGTATAGGATTAGAAAAAGGATTACTTCTAAGATTGGAGTAGAGCACTATGTGCAATGTGTCTCCTACAGTGTCTTCAGTGAAAGTGATGATGAGAATGATGATGATGGTGATGATGACGATAATTCAAGGATAATTCAAGCAATTCTGCAGCTTTCAGATGAGTGCCCTTCTGGTCAGAGTGCCCAGAAATAAAAGAGCTGTTTATGCTTTGAAATGAAACTTGCACTGTTTAATTTTGTTCCTAGAGGCCTTTGAATTAGAAGCACTCATCCCAGCTGGGAGTGTTGGCTCATGCCTGTAATCCCAGCACTTTGGGAGGCCGAGGTGGGCAGATCACCAGAGGTCGGGAGTTCGAGATCAGCCTGGCTAACATGGTGAAACCCCCTCTCTTCTAAATACACAAAATTAGCTGGGTGTGGTGGTGCATGCCTGTAATCCCAGCTACTCAGGAGGTTGAGGCAGGAGAATCGCTTGAACCTGGGAGCTGAAGGTTGCAGTGAGCTGGGATCGAGACACCGCACTCCAGCCTGGGCGACAGAGTGAGATTCAGTCTCAAAAAAAAAAAAAAAGAAGAAAAAGAAGAACTCATCCCTAGAAGGAAAACTTGCCCAAACAAGAAGGAAATGCCCCTTTTAAGGGTAGGATATGCCTATAGGTGCCCTGAATGGGAGCATCAGTTTTGATAGAGAAAATTCCAAAGCCTGGGGTTTGCACAAGGAAAGGATTGAATGCATTGCAACTTTAAGTTCCCTATGTCACCATCCCCAGAGAGTAAAATGCTAATCCTCTGTCAGGCAAGTGTACCCAGAGAGTAGGGGGAACCAACCTATCCTCCCTCCCTCTGACATTATATGGTTCTGGTGCAGCTGACCCATTCTATGTTTGAAGACCAGGCCCTGATTGATTTAAGCTGATTGTGGTCTCCTCTCCCTATGTCAACCATAATTGGTTCGGGATGGACATATCAGCAAATCTGAGCCAATAAGAGAGAGAGCGTCTAAGGATTTGTGCAGGAACAACTAGAAGTGGCCCTCCTTCTCCCTTGGAGAATGGTTTAAGGCTGTGAGTTTGCAACTAGCAGTAGCTGTTCATAAATAAGAAAAGAGGGCTGGGAATGGGGAAGATAGCAATGTGTGAAGCCTGAGGATGAAGCCAGCACTATGAAAGATAGAGCAAAAAGAAAAATCAAGTTCTGGTTATAATATATGTGTTATTGAATCAAGTATCACCTAAACACGGAAATGTTCCTAAATCTTTCAGGTTTATGAGCCAAGAACTGCCTTCCTCACCCCCATTTTTTGCTTAATTTGGCTTTTTTATTCTTTTTTCTTTCTTACGACAAAAAATCCCTAACTGATGATAATGAACAAGCAGTCTCTGGCATTATATAATTTGCCTCAATTTACTGCCTGTGAATGTTCACTCCAAGTGTTAACCACTTGTGTAGAACAAATATCTGTAACAACATTTTCTAAGCATAATTCACTATGTATATTCATAATATCAGCCTATACTTGGAAATATGATATGTGAATATCTGTCAAATCTATCAGATCATAATGACTACTGCATAATGGCATATTCTAATGAGATTTAATATTCAAAATTGAAGATCAGTTAAGATAACTGCATTCAGAATATCACTGATTGATAATATTTTTGCACATGACAAATCTTGAAGCACCATAATTTAGATAAAGCACTTACCCCAACTTAGTCTCATTTTAAATTTAGTAATCCACTTTGTATTCAGGCATTTGGATACTGTGAAATAGTTTAGCCCTTAAGGTCTCCTCAAAAGAAATCTCAGATCAGAATGCATGCAGCCACTACTGGGATAATACCACAGAGTAGGTGAAGCAAAGACAGATAATGTGCTTGCAAAGCACTGCCCTTGCTAATGTGCAGATGCCCACACATTGCACATTACATCTTCATTATCATTTCTACCTTCAAGACCCTAAGGTTGTGTCATGAGCAGAATGAGTGTGCTTGGTGGGACAAAGAGGATCTTCAAAATCGCTCAATCCTCACATGTATGCTCCAAAACTACATGCCAAAATATTTCTCCAACCTTCACCAGAGTCACTCCTATAAACCAGAATATTCTTATCTTTTAGAAGACCTTGTTTTCTCTTTGTCTTCTCCTTTTCCATTTTCTTTTGTGCTTTGCAAAGGGTAAACAGCAAGAGGAGTACAGAGTCCATCAGTGATTTCCTGTACAGACTCACTTGATGTTAAAAATTTGTACATGTATCTCTCATCCAGGGTGAAGAAGCCCCTCTGAGCCTTGACAAAGAACATACTAAGGCAACAGTAAGAGGAGGAATACAGCATTCCCATGTCTGGGTGGGGAGTGGTATTTTCGAAATCCAATGTTACATGGAAGACAAAGTTCTTTCCTTCATGGAAACTTTTTCTTTGCCCATTCATCTCTATGGCCACAGCAGCTAAAGTTAGAAATTGCTGTTTCAGTGGAGGCCAGAAACAAGAAAACAGCATCTGTAACCTGATAAATGAAAATAAAATGTTATATACATTGTTATTAACACATCAATATATATAGGAATAAATATATGTGTGTTTTTATATTTATTTAAAATACTATTTTTTACCAGGATAATATCATATATATATAGTTTAATTTCTTTAATACTGCTTTTTCTCCCTTTAAAAATTTCATTGAAAGTTGATTGACTTTTAAAGTGAAACTAATAAAAATATATTCTGGGCTTTATAACAGATGTAGAAGTAAAATAAAATATATGGAAAAAATGCACAAAGGTCAGGGTGGGGTGTATAGAATTACAATTTGAAACATCCTTCATGTGTTTATGAATAGTATAATATTATTTGAAGGTAGCTGTGAAAAGTTAAATTTGCAGATGGTAATCTCTAGAGCAACCACTAAAAATTAACACAAAGAAGTATAACAAAGATGTCAATAAATAACATGAAATGGAATACTAATATCTTAACATTAATTAATATTTTAATGCCCGATTTGTCCAAAAGAAGGCAGGAAAGGAGGAAAAAGGGAACAAAGAAACAAAGAATTTATAGGACATTGTTGTGGGCTAAATTTAGCACCCTCCCCAAATTTATATTTTGGAGTCCTATGTCCCAAGACCTCAGAATGTGACTATACCTGAAGACAGGGTCTTTGAAGTGGTAATTACATTAAAATGAAGTCATTGGGGTGAGCCCAAATCTAATACGATGGGGGTCCTTATAAGAATATGAAATTTGGACACAGACACGAAGAGAAGACTATGTTAAGACACAGGGAGAAGATGGCCATATCTAATCCAAAGAGAGAGGCCTGAAGCAGATTCTTTTCTCATGACCATCAGAAGGAAGTGACTCTGATAACACCTGGACCTCATTCAGCACCCAGAACTGTGAAGATGTAAATTCCTGTTGTTTAAGTCACCCAGTTGGTAATACTTTGTTATGGAAGTCCTAGCAAGCTAATACAGTGAATACAAACATTTAAAAAACAAATAACATAATGTGTATGCAACATACATAGATCAATTGTACTTGCATTATTCTGATAATAAAGAATTGGAAAATTCCATTTATAATAGCAACCAAAATATAAAACACCTTAGAATAAACCTAATAAAAGATGTACAATACTTCTACACTGAAAACAAAACAGAAATGATGTTAAATCCAAATAAATGGAGAGGTATATAATTTTCATGGATCAGATGCCTCAAAATTGTCAAGGTGCTTATTCTCTCCAAAATTAAAATCCCAGCAGAGCACGTTGAAGAAAATGGAAAACTAATAGGTATTTAAAATCTGAAATTTAACTATTTTTCTAATTCCTCTAGATGTGAAGTTACATTATTAATTTGAGATCTTTCCAACTTTTTATGGTAGGTCTTTAGCGCTATAAACTTTACTCTAAATACTGCTTTTGCTGCATTCCAGAGTTTTTGGTATGTTGTGTCTCCATTTTCATTTATTTCAATCTTTTTTAATTTCTGCCTCAATTTTGCTATTTACCCAAAAGCAATTCAAGAACAAGTTGTTTAGTTTCCACGTAATGATGTGGTTTTGAGAGATCTTTTTGGTAGTGATTTCTATTTTTATTTCACTGTGGTTCAAGAGTATGGTTGGTATGATTTCACTTTAAAAAAAAATTTTGAGTTGCTTTATGGCCAAGCATGTTATCAATCTTGGAGTATGATCCATATGCAGATAAGAAGAATGTATATTCTTTGGTTGATCAGTGGAGTACTCTGTAAATGTCTATTAGGTCCAACTGACCAAGTGTCAAATTTAAGTCCAGAATTTCTTTGTTAGTTTTCTGCCTCTATGATCTAACAATGTCAGTAGGATGTTGAAGTCCTCCACTACTATTATGTGGCTATCTAGGTCTTTTCCTAACTATAGAAGTACTTGTTATATGAATTTGTGTGCTCCAATTGATGGGTGCATGTATATTTATGGTAGTTAAGTCTTCTTGTTGAATTGAGCCCTTTTATCACTATCTAGTGCGCTTCTTTGTCTTTTTTTTCACTATTGTTGAAGTCTGCTTTATCTCATATAAGAATAGCGCCCCTGCTCTTTTTTGTTTTCCACTTGCACAATGTTTCTTTCTCCAACACTTTACTTTGAGGCTGAGTGTCTTTGCATGTTAGATGGGTCTTTTGAGGACAGAAAATAGATGGTCCTATTTTTTTTATCTAACTTTCCACTCTGCCTTTTAAGTGAGCATTTAGACCATTTACATTCAAGGTTAAAATTGATATGTAGACTTTAATCCTATCATGAAGTTGTTAGCTGGCTGCTTTGTAGTTTCTATTGTGTGGTTGCTTTATAGGATCAGTGGGCTATGTACTTTAGTGTATTTTTATGGTAGTGGGTATCTCTTTAATTTCCATGTTTAGAACTCACTTAAGAATCTCTTGTAAGGCTGATCTAGTGGTAATAAATTTCCCTGACTGGAAAAGATCTTATTTCTCCTTTGCTTATGAAGCTTAGTTTGGCAGGATATGAAATGCATGGTTAGATTCCAGTCTCTCCTGGCTTGTAAGGCTTCTGCTGAGAAGTCCACTGTAAGCCTCAAGGGGTGTCCTTTGTACATGGTCTGGCCTTTTGTCTAGCTGCCCTTAAGATTTTTTCTTTAACATTGACGTTGAACAGTCTGGTGATTATATGCCAGGGTAACGTTAGTTTTATGTAGTATCTTACAAGTGTTCTCTGAATTTCTTGTATCTGAATGCCTATCTCACTTGCAAGATTAGGGAAATTTTCTTGAATTATTAGGGAAAAACAAGAACAAACTCACCCCAAGCTAGCAAAAGAAAAGAAATAACTAAAATCAAAGCAGAATTGAATGAAACTGAGACCCAAAAAATCCATAAAAAGGACAAATGAAAACAAAATTTTTTTTTGAAAGAATGAAGAAGAGTGATAGCTACCTAGTAGGGTTGACAAAGAATAAAAGAGAGAAGGGCCAAATAAGCACAGTTAGAAATGACAAAGGTGACATTACGATTGATCCCACAGAAATACAAAAGACCCTCAGAGACTATTATGAACACCTCTATGCACACAAACTATAAAATCTAGAGGTAATGGATAAATTCCTGAAATACACAATCTCCCAAGATTGATCTAGGAAGAAAATGAAAACTTGAGCAGAGCAATAATGAGTTCTAAAATTGAATCAGTAATAAAAAAAAACAAACTACCAACCCCCAAAGCCCGTGTACTATCTATTATGAACTGGCAGCCAATATCATACTGAACAGTCAAAAACTAGACTCATTCAATCACGTGTGATGGCTCATGCCTGTAATCCCACACTTTAGGAGGCCAAGGTGGGCGAATTACTAGAGCCCAGAAGTTCAAGGCCAACCTCATCAGCATAGTAAGACCCCCCCACACCAAACAAACAAACAAACAAAAAACCTAGTCGTTTCCTTTGAGAACTCTCACCATTCCTGTTCAATGTAGTACTGGAAGTCCTAGCCAGAGCAATCAGGCAAGAGAAAGAAATAAAAGGCACCCATATTGAAAAATAAGAAGTCAAATTATTTCTCTTCACAGACAATATGATTCTATACCTAAAGACTCAGCCAAAAAGCTCCTGGAACAGAAAAATGACTTCAGTAAAGTTTCAAGATACAAAATCAATGTATAAAAATCATTAATGTTTTCATACACCAATAATGTTCAAGCTGAGAGTCAAATCAAAAATGCAATCTCATTACAATAGCCACCAAAAATAAAATGTTTAGGAATATATCTTTAAAAGGAGGTGAAAGATCTCTACAAGGAAAACTACAAAACACTGCTGAAAGAAATCAGAGACAACACAAATAAATAGAAAAACATTCTATACTCATGGATTGGAAGAATCAATATTGTTAAAATAGCCGAACTGCCTAAAGTAATCTGCAGAGTCAACGTCATTTCTATCAAGCCACCACTGTTATTTTTCACATAGCTAGAAAAAACTATTCTAAAATGCATATGGAACCAATAAAGGGCCTGAATATTCAAAGCAATCCTAAGCAAAATAACAAAACCAGAGACATTACATTACCCAACTTCAAACTATACTATAAGGCTACAGTAATCAAAATAGCACAATACTAGTACAAAAACAGGCATATAGGACAATGGAACAGAATAGAGAACCCAGAAATAAAGCCACACATCTACAGCCATCTGATCTTTGATAAAAGTTGACAAAAATAGGAAATGGGGAAATGACACCTTATTCAACAAATGATGCTGGGATTGCTGGCTAGCCATATGCAGAAGAATGGAACTGGATGCCACATAGAAAATGTAACTCAAGAAGGATTAAAGATTTAAAGGTAAACTATTAGAATCCTAGAAGGAAAACCTCTCTAGATATCAGTTTTGCAAGGAATTTATGACTAAGTCCTCAAAAGCAATTGCAACAAAACCAAAAATTGAAAATTGGCACTTAATCGAAAGAACTTCTGTATAGCAAAAGAAACTATCAACAGAGTAGACAACCTACAGAATGGGAGAAAATATTCACAAATTATACATCCAACAAAGGCCTGATATTCAGAATCTATAAAGAACTTAAACAATTGAACAAGCACAAAACAAATAACACCATTGAAAAGTGGGCAAAAGACATGAACAGGCATGTCTCAAAAGATGACATGCAAGTAGCTAACAAACATATGAAAAAATGCTCCACATCACTAATAAGAGTAACGAAAATCAAAACCACAATAAGATACCATCTCACATCAGTCAGAATAGCTATTATTAACAAGTCAAAAAACAACAGATGTTGGCAATGCTACAGAGAAAAGGGAGTGCTTATACACTATTGGTGGGAATGTGAATTAGCTCAGCCACTGTGTAAAGCAGTTTGGAGATTTCTCAAAGAGGTTAAAACAGAGCTACCATTTGATCCAACAATCCCAATTCTGAGCACATATCCAAAAGAAAATAAACATTTCTACCAAAAAGGTACCTGCACTCATATGCTCATTCAAGTACTATTAAGAATAGCAGACATGGAATCAATCTAGGTGCTCACCAATGGTGGATTGAATAAAGAAAATGTGGTATATTTATACTATGGAATATTAAGCAGCAATAAAAAGGAATGAGATTATGTCCTTTGCAGAAACATGGATGGAGCTGGAAGCCATTATCCTAAGCAAAATATCTCAAGAACACAAAACCAAGTACCACATGTTCTCACTTATAAGTGGGAGCTAAACATTGGAGGAAGGGAAGGGGAACGGACTGAAAAACTAACTATTGGGTATTATTCTCAGTACTTATGCAATGGGATCAATCGTACTCCAAACACTTCAGCATCGTGCAATATACCCAAGTAACAAAACTGCACTTGTACTTCCTGAATCTAGAATAAAAGTCGAACTTATGAAAGTAAATATATAATAAAGTAAAATTTTTATGGAAATTCAAAGGGTCTATAATAAGAAAAACAGCCTTGAAAAGAGCAATGAGGTTGGATAATTTATATTTTATGATTTAAAAATAAAGCTACAGTAATAAAGATAGTGTTAGATCAATTGATTGATGGGAAAGATTGTGAATCTAAATACGTATGTGCACATATATGGACAACTGAACTTCAATGCACAAAGTCAGTGGAGAAAGCTGTTTTAACAAATGGTGCTAGAATAATTGGATGTTTGTATGAATAAATAGAAGCCTCAGCCCCCATTTCATGCCATACACAAAAATTAATTCACTTAATATCATATATCTAAATATAAAAGCTTAAAAATATAGAGCTTTCTAGAAGAAAAAGTTAGAGGAAATCAGAAAGTCTATTAAAAAGAGAATGGATAAACACATTTTACAAAATAAAATACTACTCAGCAAGGAAAAAGAATAAAAGAACATGAGACTGTGTACTATATTATTTCATTTATATTCAGTATAAGAATATTAAAAACTGATACATTGTAGCAGAATTCAGAAAGTCATTGCCTCTGGCATGGAGTGAGGCAGTTAAAAAATGGCTGGAAAAGTTAATGAAGAAATTTTCCTGAGGGATCAACCAACAAAAAGAAAGATAAATATTACTTCTAGCTGAGGAGGATAAAAACTGGGATGGAATAACAAGAAATGGTTTTATGTAAGAATGGGCATTTGAGCTGAGTCTTGGAGGATGAGGAGGGAGTGCACCTTAGACATGGGATAAAAGAAATGATAAACAGTCAAATGTCTGCACCACAAAACCAGCAAATACCACATCATCTTTCTTTCCATGCCACAAATATCAATGGACTCTTCCCTGTACAATCTCAAGGCTAGTAAACAAGTGTATGCTTCAGTCCTTCAAACAGGCTACCTGTCTTTCTAAGAAACCATTTGTATTCTGAATGAATTGCATATTCTGATTGAAATGTTTGCTGTAGGTAACATTTTGTTACTTCTTGGCATCATAGATAGAGGGAAAATCCACCCAGCGGGTCTTAAATTGCCTCTCAATATGCAGTCCTCTTCCCCAAGGCTTTTCCTTTGATTGGAACACTGCTTGCTGTGCTGATTCTGTTGACTGATCTGCAGTGTAGAAGAGTACTCAGAGGGAGAACCCTCTGTCCAGCAGCCTGCCCCACTCTGTTCCAACAGGAGTCCCAATTAGGGAATATCCAATTTCTGCATATTCACTTCTGCTTAATTATATCAAAGCCGGTCCACTTTCCTATGCAATTTCTGTACCATAACAGAAACTCATGTAAGTTTTGGACATGAGTATGATACCATCTCTGGTTTCCCATACTGATGCATATTTCTTCTTCCTATTCTTTTTTGCTTTTTTTATTTGTGAAAAATTATGGGGTCCATGAAAAATTTTGTTACAAAATAATGTGTAGCGTATATAATGTGGTTCCATCAAGACAGTATTCAGTGTCCATTACCCAAGTACAATATATTTACAATGTTAAGTTTGATTTTAAGTACAATGTTAAGCATGGTCATCCTACTCTGCTATCAAAACTTGAATTTATTCATCTTATCTTACCATAAGTTTGTACCCTTTAGCCCACTTCTCTTCATCCTTTCCCCTCCCACCCACTCACATCCCCAGCCTTGTTATCTATTTTCCACTCCTAAATATAAGTGAGCACATGCGATATTTGTCTTTTGTGTCTGGCTTATTTCACTTAAGAGAATGATTTCCAGTTTTCTCCATGTTGCCACAGATAACATGATTTTATTGGTAGTATTCTATTGTTTATATACATCACATTTTCTTTATTCATACATTCGTTGATAGACACTAAGGTTGATTCCATATGTTAGCTATTGTGAATAGGGCTACAATAAACATGTGAATGCAGGTATCCTTTTCATATATTGATTTATTTTCCTTTGGGTAGATACCCAGTAGTGGGATTGCTGGATCGAATGGGAATTCCATTTTTAGTTTTTTGAGAAATCACCATACTGTTTTCCATAGTGGCTGTACTAGCTTTAATTCCTACCAACGAATTGAAGGGAAGTCTTTTCCCTTTTCTTCACATTCTCTCCAACTTGTTTTTTTGTGTCTTTTTAATAATAGCAATTCTAGCTGAGGTAAGATGATGCCTCACTGTGGTTTTGATGTGCATTTCTCTGATTATTAGTGATACTGAGCATTTTTTTCATACACCTATTGGCCACTTGTATGTTTTATTTTGATAAATGTCTATCCATGTCCTTTGCCTACATTTTAATGGTATTATTTGATTTTTTTCTTATTGAGTTTTTTAGTTTCTTGTATATTCTGGATATTAATTCCTTGTAAGATAAATAGTTTGCAAATATTTTTCCCATTCAATAGGAGGTCTCGTCACCCTGTTGATGATTTCTTTTGCTGTGAAGAAGATTTTTAGCTTAATAAAGTCTCATTTACCTATTTTTTGGTTTTGTTGCCTGTGCTTTTGAGCTCTTAGTCATATATTCATTGCCTAAATCAAGAACCAGGAAATTTTTCCCTAGGTTTTATTCTAGTAATTTAATAGTTTTGTGTCTTGCATTTAAGTCTTTACTCCATTTTAACTTGATCTTTGTATATGATGAGAGATAGGGGTCAATTTCATTCCTCTGGATGTGGCTCTCCAATTTTCCCGGCATCATTTACTGAAGAGGCTACCTTTTCCCCATTCTAAGTTCTTTCTGGTTTTGTCAAAGATCAGTTGGCTGCAAATGTGTGGCTTTATTGTTGAGTTCTCTACTCTGTTCTATTGGTCTGTGTGTCTATTTTTTATACCAGCACCCTGCTTTTTTGGTTACTATAGCCTTGAAATGTGTTTTGAAGTCAGGAAATGTGATGCCTCTAGATTCTTTTCTTTTTCCTTAGGATTGCTTTGGCTATTCAAGCTCTTTTTTGATTCCATATGAATTTTAGGATTGGTTTTTTCTAATTCTGTAAAAAAAAGACATTGTTATTTTGATAGGAATTGCATTAAATCTGTAGATTTCTTTGGGCAATATAATCATTTTAATGATATTGACTTCTGATTCGTGAGCATTGGATGTTTTTCCATTTGTTGGGATCATCTTCAATTTCTTTCAACAGTGTTTTGTAGTTTTCCTTGTAGAAATCTTCTACCTCCTTGGTTAAATTTATTCCTAGGTATTTTAATTTTTTGTAGCTATTGTGAGACTGCCTTCTTCATTTCTTTCCTGGCTTGATCATTATTGCTGTATAGAAATGCTAGTAATTTTTGTACATTAATTTTGTAATCTTCAACTTTACTCCTGAATTTATTTTCCAAATCTAGGACTTTTTATTATAAAAACTTTCAACCATACACAGAAGAGAATACCATAAAGAATTCTCCTGTCACCCAATTTTACAATACCCACGTTTTGCCATTCTGATTGATTTCTGTCTTTTTTTTATTTGTTCTCTTTTAGCTCTTAAGTGGAAAGGATAATTTTTTTTCACTATGAAAATGCTTTAATGGTGGTGTCTGTACCGCATGTGATGTCAAGAAAGAACAGTGAGGGCCCTCCCTGTTGCCCTCCCCTGGCCTCTAGCAACCACTGCCCTACTCTCTGCTTCTATATGATAAACTTTTTCAGCTTTCACATATGAATGAGAAGATGCAGTGTTTATCTTTCTTTGCCTGGCTTATTTTACTTAACATAATGTCCTCCAAGCTTATCCATGCATCCATGTTGCCACTAATGACAGAATTGTGTTCCTTTTTATTTTTTGGATTCTTTTGGTATTTTTTTAAATCACTTTATAGGAGACGAAGGGTGGGGCTCTATTTCTGAGCTCAAGTCATTGTCTTTCCTAGATGCTAGCCTGCGTTAATAACTTTACAATATTGCACAATGTTAGGAACCTGTTTAAAAAAAGTCTTATATTTACACGTGATAGGTAATTAATCTAATTGTGTTACATTTTATGTCGGAATTAAAGAAGGAGTGTTTGAGTTGTATAAACTGGGTTCAGATCCCAGCCCTACCACATTCTCAGGCAGCAAATTAACATTTCCAAGCTTCATTTTCCTCATCAGTAAAATGAAGATGTTAACAGTATCTATTTCCTGGAATAGTTATGAGGGTAAAATGAGATAATGCATCTAAAGCTTCCGCATGTGCCTGGCACACAGTAACTGCTTAATACATATTTAAAAGAATTATTGTAATCTTCCGTCATTGCTGGATCTGGTACCAAACTTACTTTCATGTAAGTTCAGATTTCTCACACCTAGACTTTTCAAGAATAGGTTTTCTAAAAAATCATAGTTTATGGTACAATTTAATTTTATCTAACCGTAAAAGCAGTACAAAAAAAAAAAGAAAGAAAACCTCCTAGATGTATATACATCCTCTCTGTCTAGATAGAGCTCTTTGGAAAGCTAGGAATCCCAGACACAATGAGGATTTAAACAGATTTATTGAAAATCATATTTGGAATGCATAAGTTGTAGGCCCAAGATTAAGGCAAGTCTCTCTCTCCAGAACATTTTCTTCAGTAGTAATAGACAGGCAAAGCCTTTTTCTTTTTAAATCATTCTCTAATGAGAAATGGTTTAAACTGGAAAACTTCTTTATACAGCAATTTGGGCAGATCCAGGGATAAAATGAAAAGATCATTCAGTAACAGAACTAAAGCTGTCCTAACACAACTATCTCAGTCAGAATTAGAATGAGATGTTCATGACAATTGACAGCCATCATGCTGGTACACTTGCCACAGAACAGACCTGAGCCAGATAACTCACATTAATTCCCATCCCTGATCCTCCTCAACACTACCCCTCTGAACTCTGTTCAAAACCCTTGAGCAGCTTCTCATTAATCTCAGAATAAAGTTTCCAAAACTTAACATGCCCTGAAAGTCCATGCATGGTCCAGACCCTAATGACTTCCTCACTCATGATTCTGCCTTCACTCATGTATTCTAGCCACACCATCCTCAAATGAAACATACTCCCACTGCCACGGGGCCTTTGCAAATACTGTCCTCTCTGCTTGGAATGCCCCAGTGGGCTCTTCTTCATGCTTTAGACCACAGCTCAAGCGTTTATGGTACCATTGAACACCTCCTTCATAACTCTTAAAATTATAATCAATAACTATGCAATTAATTTGTTAATACTATAGTTGTTTAAATTTCTCATTAGAATAGAAATGTCATGGGGATAAGGACAGTGTCTACCATGCTAACCATTCTATTCCTAATGTTTGTATAGGACAAATGTTCAATAAATATTTATTGACTAAGTAAATGAATGGATTTTCATTCTCTACCAATATCAGAGCTTGGGCTATAAACCTCTAAGTGCAACTTATCTTTGAATCGAAGCGTATGAGTCATTCAGCAACATGAGCGCTGGCTTACATTGACTTGTATATCTATGATATCTTGTGTGTGCATGTGGATGAGTATCTGTTGATCTATGTTCTCACCGGTTTTCTCTTTCCCTGAGTTGCTTGGGGAGTTCCTGGGTTGCTACTCCCTGGGGAGTACTGGCAGGTACTCCCAGATACCCTGCCAGGTAACATATGATTTCTTTATTTTTGCCATCGTTTCCCTATTACTGGTCTTTTTTGCTTTTCCCAATCCCCTCAGAGGCCAAAACCATCCTAAAATCTGGTGGTCTCATTGGCGTTCACCATTCATGGCTCCCAGGCTTTTGATTTAACGGCTCTTTTACTTTCAAGGCCTGCCTTCTTCACTGCCAAGATATTTAGTTATTATTATTCATAGAAAATTATTCAAAAAATAGATTCATTCTCTCTCTGCCTCCATCTCTCAGCTGATGGGGATATTATTCTTGGTTTTAGGGCTATAAACTTCAGGGAAAATATTATTTTTTAAATCCTTGGTTGAGTTTTAGGAGATTCATGATATTTTTCACTGAATACCATGCATCCCTTTATAAAATAATGATGATATGCCTAGCTCTTCAAGAGGATGCAAACTGTACAACTAAGACTTTGGAATTGAGAGCTTTTGGAAAATAATTGAAACTTTCATATGGTTTACACAACTATAGTTGTGATTTATTTATTTATGTGTTCATCCATCTAACCAGCATTTGCTCAGTTTCTAATATGAATTAGGCACCATATTTATACCTAGTTCATGATAGAATGATGTAGAAGGCAGATGAAAGTCCTGCCCTCAATGAGGCATAGATTCATGCTGCAAGAAATAAAGAGTAAACAATAAAATATCTATTTATAGCAAGTACAATGCCAGGATATTATGAGTTAGCTATAATCACTGAAAATCTATTTTCTCCTCCATGGTAAGAAGAGCATTGCTGCTTCGCCTTGGCCATGCTATGTGCACTGTTCAGTTATAGCATTTTTTGTTTGTTTGTTTTTTATCTTTTAGGTTCAGGGTACACGTGCAGGTTTACTATCTAGGTAAATTGCATGTCATGGGGGTTTGGTATATAGATTGCTTTATCACCCAGGTAATAAGCATAGTACCCGATAAGTAATTTTTTAATAGTTGTCCTTCTCCCACCATTTAACCTCAAGTAGGCCCCAGTGTCTGTTGTTCCCTTCTTTGTGCCCATGTGTAGTCAATGTTTAGCTCCCACTTATAAGTGAAAACTTGTGGTATTTGTTTTCTGTCCCTGCATTAGTTTGTTTGGGATAATGGCCTCTAGCATCATCCATGTTGCTGCAAAGGATATGGTCTTGTTCTTTTTATGGCTGCATAGTATTCCATGGTGAATATGTACCATATTTTCTTTATACAGTCTACCATTGATGGGCATTTAGGTTGATTCTATGACTTTGCTATTGTGAATAGTGCTGTGATGAATATATGTGTGCATAAGTCTTCATGGTAGACCAATTTGCATTCCTCTGGGTATTTACCCAATAGTGGGATTTCTGGGTCAAACTGTAGTTCTGTTTTAAATTCTTTGAGAAAACACCACACGGCTTTCAATAATGATTGAACTAATTTACATTGCCACCAGCAGTGTATAAGTATTTGCTTTCCTCCACAACCTCACTAGCGTCTTTTCTGTCTTTTTAAATAATATCCATTCTGACTGGTGTGAGGTGGTATCTTGTGTAGTTTTGATTTGCATTTCTTTAACTATTAGTGATGCTGAATATTTTTTCATATGGTTGTGGGCCATGTGTATGTCTTCTTTTGAAACGTGTCTTTTCATGTCCTTTGCCCACTTTTTAGTGGGGTTGGTTGGTTTTTTTTCTTGTGAATTTGTTTAAGTTCCTTGTAGATGCTGGATATTAGACCTTCGTTGGATGCATAGTTTGTGAATATTTTCTCCCATTCTGTAGACTGTCTGTTTAGTTTGTTGATAGTTTCTTTTGCTGTGCAGAAGCTCTTTAGTTTAATTAGGTCCCCTTTGTCAATTTTTCTTTTTGTTGCAACTGCTTTTTGTTTGCAGATAATATGATTCTATAGATAGAAAACCCCACAATCTCTGTCCAAAAGCTCCTAGATCTTATAAACAACTTCAGCAAAGTTTCAGAATACAAAATCAACGTACAAAACTCAGTAGCATACACTAGCAGTGTTTTTCAAAGTTTTTTAAAGATTCCCTAGTGGTCATGAAATTGAGATTTTACTAATATTTTTAGTGAATTAAATAGAACATATCAGAGATTATTTCACATATTAAAGGTTAATATTGATATTTGTTTCAGATTTAAATTTATGGATATCCTGGCTCTGATGTAAAATATATGTGACAGCAGGTCACCATAAAAAATGTATGAAGGCATGGCTCCTTAGGCCACAAGCTCAGCACTGTGTCACCACATATGAGGTGCTTAGGGGCACCACCTATGAGGTGCTTGTTATAATGGTAACAAGACAGGCAGCTGGTTCCTTTAGGACAAGAAGTAGGCACATTAAAATTCAACTTCATTTCAAAAGATATTTCATTTCTTTAGATTTTGGATTTGAAAATATTATTTGAATGTATAATCAAGAAGAACTAAAAATAAGTTATCACTCAGCATGGACAACTTTAAAAATGATATGATGGGGATAGGAAGTATTGGTAGGCTTTCCTAATTATAGATATGCCACATGATTATTAAATTACTCCATTCACTCCATCTTTATTGAGCATTTATTGTGCCCCAAGCACCGTGTTGAATAAATCACACATCGTTCTTACTCTCATCATGTTTACAATTTTCTCTTCACTATCTAAATTAATGGTCCTGAACCCTGACAGCACAATAGCATCATCTGGAGGACTTTTGAAAAAACTGATGCCCAACCCTATTCCCGGAGATTCTAATTTAATCAGTCTGGACTAAGATGCAGAATTAATATTTTTAAAGTTGTCCAGATGATTCTAATGTGCAACCATGATTGAGAATCAATGGCCTTTAGCGTTCAATAAAAATCTTGCAAATTTAAGTATTATTTAACTTTGGCTAAAATACCCAGAACATTTTTTGTCTCAGGGTGATAAAATAAACTCTTCATACAAAAGTGAGAATTTTAAAATTTCTCTAAAAATGTCAGCATCTATAAAGTCCTTGAGTTTTTTTTTATCATTTTGAAATAGTGATCTTTACCATTTTAAAATCACTCTGCTCTGGCTAAATATTAATAATCAGTTTTTTATTATTTTTATTTTGAATTTTTACCTTAGTTATTAGTTTTGAGTTATTTGTTAATTTATGAAATGACCTTAATTTCCATTTCCCCTAAATGGTTAAAATTAAGGACAAAAATCACCCTTTAAGTTTCATTTTTTAGTGATTGTTATCAAATTAAAGTTGTATGTCTACACATTTGTAGATAAAATATTCAAATTGATACCATTTGGATATTTGTCTCATTTTTGCTATTAATTATATTAAATATTACTAAAAGTATGAGTAATACTTCTACTCCCATTAATACATTTATTAATAGCTCATTCCTCTTTGATTTCCAATAATAAATCTCCTTGTGATGAAAGTTTATCAAGAATCTGAAAAAAAACTGCCTGATTCAATGCCCTATTTTTCTCATCAGCTTTTGTGTTTTATCTGTTTAAGTGTTTTTAACTGGTTTAAAAAGGCAGCTCTCATCTCTAACAGAATGATTTTTGCCTTCCCTGAAGATAGGATTAAACCATCTGATTGAAGGACTCCATTCTGCCTTATTTCCTTTTCAAATGAAGCTGAGCAAATCAGCTGAAATAGTTGTTAGCTGTCTGAGTTTCCCTCCAAGTTGGGCTCATTGCCTGTTGATGATATTCTTATTTATTCCATTCTTTGGAGATATTGATGACACCTAGAGGTATCTTTCATCTTCTCTTATCTCATGATTAGATCCTTAAAAGTGTTTGTGGCCTATTGAAACAATCACCTTGACTTGGCAGCCCACAACTGTGTGGACTCGGCCTCATTCACTGCAACCTCCGCCTCCTGGGTTCAAGTGATTCTCCTGCCTCAGCCTCCTGAGTAGCTGGGATTACAGGCATGCACCACCACGCCCAGCTACTTTTGTATTTTTAGGAGAGACGAGGTTTCTCCATGTTGGTCAGGCTGGTCTCGAACTCCCAACCATGTGATCTGCCTGGCTTGGCCTCCCAAAGTGCTGGGATTACAGGCATGAGTCACCACTCCCAGCCATTAGCTATTTCTTTACGGAGCCTAGGTTTCTTTTAGAGACAAATTTTATTTCAATACCACAATCTGGGTACTAGAGCTCATTGCTACTGGGATGATCGTTGTCTCTAGGCTTCTCCATTCATTAGTATCCAGAGCTAGGAAATACACACATACACACATACATATATAAAGATAAAAGACCACATAAGTTTATTTTGCTGCCTCTAATTCAAATTTAAGCCTACAGAACTTTTACTCAACTTTCCCTCTATTATATATGCATCTCCTTTCTTTCACACTGAGAATCTTGGTTCTCAAGAACAGCAGGTGTGATAGAATGAAAATATTCCATAATTACTCATTTGTTTATTCACATATTATACATACAACAGTATCCAAATAATAATATTGAGACTAATACTAATATTAGTGAATACAATTCCTGAAAATATTACAATTATTTTTGCATATGACTTACACATTCTTCTCCTGTATTTCTTGGAGTTCTACTCTATCTGCATTGTCATAATACATAGTACTTATGAATTCTATCCTCCCCTTCTTAGCTCTCACTTAGTTTTAGTTCTATAGATTCCTATAAGCTGACAACTGATGCTCATGTCTATGTCTCTTTATGTCTAAAAAACATTATAGGGCTATCACCATTTTTTTATTATTTTTAGTTCTTTCTCAAGTTTTGTCATCACATTTTTATGTTTTTCTAATTTTGATTTGTATTGTTCTTTAATGTCATATCATTTTCTTAATCTCTTTTAGTTTTAAAATTGTAGGATATAGTTTTGTTGTTTGGGAGCATATCTTTCTAACATGCTTTCATTGTCTGCAGAGATGTTATTCTGCCCCTTATTCTCTTTTTTCTTATAATAACTGAGTATGGGTTTGGCCTTCATACTTTTCTGTTGCCCATTTTTATGTGTAATTGGTTCTCTGCACTTTTAGAATGGGCGTGGTTCAGGAAAGCTTTTATAACTTCACAGAGCTCCCTCGTCTGTTTCATAATGCTCCAAAATAGGCAGCCTGCTTCCTGAGGTCTCCCAGCTCTGTTCTCCTCCCCAGTGTTGTCTTTTCTTGTCCCTGGTGTCCATCTCCTGCTCAATTTTGATTCTACTCCCAGCAGTTATTCCTGAGGGCGGGCCCATCCTAGCAGGAGCTCTGGCTATTTTGAGAATTCATCTCAAGCTTTGGCTGATGGCTGCAGCTCCCTCACACCTCTCTAGCACCAGATTTCTTGCACTCATTTGATATGGGGTAGAGTAAACCCCACCCTCATTTCAGCTGCTGTTCTCTAGTTAGCCTGTGGTACTTTCCGGTGAATACCTATTAAGTTTTTGGGGTTCTCTGTTCTCAGCCCTATAAAATGCTGGCCTATAGTTTCAGTTGTGTTCTCCACAAAAACGCCAATACCCCATAGATCTTGTGGCTGTTGGTGGCTTATATTTTAGGGTTTGTGGGGACACCTCACCTAGTTTTGTTGTCAATGTTGTCTGTGTTTTGCCATAAAGTTGCTCAAATTTTATGGGGGCATTCAGAGATTGAAAAACTTTATAGCCATTGCCACCCTCTGCTCAGAATTCTCCTGAATATATGTATTTTTCACTTTGCTAATGTAATAGGCAAAAAAGTTTTAAATTTTTAATCTTGATACCATTATATTATAAAAATAATATATGCCCATTGAGGATATTCAGAAAACTCATAAAGTATACAGAAAACAATAAAAATTGCCTATAATTTTATCACCCGAGATACATACAACTACTAAGAATTAGGTGTGTTTTTTAACCTTTTTAAATGTTTAAGTAAAACACATTTTATTTATATTCATGTATAGTGTATAACATTATACATGGATCAAATTGATTCAGTTTTGTATCTGATGTTTTATAGTTAATGTAGCATAGTAAGCCTTTTCTCCTTGTCCTTAATTATTTGAAAGTTTATTTTTTATGTGCTTAAGGGGGTTCATGTGTACACAGACTTGAGAAATTCTGAAATGAATAGTATTAGGTGAATTGCTTTACTAACCAGAGAAAAATAAATTTAGATGTTCTCCTTAGAACATGTACAAAAAGAAATTCTAGAAGAATAAAAGAGTTCAGTACATTTTAAATGAAAAATCAAAAAGAAAAATAATATAGGTAAACAGGAAAAAACTTGCTAAGGATAAAAGCAAATAGTCACAAAGAAAAGTATTAATACAGCTGACCATCTGAAAAGCAGCATCCTTCTTAGGCATTCAGCTATCGTGTCACCATAGCCTTCAGCAATGACTAAGGATTCTAACTAATCCTCTGTTATCGAGTTAATAGAGATCATTTTCTTTGGCAAGGTACTAAATCAGAATCCTAGAATGAAAGAATCCACTTTTCCAGGTGGTTAACAGTACATTCCCAATTAATTCATCCCTGAGAATCCAGCAGCCAGCAGTTTAAGACATGGCAATATGGCATATAGCGTTGAAGGAGATCTTATGCAGGATCAGTTGACAATAAAGAGAGCAATGGCTGCTCTCATTTTGTTTAGCCTCCTGGTGGGCCTGTGGGACAGTGAATTTCAGGAATCCAAATGTATAGAAAGTTTCAAACTTGTAGAAAATTAAAACAAGAAAATATAAAACAGATAAATTTTGGAGGTGATCATTAACACCTCACTATTATTTTACTTTCTCAAATTCACTTAATGTCAGCTTCCTGTAGTGCCTCTAAGATTCTCTGCAGGAAGCAATAAGGAAAATACAAAGTTAACATGCTTGGGGCCATTGCCAGTGAAAGAAACAGATGAAACAACTTGAAAAACGTCTGGATATTGTGAATCATATTCAGATATGTATCTCCTGAATAAATGGTGAACTGATTGCATGAAATATCAAGGCGACTTGGGTGTTTATGAATGGAACACTGGGGCTCTAGGCAGAGACTAGGGTGAGGCAAGTGAGACACCCAGGGATTAAAATTGAAGGAGGTGTCCACTCCCAGGGCCAACCCTGTGCTGTGTGACCCGGAGCGGGAGTGACTTCTTAAATTGTGTGCCTTACTTACTTTATTCACCTCACCTGAGTGCTGGTCCTGCTTTTTCAATGCCTAGTTTTGTTTCCGGATCTTTTCCCAAGCAAATTTACTTCTCATAGCTCCCTAAAGACTAAAGCAGAGTAAACTAGTTATGTGTTATCCTAAGGGGAAGTTCCGCTCAGCCAGACAGAGGAATAGAATGGCTTGAGTGAGGAGCATCTTCTCTATATTTATCCTCATCTCCTACGTAAAGAGCTATGAATAGGAGCATGAAAATTAAAAATGAGAGAGAGAGAATAATCTGTTAAGCAATGTGCCTTGATTTGTAAGACCTAAAACTAAGTAAGTACATCAAGTGTCAGAAAGCAGGGGAAATTTTGCTTCCGGTTGCGTCAAAAGGTAACTTCCACCTCTTAAACTTTGCTTAGTCTGTAAAACAAATAACTACATCTAGTTTGGGGCTGAAATTCATAAGTGTGATCCATGCTCACCAGGTTTCATCGCTGTCCTGGGGGAATGTAACTGACACTGAAAGAAGTTAATTTTGTGTGATTTCTTTCATATGTCCCCCCTCAAAACATTTGTGGGCAAACAGCGCTCTTAGGAAATGCTTTCATTTGCTCTATTTTCCATTAGCTTGGACTCCTATGTTTCTGGTGCTCCTCAACACCTGTTGGGAGTTCACACTATGGCTGGCTGGCAGCGTTAAATCTGGAAGGAAGAACATATTCCACCGTTCCCATCAATGCCTCAGTAGGAAGTGCTTCAGGGAAAATAAGAGGAATTTACTGAGCTGAGAATGTGGAACAAAAGTCCAGGTTAGCTCTGCCTTTGAGCCCAGAATGGATACACAATAGTCAGGGAATCGATTTCTGTCGCTTGCATACTTTATTTCATCTTGGGCCACTTTTTATCATTACCCATCTCAGCATTTCTTTCCCTGTTACATTTGAGAGGAGAAAACAGTTATTTTATCTGCTTCTACATTTCTTTCTTTAAGTAGTAATTATCTTTTTATTCTTTCCACTCACTACCTCTCTTCTCATTGTTCTCAGCGGGTTCAACATCAAAACCTGGCTGAATCTGTCTGGGGAACACATTCTTTTGCCAAAGAGCCTGCTTCCTCGTGTACTGTTCAGCTTTTGCAGCAAGCTTTGGAGCATATTTCTTGCTTAAAATAGTAGCCCAGTTTACCTACAGGACCAACCAGGACTTAAAAATTATAATAACAATTATGATTCCCTGCCTGCGCATATCATTTCAAAGACTTTCGCATTACTTACATTAGGCCTCCCACAACCCAGCCCCACCCTCTCCAGACTATGTGTCCCAGTTTTTCTTTCCTATAGCTAGCTGCTCCCTGTTTTTCCCAAATATGCTTTTCCACTTGTGGCCTTTCCAATGCTACACTTTCCCTTTCCTATACTTCCACCTGGAATGTCTTAACCCCTGAGTCCGCCTTTCCTATGATATCACCGTTCACTGACATCTTAATCATTCTGATGAGCTTGGTCAAGATGTGCCTTTCTCCCCCATGAAGACTTCCCTAATCCCTAACTACTCCCTGTATATACAAACTTCTGACTTTTGACCCAAGGCCCTTTTCAAATTTATCTTGAAAGATGACTATTTATATTCTTTAAAGAACAGGATCAGAGACGGTATCCCATTTTTCCCTGGGACCAGCCTGATTAAATGCACTTCAGTGCTAGACACTTAGAAACTGGAATTTATCACACAAGATATGGTGCTGTGGCCCCTAGCTTTGCAGGGGGCATATAAAAATACATACAGAACTCAACCTCAAGAGATGATGTTCACCTCAGTCTGTTGTAAAGGACAGATGAAGACTGATTTAAATTCAACAAATATTTATTGCTTACCCTCCAGGCAGGCCGTGTATTAATCACTGGGGATACAAGGCAGATGTCTACACTGGAAGATTGGTAAATGGGCTAATCAATTTGAATTTATTTTTTTCCCTTGTGATGAGTTAATGCAGTGATTCTCAAACCTGGCTGTGCAGCAGAATCACCAAGGGAACATGTTTTTATGCATTTGTTTATTTATGCATTCATTGTGAATTCTGTTTTGTAGAAATAAGTAAAACATTCGCTGGATACAAATCTAAAATACTGAAAAAGGTATGCAGTGAAAAGGATCCCCTGCACCACTACGCCATTGTCCCAGGCACCAAGATTCCCTCCCGGGAGACCTTGCCAATGCATTTGATATTGTGGGGCAATATTCTTAAAATATTCTTTAGCTCCACCACAGAGTTATTGAATAAGAATCTCTTTGATTACCAGATGAGGGCCTGGGATCAGTAGATCTACAAAGCTACTCAGTTGATTGTGATGAGTTGGTCTATAAAATGGCCTTTTGGAAACTGGGTTGATGGATGGGCAAAGTTAGAGGAAGAAGTACTTCAAAGATAATGGTGACAGTTTTGAGTGTAGGCAAGGAAGACAATGATTGTGAATGGAGCACAGTGAATTACAACAGTTTTAGATCTTTGTGCAATCTACAAATTTAAAAATTAACAAATAAGCAGTGTGGCCAAAGGAGCACTATTTTCTAGTCTGAGCTGAGCTTCTGCAGTCCACATAAGGTGATCCAAAGCCAGTTTCCACTCTTATTTTACTTGAGAAGGCCCTAGGAAGCATCCTTGTTATGAGATGGGCAGCGAGGCCTCCTTTTGCAATTCGGGTGACTCTTTCCAGCACTGGAGCTGTGACTCTCTAGAGTCCACAGAAGCCATACTTTGATGCCTGGTTGCCAATTTTCTGTCCTTCTCCTGTATGGAAACAACCTCGGGTGATTTGTTTCTTTCTTCCAGAAGCTGGCTGTGAAAATATAATGATAGTGGGTGTTCTACAAAACCAACTCTAGTTGAAGCATAGTCTTTTCAGAGGGTTGATGGGAACATCACATTAGATATAAATATGAATATGAATATTTTATATTCATATTCACATCCTCATGGATGAGGTCAATAATGAGGAAAAATTTGGTTTAGCTCCAGCAGGTCCACCGAGAAGCAGCCAATACTTCCTTGAAGGTCACCTGCAGTGTCGTGACGATATTTGATGGAACCAAATGAACTGGCACAGTTATACTAACAGGCTCCAAGCCTTCTAGTACAGGGTGGCTGGTTAATTCAGTAAAGGGCATTCTTTACTCAGCTGGGAAGTATCTATAAACTGTCAACTGTGTTCTGAAATAGACTATCTTGTCTGTCGTCCCACAGCTCCTTTTATTAGGTGTAGGAATCAGGAAGTTGAGGAAGGAAAAAAAGCAAATTCACAAGGCACTAAGGGTCTACCATGGATAGGGACTGGCCATACCATCACCTGAGCCTCCCCATAGGGCAGTCACACTGCCAGTCCGAACTCAAAGTTGACAGAAGCTCTCCTTTGTGTGTTTTACCATCTCTACTCTCCTGTGGTACAAAGCACCTGGGCATCCTTGAGAAGGTTAACCTCCCTGTCTCAATTTATTCATTTACAAAATAATGCTTACATTAAAAAAGTTGCCATGAAGATTAAATATACTGAGTCGGAAACACTTAATACTGAGTTTGGTGCAGAGAAATTCGAAGTAACTTTTAGCTATGAATAGTTTACTGTTTTGTGCTTATGTCAAGAAATTAGAGGCCTGGCATGGTGGCTAAAGCCTGTAATCCCAGCATTTTGGGAGGCCAAGGCAGGCAGATCATTTGAGGTCAGGAGTTTGAGACCAGCCTGACCAACATGGCTAAACCCTGTCTCTACTAAAAATATAATAAAATTAGCTGGGAATGGTGGGGTGCAACTGTAGTCCCAGCTACTTGGGAGGCTGAGGTAGGACAATCGCTTGAACTTGGGAGGCAGAAGTTGCAGTGAGCTGAGATTGCACCACTGCACCCCAGCCTGGGCAACAGAGTAAGACTCTCTTTCAAAACAAAAAGAAAGAAGAGAAATTAGAAAGATCTCAAATTAACAATCTAACAATGCACCTAGAGAAACTAGAAAGAAAAACCAACCCCAAAGCTAGCAGAAGAAAAATGTAAAATTAGAGATAAACTGAACAAAATTGAGAGACAAAAATTCATACAAAAGATCAATGAAACAAAAAGGTAGTTCTTCAAAAGAATGAACAACATTGATAAACTGCTAGCTAGATAACCAAGGACAAAAGAGAGAAGATCCAAATAAACACAATCAGAATGAAAAGGATGACATTACAATTGATCCCACAGAAATTCAAAAGATTATCAGATACTATTATGAACACCAATAGGCAAACAAACTAGAAAATCTAGAGAAAATGGATAAATTCCTGGAAGCACACAACCACTCAAGATTGAACCAGGAAAAAGTGAAAATTTTAACAGACCAATAATAAGTTCCAAAATTGAATCAGTGATAAAAACCTATCAACCAAAAAAAGCCCTGGACCAGATGGATCCACAGCTTAACTCTACCAGTTGTACAAAGAAGAATTGGTACCAATACTGCTGAAACTATTCCAAAAAATAAAAGAGGAATTCCTCCTTAACTAAATCATCATCCTGATACCAAAATCTGGCAGAGACACAATGAAAAAAGAAAACTTGAGGCCAACATCGTTGATGAACATAGACACAAAAACCCTCAACAAAATACAAACAACCTGTATCAAGCAGCACATCAAAAAGTTGATTCACCATGATCAGGTAGGATTTATATCTGGGATGCAAGGTTGGTTCAACATATGAAAGTCAAAAATGTAATTCACCATATAAACAGAATTAAAAACAAAAAATATATGATCATCTCAATAGATGCAGAAAAAAACTTGTTAAAATCTAACGCTCCTTCATGATAAAAATGCTCAACAAACTAGGCATTGAAGGTACATACATCAAAATAATAAGAGCGATCTATGGTAAACTCACAGCCAACATTATACTGAATGGGCAAAAGCTGGAAACATTCCCCTTAAGAACTGGAGCAAGACAAGGATGCCCACTCTCACCACTCCTATTCAATATAGTACTGGAAGTCCCAGCCAGAGCAATCAGGCAAAAGGAAGAAATAAAGGGGACCCAAATAGAAAAAGAAGATGTCAAAGTGTCTTTCTTCACTGGTAAAATTATTCCATACCTAGAAAACCCTAAAGACTGCCATAAGGCACCTAGAACTGATACACGACTTCAGTAAAGTTTCAGGATACAAAATCAGAACAGAAAAATATCAGTAGCATTTTTATACACCAATGGCATCCTAGTTGAGAGCTGAATCAAGAAGACAATCTCATTTATGACAGCCACAAAAAATAGTGAAATACTTAGGTATATATCTAACCAAGGAGGTAAAGGATAACTATGAGAACTACAAAACACGGTCAGAGATGACACAAATAAATGAAAAACATTACAAGCTCATGTACTGGAAGAATCAATATAATCAAAATGACCATGCTGCCCAAAGCAAGTTAGAGATTCAATGCTATTCACAACAAATTACCAACATCATTTTTTACAGAATTAGAAAAAATCTGCTCTGAAATTCATATGAAACCATAAAAGAATAGCCAAAGCAATCTTAAGCAAAAATAACAAAGCCAGAGGCATCACATTACTCAACTTTAAACTATACTACAAAGCCACAGTGACTAAAACACATACATAGATCAATGGAACAGATGTAGACCCCATAAATAAAGCCACAAACCTACAACTATCTGATCTTTGACAAACTCGACAAAAATAAGCAATGAGGAAAAGCCTCCCCACTCAATGAATGAAGCTGGGATAACTGGCTAACTATATGCAGAAGAATGAAACTGGACTCCTGCTTATCACCATATGCAAAAATTAAGTCAAGATAGATTAAAGACTTAAATGTAAGAAACTCAAACAATAAAAATTCTAGAAGCAATCCTAGGAAATACCCTTCTGGACATCGGCCTTGGTTAAGAATTTATGGCTAAGTCTTCAGAAGCAATTGCAACAACAACAACAAAATTGACAAGTGGGACATAAGAAAACTAAAGAGCTTCTTCACAGAAGAGGAACTATCAAGGAAGTAAACAGACAACCTACAGAATGTGAGAAAAAATTCACAAACTATGCATCTGAGAAAGGTTTAACATCCAGAATCTATAAGGAACTTAAACAATGGAGCAAGCACAAAACAAATAACTGTCAGGCCTCTGAGCCCAAGCCAAGCCATCACATACCCTGTGACTTGCACGTATACACCCAGATGGCCTGAAGTAACTGAAGAATCACAAAAGAAGTGAATATGCCTGCCCCATCTTAACTGATGACATTCCACCACAAAAGAAGTGTAAATGGACAGTCCTTGACTTAAGTGATGACATTACCTTGTGAAAGTCCTTTTCCTGGCTCATCCTGGCTCAAAAAGCACCCCCACTGAGCACCTTGTGACCCCCCACTCCTGCCCGCCAGAGAACAAACCCTCTTTGACTGTAATTTTCCTTTACCTACCCAAATCCTATAAAATGGCCCCACTCTTATCTCGCTTTGCTGACTCTTTTCGGACTCAGCCCGCCTGCACCCAGGTGAAATAAACAGCCATGTTGCTCACACAAAGCCTGTTTGGTGGTCTCTTCACACGGACGCACATGAAATTTGGTGCCATGACTCAGATCGGGGGACCTCCCTTGGGAGATCAATCCCCTGTAATCCTGTTCTTTGCTCCATGAGAAAGATCCACCTATGACCTCAGGTCCTCAGACTGACCAGCCCAAGGAACATCTCACCAATTTTAAATCAGGTAAGTGGCCTCTTTTTACTCTCTTCTCCAACCTCTCTCACAGTCCCTCAACCACTTTCTCCTTTCCACTCTTCAATCTCTCCCTTCTCTTAATTTCAATTCCTTTCATTTTCTGGGAGAGACAAAGGAGACACGTTTTATCCATGGACCCAAAACTCCAGTGCCGGTCACGAACTGGGAAGGCGGCCTTCCCTTGGTGTTTAATCATTGCAGGGATGCCTCTCTGATTATACACCCACGTTTCAAGGGTGTCAGACCACGCAGACATGCCTGCCTTGGTCCTTCACCCTTAGTGGCAAGTCCTGCTTTTCTGGGGAAGGGGCAAGTACCTCAACCCCTTCTCTCCTTGTCTCTGCCCCTTCTCTGCTTTTCTGGGAGAGGGGCAAGTACCCCTCAACCCCTTCTCCTTCACCCTTAGTGGCAAGTCCCACTTTTCTATGGGGCAAGAACCCCCAATCCCTTATTTCCACACCCCAACCTCTTATCTCTGTGCCCCAATCCCTTATTTCCATGCCCCAACTTCTTATCTCTGTGCCCCAATCCCTTATTTCCACACCCAAATCTCTTATCTCTGCACCCCAATCCCTTATTTCCACACCCCAACCTCTTATCTCTGCACCCCAATCCCATATTTCCACACCCCAACCTCTTATCTCTGTGCCCCAATCCCTTATTTCCATGCCCCAACCTCTTATATCTCTGCACCCCAATCCCTTATTTCCACACCCTGATCTATCTCTGTGCCCCAACCCCTTTTCTGGAGGGTGAGAACCCCTGAACCCCTTCCCTCCGTTTCTCTACTCTCTCTTTTCTCTAGGTTTGCTTCCTTCACTATGGGCAACCTTCCACCCTCCATTCCTCCTTCTACTCCCTTGGCCTGTGTTCTCAAAAACTTAAAACCTCTTCAACTCACACCTGACCTAAAACCTAAATGCCTTATTTTCTTCTGCAATGCTGCTTGACCCCAATACAAACTCAACAGTAGTTCCAAATAGCCAGAAAATGGCACTTTGAATTTTTCCATCCTGCAAAATCTAAATAATTCTTGTCATAAAATAGGCAAATGGTCTGAGGTGCCTGACGTCCAGGCATTCTTTTACACATCAGTCCCTTCCTAGTCTCTGTGCCCAGTGCAACTCGTCCCAAATCTTCCTTCTTTCCCTCCCACCTGTCCCCTCAGTACCAACCCCAAGCGTCGCTGAGTCTTTCTAATCTTCCTTTTCTACAGACCCATCTGACCTCTCCCTTCTTCCCCAGGCTGCTCCTCACCAGGCCGAGCTAGGTCCCAATTCTTCCTCAGCCTCTGCTCCTCCACCCTATAATCTTTTTACCACCTCTCCCCTCCTCACACCTGGTCTGGCTCACAGTTTCATTCCATGACTAGCCCTCCTCCACCTGCCCAGCAATTTACTCTTAAAAAGGCATAGTCAAGGTTAATGCTCCTTTTTCTTTATCCCAAATCAGATAGTGTTTAGGCTCTTTTTCATCAAATATAAAAATCCAGCCCAGTTCCTGACTTTTTTGGCAGCAACCCTAAGACACTTTACAGCCCTAGACCCTAAAAAGTCAAAAGGCCGTCTTATTCTCAATATACATTTTATTACCCAATCTGCTCCTGACATTAAATAAAACTCCAAAAATTGGAATCTGGCCCTAAAACCCCACAACAGGACTTAATTAACCTCACCTTCAAGGTGTACAATAACAGAAAAAAGTTGCAATTCCTTGCCTCCACTGTGAGACAAACCCCAGCCACATCTCCAGCACACAAGAACTTCCAAACTCCTGAACCGCAGCAGCCAGGCATTCCTCCAGAACCTCCTCCCCCAGGAGCTTTTTACATGTGCCAGAAATCTGGCCACTGGGCCAAGGAATGCCCACAGCCCGGGATTCCTCCTAAGCCACGTCCCATCTGTGTAGGACCCCACTGAAAATCGGACTGTTCAACTCACCTGGCAGCCACTCCTAGAGCCCCTGGAACTCTGGCCCAAGGTTCTCTGACTGACTCCTTCCCAGATCTTCTCGGCTTAGCAGCTGAAGACTGACACTGCCCGATCACCTTGGAAGCCCCCTAGACCATCACGGACACTGAGCTTCAGGTAACTCTCACAGTGGAAGGTAAGACCGTCCCCTTCTTAATACGGAGGCTACCCAGTCCACATTACATTCTTTTCAAGGGCCTGTTTCCCTTGCCTCCATAACTGTTGTGGGTATTGATGGCCAGGCTTCTAAACCTCTTAAAACTCCCCAACTCTGGTGCCAACTTAGACAATACTCTTTAAAGCACTCCTTTTTAGTTATCCCCACCTGCCCAGTTCCCTTATTAGGCTGAGACACTTTAACTAAATTATCTGCTTCCCTGACTATTCCTGGACTACAGCTGTATCTCATTGCTGCCCTTCTTCCCAATCCAAAGCCTCCTTTGCGTCCTCCTCTTGTATCCCCCAACCTTAACCCACAAGTATAAGATACCTCTACTCCCTCCTTGGCGACCGATCATGCACCTCTTACCATCTCATTAAAACCTAATCACCCTTACCCCACTCAATGCCAATATCCCATCCCGCAGCACGCTTTAAAAAGATTAAAGTCTGTTATCACTTGCCTGCTACAGCATGGCCTTTTAAACCCTATAAACTCTCCTTACAATTCCCCCATTTTACGTGTCCTAAAACCAGACAAGCCTTACAAGTTAGTTCAGGATCTGCGCCTTATCAACCAAATTGTTTTGCCTATCCACTCCGTGGTGCCAAACCCATATACTCTCCTATCCTCAATACCTGCCTCTATAACCCATTATTCTGTTCTAGATCTCAAACATGCTTTCTTTACTATTCGTTTGCACCCTTAATCCCAGCATCTCTTCACTTTTACTTGGACTGACCCTGACACCCATCAAGCTCAGCAAATTACCTAGGCTGTACTGCTGCAAAGCTTCACAGACAGCCCCCATTACTTCAATCAAGCCCAAATTTATTCCTCATCTGTTACCTATCTCGGCATAATTATCATAAAAACACACGTGCTCTCCCTGCCAATTGTGTCTGACTGATCTCTCAAACCCCAGCACCTTCTACAAAACAACAACTCCTTTCCTTCCTAGGCATGGTTAGCGTGGTCAGAATTCTTACACAAGAGCCAGGACCACACCCTGTGGCCTTTCTGTCCAAACAACTTGACCTTACTGTTTTAGCCTAGCCCTCATGTCTGCGTGCAGTGGCTGCCACTGCATTAATACTTTTAGAGGACCTCAAAATCACAAACTATGCTCAACTCACTCTCTACAGTTCTCATAACTTCCAAAATCTATTTTCTTCCTCATACCTGATGCATATACTTTCTGTTTCCCGGCTCCTTCAGCTATACTCACTCTTTGTTGAGTCTCCCACAATTACCATTGTTCCTGGCCCGGACTTCAATCCGGCCTCCCACATTATTCCTGATACCACACCGGACCCCCATGACTGTATCTCTCTGATCCACCTGACATTCACCCCATTTCCCCAAATTTCCTTCTTTCCTCTTCCTCACCCTGATCATGCTTGATTTATTGATGGCAGTTCCACCAGGCCTAATCGCCACACACCAGCAAAGGCAGGCTATGCTATAGTACAAGCCACTAGCCCGCCTCTTAGAACCTCTCATTTCCTTTCCATTGTGGAAATCTATCCTCAAGGAAATAACTTCTCAGTGTTCCATCTGCTATTCTACTACTCCTCAGGGATTATTCAGGCCCCCTCCCTTCCCTACACATCAAGCTCGAGGATTTGCCCCCACCCAGGACTGGCAAATTAGCTTTACTCAACATGCCCTGAGTCAGATAACTAAAATACCTCTTAGTCTAGATAGATACTTTCACTGGATAGGTAGAGGCCTTTCCTACAGGGTCTGAGAAGGCCACGGCAGTCATTTATTCCCTTCTGTCAGACATAATTCCTCAGTTTAGCCTTCCCACCTCAATACAGTCTGATAACAGATGAGCCTTTATTTGTCAAATCAGCCAAGCAGTTTTTCAGGCTCTTAGTATTCAGTGAAACCTTTATATCCCTTAAGGTCCTCCGTCTTCAAGGAAAGTAGAATGGACTAAAGGTCTTTTAAAAACACACCTCACCAAGCTCAGCCACCAACTTAAAAAGGACTGGACAATACTTTTACCACTATCCCTTCTCAGAATTCAGGCCCATCCTCGGAATGCTACAGGATATAGCCCATTTAAGCTCCTGTATAGGCGCTCTTTTTATTAGGCCCCAGTCTCATTCCAGACACCAGACCAACTTAGACTGTGCCCCCCAAAAAACTTGTCATCCCTACTATCTTCTGTCTAGTCATACTCCTATTCACCATTCTCAACTACTCATACATGCCCTGCTCTTCTTTACACTGCCAGTTTACACTGTTTCTCCAAGCCATCACAGCTGATATCTCCTGGTGCTATCCCCAAACTGCCACTCTTAACTCTTGAAGTAAATAAATAATCTTTGCTGGCAGGACTATGCTGAATCTCCTTAGGCACTCTCTAATCAGATATCCTGAGTCGTCACAATTCTTCGACCTTTTATACCTGTTTTTCTCCTTCTGTTATTCCATTTAGTTTCTCAATTCATCCAAAACCGTATCCAGGCCATCACCAATCATTCTATACGACAAATGTTTCTTCTAACATCCCCACAATATCACCCCTTACCACAAGACCTCCCTTCAGCTTAATCTCTCCCACTCTAGGTTCCCATGCTGCCCCTAATCCCGCTTGAAGCAGCCCTGAGAAACATCGCCCATTCTCTCTCCATATCACCCCCCAAAAATTTTTGCTGCCTCAACACTATTTTGTTTAATTTTTCTTATTAATATAAGGCAGGAATGTCAAGCCTCTGAGCCCAAGCCAAGCCATCGCATCCCCTGTGACTTGCATGTATACACCCAGATGGCCTGAAGTAACTGAAGAATCACAAAAGAAGTGAAAAGGTCCTGCCCCACCTTAACTGATGACATTGCACCACAAAAGAAGTGTTAATGGCTGGTCCTTGCCTTAAGTGATGACATTACCTTGTGAAAGTCCTTTTCCTGGCTCATCCTGGCTGAAAAAGCACCCCCACTGAGCACCTTGTGACCCCCACTCCTGCCCGCCAGAGAACAAACCCCCTTTGACTGTAATTTTCCTTTACCTACCCAAATCCTATAAAACGGCCCCACCCTTATCTCCCTTCACTGGCTCTCTTTTCAGACTCAGCCCGCCTGCACCCAGGTGAAATAAACAGCCATGTTGCTCACACAAAGCCTGTTTGGTGGTCTCTCCACACAGATGTGCATGAAAATAACCACATTAAAAAGTAGACAAAGGGCATGAAAAGACACTTCTCAAAAGAAGACATACATGTGGCCAACAAACATGAAAAAATGCTCATCACCACTACTCATCAGAGAAATGCAAATCAAAACCACAATGAGATACCATCTCACACCAGTCAGAATGGCTTTTGCTAAAAAAGTCCAAAAAATAATAGATGTTAGTGAGGCTGTGGAGAAGAGGGGACAATGGTGGGAATGTAAATTAGCTCAGCCACTCTGGAGAGCAGTTTGGAGATTGCTCAAAGAACTTAAGACAGAACTACCATTTGACCCAGCAATGCTATTAAAGGGCATATACCCAAAGGAAAATCCTATTAATGGGTATATACCCAAAAGGGCACACACACCCATATGTTAATTATAGCACTATTCACAATACTAAAAAGTTGGTGTGTCCAGAGTTGGTTCCTTCTGGTGGGTTCGTGGTCTCACTGACTTCAAGAACGGAGCTGTGGACCTTTGCAGTGAGTGTTACAGCTCTTAAAGTTGGCACGGACCCAAAGAGTGAGCAGCAGCAAGATTTATTGTGAAGAGCGAAAGAACAAAGCTTCCACAGCATGGAAGGGGACCTGAGCAGGTTGCTGCTTCTGGCTGGGGTGGCCTGCTTTTATTTCCTTATTTGTCCCCTCTCATGTCCTGTTTCTGTCCTACGCCCTTTTTTCAATCCTCCGTGCGATTGGCTACTCTTAGACTCCTGCTGATTGGTCCATTTTACAGAGCACTGATTGGTCCATTTTACAAACTTCTTGCCAGCTACAGAGCACTGATTGGTGTATTTTTACAGAGTGCTGATTGGTGCATTTTACAAACCTCTTACTAGCTACAGAGCACTGATTGGTGCATTTTACAATCTCCTTGTAAGACAGAAAAGTTCTCCAAGTCCCCAGTGGATCCAGGAAGTCCAGCTGGCTTTGCCTCTCAATGGGATCAACTCAGGTGCCCATCAGTGGTGGACTGGATAAAGACAATGTGATAGATATATACCATGAAATGCTATACAGCCATAAAAAATGAAACCATGTATTTACAGCAACATGGATGCAGTTGAAGGCCGTTATTCTAAATAAACTAATGCAATGCAGAAACAGAAAACAAAATACCAGATATTATCATTTGTAAGTGGGAGCTGAACATTGGATACACATGGACATAAAGATAGGAACAATAGACACTGCAGTCTACTAGAGGGGAGAGACAGAGAACAGGGCAAGGGCTGAAAAACTACTTATTGTGTTCTATTCCCACTACCTGAGTGACAGGTTCAATCATACCCCGAACTTCACCATAATGCAATATACCTTTGTAACAAACCTGCCCATGCACCCCATGATTCTAAAATAAAACTTGTTGGGATTTGATCAGGCTGGTGGGAAAAATATTCGTTATGATAGCCACAAAACCCTTTTGGGGTTTTCATATGACTTCGGTAATAGACCAGGCAGAAGGCAGCCTGGTCACATTACCTTTAGTTACATAAATTAGAGTAGTAAACAACAGGATGTGGGGAAGTTATCTAGTTAGCTTGTTTACTCATGTGGTCTTAAGCCTTAAGCCTTTGATGTATGCTTTTTACTCAGGAAGTCCTCAATGTCAATTAACCTCTAATGGTGTTAACTCAAGCTTTTGTTAGCTAATCTTAATGAATAAATGCAAGCC
Organism: Homo sapiens; assembly: GCF_000001405.40. NCBI lineage: Eukaryota > Metazoa > Chordata > Mammalia > Primates > Hominidae > Homo > Homo sapiens. Next base: position 136,563,646 of record NC_000005.10, on the reverse strand, counting down.
TCCTGAGCTGATCGGGGCTGGCCGCAGTGACAAACCTCTCTTGGTGTAGGTGGTCAGACATTCAGCAGGACTGGCAAAACAGAATATCTGTGTGTCAGTGTACGTTTTATCCATCCGTTGTTTGGGTCAGGGTCTGCAGGCAGACCCTCGCAGCTAATGCCCTCTTGTGAGGAGCAATACCTCAAGAAGTTGAAAGAAAATAGTTTACTGTTTTGCATATTAGCATCAGAATTCTCTCTACCTAGCTAGCTATCCTTCAACCTATTGATAAATGTTGGTTTATTCATCCAAGTGTCCATTCTTTCAACAAACATTTATTGATCATCCACTGTTAGACTTGATGAATCAAGAATTTTTCCAGTGTTCTGAGTTTTATTAAGGGATTCTCAAATAATCATCTTGCCAATTTCTTTCCTAGGGTCCTGGAATTATAAGGGTTTAAGTCTTTGAATTTACAGCATCAAAAACCCAGAAGGAACCTCAGAGATGAATGATCAGTCCAAGGCATTTGTATTACAGGAGGCAACTCCCAGTCCCAAGAATAGGAGACAGACTTACCCAGGCCACAGACTGAAGGAATGTCATAAGCCACACTTACCATCTTCCCTATCTTCAAGCAGAACCCATAACAAACAGGGCAGCCAGAATAAAATACCTCAACTGGGTGGCTTAAGCAACAGGAATTTAATTTTCACAGTTCTAGAGGCTGGCAATTATTATTTGCATTATTCTTGGGCCCGTCTCCTTGGCTTGCAGATGGCTCTCTTCTTGCTGTTTCTTCACATGGACTTTCCTCTGTGCACCTGCATCGCTGGTCACTCTTTGTACATCCACATTTCCTCTTGTAGAGACACCAATTAGATGGGATTAGGCCCACCCTAATGGCCTCATTTTAACCCAACCACCACATTTAAGACCCTATCTCCAAAAGCAGTTACATTCTGAGGTACTAGGCTTAGGGCTTCAACATATAAATTTTGGGGGGACAAAATTCAGAGCATAAAACCTCTCTGTGTCAGGATGTGCTTCTTTCATTTAACTAATTTCTAATCATCTTCTGGATCTCAACACAAGTGTCACTTCCTTGAGGAAACACATCCTAACTGCATTTCCATATTCCAAAGACAAGATCAGGCCCTTTTCTAGGCACATTTGTGGCACCATTTCACTTTTATTTATCATGACCGTTAACAAAGAAATGACTGTGTAAATGGCATATTCTCTTCTATCTCCCTCCATGAGACTTCCCCCCCCCCATGGACATGGAGCTGGCCAGTCTTGCTCAGTGCTGTGTACTCAGTAACTAGCTAGCTCTTGGCACAAGTTATTCAGCAAATAATTTCCTGAATAAAGAAATAAATGGATCATGCTTTAAGTATTAAAATCACAGAACCGTCTTTGATATTATTATTTTCAGACCATTCCTGTTTTCTCACCTTTATCTATAATGCTCCTGCTGTAGAATTCTACTCACACCACTCCAAGCCCAACACAGCTTCCTCCAATTCTTCTCCTTACCCAATGCATGATCGATTCTTTTTTCTTCAGCAGTACTGTAGTATATTATTGACACAGTTGATTTTGCACTTCATCTTAGCACATCAAGGGCACGTTGTTACGATGCTTATCCCCCCACACACTTCACCTGAATTATGTTTTATTTAACTCCAAATCCCCAGCACACAGCCTAGCTCCTGGCAGAGTTGGCACATGGTAAAGGGTCAGTGCCTTTTAGGATAAGACCATAGCCCAACTCTAGTGGATACAGCCAGCTGTGGGCATGCAGCAATTCTTAGTGATTCCAGACACTCTGGGGGTCTTTGCTGCTCTGCCCATGCCAGGGTCTTCAACTTGGCTGGATGAGCCACTGCTCTCTGCGTCTCTCAGAAACAGTTCATGGATCTGGCTCTAGAAGGACTCTAATGACCAAGTGCATTGAATCTTTCAGATCAGTTTTCTTAAAAGGAAAAATAAAAGCAATAAAAAAGAGGAAGGAGGAGAAGGAGGGGAAAGAGAGGAAGAGAAAGAGGAAGGCAAGTTTGTGAACCTTCTGGAATCTAATTTAAATTCTGACCAAAATTTACACTGGTTCTTTGTTCTATGCTTACATAGATGGAACCACAAATAACTGTGCCAGCCTGAGGAAGAAGACAGGGGCAGGAACCCATCTAGTTCAGATTCTGTGTAGGCTCCTGTGGCTCAGTCTCCACTGTGAAAGGAGAATAATAACATCAGCAGCATGATGAGAGGCAGTCAAGGTGTCAGAAGCAAGAGAGCTCTCTGGAAGGTTAACAAGCTGCTCCAGTTAAAGAGGTTCTTGCTTAGCTTCAGAGTGGTTGAGGAACAGAGATGAGAAAACCAGGGTTCCTTAGAAGGACATATCCAAGTTTTGATTGGCAGTGATATCCACAAGTAGAGCTGCCTGACATACTGGGTATTATGAGGTTTTCAGAGAACACTGGCTTTTATAAAAGCCAAAGACTCATCCTTCCATTCTCCATCTCCAGACATGCAGGTACCCCTGCCCCTGACCACCTTCACTTTCCAGTGAAAATCACCCTGTCCTGTGTATCTTCCCTTATCTCAACAAAGAGATAATATGGAGATAACATGGCACATGGCTAAAACCGTGGGTTCTGGGGTCGCTCGGGCCTGAGTTTGAGTTGCAGCTCTGCTACTTACCAGTTCTGTGATCTACAGAAAACATCTGACCTTCAGTCTCTTCATTTTTGATATGACAAAAATAATGGTAACTGCCCCCATAGGGTTGTTGGGAAGTTTATACTACATGCTCTTGGACTGACACAGAGTTTGACACGTAAGTGCTCAACAAATGGGACACATGTTGTAACATTGTAACTTCAACTGCAGTCTGATGCTTTCTGTCTGTTTTCAAGATCAATTCTCTTGGTCCATTATGTCTTCTCCATTCCTCCTCCTAGAACCTTCTTTCTCAAGCCAGAATGAACCCAGCTGAGCTCCAGAATGACATCTCTTCTTGAATTTCCTGTCCTGAGCACTGTGCAATTTGCATAGTAGGCAAAGTTTCTCAAACCATCTACGACTAATTAATGAAGGAAATTGTTCCTCTCTTATTATAGGGGACTTTAAAAGTCCAGGGGCTTCATTACAAGGACTTCAAATTTTAGGCAGATGCCTCCTTTTCCTTCTTCCCACACCTAAGCATTCCCCAAAGCTTCTACTTTGCAAACCATGCTCAGAAAATGCAGTCAGGGAATAGGAGCTGTTGGCTCATATTTCTCAAAGCATTCCAACTTGAGGCTCCTTGTAACTTCTTAAGTAAGCAGCATAGTTATTAGCTGCAGGATATGTAAAGGGCATGGAGAGTTACTGAAGCATTGAGTTGAGAAGTGCAAATGTCAAAGGCAAAAAGAAAACTGTAAATATAGTTACAGACTTGAAAGTGCAGGCAGCAAAAACAGCTATGGGAAAAAAAATGTCCTTGGAAAATAAAGATGCAGATTCAGGGTAGCTGCCTTCGACAAAGGGCATTGCTACTTACAAGGCTCTTTCTCTGTTTTGGTGTATGGAAGATGCTCAATAAAACTAGCTGAATGAACAAATTAGTAAGTCATAGACACGATTAAGTATTTATTTTATTAATAAAATTGAAATGGTAGAGCTAAAGTAGTTTAAAAACTCTGCTCTCTCAAGTTCATCCTTTCATTACGTATGAATCTTATAACATCCTCTTTTTTTTCTCTTTCATCAAATGTTCCTCTGCTTCTAGTTTTCATAAATACTTGGATGACTGGCTTTCACTATGACAATGCACTGATAAGGTCTGGACTTCCATGCACTTACTTTATGGCAGGCTGAAACCAGAATGTTTCAATCTCCTACAAGATTGTAAAAACAAGCCTTAAGTGTTAAGAGATATTCTAGGCTCTGATTTCTCTGTTGATCTCTACCCCTGTGTTTCTATATGTGTCCAGATACATAACACTATTGTATTTCTATGTAAAATCTACCTTAGCAAAAGTTTCATTTGTTAAAGCTCATTATCCATCTTATTTTGTTCTGCTCCTTTATGTTTGTGGTGAGTACTGTCTGTGGAGCCTCTTTCTTTATGGTCCTCATACATTCTACCTGGGTCTCTGCACCGAGCATCAGTGTGACTCAGGCCTGAGTACTATCAATGCTTGACTTAAGTGAACTGCTCCTAGCAACTGTCTCCTCTTCAAACTGCTGGTGATATTTATATCGCTAAATATGATTTACTGATTATGAATCAAACAGGCAATATTTTCTTCCATGCTTGTCAATTAACAATACCACCTTCTTATCAGGGATCCCTGGATATTGCAAAGCATCATAGAGGCAGTTGTTTAACAAGTAAAATTGCCCTGACCCAATAAAGGGCTGACTCGTCTGCCTATGTGAGATGAAATTTTTCTGGGTAGATGATGGCGGTTCTTTCCTCTCTGTAGGAGGAAATAAGATGATAGCATTTTTAAAAATTTAATTTATCCTTTGCAGGCAGTGATGGAGAGGTTCACCCCGCATTGAGTGAGTCTGTGATTAGCTTGGCTATGTTTTTTTGTTTTTGTTTTTTGAGACGGAGTCTTGCTCTGTGGCCCAGGCTGGAGTGCAGTAGTGGGATCTTGGCTCACTGCAAGCTCTGCCTCTGGGAGTCAAGTGATTCTTGTGCCTTAGCCTCCCTGAGTAGCTGGGATTACAGGCACTTGCCACCAGGCCCTTCTAATTTTGGTATTTTTGGTAGAGACAGGGTTTCACCATGATGGCCAGGCTGGTTTTGAACTCTCAACCTCAGGTGATCCACCTGCCTCGGCCTCCCAAAGTGCTGGGAATACAGGCATGAGTCACTGTGCCTGGCCAGCTATGATTCTTAAAAGTAAACGTGGTATGATGGAATACTACACAGAACAAAGAAGAATGAACTACTGCCACATGCACCATGAATGAATCTCACAGGAATAGTATTATGCAAAAGAAACCAGAAGCAAAAAGCGTACTGCTATGCAGCTCAAGAGCAAGCAAAACAAATACATAATGATAGAAGGAAAAATATGGTGACCTCTGAAGATGTTGTTGACTGAAAAGGGGCACAAATGACCTTTCTTGGGTGCTGAAAATATTCTATAACTTGACCTGGGTGGTAACTACACAGACATATACATATGCAAACATTTATTAAGTTGTTCACTGAAGATTTATACACCTATCTGTGCATGTTGTGCCTCAATTTTGAAAGTTTAAAACAAAACAAAACTTTGCAACACAGACACTTGGTATTAAATCACAGGGAAACATAAAATGAGGCACCAACTAAGATAAACCCAGAAACCAGATAAAATTTCAAATTTGCTATTATGTGGAACTGTTGATTGCAATCTGAGGATGCTTACTTCAGATGACTATTGTACATTGTGGTCATTAGCTGGAATGGCTCTAATCACTTTTCCTTATGGAAGTAACTCCAGGAACATTGTTAAGCCATATAATGTAACTCCTTTTCCTATTTAACAGAATCACAGTATGTTGCTGAAAACATTCTTGTGAAAAATTTAATTAGGGACAAGTGACATTAGAGACATTTTTATTCACATTTTCATTAACAGAACATTATGCAGTTTTTTAATAGCAAGAGTTTTTTTGCTAATGTCAACCATTTTGAAAAATAATCCATCTGGAAAAACTGCATAGCTGTGAAAATGACATTTCAATATTTAGAGTGCAGTTGGCTTATGAGGAAGATTCTCTGTGGCCACATGTAGGTTGTGTATTTCTCTAACAGTTCAGCATTTCAAAACTTCTGAAATCCATTAAGTCTGGAAATTACTAGGGTCTAGTTCAATCAAAAAATAAGCCTGGGTTGCTAAAGGGTACAAAAGCCATTATACAGGGGAAAGTCAATTTTGAGAAGCCTTACATGGGTGTCAGCATTGAGATCTGGAAGCTAGCTGTCCACGACAGGCAGCAGCCACTGTTAGAGAGCTTGCCACAGGCATCCCTCATGGAGAGCTGTGCCTGCCTGGACAGCTGCTCTCAGAGGTCACTTATTTGAGCACATTGGGACAAGGATTCCTTTAGTGTCCTGTTTGTACCCAATAATCTGTCCAATTGCAAGCGAGGCTTTACTTTAATACTTAGCATGTTATGGTGGGAATAGTACTACAGGCTTTGGCTTAAAACTCTCCTTTAATACGCTTATTACTATGTGTCCTTGACCTAGAACTCAAACTTCAGTCCTCTCATTTATAAAAAGGTCAGTAAACTCGAGGTGATGTCAGCAAAATGGCTGGCTAGAAGCTTCTAGTGTTCTTCCCCCACAACCAAGATGGCCAAAACAATGAATAAACCACACTTTGATGAAAATAACTAAAGGAGAGCACTAGAGTACATCAAAAGAGTCTAAAAGTCTTTGTAGAGCACAGAAACCCAGGATGGCCACATTGAGAACCAAAGGGAACACCTGGCCTCTGCCACCCTATCCCCCAGTGAGGATCAGCTTAGAACCAGGAGGGACTTCTCCCTGTGGGTAAAAGATAAACAGATCCCAGCAGCCCCCATTAATACCTGGGACACCTACAGTCCTTACCACTAGGGACCCCTGCAGTTCTCACAGTCACTAAGGCCAGCTGAGGGATCTGCCTAGAGCCACACAGCTGTGTTTCTCCAAGGGAAGGAGCTGACACTGTGCCCCAACCCTGTGTGGCCCATGTGGCTACTGCACTATACCATCTTGGAACTGGAACTACTGCTGGAGTGTGTTCTCCTCCAGGAGTGAATGGCCACAACACCATTCCATTCCTGCGTTTTAGTCACCACTGAACCTCCCCTGTCTGGTGGCTCACCATCTCTCAGCCAAGCTGCCGCTACATCCTAGCCCATGGTGGCACGTGGCCTTGAAGCTGCCTCATCTACCCTTCCTAGTCACTGCTGTGCCTTGCCCCTCAGGGCCTGAGCTGAAGCCGTGCACTCTCTCCTGGAGAAACATGCCTTGGCTAAGTTGCTCCATCTACCTGACCCCTGCCACCCAGTAACTTCTGCACCTTATTTCTTGGGACTAGAGCTGAAGCTGTTCACTGTCTCCCAAGGAAACAGCTCCTTGGCAGAACTGCTCCATCTACTCCTCCTAGTCACTGTATGTCTTGTCTTTCTGTGTCTGAGCTGAAGTGGTGCCTGCCTCCTGGGAAGACGGTACCTTGGCTTCCCAGAGAAGTCATGTCCCCAAGGCCTGAGCTGAAGTGGCCCATTGCCTCTTGGGGATGAGGCCAAGAGGCTTGCTGAGCCAAGCAGTCAGGCATCCCAGGACTGAGATGATGTGGTACCCCTCATCCAGGGAAACAGAGAAGTGGCTGAGCTGAGACACTGGTCCTCAGGCCAAACAACTCTAGTGCCCTGCTTCCTTGAACTTGAATTAGTCTTCTAGAGTCTGAGCTGAGACACCCTCCTCCATAGGGAGTGAAGTCATCACTGTGCTCACTGCCCTCCACAGCTCAAGTGACGGCTGTGTTCTGACATTCTGGGATCCTTGTTGCTACCGTACCTACCTCAGAAAGTCTAGGGTACTTCCAAGTCATATCATGCCTGGGTGATGAGGTATTGTATAGGGTCCAGAGTGATCAGTATACAATAACTCATCCCTCAGGATCTGAATTGCCACAGTGCCCTATTGGCTGTGGTTCCTGAATTGTAGCTGTAGCTTTCTGGGCCCAAACCTCCAAACCACTCATTTTTCCCCAAAGTTTGGCCAGTGCTGTGCCCCACCCCATATGGTCAGATTCACAGCTATAACCCAGCCCCAGTGCCCAGGCTGCTTTAAGGGGCCTCAGAGTCATAGCTAACTAGCACTATAGACAATCTACATTCAGCTCTGCCTCAAAGAGTGAACCTGAACCTTAAGTCCCAAGTACCACAATAGGTTCATGAAGCCCTGAGCCTAAGACCCTTCAGTTAAATCTTCCCATTGCAGGGAAAACAAGAATAGGAGGGTCCCAAAAGCCCTTGCCACTGTGGACCCTAACAATCTATGCTGCTGCCATTGCTGCCATAAACTCCTACAGCCTAGGCCACTAAGACACTCACAGTCCTCACTGATATTGGTTTCAGTTGAAGAAACTGCATGGAGGCTATACCACTGCATCTACTCAAAAATAGAACCACTACACCCTTCCCAACCAGCACACTAAGACCTTTCTCCATGTGAAAGTCTTTCTTGAAAAAATCCACCCTGTAAAGTTCCAAAGAGATAATTGTTCCATTGGATGGGGAGACATCAATGCTGGAACACAAGAAACATCAAAAATCAAGGGAATATAAGAACACCAAAAGTACATAATTATGCTCTAGGAATTGACCTCAAAGAAAAAGAAATCTATGAAGTGCCTGAAGAGAAACTCAAAATAATGATTTTAAGGAAACTCAGCAAGATACAAGAGAAGACAGACAATTCAACAAAATCAGAAAAAAAATCATGATCTGAATGAAAAACTTAAAAGTTACATGTCATAAAAAGGAATCAAACAGAAATCTTTTATTTAAACAATTCATTGAATGAAATAAAAAAATATGATAGAGACCTTCAACAGCAGACTGGATCAAGCAGAAGAATCTCTGAACTTGAAGATAAATCTTTTGAAGTTACCCAGTTAGAAGGAAAAAAAAAGAATGAAAAAGATTGAAGAGATCCTACAGGATTTATGGAACACAGCTGAGCAAACAAACATTCATAGGAATTCAACAAGGAGGAAAGACAAACATAGGAACAGAAAGCTTATTTAATGAAATAATTGTTGAAAAGTTTCTAAGTTTTGGAAGAGATGTGGACAGCCAGATGCATAAAACTCAAGGATTCCCAAACAGACTTAACGCAAAGAAGTCCTCACTGAGGCACATTTAATTAAATTGCCAAAAGTCAAAGACAAACAGACAATTTTAAAAGCAGCAAGAGAAAAGCATCAAATCATGTATAAGGGAATCTCTATTAAACTATCAGCTGATTTCTCAGCAGAAATCCTGCAGGCCAGGAAAGAATGGGATGGTGCATTTAAATGCCAAAAGAAAAAAAATTGCTAGTGAAGAATACTATACCCAGCAAGGAGGTACTTCAGAAATAAAGGAAAAAAAAAGTATTTTCCAGATAAGCAAAAGTTGAGAGACTATATCATCACTAAACCTATCCTATAAGAAATGCGTAAGGGAGTTCTTAAAGTAGAAATGAAAAGATACTAATCACTAACATGAAAACATATGAAAGTAAAAAGTTCACTGATAAAGGTAAATATATAGTCAAGTCCAAAATAGACCAATACTGTTATGACGTATTATAATTCACACATATATCTAGTGTGAAGGTTAAAAGTCAAAACAGTCAAAAGTAATAATAGTTGCAACAAATTGTTAAGAAATATGTAATATAAAATATAAATTGTGACATCGAAATTATAAATTGTGGGGAGAAGGGTAAAAGCATAGAGCTTTTGTATGTGACTGAATTTATCAATGTCAAATTGTCTATTATTAACTATAAGATGTTCTATGATAACCTCATGATGTTCATGAGGCAATAAAACTATAGCAAATACATGTATAATAAAAAAATCAAAATTAACACTGAAGAAAATCAGCAAATCACAAAGATAAACAAGAGAGGAAAAAAGGAACAAAGCATTTACAAAACAACCAGTAGGAAATTAACAACCTGACAGTAGTAAGTCCTTACCTATTAATAATTACTTTGAATGTAAATTAAATTCTCCAATCCAAGGACACAGAGGGGCTAAATGCATTTTACAAAAAGAAGATCCAAATATATTCTGCCTTTGAGAGATTCACACTTAAACCTTAAGGACACACATAGGCTGAAAGTAAATGGGAGGAAGAAGATATTTCATGAAAATGGTAACCAAAATAGAGCAGAGGTGACTATATTTATGTCATGTAAAATAGACTTCAAGTCAAAAACTGCCACAAGAGACAAACGTCATCATTTAATGATGAAGCACCAGCTTATCAAGAAGACATAACAATTGTAAATATATATGCACACAATATTGGAGCACCTAATGAAGCAAACGTTAATGAACATGAAGGGAGAAACAGATAGCAAAACAATAATAGTTGTGGACTTCAATACCCTACTTCCAACAATGGACAGATTAAGCAGACAGAAAATTAAGAAACTACTGAAATTGAGCTATACTTAAGACAAAATGGACCTAAGGATATATACAGAACTTTCCATCCAACATTAGTAGAATATACATTATTCTCTAGGGCACGTGTAACATCATCCAAGATAAACCATTTAGTGGGCCACAAAATAAGTCTCAACAAATTGTAAAAAATTGAAATTGTATTAAGAATTGGTGCTTACTACAATGGTATGGAAGTAGAAATCAATAACAAGAGGAACTTTGCAAACCATACAGATACATGGGAATTTTAAAAAACATGCTCCTGAACAACGAATGAATTATAAAAATATTAAAAGGTAAATTTTAAAAACTTCTAGAAACAAAAGAGAATGGAAGCACACATACCAAAACCTATGGGATACAGCAAAAGTAGTACTCAGAGGGAAAATTTATAGCAATGCATTTACATCAAAGAAGAAGAAAAGTCTCAAATATAAAATTTAATATTGCACCTCAAGGAGTAAGAAAAACAAGGACAAACAAAACCCTTACTTAGTAGAAGGAAATAAGTCATAAAGATAAAACAAATCAATGAAACTAAGAATTAAAAGTGCAAAAGTTAATGAAGAGTTGCTTTTTAAAAAAATAAACAAAACACATAAACTTTTAGACAGACTAATTGAGAAAAAAAGGAAAAGACTCAGATAAATAAAATCAGAGACTAAAAGGAGATGTTACAACTAATTCCACAGAAATACAAAGGATCATCTGAGGCTATTATTAACAACCATATGCCAGAAAATTAGAGAACCTATCAGAAATGGATAAATTCCTGAACAAATACAACTTACCAAGATTGAATCATGAAGAAACAGAAAATCTGAACAGACTAATAATGAGTTACAAGATTGAATTATTAATAAAAAAAATTTCTATCAAAGAAAAGCCCAGGACCTGATGGCTTCATTGCTGAATTCTAACACTTGAATAACTAATACCAGTTATTCTCAATCTACTCCAGAAAATTAAAGAGGACAGAATTCTTCCAAAATCATTCTATACGGCTGGCATTATCCTTATTCCAACTATACAAGGGCACAACAATCACAAAAAAGAAATCTGTAGGCCAATATCTCTGATAAATACAGAGGCAAAAGTCCTCAACAAAATAGCAAACTGAATTCTATAGCACATTAAAAAAATAATTCACCATGATTAAGTATGGTTCATCCTATGGAAGCAAGGATGGTTCAACATTTGCAAATCAATAAATATTATTCATCATATTAACAAAATGAAGAGCAAAAATTATACTATTATTTCAATAAATGCAGACAAAACAATTGACAAAATTCAACATCCCTTCATGATAAAAAGTCTCAACAAATTAGGCACAGAAGATATGTGCCTGAAAATGATAAAAGCCATATATGACATATCCATAGCTAATATCTCAGTGAATAATGAAAGGTTGAAAGTTTTTCTTCTAAGGTCTATAAGTGTCAGGCCTCTGAGCCCAAGCCAAGCCATCACATCCCCTGTGACTTGCACGTATACACCCAGATGGCCTGAAGTAACTGAAGAATCACAAAAGAAGTGAATACGCCCTGCCCCACCTTAACTGATGACATTCCACCACAAAAGAAGTGTAAATGGCTGGTCCTTGCCTTAACTGATGATATTACCTTGTGAAAATCCTTTTCCTGCCTCATCCTGGCTCAAAAAGCACCCCCACTGAACACCTTGCGACCCCCACTCCTGCCCACCAGAGAACAAACCCCCTTTGACTGTAATTTTCCTTTACCTACCCAAATCCTGTAAAACAGCCCCACCCTTATCTCCCTTCCCTGACTCTCTTTTCGGACTCAGCCCCCCAGCACCCAGGTGAAATAAACAGCCATGTTGCTCACACAAAACCTGTTTGGTGGTCTCTTCACGCAGACACACATGAAATTTGGTGCCGTTTTTTGTTGCTCACACAAAGCCTGTTTGGTGGTCTCTTCACAGGGGCGCGCATGAAATTTGGTGCCGAAACATCTGGTTGTCAAAATAACCTCATGTGCTGGCTACTACAGATATTTCTAACCTCATTTTACAAACTTAAGGAACTTAGCCCCAGAGATGTTGATCTGTCTCTGTTTTTTTTTTTTCATTCACTGAACAAATACTTACTGAAAACCTACTAAGTGCCGTATGTTGCCCTAAGAATTGTAGGGTGACAAACCATCCCAGCTTGCCCAGAACTAGGGAGATTCCTGGGATGCAGATTTTTCGTGCTAAAACGGGACTGTCCTGAGCAAACTGGGATGGTTGATCAGCTTAACTCAATCTGGCCACCCTAACAGCACATCACAGTTCAAGTCACAAAATAAACCATACCAGATGGAGAGCTCTGTCTCTCTCTCTCTTTCATTATTTTTGCCTCACTTGGGACTTTTATTTCTAGACCCTACTCCCAGCATTAGACTAAAAGTTCTCCTTAATGTTGCCAGTGATCACCCAAGCACGAAAAATACTTTGCTGCCCACTTATCTGCAAAATTTGACATTCTGACCACCTGATACTCTCTTTGGCCTTTACTCTTTCCCTTGCTTTTCTCTCTCTTTCATAATGCCCAACATCTTCCCATCTAAACTTTCATCATTAAGTGCATGGCACCCAAATGTATACCCATAGCTGCAATGTGATGGCTTTGACATGTGGATGTGTATGACTAAAAGGTATCTCCTTAACTCCTGGCTATCCCAAGTATTCAAATAAACTAAATCTCAACAAAAATGTTGTTTTCTCCACCCCCAATTCTTCCTCAGCCTCTGCTCCTTCACCTTATAATCCTTCTACCACCTCCCCTCCTCACACCCGGTCTGGCTTACAGTTTAGTTCCGCGACTAGCTCTTCCCCACCTGCCCAACAATTTCCTCTTAGAGAGGTGGCTGGAGCTGAAGGCACAGTCAGGGCACATGTACCTTTTTCTCTATCAGACCTCTCTCAGATCAGTCAATGTTTAGGCTCTTTCTCATCAGACCCCACTAAATATATACAGGAATTCCAATATCTAACTCTGTCCTACAACTTAACCTGGAGTGACTTAAATGTCATCCTGACGTCTACCCTCTCCTCAGATGCACGGGAAAGAATTTTTTCTCTGGCCCAATCTCATGCTGATAACTGCTGGCTTCATGAGCCAGACCTCCAGGAAGGCATTAGAGCAGTTCCCCGAGAGGATCCCCAATGGAACTACCAGGCAAATTCCCCAGGTATAGCTAGGCGATATTACATGTTTTCCTGCCTAGTCGTAGGGCTTAAAAAAGCAGCTTACAAAGCTGTTAATTGTGACAAACTTAAAGAAACTACCCAAGGTAAAGATGAAAACCCAGCCCGGTTCATGGCCCGCTTAGCGGCAACCCTTAGACGCTTTACCGCCCTAGACCCAGAGGGGCCAGAAGGCCGCCTTATTCTTAACATGCATTTTATCACCCAATCCACTCCTGACATTAGGAAAAAACTTCAAAAACTAGAATCTGGCCCTCAAACCCCACAACAGGAATTAATCAACCTCACCTTCAAGGTGTACAATAATAGAGAGGAAGCAGCCAGACGGCAACGCGTTTCTGAGTTACAATTACTTGCCTCTGCTGTGAGAGAAAACCCAGCCACACCTCCTGCATATGAGAACTTCAAAATGCCTAAGCCGCAGCAGTCAAGCATTCCTACAAGACTTCCTCCAACAGGATCTTGCTTCAAGTGCCAGAAATCTGGCCACTGGGCCAAGGAATGCCCGTAGCCTGGGATTCCTCCCAAGCCATGTCCCATCTGTGCAGGGACCCACTGGAAATCAGACTGCCCAGCTCACCTGGCAGCCATTCCTAGAGCCCCTAAAGCTCTAGCCCAAGGCTCTCTGATTCCTTCCCAGATCTTCTTGGCTTAGCAGCTGAAGACTGACACTGCCCGATTGCCTCGGAAGCACCCTACACCATCAAGGACACCGAGCTTCAGGTAACTCTCACAGTGGAAGGTAAGCCCATCCCCTTCTTAATATGGAGGCTACCCACTCCACATTACCTTCTTTTCAAGGGCCTGTTTCCCTTGCCTCCATAACTGTTGTGGGTATTGATGGCCAGGCTTCTAAACCTCTTAAAACTCCCCAACTCTGGTGCCAACTTAGACAATAATCTTTTAAGCACTCCTTTTTAGTTATCCCCATCTGCCCAGTTCCCTTATTAGTCTGAGACACTTTAACTAAATTATCTGCTTCCCTGACTATTCCTGGACTACAGCTGTATCTCATTGCTGCCCTTCTTCCCAATCCAGTCTCCTTTGCGTCCTCCTCTTCTATCCCCCCACCTTAACCCACAAGTATAAGATACCTCTACTCCCTCCTTGGCGACCGATCATGCACCCCTTACCATCTCATTAATACCTAATCACCCTTACCTCACTCAATGCCAATATCCCATCCCCCAGCACGCTTTAAAAAGATTAAAGTCTGTTATCACTTGCCTGCTACAGCATGGCCTTTTAAACCCTATAAACTCTCCTTACAATTCCCCCATTTTACCTGTCCTAAAACCAGACAAGCCTTACAAGTTAGTTCAGGATCTGCACCTTATCAACCAAATTGTTTTGCCTCTCCACCCCGTGGTGCCCAACCCGTACACTCTTTTGTCCTCAATACCTTCCTCCACAACTCACTATTCCATGCTTGATCTTAAAGATGATTTTTTCACTATTCCCCTGCACCCCTCATCCCAGCCTCTCTTTGCTTTCACTTAGACTGACCCTGAGACCCATTAGGCTCAGCAAATTACCTAGGCTGTACTGCCGCAAGGCTTCACAGACAGCCCCCATTACTTCAGTCAAGCCCAAATTTTATCCTCACCTGTTACCTATCTCGGCATAATTCTCATAAAAACATACGTGCTTTCCCTGCTGATCATGTCCGATTAATCTCCCAAACCTCAATCCCTTACAAAACAACAACTCCTTTCCTTCCTAGGCATAGTTAGTGTGGTCAGAATTCTTACACAAGAGCCAGGACCGCACCCTGTAGCCTTTCTGTGCAAACAACTTGACCTTACTGTTTTAGCCTAGCCCTCATGTCTGCCTGCAGCGGCTGCTGCTGCTTTAATACTTTTAGAGGCCCTCAAAATCCCCAACTATGCTCAACTCACTGTACAGTTCTCATAACTTCCAAAATCTATTTTCTTCTTCATACCTGACGCATATACTTTCTGCTTCCCGGCTCCTTCAGCTATACTCACTCTTTTCTGAGTCTCCCACAATTATCATTGTTCCTGGCCCAGACTTCAATCCGGCCTCCCACATTATTCCTGATACCACACCTGACCCCCATGACTGTATCTCTCTGATCCACCTGACATTCACCCCATTTCCCCAAATTTCCTTCTTTCCTCTTCCTCACCCTGATCATGCTTGATTTATTGATGGCGGTTCCACCAGGCCTAATCGCCACACACCAGCAAAGGCAGGTTATGCTATAGTACAAGCCACTAGCCTGCCTCTTAGAACCTCTCATTTCTTTTCCATCGTGGAAATCTACCCTCAAGGAAATAACTTCTCAGTGTTCCATCTGCTATTCTACTACTCCTCAGGGATTATTCAGGCCCCCTCCCTTCCCTACACATCAAGCTCGAGGATTTGCCCCCACCCAGGACTGGCAAATTAGCTTTACTCAACATGCCCAAGTCAGGAAACTAAAATACCCCTTAGTCTAAATAGACACTTCCACTGAATAAGTAAAGGCCTTTCGTACAGGGTCTGAGAAGGCCACGGCAGTCATTTATTCCCTTCTGTCAGACATAATTCCTCAGTTTAGCCTTCCCACCTCAATACAGTCTGATAACAGACGAGCCTTTATTAGTCAAATCAGCCAAGCAGTTTTTCAGGCTCTTAGTATTCAGTGAAACCTTTATATCCCTTAAGGTCCTCCATCTTCAAGAAAAGTAGAATGGACTAAAGGTCTTTTAAAAACACGCCTCACCAAGCTCAGCCACCAACTTAAAAAGGACTGGACAATACTTCTACCACTTTCCCTTCTCAGAATTCAGGCCTGTCAGAATGCTACAGGGTACAGCCCATTTAAGCTCCTGTATAGACGCTCCTTTTTATTAGGCCCCAGTCTCATTCCAGACACCAGACCAACTTAGACTGTGCCCCCCTCCCAAAAAAAACTTGTCATCCCTACTATTTTCTGTCTAGTCATACTCCTATTACCATTCTCAACTACTCATACATGCCCTGCTCTTCTTTACACTGCCGGTTTACACTGTTTCTCCAAGCCATCACAGCTGATATCTCCTGGTGCTATCCCCAAACTGCCACTCTTAACTCTTGAAGTAAATAAATAATCTTTGCTGGCAGGACTCTGCTGAATCTCCTTAGGCACTCTCTAATCAGATATCCTAGGTCCTCCCAATTCTTAGACCTTTTATACCTGTTTTTCTCCTTCTGTTATTCCATTTAGTTTCTCAATTCATACAAAACCGTATCCAGGCCATCACCAATCATTCTATATGACAAATGTTTCTTCTAACATCCCCACAATATCACCCCTTACCACAAGACCTCCCTTCAGCTTAATCTCTCCCACTCTAGGTTCCCACGCTGCCCCTAATCCCACTTGAAGCAGCCCTGAGAAACATCGCCCATTCTCTCTCCCTACCACCCCTCAAAAATTTTCACCACCCCAACACTTCAACACTATTTTGTTTTATTTTTCTTATTAATATAAGAAGGCAGGAATGTCAGGCCTTTGAGCCCAATCCAAGACATCGCATCCCCTGTGACTTGCACGTATATGCCCAGATGGCCTGAAGTAACTGAAGAATCACAAAAGAAGTGAAAAGGCCCTACCCTGTGTTAACTGATGTCATTCCACCATTGTGATTTGTTCCTGCCCCACCTTAACTGAATGATTAACCCTGTGAATTTCCTTCTCCTGGCTCAGAAGCTCCCCCACTGAGCACCTTGTGACCCCCGCCCCTGCCCACCAGAGAACAACCCCCTTTTACTGTAATTTTCCATTACCTTCCCAAATCCTATAAAATGGCCTCACCCCTATCTCCCTTTGCTGACTCTCTTTTCGGACTCAGCCCACCTGCACACAGGTGATTAAAAGCTTTATTGCTCACACAAAGCCTGTTTGGTGGTCTCTTCACACAGATGCGCATGAAAATAAGGATGCCCACATTCATCATTTCTATTCAACATAGTACCAGAAGTCCTAGCCAGAGCAACAAGACAAGAGAAAGAGATAAAAGGCATCCAAATTGAAGAGAAAAACGTCAAAACGTTCCTGTTTGCAGACAACATGATCTTAGAGACGGAAAACCCTAAAGACTCCACCAAAACCTGTTATAATTAATAAACAAATTTAGTAAAGTAGCAGGATACAAAATCAACTTACGATAATCAGTAGTATTTTTAGATGGCATTATTAAGCTATCTTTAAAAATCAAGAAAAAAATCTCATTTACAGTACAATAGCACAAAAAATAAGATTCCTAAGAATAAACCTAACCAAGAAGGTGAAAAATATCTACAACAAAAACTATAAAACATTGATGAAAAATGGAAGAGGACACAAATAAATAGAAGGATACAGAAAAATACCCCCATGTTCATTGATTTAAAGAATTGGAATTGTTAAAGTGTCCATACTACCCAAAACAATCTAGAGATTCAATGTAATAGCTATCAAAATATCCATGATATTCTTCATAGAAATAGAAAGAAAAATCCTAAAATGTGTATGGAACCACAAAAGACCCCAAATAGCCAAATCAATCTTAAGCAAACAGAACCAAGCTAGAGGGATCACATACCTGGCTTCAAAATGTACTACAAAGCTGTAATAACCAAAATAGCATGGTAGTGGCATAAAAACAGGCATATACACCAAGGGACTAGAATACAGTTAGAAATAAATCCACAGACTTACAACCAACTGATTTTCAACATAGATGCCAAAAATACACGTTGGGGAAAGGGCAATCACTTCAATAAATAGTGTGGAGGAAACTGAGTATGTACATGCAGACATGGAACTAGACCCCTATCTCTCACCATATGCAAAAATTAACTCAAAATGGATTAAAACTTAAATATAATGTCAGGTCTCTGAGCCCAAGCCAAGCCATCGCATCCCCTGTGACTTGCATGTATACGCCCAGATGGCCTGACGTAACTGAAGAATCACAAAAGAAGTGAAAAGGTCCTGCCCCGCCTTAACTGATGACATTCCACCATTGTGATTTGTTCCTGCCCCACCTTAACTGATTAACCCTGTGAATCATTCTCCTGGCTCAGAAGCTCCCCAAGTGAGCACCTTGTGGCCCCAGCCCCTGCCCACCAGAGAACAACCCCCTTTGACTGTAATTTTCCTTTACCTACCCAAATCCTATAAAACAGCCCCACCCTTAACTCCCTTTGCTGACTCTCTTTTCGGACTCAGCCCACCTGTACCCAGGTGAAATAAACAGCCATGTTGCTCACACAAAGCCTGTTTGGTGATCTCTTCACACGGACGCGCATGAAATTTGGAGACATGACTCGGATCGGGGGACCTCCCTTGGGAGATCAATACCCTGTCCTCTTGTTCTTTGCTCCATGAGAAAGATCCACCAATGACCTCAGGTCCTCAGAACAACCAGCCTGAGAAACATCTCACCAATTTCAAATCCGGTAAGCAGCCTCTTTTTACTCTCTTCTCCAACCTCCCTCACTATCCCTCAACCTCTTTCTCCTTTCAATCTTGGCCCCACATTTCTATCTCTCCCTTCTCTTAATTTCAATTCCTTTCAATTCTTTTGGTAGAGACAAAGGAGACACGTTTTATCCGTGGACCCAAAACTCTGGCACCGGTCACGGACTGGGAAGGCAGCCTTCCCTTGGTGTTTAATCATTGCAGGGACACCTCTCTGATTATTCACCCACGTTTCAAAGGTGTCAGACCATGCAGGGACACCTGCCTTGGTCCTTCACCCTTAGCAGCAAGTCCCATTTTTCTGGGGCAGGGGCAAGTACCCCTCAACCCCTTCTCCTTCACCCTTAGCAGCAAGTCCCGCTTTCCTGGGGCAGGGGCAAGTACCCCTCAACCCCTTCTCCTTCACCCTTAGTGGCAAGTCCCGCTTTCCTAGGGGGCAAGAACCCCCCAATCACTTATTTCCACACCCCAACCTCTTATCTCTGCACCCCAATCCCTTATTTCTGCACCCTGACCTCTTATCTCTGTGCCCCAATCCCTTATTTCCACGCCCCAACCTCTTATATCTCTGCACCCCAATCCCTTATTTCTGCACCCTGATCTATCTCTGTGCCCCAACCCCTTTTCTGGAAGGTGAGAACACCTGAACCACTTCCCTCCATTTCTCTACTCTCTCTTTTCTCTAGGTTTGCTTCCTTCACTATGGGCAACCTTCCACCCTCCATTCCTCCTTCTACTCCCTTGGCCTGTGTTCTCAAAAACTTAAAACCTCTTCAACTCACACCTGACCTAAAACTTAAACGCCTTATTTTCTTCTGCAATGCTGCTTGACCCCAATACAAACTCAACAGTAGTTCCAAATAGCCAGAAAATGGCACTTTGAATTTTTCCATCCTGCAAAATCTAAATAATTCTTGTCGTAAAATAGGCAAACGGTCTGAGGTGCCTGACGTCCAGGCATTCTTTTACACATCAGTCCCTTCCTAGTCTCTGTGCCCAGTGCAACTCGTCCCAAATCTTCCTTCTTTCCCTCCCACCTGTCCCCTCAGTACCAACCCCAAGCGTCGCTGAGTCTTTCTAATCTTCCTTTTCTACAGACCCATCTGACCTCTCCCTTCTTCCCCAGGCTGCTCCTCGCCAGGCCGAGCTAGGTCCCAATTCTTCCTCAGCCTCTGCTCCTCCACCCTATAATCTTTTTACCACCTCTCCCCTCCTCACACCTGGTCTGGCTCACAGTTTCATTCCATGACTAGCCCTCCTCCACCTGCCCAGCAATTTACTCTTAAAAAGGTGGCTGGAGCTAAAGGCATAGTCAAGGTTAATGCTCCTTTTTCTTTATCCCAAATCAGAAGTGTTTAGGCTCTGTTTCATCAAATATAAAAATCCAGCCCAGTTCATGGCTCATTTGGCAGCAACCCTGAGACACTTTACAGTCTTAGACCCTAAAAGGTCAAAAGGCCGTCTTATTCTCAAAATACATTTTATTACCCAATCTGCTCCTGACATTAAATAAAACTCCAAAAATTAAATTCTGGCCCTCAAACCCCACAACAGGATTTAATTAACCTCGCCTTCAAGGTGTACAATAATAGAAAAAAGTTGCAATTCCTTGCCTCCACTGTGAGACAAACCCCAGCCACATCTCCAGCACACAAGAACTTCCAAACGCCTGAACTGCAGTGGCCACGCGTTCCTCCAGAACCTCCTCCCATAGGAGCTTGCTTCGTGTGCCAGAAATCTGGCCACTGGGCCAAGGAATGCCCGCAGCCCGGGATTCCTCCTAATCCACGTCCCATCTCTGTGGGACCCCACTGAAAATCGGACTGTTCAACTCACCTGGAAGCCACTCCCAGAGCCCCTGGAACACTGGCCAAAGGCTCTCTGACTGACTCCTTCCCAGATCTTCTTGGCTTAGCAGCTGAAGACTGACACTGCCCGATCACCTCAGAAGCACCCTTGACCATCACGGATGCCGAGCTATGGGTAACTCTCACAGTGGAAGGTAAGCCCGTCCCCTTCTTAATCAATACGGAGGCTACCCACGCCACATTACCTTCTTTTCAAGGGCCTGTTTCCCTTGCCTCCATAACTGTTGTGGGTATTGACGGCCAGGCTTCTAAACCTCTTAAAACTCCCCAACTCTGGTGCCAACTTAGACAATACTCTTTTAAGCACTCCTTTTTAGTTATCCCCATCTGCCCAGTTCCCTTATTAGGCTGAGACACTTTAACTAAATTATCTGCTTCCCTGACTATTCCTGGACTACAGCTGTATCTCATTGCCACCCTTCTTCCCAATCCAAAGCCTCCTTTGTGTCCTCCTCTTGTATACCCCCACCTTAACCCACAAGTATAAGATATCTCTACTCCCTCCTTGACGACCGATCATGCACCCCTTACCATCTCATTAAAACCTAATCACCCTTACCGCACTCAATGCCAGTATCCCATTCCGCAGCACGCTTTAAAAAGATTAAAGCCTGTTATCATTCGCCTGTTACAGCATGGCCTTTTAAACCCTATAAACTCTCCTTACAATTCCCCCATTTTTCCTGTCCTAAAACGAGACAAGCCTTACAAGTTAGTTCAGGATCTGCACCTTATCAACCAAATTGTTTTGCCTATCCACCCCGTGGTGCCAAACCCATATACTCTCCTATCCTCAATACCTCCCTCTACTACCCATTATTCTGTTCTGGATCTCAGACATGCTTTCTTTACTATTGCTTTGCACCCTTCATCCCAGCCTCTCTTTGCCTTCACTTAGACTGACCCTGACACCCATTAGGCTCAACAAATTACCTGGGCTGCACTGCCACAAGGCTTCACAGACAGCCCCCATTACTTCAGTGAAGCCCAAATTTCATCCTCATCTGTTAGTCATACTCCTGTTCACCGTTCTCAACTACTCATACATGCCCTGCTCTTCTTTACACTGCCGGTTTACACTGTTTCTCCAAGACATCACAGCTGATATCTCCTGGTGCTATCCCCAAACTGCCACTCTAAACTCTTGAAGTAAATAAATAATCTTTGCTGGCAGGACTCTGCTGAATCTCCTTAGGCACTCTCTAATCAGATATCCTAGGTCCTCCCAATTCTTAGACCTTTTATACCTGTTTTTCTCCTTCTGTTATTCCATTTAGTTTCTCAATTCATACAAAACCGTATCCAGGCCATCACCAATCATTCTATATGACAAATGTTTCTTCTTACATCCCCACAATATCACCCTTTACCACAAGACCTCCCTTCAGCTTAATCTCTCCCACTCTAGATTCCCACGCTGCCCCTAATCCCACTTGAAGCAGCCCTGAGAAACATCGCCCATTCTCTCTCCCTACCACCCCTCAAAAATTTTCACCACCCCAACACTTCAACACTATTTTGTTTTATTTTTCTTATTAATATAAGAAGGCAGGAATGTCAGGCCTCTGAGCCCAAGCCAAGCCATCGCATTCCCTGTGACTTGCACGTATACGCCCAGATGGCCTGAAGTAACTGAAGAATCACAAAAGAAGTGAAAAGGTCCTGCCCCACCTTAACTGATGATATTCCACCATTGTGATTTGTTCCTGCCCCACCTTAACTGAGTGATTAACCCTGTGAATTGTTCTCCTGGCTCAGAAGCTCCCCAACTGAGCACCTTGTGACCCCCACCCCTGCCCACCAGAGAACAACCCCCTTTTACTGTAATTTTCCTTTACCAACCCAAATCCTATAAAATGGCCCCACCCCTATCTCCCTTCGCTGACTCTCTTTTTGGACTCAGCCCGCCTGCACCCAGGTGAAATAAACAGCCATGTTGCTCAAACAAAGCCTGTTTGGTGGTCTCTTCACACGGATGTGCATGAAATGTAAGACCTAAAATTACTAGAAAGAAGAAAGCTGCTAGAAGAAAACACTTGGGGAAATACTTTAGGATATTGATCTTAGCAAAGATATTTTGTATGGAACCTCAAAAGCACAGGAAACTAAAGCAAAAATAGGCAATTGGGACTAAATCAATCCGAAAAGCTTTTGAACAGCAAAGAAAACAATCGACAGAGTGAAGAGATATCTCACAGAATGGAATAATATATTTAAACTATCCATCTGACAAGGGATCAGTAATCAGAATATATAAGGAATGCAAACAATTCAATAGCAAAACACAAAAACAAAACAAATAATCAAATTTCAAAGATGGGCAAATGACCTAAATAGACATTTCTTAAGTTACAATTAGACAAGAGGAATAAGTTCTGGTGTTCTATCACATAGTAGGGTGACTATAATTAAAAACAATATATTGTATGTTTCAAAATAGCTAGAAGAGAGAATTGTTAGGGTTTTCACTACAAAAAAAGATACATGTTTGAGGTGATATATTTGCAAATTACCTTAATTTGATCTTTCACAATGTGCACATGCATCAAAACATCAAATGGTACCCGATAAATATATACAAGCATTGTGTGTGAATTAAAAGTAGAAGAAACAAAAATACATTTGACTTTTATATATTGAAAACAAGCCGTGATTACTCATACCTTTTTCCAAATTTCTGTGGACATCAGAGCTAAGGTACAGTCTGCAACTTAGAAAGTATTCACTTATTTCTAGCTATTGATATTATTACCAAAAGAGTTATAACCGATTGTAGGTACATCTGAGTGTTGTTGATAAAAGTATACCATTCCGTGAGTACTAATTATTCAATCGGATGGACCACATTATACAAATGCAAATGTCATTAAATATTAGGTAGAAAGCACTACTGGAGACACAAAAACAATTCAGTCAAACTTCTTCTTTACTAGAAGCCCATAGTCAAGTGGATAAGACAGACATAGTGACAAGTACACCTAGCACAATGCCTGACACATAAAAATGTTGAACTATATTTATTGAATGATTTTCTCTATCATTTTTCTATTCTCTATTTTATTTCTGCCTTATCCTTTATTTCCTTATTTCTTATTTGAGGTTTAATTTGCTTTTTATTTTCTAGTTTCTTAAGATGAAAGACTAGGTTCTTTATTTGAGATCTCTTTTTTTAACTTTTATTTTAGGTTCAGGGTACATGTGCAGGTTTGTTATACAGGTAAATTGCATGTTGCGGAGGTTTGATGTACAGATTATTTCATCACCCAGGTAATAAGCATAGTACCCCAATAGGTAGTTTTTCAATCCTCATCCTCTTTTCACCCTTCCCCCTTCAAGTAGGTTCTAATGTCTGTTTTTCTCTTCTTTGTGTCCATGTGTGTTCAACGTTTATATGTGAAAACATGTAGCATTTGGTTTTCTATTGCTGCTAATCACTTAGAGTAATGGCTTCTAGCTCCTTCCATTTTGCTGCAAAAACATGATTTTGTTCTCTTTTATGTCTGTATAGTATTCCATGATGTATATGTACCATATTTTCCTTTATCTAGTCTACTGTTGACAGGCATTTAGGTTGATGCCATATTTTTGCTATAGTGAATAGTGCTGTGATGAACATATACTTGCATGTGTCTTTATGGTAGAATGTTTTATATTCCTTTGGGTATATACCTAATAATGGGAATGCTGGGTCACATGGCAATCATGTTTTAAATTCTTTCAGAAATTGTCAAATGCTTTCCACAATGGCTGAACTACATTTCCATCAGGAGTATATAAACATTCCCTTTTCTCCACAACCTTGCCAGCATCTGTTTTAGGGTTTTTTTTTTTTTTTTTTTTTTTTTGACTTTTTAATGGTAGCTATTCTGACTGGTGTGAGATGGTATCTCATTTCAGCTTTGATTTGCATTTTTCAAATGATTAGTAATTTTGGCCATTTAGTATATGCTTGTTAGCCGTGTGTATGCCTTCTTTTGAAAAGTGTCTGTTCATGTTCTTTGCCCACTTTTTAATGGGGTTGCTTGTTGTCTTGCTTATGAATTTGTTTAGGTTCCTTATAGATGCTGAATAGTAGACCTTTGTCAGATGCATAGTTTGCAAATATTTTCTCTCATTCTGTAGGTTATCTGTTTACACAAGCAAGTGGAAAAACATTCCATGCTCATGAATAGGAAGATAAATGTTGTTAAAATGACCAACTGCCCAAAGCAATTTATAGATTTACTGCTATTCCTACCAACCTACCAAAGACGTTCTTCATAGAATTAGAAAAAAAACTATTTTAAAATTCCTTCGGAACCAAGAAAGAGCCTGAATAGCCAAGGCAATCCTAATTAAAAATAACAGAGCCAGAGGCATCACATTACTTGACTTCAAACTATGTTACAAGACTACAGTAACCAAACAGCACAGTACTGGTAAAACAGACACATAGAATAGAACAGAATAGGAGCCCAGAAATGATGACACACACTTACAACCATCTGATCTTTGACAAAGTTGACAAAAACAGGCAATGGGAAAATGACAGCCTATTCAATAAACGGTGCTGGAATAACTGGCTAGCCATATGCAAATGATTGAAACTGGACTCAATTCTTAAACCATATACAAAAAATCAACTCGAGATGGATTAAAAACTTAAATGCAAAACCTTAAAGTGTAAAAATCCTGGACGATAACCTAGGAAATACCACTCTGGACATAGGACCAGGCAAAGATTTCATGAAAGAGACATAGAAAACCAAATGCAACAAAAACAAAAATTGACAATGGGATCTAATTAAACAAAAAGCTTCTGCACAGCAAAAGAAACTATCAACAGCAATCTTTCTCCTTTTTTAAAAAAATATAAGCACTGATAGCAGTACATTTCTCTCTAAGCACAGCATTAGCTGTATTCCATACATTTTGGTATGTCATGTTTTGATTTTTATTAATCTCAAAGTATTTTCTAATTTTATATTTTTGACCCATTGGTTATTTAGGAGTGTGTTGTTTAATTTTACATATTTACAACTTCTCCAAATCTCATCATGTTACTGACTTCTAATTTAATTTATTTGTGTTTGTAGCACCAAAGCTGTATGATTTCATTTGTTTCAAATTTAGTGAGATTTGTTTTATAGCCTAATATATGGCCAATCTAGACAATGTAACATGAGAAGAATGTGTTTCTGCTGTTGTTGGGTAGAGCATTCTATAGATACCTGTTAGGTTTAGTTGCTTAATATACTTATTTAAGTCTTCTGTTTCCTTGTTTGTCTCTGTCTAGTTGTTCTATCCACTATTGAAAATGGGTCATTGAAGTATCCAACTGTTATTATTGAATTGTCTATTTCTCCCTTTAATTCAAAGTCAATTTTTGCTTCATGCAGCTCTGTTGTTAGATGAATATGGATTTACAAATGTATTTGTCTCTAGTATAAATTTTTGTATTAAAGCTTTTTTTTTTCTGATTTTAGTGTAGCCATCCAGCTCTGTTTTGATTACTGTTTTCATGATATATCTTTTTCCATTTTTTTTACTTTCAACTTGTTTGTGTCTTTGAATCAAAAGTATGTCTCCAATAGACAGTTCATGGTTCCCTGTTTTCTTTTGTTGACTCTACCACATGTCTCTGAGGCCTGTTCACTTTTCTTTGTTGCTTTTTCTTTCTTTACCTAAGAACATAAAACTCAATTAGCCCATAGTTATTCTGAATATGTGATATTGTGACCTTGATCATAATTTCTGCTTAGTTTTAGAGATTTTTAAGAAAGCCATAAATAACTTACCTCTGAAATCTTCAACCTAAGTTTTTTAAGTTCTTTTCCTAGCAATGTTTTGTTTTGGGTCTATTTTCTAAGGCACTTTGTTATATAAGAAAAATAATTACCTAGAGCTCAGCTTTATAAAGACTAACATAGTATCCATTAGTTGCAAAGAATAGAGCTTTTGAAGGTTGGCAAGAAAGTATTTGCCAACTCTCACCCCCATTTTTCTTGATATTTCTTCCCCCAGAAAATCTATGTCTATCTTTGCACATCTTAGTGGTTTCATTACTGCCTCTGCAACTGTGCTCAGAGTGGCTGATAAGTTTTCATGAGCCCTTTAATCTAATAGGCTGCTTACTCCCTCTCATTTCTTAGTAATCGGATTTCCAAACAAGGCTTGATTCTACCCAGTGATCTTCAGCTTCCTTCCCACAAACCTTCTTTCATTTCAGCAACAATCAAATGCTGTTTCTATGTGTTCTGTTATTTTGTTATTCTCATTTGATAGTGGGTTTGTGGACCATGGAATTTTGGCCACTCTCATCCAACATCCTTTGAATTATTATTTTTTTCATAAACCATTTTCTCAGATGGGTCTATTCACATCTGTATGATGATAAATATCTTCAGCAGAGATGACCTGAAGGGGTCCTATCTTTGTACCAACCCATTGTGTGAAGCTCTCAAGCACTAAGCTTGCTATTATTGAGCAGTTACAATATACAATTGCAGGGTTATTTTGTCCTGCAAATTCTATGAGAGAATAGTAATCAAAGAAAATAGTAGAAAGGAGGAGGCAGGGTGTAACTTATGGGAAAAATCAAAAGAAGTACTCGAACTATATAAAAAATACACAAATGAATTTTTTGAAAAGTTAGTTTATAAGAATTTAAAATAAAATTTTCCTTATGCTTTAGGAAAAAAAATGCACATTTATACTAACCAGACACTGACCAAATCTAGAAGGAATCTCCCACAACTACCACAACATGCCTAAAGAGAAAGAAAATCCTAATATAAGATTATAAATATGTGTATATATAGTCATATTCAGATTATATAAGAAATACACATGTTTATGGGTGTGCATATATATAGAGAGAAAGTAATAGAGATCATCTATATAGATCTCTGAATATAACCTCATTTATAGAGTCTCTCTCCTGTTTTATGTGTCCCCAAATAACGTCTCACTAAGACATTTTTGCAATATTTTTTTCTCCCAATTGGGATAGAGCCCAGCTACCGCTGATACATTAAAAGTTCTCTTCTCTCAGCTTTCTAAACCAATGGCAAATACTCTGGCTTCTGCAGGTCACAGACAACTTTCTGACCAGGGCCTAGTTATAGTCACTTCCATCATAAGTTTAGTATTTCTGCTGAGCACAGCGTGAAGAGAAGATATATTTCTCCAGGATACTTAAAGATAGATCTGAATCCTGTGCTCATCTCTTACAATACCAGTAATGCCAGACTATGACTTCAGAGGATATAGCATCCTCAAAAGGGCCACCCTTTGCTCCTCCCAAACTGTAGCAAAATGTATGGAACATTTAACTCAAATTTGATACCATCTATACCTCCCAAAAATTGCATCTGAGTGTTTTCCTCTAGCCAAGCATTTACAGGAGGAGAATGTAGATGTGCATATCGACTCCACTGTTGTGACAGTTGTCATTTAATGGAGAAATCTATCAGCAGCCACACTAAATTGTTTGGGGGCTTTCTTCACCTTTTAACTCAATGGAGAGAAAAGTGTTTTAGGCCAACTTCTATTGGTTGGGCATTACTTCTATTTTTTAAACTTTATTTTGAGTTAATTGTAGATTCAGAGAGATCCCATGTACCCTTTATTCATTTTCCCCCAGTAGTAATATTTTGCTACACCCAGATATGGACATTGATATAGTCAAGATAAGGGAACCCTTTTATCACTATAAGGATCCCTCATATGGCCCTTTTATAGCCATATTCGTACTCTTCCCCCTACTTTTTCCTGACTTCTATTCTGATGCTCATGCAGAATTGTATTTATTCATCTATCCCTTTGTTCACGTATTCATCTAACAAATATTGGCTGGATGTGGTGGCTCACACCTGTAATCCCAGCACTTTGGGAGGCCAAGGCGGGCAGATCACCTGAGGTCAGGAGTTTGAGATCAGCCTGGGCAACATGATGAAACCCCGTCTCTACTAAAAATACCAAAATTAGCCGGGCATGGTGGCACATGCCTGTAATCCTGGCTACTCAAGAGGCTGAGGCAGGTGAATCACTTGAACTCAGGAGGCAGAGGTTGCAGTGAGCCGAGATCAAGCCACTGCACTCCAGCCTGGGAAACAGAGCAAGACTGCCTCAAAAAAACAAACAAACAAACAAACAAAAAATATCTACTAAGCCCCTATATACAAGCACTGAAGATACAGTAATTGTGCAAAAATCAAACATGATTGATCTTCACAATTTAGTAGATGAAGCAGATACTAACCAACTAAGCATTCAAATAAATGTAAAGCTTCAAATATGATAATTCTCATAATCGAGCCATAAATATTATGAAACCCACAATGAAGTTTAATGGAGAGAAGGAAAATGTAAGCTTCCTAGAGGAAGGAAAGACTGAGCTGATATTTGAAGGGCAAGTTAGAGTAGCTAGGCAGAAAGAGTGTATGTACTGAGCATCCAGGCAGAGAGAATAGAGGCAGCATCCTGCAGGAAGGAAGGAGGGCCCTGGATAACTGTAACAGCCTCTGACAGTTTCCTATCTTCCTTTTATTTTTTAATTATTACTATTATTTATTTATTTATTTTTTGAGAGAGAGAGAGAGAGGGTCTTACTCTGTCATTCAGGCTGGAGTGCAGTGGTACAATCATGGCTCACTACAACTTTGATCTCCTGGGCTCAAGAGATCCTCCCACCTCAGTCTTCCAGATAGCTGAGACTACGGGCACAGACCACCATGCCCAGCTAATTTTTTGTAGTGATAGGGTCTCACTGTGTTTTTCAGATTGGTCTCAAACTCCTGGCCTCAAGCGACCTTCCTGCCTCAGCCTCCCAAAATACTAGTATTACAGGTGTGAGCCACCACACCTGGCTCACCCTCTTTTTCACTCTCATAATAATGTATTTTGTGGAATTGAAGTTTTAATTTCAATAAAGCTCAACTTATCTATCTCTTGCATTTCATTTAAGATTTTTTGTTCCTACTAGGTCATGGAGATATTTTCCCATGTTTTCATTTAGAGGATTTAATCTAGGTTCACTACTGTTTTCTTCAGGACTTTTCCTTCAATGTATGTTAGTGAGACTGGCTTATAAAATCTCCTTTTCCCTAATGTCTTTGTCGGGTTTGGTTATCAAGGTTATTCTGCATTAATAAATTAAAGCTACTCCCTCTTGACCGGGTACAGTGGTTCATGCCTGTAATCTCAGCACTTTGGGAGGCTGAGGCGAACAGATTTCTACAGCCCAGGAGTTCAAGACCAACCTAAGCAACATAGTGACACCCTGTCTCAATACAAAATTTTTAAAATTTTTTAAAAAGCTACACCCTCTTTTTTGATCTCTGATTTTGTAAAAGTATAGCATTATTTTTTAACTATTTTATAAAAATCACAAATGAAGTAGTCTCTGGAGTTTTCTTTCTTGGAAGGTTTTAAGTTATGGATTTAATGTCTTCAATTTTCTATTTTTTGTTCTTTGTATAAAGTTTTTTAAGAAATTGGCCAATTCATCTGAAGTTTTAATTTTATTGGCATAACTCTTTCATAATTTCCTTTATTTTTAAATATCTGCATAATATGAAGTCATATCTCCTTTTTATTGCTGACATCTTGGTTCATTTTGCCAGAGGTTTGTCAGTTTTATTCATCTTTAAAGAAACTTTTAACTTTGTGTATCCTAGCTATTGCATATTTCTTTTCTTGTTCACTAATTTCTGATCCTTCTTATGTGATTCCCCTCTTTCACTTCCTTTGGATTTAATTTGTTTTATATTTATCTTCTATTCAAGAGGATATTAGCCCATTGTTATTCCATCTTCTTCACACATGTGCATTTAAAGCTATAAATTGGTCTTAGGTTCACTTTAGTTTCCTCTTATAGGTTTTTATAACTTTATGTGAAGTATAACATATAAATATGTTCAACTTATATAGTTTAAATAATTATCACAAAGTCAACATACCCACAGAATTGGGTAGTATAATATATTACCAGTACCCCAGAAGTCACTTACATATCTCCTTCCAATCATCACTGCATGCCTTCTAAAAGGCAACTACTATTCAGACATTTAACTTAATAGACTATTTTTTCCTATGTTTGAATTGGACTTATACAGTATGCATTGTTTTGTGCCTGTATTCTTTCACTCAGTATTATATTTGTCTGATTCATTCCTATTGCTGCAAGTAGGTTTAGTTCACTGATTTTTATTGCTGAATGATATTTTGTTGCATGACTGTGAATTTATTGATGCACTCTAGAGATCACGAACGTTTGGGTTATTTCTAGTTTGAAGCTTTTATAGGCATTGGAGGTGAGGGAATATATACCTAGGAATGAAATTATTGATCATACAAAATGTATATACTCAACTTTAATGGAGAAATAGTATTGAAAGTGCTTTCACCAATAGCAGTTGAAAGAATTCCAGCTCCTTCACATCCTTGCTAAATATTTGGTGTATTGGTCAGTATTCTCTAGAAAGACAGAAACAATGTGATGTATATAGAGATGTATGAGAGGAGATTTATTAGGAGAATTGGCTTACATGATTATGGAGACAACAGGCCAGGCCCATCTATAAGCTGGAGACCCTGTGATACCAGCAGTGTGGCTCAGTCCAAGTCCAAAGGCCTCAAACTCAGGGAAGCCAATGATAAAATTCTATGTCCAAGGCAGAAGTCTCTCAGAACTCGAGGGGATGAGGCAGGGTCACTAGTATAAGTCCTGGAGTCTAAAAACCAGCGAACCTGGAGTTCTGATATCCATGAAGATGAGAAAAGTGTATCCCAGTTCCAGAAGAGGGAGAAAATTGTCTTTTTGTTCTATCCAGGCTCCTAGCTGATTGGATGGTGCCCACACACATTCAGGGCAGATCTTCCCCACTAGGCCCCCTGACTTATATGCCAATCTCCTCTAGAAACATCCTCATAGACACGCCTAGAAATAATCCTTTACCAGATCTATAGATAATCCTTAATTCAGTAAAGTTGACATCTAAAATTCACCATCACATTTGGCATTGCCAGTCTTTGTCATTTTATCATTCTAGTGGACAGGTAGTGTTAGCTCATTATGGTTTTTATTTGTGGAATCAGCTTTTGATCTTCCGCAAATAGTATTCTGAAATATTGACTAGTATTCTATTGAAATATAAGATCAAGTAAGGGAGATTACTTCTTTATAATATTGAGTTTTTCAGTCCATGAAAATAGTATATCCACCTATTTATTTAGTTATTTTAAAATTTCTCTTGATGACATGATTCTCAACGTAGGAAAGCATTAACATTCTACTATGAAGTATGCTTGCAGTAGGTTTTTTTTATAGTTATCCTTTCCCAGTTTAAGAAAGTGTCCTTATATTTCAAATTTCCTGAGAATTTTTTTAAATCATAAATGAAAATTTAAATTCCTCCTGGCTTGAAATTCTTCTTCCTACATGACCATTTCACTTCCCTTTATCCACTTTGGTCTGACTAGTTTATTGTTACCTTTCAAGTTTCAACATAAATCCCACTTCTATGTGGAGGCCTTTGCAGGCCACTTGACTAGGTTCTGATCCTCCACTATATCCAATTATTCACCAAACTTTGTTTTAATTAATTATCTATCACCTTCACTAATTTGTAAGCTCCCAGAGCATAAGCTCTATGTCTGTTATTCACCTCTCTGTCCTCAGAGTCCAGAACACAACTTGACACACAGTATTGACCTAACAAATAAATAACGACCTACTTTGAAAAGAGAAATGATAAAAGAGAAGAAGGGAAAGAGGAGTCATCTAAGGATACAAACTATAGAGAAGACTTTATTATAAAGCAGTCTCTGTCTCTTCCTACCCTCACTGATCTCTTGCCTTTCTCCAATCTAGATAAAGTGAAGAATTTTTCCTCTTTTGAAAACTAAGAGCAGATGGCTGAAATCCCAGAGTGAACTATTATTAATAGTTATGTAGTTTTACAGTAGAAAATATACAGACAATGTTATTTCTCAAAAACCAGTCTAACAGAGTAGTGAGCAAAGAAATAAATTATGGAATAGCAGAGAGAGTGTGTTTGGTATAACAATGATCTGCCTTAACAGATTCTCATCAAGTCAACCAGGTAACAGCAAGATCCTAGAACAAGGACAATGAGAGGAGGATATTTGGTCTGGATATTTGTCCCCTCCAAATCTCATGTTAAAATGTGATCTCCAGTGTTGGAGGTAGGGCCTGGTGGGAGGTGTTTTGGTCATGGGGACAGATCCCTCATGAATAGCTTGGTGCCCTCCCCATGGTAATGAGTGAGTCATCACTCTATTAATTCACATGAGAGCTGGTTGTTTAAAAGAGCCTGGCATCTGTCTTGCTCTTTCTCTCTCCATGTGACAAACTTGCTTCCCCTTTGCCTTATGCCATGATTGTAAGCTTCCTGAGACCTCAACAGAAGCAGATGCCAGCCCTATGCTTCTTGTATAGCCTGCAGAAGCATGAGCCAAAATAAACCTCTTTCCTTTATAAATTACCCACTCTCAGATATTCCTTTATAGCAATGAAAAATGAGCTAACACAGAGAGCAAAGCCCATTAAAGAAGTTATTACCAATCTTTATGGAGAGTCTATATGTGAGAGCCTAGATTGCCACATTCATTGAATATGTGTCTAATTCTCCTACAAGAGAATTTCCAGAGGAAAGAACTCTGTTGTTGGTTGAGATATTGTCTTGCACAGCCTGCATTTCACTTGAACTTATTAGGCAGATTTAATATGTCAGCAATGTTAAGTGCCTTAACAATCATAATGGCTTTTGACCCTGTAATCCCATAAGTCTGTGACCTAAGGAAAAACCCAAAAATATAAAAGATTTACATGTGAATATTTCCATCTCATTGTTATTTACTGGAGCAAAAAGTAAGACATTACCTAAGTGCCACACAATAGGTCATTGATTAAATAAATTATGGAATAATCATATGACATAATGTCATTGCAACATTTTACAGTTGTATGTTCAAAGATTCTGTAATAACATGAAAAAATACTCTTGATCTAAGGTTAATCAAAGCAACCAACCAACAAACAAAACATTGGATAAAAATGTACACATATAATTCCACTAATATTGAAGACAAAGGAAATGGAGCCAATTGTTAACTGTCATCATTTCTGGGTGGTGGAATTTTAGAAACTTTTTACTTTCTTATTTAGACTTTTCTTTATATATACATTATTTATTTTATTTCCCCTTTGCTTTATGCTATGATTGTAAGCTTCCTAAGGCCTTCACCAGAAACAGATGCCAACCCTATGCTTTTTGTATAGCCTGCAGAACCGTGGGCCAAAATAAACCCCTTTCCTTTATAAATTACTCAGGTATTCCTTTATAGCAATGCAAAATGGACTAACACATATATATGTATTATATATGTATTAACATATGCCAGCAATATGATCAGTGGAATAAGTCATAATATGGGTTTAAGCCTCACTTTTGGCTTGACTAATTTTGTTATTTTAGAGTAGCCTATTAGCTTCTCAGAGTCTCTGTTTCCTCACTTGCACATTGGAGAAATTGCCCTGGCTCTCTCTAAGAGTTGAGAATAAAAAGAGGAATTATAAGCAAGAAATCAAGTTCACTTGATAAAAATGCAAAGCCTCAAAAGCCACATCAATGACAGTATTACACTAAGCACCAAATGCTGCCCTCTGATTCTTTGACATCTAAGATGAAAAAGAATGGAGGAAGCACAGAAATAACAGTAAGTAAATAAATAATGTACCAGCATAGTCATTTTAAGACTGACTCACATTCCTTTTTAGTTGGTGATAATGATCTCTAATTTCTCCACATATTCTTGAACTTTTATTCCAGTGTAGATGCTCAGCTCCGTGATTCAATTTATGTAGATTTCATTTTAAAGCATTTTCTTAGTAAATTCTCAAAATTCTCAAAGAGTTTGGGGAAAGTTGTTCTCTCTTTCTTTTTAGATGAGTATTTGACAGCTTAAATATATTTCCAGCTGAATACAAAACCTTAAGTTGTGCTAGATAAAACATGGCATGCATACCTCATTTAATGGAAAAGCTAGACACTGTAGATTTCTGAAGGGAAGGGGTTTGGAGAATTTCACCCTGTATGCTTTGAAGCCATAAAATTTCCCTATCTGCTGCTACTTTTATTTGTGAGATTACTCTGTTTGCTTTTCTTTTGTGAGAAATAACAGATGTATATACTTTTACTCCCAGTAAAGCCAGTCTAGTTACTGGTATAAACCAGCCTTTTGGGAAGCATGTCTGGAATTTGTAAGCGTGGCTATGGGTTAGGGGCAAGAGCATCTCAGACAAGCAGCGTGCTCCTTTTCAATAGTATCTCTGAGCTAGCAAGCTTAAGCCTTGGGGAAAAATTGCTTCAATTCTGATCCCAACCTTGATGATAATTAAGCAGATCAGCCTCTCTTGAAATAAACAAAGTTATTTATAAGAAGAGTGTAGAGGACATGGATAGGACTTAAGGTCGTTTTGTAGCTGGGATCCTGGGTAAGTCACTAATCTCTCTGGGCATCCAAACCGTTATCTGAAAACAGGAGGTGACATACTTCAAAAGCTTATTATATGGATAAATAAAATAATGAATGTGAAACATTTTGTTAATTCACAACTACTAATCAAATAATGAAAGGCTGGTTAGGGCCAGAGGAAGGTGATTATTTTAGGATCAGAGGACTTTATGCTTAATTAGTCTTTTATAAAATAATTAATTTAGGATTTCCTGCTGTGGTAGATTGAAAATAGCCAAATTCTTTGAAGCTTGTCCCATCAAGAGGTGGCATCTATTTCTCCACTTGTTGAGTCTGGACTGGTCTTATGACTTGCTTTAACCAAAAGAATATGGCAGGGATGACAATGTGGGACTTCTGAGTGTGGGTGTCAAGTGGCCTTATAACTTCCATTCTCTTGGAACCTTGTATCCATGGGAAGAAGGCTAAGCTGGCCTCCTGTAGAAAGAGAGACCATGAGGTGAGAGAAGACCAGACTTCCCTGCTATCCCAGGTGTCCCAGGTGAAATATCCAACTGACACCAAATGGAGCACAAATAAGCTACCCTTGCTGAATCTGGTCCTAATTTCTGACCCAGAAAATTCTAAACAAATAAACAAAGATTATCCTTTTAAACTTCTAGATTTTAGGATGGCTTGTTACATAACAAAAGCTAACCGATACATATTTCACGCCTCCTTTCTGACAAGAATAGCCTCTAATGTGCACGTCTAAGCAAAAACAGCCTGTTTACAACTCGGTGATTTCTTTTGAATGGTGTTGAGATGGTTAGCAGTTCACAGGAAGGGAGGAAAGCAGCTGAGAAAGTTAAGCAAGATATGAGAGAAGTAAAATTCATTTATTACCATAGTGGGATCTCCTGTGTCAAGTCCAGTTCTAACAACCTCATCATTTTGAAATACAACAGAAAACTCTTTTAGAAGGAAAGGATGCCACAAAGTCGATGCAGTGAGATTTATGTATTTTACCCTCCAGGAAAGCCCTCTTCGTGTTTGTTTTACATCAGTTTTCACCAACTTAATATTCTGGTTTCTAAGCCAATAGAAAATTAAGAGAGGGATATAACATGCAGACATGAATTTGGTGATGAGAAATGAAAGATGACTATTGAAAAGGAGGAAAAAGGGGATCTCTAAAATGCACAGAGGCAATTAAGTAGCAGAGGAATTAGTATAGAATTAAACATTTTTATTTGTGCCAAGACATAGGTGTTGAGGGGACCATCACATTACAGTTTGATGCAAAAATTTAAAACATATCCATAAATTCTGGAAAAACTTCCAACCCAGAAGCCTAAATACAGTTTGGATGCTTAGGTTGGTGAGACTTCAGAGATCCGGTCAGCTCGGCCCACACATTCCTACAAGGTTCCAGCCAGCTCGAGCTGCTCCAGAGACCTCCAGGGAGTGCAGACTGCTCCTCAAAATGCTCACAGCCGGTGCCCTGGCTGATTCACTCATGGGAGTCTTTTGTTTCTTTCTACTTATCTGGGCAATGCTCCTATGCCTGGAAGCTTTCTTGGAAGGGGAATAGAAAGAATGGACATGATGTATGTAGAAATGCCAAAGAAAAATGACTCCTTTTCGGATATCCATCAGGTTGGAGAGAGTCTGAGTTTGGGTTCTTCAGTTGAAAACCATAGCAACCTACTCTGGCAAACTTCTGCAGTAAGGGGATTTTCTGGAAGACTATGGGAATGCTGGCAGGATCAAAGTAAAGGGAAAAGTCTTGGTCTGGAATATTCAACAGTAAAATGGGAGAACATATGCCCTGGATTTGCCACCACATTCTTGACTGCACATCTTGGGAAGGATAATTCCCCTAGAAGAAATCGAGGTACACTTACGAACGGATTATGAATTGGGGGAACCCATGAAAAGCCCCACACACTCAAGACTGTATATCTGGGCCTCACTGTGTCCAGTGTGGAATTCTGAGGGGTGCTGGCAGTGCCCACCTACTTCCAGGACTGGAAATAAATGAAGCCTGACTCTCTCTACTCTATCTGTCATGCTGTTGAGTTCACATTGCAGCTCAACTGTATGCCTGAAAACGCTGTAATTGTAAAAGGCATTTTTTCCCTTAAATCTGATAACTTGGATTAGACGCAGTTTTTCTATGTTTTTGTCTCTGTTATGCCTCAGCCCTCATCTCCCCAGCTGGATCTCCCACCGTCACCATAGGAGGTGGTCTGATCAGATACTGCAGGACTGTGGTAGAGGGATTGGTGGCAAAGGCATTCAATTCCAGTGAAATGAGAGGCCTTTATCTCCTCTGCTTTGCTATGACAGGAATCCAGACACTTGGACAGGATGGGGTCCCCAACAGATGTGCCTCAAGTCAGGTTGCTCACAACCGCCAGGGATGCTGATACTCCCTTGTGAATTCTCAGTCTTAGCAGCAGGTAAGAAAATCACACATCATGCACGTGAGTTTCCCTGGGGTGGCCTACAAAAGGGGGCCTATTCACAATAAATCCTGTTCCAGCATTGCTTCCACTAAGAAAGCCCTAACCACACCAGCACAGCTGTCAGGATGCCCTCAGCCACTGTGGCTCACTTTAACTCACAGGAGAAGCTTTGAGATGAAGGGAAACATCTGCAACAGTGGCAGGATTAGCAGCAGAGCACCTCGGAAGGGGCAAAGGTTTGCTGGATTACACAGTGCAATTATGCATACTTGCAGTTTTAGAGAGCTCAAAACAAATCCCTCTGTTTTTGACCTAGTATCTGGGGCTTAACAGCTTTAATGAAGCTTCCCATTGCCTCTGCCAGATGGTCCTTCTCTCATACCCCAGACTGATTTATTCCTCATTTATTACTCATACCACTATTCCTCAATAGCACTGATGGATACATACTTTTCCAAATTTTATTTAGGTTGAGCTATTCAAATAAATGGATATATTGCCTTGTAACTTTTATGTATTTGAATAAAAATACTAAGGTTATATCTGTGAACCTAATCTTATTCCTTTGGATACACTTTTTCATTATTTTGAGTTTCCAAAACATTTGCTCCATAAAAGACTTGAGGCTACTTAAATATTAAGGTGGAGTATAACAGTATAAGAATTCCATTGGACAAATGTTTATTACACCCATAGAGTGTGAGGGGTTATGAAAAACAGTGTGGAAGATTTGAACAATGAACTTAAGCTGTTTCTTCCATTGGGGAGCTCATGGTATAATGTACAGAATAATAAGAATGATGAAAATGATCTCAGACATTTGTCAAACACTCACTGTAGCCCAGACATTCTGCTAAATGCAGCAAATCAGTGAGTGCTCTAAAGACCACCTGATGAGGGAGGTAATTTTGGTTTCCCCACTTTACAGATAAGGAAACTGAGGCTTATAAAGAGGCTTCCCATTAACAAATGTGAGAAGCAGAATTGGGATCCAGGCAGTGTGCCTGCACTCTTGACCATGATGCTACACAGCCTCCCTACAAATAGCCATGAGGAGGAGAAGAGCTGGAATATAAGGGAAACAATAACTAAATAACCTCAGAAGAGGAGAGGAACACTTCTTGCGGGAACAATCAAAGCAATCTTCAAGAAAGAAAGCAATTTCTCTCCACCCTTGGAGGAAGAGTAAGAATCCAAAAGGTGGAGATGGAAAAGGGTACTCTAGGCACAGTGCAAGATACACAGAAGCCCACAGAGATAGCTGCAGAGGCCTGTGACAGACAGTGAGTCCTTAGGTATGGTGAAGCGGGGGCAGACGAGGCTGGAAGGGGAAGCTGAGAGGAGGTTATAGAGGTGTTCAAATGCTGGCTAGCAAGGTAGGAGCCTCCTGAATGCAACATGGATTATTGAAGTTTAGAGGGCCATAATCTCAACAGCACAGTGGGGAGATCAACCTAGCAACTTGTGTAAACCGGGCAGGCTGGGACTGCCAATTAGGACAGTAATAAGGGTCCCCATCAATGAGTACAGACAATGTGGGAGGGACTTAGAGAACAGAAAGAGTCAGCAATAGGTCTGAGCACCCCTCAGGAATCCACACTGGATACAGTAAGGCCCAGGTATACAGTCTTGAGTGTGTGGGGCTTTCGATGGCTGGAGAGGTGGGATCTCAAGGTGATTGCAACCTGGGATGACATTCCTCAAGAGGTGCAGCAGGTCTGCTGGGGAAGACGTGATGAGTCAGGTCAGGGGTGCCAGTAGGAAGTGTCAAAGAGTTGTCTTTCCTGCAGCTGGTCATGTAGGGATGCATGAATCTTAGAAGTGCTGATAAGGGATTCATTCCAGCTAGGAGATAACTGAAGCTGGGAGTGGGTTTGGATGCCCAGTGATATAGTTTGGTTCTGTGTCCCCAACCAAATCTCATCTCAAATTGTAATCCCCACAAGTCGAGGGAGGAACCTGGTGGGAGGTGATTGGATCATGGAGGCAATTTCCCCCATGCTGTTCTCATGATAGTGAGGGCTTTCTCACAAGATCTGATGGTTTTAAAAGTGGCAGTTTCCCTTGAATGCTCTCTCTCTCTCTCTCTCTCTGTCTCTCTCTTTCCCCTCTCTCTCTCTCCTGCTGCCTTGTGAAGAAGGTGTTTGTTTCCCCTTTGCCTTCTGCCATGATTGTAAGTTTCCTGAGGCCTCCCTAGCCATGAGGAACTGTGAGTCAATTAAACCTCTTTTGTTTATAAATTACCCAGTCTCAGGAAATATCTTTATAGCAGTGTGAAAATGGACTAATACACTCAGTGAAATTTTTGTCCTGTAGCTGGAATCCACAGTCTCTTGTTCACAATTCTGAAGTGTAAAAAGTTCTGGAAAGGAGCCTATTTATTTATTTATGCACTTATTTATTTATCCACTTACTTGTTGGGAGTGTCAGGGAAACTCACCAGACCACAAAAACTGACATGAAGCTTCTTAGTTTCTCTATTAATCTCACTTAGAGTAAAAAGTCATACTCTTTGGTGCAGAAATAATCCTGTGTACTGACCTAGACCGTACTGAGGAAGTTTCATCATAGGGTGTCCATAGTACAGATTCCCTTTACCTTCTAAAATCCCCCAAATTTCCCATTCCAAAGCACACCTGGCAACAAGAATTTTAGATAAGGGATTTTGGGACTGCACTTACCTTCTGAAAACAGCAAGCTGAGAAATAATCTTAACAGCTAATGATTGCTGGGGGCTTATACTTAGAAGTATGCCCAGCATACCTCTAAGTGCTTTAATTCCATTTTCACAACAGTCATATTAATTGAGAACTATAGTTATCTTTACTTTACAAATGAAGGACCTGACGTTCAGGCAGGTTAGCGGTAGGAGGTGGGGTTGCTACCTGTTCCAGGCAGGCTGACCCAAGGTCGTGTTCTTTACCACTAAGACACATTGCCTCCAAATTAATCTGTGAAACTATTTAGAAATGAATTGACTCAATCCTTGTATTAGATTAGTGAATAGCAGGGAACACATACCTTTCACCACATTTCCACAAATGATACAAGTGCATGGTTCACCCAGGGTATTCTCTCATTCACATTCTGGCAAAGCAGAGGGAGCAATATTAAAGCACAGCCCAGGAAAATTGTTTCTGTGTGGGCCCTAGAGACTATGTAGAGAGTTTTCCCTAGTTCTTGTTGCCAGCTAGAGCAGCCAGGGTATTTTTCCAGGGTGTGTGACCACATTAAGGCAGCTAAGCAGAGCTGATAAGACGATAGGCTCTGGGGCCAGCCTGCTTGGATCTACCGCCTCACAGCAGTGTGACCCTGCTCAAGTTAATTAACCTCTCTAAGCCTCAGTTTTCCCTTTTTAAAATGGGATTAGTTACGAACTATATCACAAAGTTGTTGGATGGTTTAAGTTAGATCATTCTTATAAAGTTTTCAGCAGAGTGTCAGGTTGATAGGGAATCCTCAAAAAACATTGAATATTAATATTTGGCAAGACTCTCATAGGTCTAGAGCTCCTGCTGAGAATTTCTGATGATGGAGGATGAGTCAGAACCCAAAAGCTGGAGATGAGGAAGGGTAATCTAGGCACAGTTCTGTGCATTTATCTGAAAGCAGGGTTATTGTTTGCCAAGTGTCACCCTGTTCTTTTCCAGGTTTTTTTGAGGTTTGTGGCATGTATCCAATTTCAGTTTCCTTCCCAATTCCATGTCAAAAGACAGATTGGCTGATGGGTCTATCTGTGAGTATTATGTCCCTGACTTGGAAGGATACTTTTAGCTTGGTTTTTCTCCAGCATTTTCTCTGGTTGTGTAGTCGATTGAATATGTGTCTGTTGCTGTTCATGTGTCCATGCTGGCATTTTGAACACATCCCTGTGGAGTGCGCCAACATGAACCTGTCTGAAGCATCAGACTGAGTTTGATGTATGTTGGGTCCCCTTACAAATGTATACAAATATAAATAATTTCAGGGCAGGGGAATAGAATTACCTTTTTCCCAAACTTATCTCTAAGGTACATTTTGAATTGAAAGAGGTGGTAGAGTTTTATCCAAATTCTATTCAGTAATGATAAGGTTCACTACAGACTTTGCACATAGTAGGCATTCAGTGAGTGTAAGATGGCACATGATGTGACCAATGACCATCAAATGGGACTGATTCAGATGCTTTATTCTCTGCAGCCCTGGATTACCATGGTAATGCACTCTGGGGACAGTGGTTTGTCAAATGTTAAGTGATGCTCATCTTCTCTGATAAGAATAGGTTGTTCTAGTTCAGGGAAAATTGATAGTCTCTGAGTCTGTTTCCCTCCCCTGGCTCTTCTTTTACCTTCCAGTTAGCAGGGTGGCTACTTGGCTTGTGATGCTTGCCTTGACTCTGACATAGAGAAGGAAAATAGAAAAATCCAGCAAACACTTAATGGGATGCTTGCAAAGTAAAACTAGGGCTTATTCATGC
Organism: Homo sapiens; assembly: GCF_000001405.40. Classification (NCBI taxonomy): domain Eukaryota; kingdom Metazoa; phylum Chordata; class Mammalia; order Primates; family Hominidae; genus Homo; species Homo sapiens. Next base: position 136,521,542 of record NC_000005.10, on the reverse strand, counting down.
AATAGAGTAGCTGGTAATTGTTTTTATTATTCTAGGCTAGATTGAGGTCATTGTCTGGTGAAATTGGACAATTTAGGAAATGGAAAAGAATGAACACTACAGTTAAGTCTGTTTATACACAAATTCTATCTTTAATTCCACTTTCTTATCAACTTTTGGGTTTTAATAAGAGGCAAGAAGAAAGAAAGAGGAGATGAGGGAGAGTGAGAAATAGGAAGTTGTGTATTGAGGAAAATAATCTTTGACAAGTTAATTGTTCATTTGAAGTGGCGAGTGGTGGAGAAGCAGATAAATATAAAGAATTTTGAGTCAGTAAGAATACACACTACAGTTGATCCTGGAACCACGGGGGTTAGGGGTGACAACTTACCCATGCACTCAAAAATCCACATAGAACTTTTAAATTTTAAATTTTAAAAAAATGTTTTGTAACTTTTTATTTTCCAAATTTTAAATAAACACAATAATTGTACATATTTATGGGGCACATAGTGATGTTGTGATATACATAATGTATAGTGATCAGATCCAAGTAATTAGCCTTTGATTTGCCAAAAAATGTAGCTACTATTAGCCTACTTTTGACCGGAAGCCTTATCAATAACATAAATAGTCGATCAACACATATTTTGTGTGCTATATGTATTATATACTGTATTTTTATAATAAAGTAAGCTAGAGAAAAGAAAATACCATTAATAAAATCATGAGTAAGAGAAAAAATATTTATTCTTAATTAAGTGGAGATGGATCATTATAAAGGTCTTCATCCTTGTGGTGTTCACATTGAGAAGGCTGAGGAGGAGAAGAAAGAGGAGGTGTTGTTCTTGCTGTATCAGGGATGGCAGAAGTGGATGAAAATCTGCATGTAAGTGGACCCAGGCACTTCAAATCTGTGTTGTTCAAGGATCAACTATATTTTATTTCTAGAACCTAGCACAGTGACGGTTTATGACATTGCCATTCTGCTGTCACATACTGCATTTCTAATCCTAGCTTCTCAGACTCCATGAATATCCACTTTTGGTATTGAAAAACAAAACCCGAAAACAAAACAATAAATAAAACAGTACATGGCTCACAGCTCTTCCCACTATGAGTAAGCCTCAGTCAACTAGAATTCAGTCAATCCCCTTCTCTCCTCCCCACCTGAATTAATTATTTTGGCTAAAGTCATCATTAATTTCACCATCCCTTTTATCTTATTTCATCAATACTAAAATCTTGTCAATTCTACCTCAAATATATCAAGTTTAAAAAAAACAAACTTTGACAGTAGCTTCTCGAGAGCAGAGTTCATGACAGCTTCATCTTCGTATCCTTCATGGCACATACTGGAGTCCATGTCACCCAACCATCCATCAATACCTAGGTTATTAAATAAATATTTTTGAGAAGGTCAGTGTATATTTAACCCGCTTCTCTGCATTTGGGAGGTCTGCCAGGAGGTATGCCTTCTGACTGAATTTTTCCAACACCTGTGCAATCCCGGGAAGGCCCTGTCTCCTCTCTGGTCCTCAGGACAGCCTTCTGTGCTGCTCATGGTTGTTAAACCCTCCCACCTGCTGCTGGTGGCCAAGAAGCCCTGTTCTCTGGTGTTTGAGCTCTTTAGCCATCTCTGTTGTCGTCAGAACTATTTCAAAACCAAAGGTCATAACCAACTCAAACAGTCTTAAGAGGGAGAAAAAGGAAGTTATTTTCTCAGGTAATTGAAAAGCCTGATTAACGCTTTTCTGAATTCAAGCGCTGAAGCCATGTTGCCAAACTCGGTGTCTCTCTGTCTTTGTCTCTGTGTTTGTGCCTCTTTGTTTTTATCTCTCTCTGTGTCTCTTTCCCTCCAGTTTCTCCAAGTGTCTTCTCTCCAAGTGAAGGCGAGGATAGCCACCAGCCTCTCAAGGCCTATATTCAGTAGCTCCTGGAGAAAGAGACTCTCTTTCCCAAAACTCCCATTGGTTGGAGAAGTCATCTGTTTGTCCTTTACCCAATCACTATGGTCAGGAGCATTTGGTCCTGCGCCCTTTCCTAGGGTTGAGGGGAGGGTTAGCTCCATCAGAACCACGTGGACTGAAAGTGGGTTTGGGGAGATTCCTGATGTGAAAGAGGATTATTGGCACGGCACTACAGAAGTCATCGCCTACAGGAACCTTTGTGTCATTACCAGCTAATGAACAGTGTCCTCCTTGGTTTCCTTTGGCCACAGCCTCTATACTTTTCCCCCAGTCCCATCACCAATGTTCTAAAGCTGAATATGCCTCAGGCCTCAGACAATGACTTTTCCCAGCTAGTCCTTAGAAAGGGAGCCAAAACTCATCAGAAAGGTAGAATTATCCTAACAGGACTAAAGACAGGCAAGAATTTGGACCTGTGCTGGATTCATGATGTCAGTTCCCGGAAAAGCTGTTGTGGAGTTTTCAGTGGTGGTTATGCTGTGCTGCCCAGACCCTCCTTCAGTACCCAGGCGCTCATTCCCCTGGCTTCTGGGGGAGTCCCTGCATGACAGCTCACAGCTGAGTCTCTGGGAATTCTCTTTGGCTTAATGGAGCTGACTCACCTGAAGTTAAGCCATGATCTGGCACAGCTCACATTCAATCAGTTGCAAAGGTCCAGACTTCTTGCCCCAGCACAGGACACTCGAATTGCCACCCCAGCTGCAAGATTCACTGTGGAATTGACTTCAGGCTTTGCCACAGCTGCTTTGCTATTCAACTTCTCCCTCTGCCCATCTGGCTTTTCTGCCCCTGCCCCCACCTATAGGGCTATTTTCAAGAGCACTCCCCAGTAATCCTCCTGCATGTCAGTCTCAAAATCTCAGAGTCCCTTTCTGGGGAACCAACCTAAGGTAGAAGTTATATAGCATCTGCAAACTTAAAGTTTTAGGATGTAGCCACTACTGAAGCAGATGATTTTGTCAGTAAAAACTCAAGTGTTGAAATTAGACAATCCTGGTTTCACTTTCTACTTATTAGTTGTGAGAGTTTGGGTAAGTTACTTAATCATCCTTATCTTCATATTCTCATCTGAAAAAAAAGATAATATAACACCACCTCCTACAATTATTGGGAGTTTTAAGAAAGAGGGTTATGTGTAAAGTGCACACCATAGGATCTGGCCTTAGGAAGGGCTCAGTGTATAGCTGTTATTATTTTATAACTCATGAGTATGATGTCATCAATACAGCTTCAATAAGAACTTGAAATGTACTAATAGTCAATATTCAGTGTTGGCAAAGGCTCAGTGGACAGGCATTACTCACACTGCTTTTGAGTCTGGAGAGTAATTAGACAATACACATCAGAATCCGCTAAAATGCTCTTACTCTTTGACTCAGAAAGTTCAGTTTACAGGCATTTTCTCTAAGGAAATCATTACAGTTGTAACCTCAAGTTGATGGATTGGGATATTTATATCAGGATTTTTTAAACAAAATCTGAGAATTGGCTAATATCAAATAACAGAGAACTGTTCAATCAATTGTAATGTATCTTTAGTATAAAATAAAATACACCTATTAGATAATATACTACAGAAGACAAAGTTAATGATATGAAAACGAATTCATGACAATGTTAAGTGGAAAAACCCCAGCTCACAAAATAATAGTATGTAGGAATGTGATCTCAATTTTTATAGCCATGGAAGAAGTACACACACACACACACACACACACACACATCTATACACACACTCACTCACCTGCACTGTGGAAGAAAAGACTAGGTTACAAATAGAAATCCAAAATGTTATTAGTCATTATTCTTGAGTAGATTACTGGTAATATTTATTTTCTCCTTTGTCCTATATGTTGAAAATTTTCTACAATAACCATTTATTCATTCTGTAAAAGTTTTTTTTTAATGTTACCCTTTAAATGGCATCTACTGGATTAAAATTAAAACCAAAACCACCCAATAGCTAAATGCCAGTAATTGCCCAATCTAATTAGATACCTGACTTCGACAATAGTACCAGCATTTTACAAATGCCAGCTAAATACAGCACACACAGTACCCCGCCACCCCCAACCCTGAAAAAAAAAAAAAAACACGTGAATAAAACAAAAGTTAGTTCCAAGAAATCCCTGCTGGCCATGATTAATTCAGAGAAGCAATCACTAAAGCTAATACTGTTTATTGTAATGTACATAACTCATTGCTCTCAATAATAGGCTACATTCAATATGCTTACCAGGATCAGAAGTTGATTGTTAAATATGTCTGTAAAGCTCATGTAATTTGGAGGGCATTTATTTGTATGTACTTTCCTCAGGATGGCTACTTTTGTGAATCTAAATTGAAGATCCACAGTCTGACAATAAGGAACATGATATGAAATCAAACTTTTCCTGGAAAATGAGGGCAGAGATCCCTATGTCCATTTAATTTAGGAGTCCAGACAAGCTAAGGCTACAGCCACAGACTGTAGCCTTCCCTAAACACACATCTTTTTCTCCTCTCCTTTTCCTCCCTTTTCTCTGTTCTTACTCTTATTTTCCATGCCCTCCTTTTTTCTCTGCATTTCTTTTCCTCTTTTCCTCTCCATGCAGCTGCTCCTGGACATGGATTTTCTCTGCTAGGAACTTCTGAGGTTGTGGAAAGCCCTTCATAAGCCTGTTTGGTTGCTCAGAGAAGCTATGATAAGCCTGAGATATCATTAGTAATCAGATCAAGCGACACACTCCTCATAGCAACCACAAAGCCCCATCACGCACAGCTTCTTCCTTCCTCATTAGCACTGGGAAAGCAAATTATTGAGCAACACCAGTGCATGGTTATTCCTAGCCATTCTGATGCCTGCTGTGGATGGACCCTAGAAACACCCTCCATACAACATTCTGTGCCAACCTTTATATCTCTATTACGCCATGCATGAGCATGCAGGAACAATGAGTCCATGGGCTCCTCTGTTATTCTCTCAGCTCAGGAGCATCTGTGGTTGCAAGAAGGGAGTGGTGTTTGGGCTTTAGCCTAGGATAGGTAGGAAAGAATACTGACACTCAATTTTAGCCACAAAAACAGAGTTTTCTGGAGTTGTTAAGCTTACTTAGAATTAGATTGAGACAGAATATACTGGAAAGCAGAGAAGTCATGAGTACCTGAATATTTCACTCTCTCCACCAGACCAGAACCAGGGTGATGGGAAACTGACCAGTGCTTATGGCCTGTGTTCCTTGGCTGGAATGAATCTCGGGGGAGGGGGTGCTTATTCACAAGGATGTTTAAATGAAGCTGTGAGCAAATCCTGTTATCATTTTTGCTGTGATTAAAACCACAATGGGCTAGATTACATGCACTTTTTATTTTCCAGGAGAAACCAAAATATCTTAATAAAGACAGAGAGTCGTGCGTGTTGAGTCTGGGATAATGAAACCAATGGAGGAAAAAGGCTACAAGGATCCAGAGGTATTTAACTTTATGTGAAAATGACATCAAAAATTGCATCTGTGTAGGCAGGTCCAAAACCCAGACAATCTTAGATGTCTGTTGGAAGCAACAGGCAAGGGGAAGATGTAAATACAGGTACAGATCAAACAGCTTAGAAAGTAGATTGGTCATTTTATAATTAGAATGGAATGTACATTAGAGGCCAAATGTTTTTATCTGGGTTTGTCGTGATTGATTAAAAAAATGTAAATTGTAAATGTTTGAGAAATAACTTTTTCAATAGGGCTCCACACTGTCACTTTGCATTTAATTTCTTTACCTATCTTATTTGAAAATGTAGCGATAGCTATGGAATATTAATACAATTCTGCAAACAATTGGTATTGCAACAGGCAAACCCTCTGCTTGGCCTTCTGCAAGTTTCTGTAATAGCATCCTTGATTGCTTGAAGTGAGAAAAGGCAATCTTCTCTTTTATGCTGTTGATCCTATTTGTAGGACCCTAGAGGAGGAAGAATGCAGCCTCATTTCTGACAAGAAAAGTCCAGCTGAACCCTTTTACCCAACTGTTCTCGGGTATTTAAGTATGTAAGCACCCACCTCCAATTGCCACTTTCTACTTCTCAGTCAATTTCTTTCTGCGTTAAGTTGGAGTGCCAGCCAGCTGCCTTGGATGGCTCTTTTTCCCTAGGCCTATGAAAGCATACTGCCTGACTCCCCACAATCTTGCAAAGTGCTCGCCTCTCTCTGGCCAAGTGGTCTCCCTGTGGTCCCTACATACATCTCTGCGGCTGCTGCTTTTCTCATCCGGAGTCACCCCACCCCTTCACCTATCCTGGAAATTGGCCAGCATTCACTGCCAACTTGCCATCTCTCATGAGTGCTGGGCACTATGTTTTATCTCATTTAATCTTCACGAGGACTTACCCTGTAAGATTATTACATAAGAAAACCAAGGAGCCTACAAAACTTTACAAGATTTGGACTCTTCTTAAAAGCTCATGCTTGTCAGCCCAGCTCATATTGATCCCATCTATCCTATTGTTCAGAACTACAGAGCCAAGAACTGAAACGTTATCTGATTTCTCTGTATATGTCTTTCTCATTTTCCAATTGAATTTCACTCCTTAAGGGAAGAGATTGCCTCCTATAAGACCCCTTCACACACACACACCAAGCTCCTAAGTGATTAATGTGCATTTTAGTAAGGATCTAGGAATGCTCTCCGAGGAGGGTAAATATTATCTTCCTTCCCTCAATACTCTCTTCCTTTTGATTCCTCTAAGATGAGGGAATAATAATCTGATTGCATTGGTTTCCAAGAATCTGATTAGGTCATGCTCTCTAAAATGGGTGGTGTCAGCGTAAACATCCTGATGGATGACCTCTTTCCTTCCTCCTGTGGCTTAGGTGGTCAGGGAAGCCAGAGTCCATTCCCACATGGGAAGAGACCCACCATCTTAATCTCTCTTGTCTTCAAACACACAGGCTTAGGTATTATTTTGCCTTTGACCTCTGTCCCATGTGTCTGGCTGAGGGTAGGTAGATTCTGGAATTTAGGTTTGAGTTAAAGATTTTGAAGAGCCTACTAGGCCTTTGGGCTAGGTTGGGTGCTCAAGCCTGGCCTAATCCAGCTCAGCCTAGCCAAGCTTACTAGAAAACTCTTCATTAGGTTTGAGCCACCCAATAATAAATACAATAAATAATCAAGTGGTATATTATTACTCACTTGCTGCTATTTCCTGTATAGATTCTTCTCTTAAAGGCCTCTAGGAATAGAATTCAGGTTCCCCTGATTACCCTACGGAAATAACACTTAAAAGGGGTCCAAGCCCCTTGATCTCTCCAACATCCCAATTCTCAGCTTCTTGGTTGCTAAGTCCCCTTTCTTATTTCATAGAAATTTTAAGGGAAGACTTATTAGAGCTGACCTTTGTGGAAATTAGTGATGTGTTAATGTTGTACTCATTGCAAGTGATAGTTCACAGGATAATATTAAGCCTGAACTTTTGTTAGTCTGGATCTTCTAAGAAGAAGAGGCAAAGAGGGATGTGCAGAGATTTTATTAGGAAAATGCCCACATACAAGGAAACAGGGAAGAATCCAAGATAAGCTGAGAGAGCCATTGGATCATGGCTTGTAATGCAAGTTGGATCCCAGGTGAAAGAGAGGGAGAGCAGGTTGGGTAGAAGTGTCTTTGACTGCCATAAAGTCAAAGGAAAGTTGTGCAAACCCAGTGAGGAATGCTTCAGCTAAAGGTGGCTGTCAGAAGCAGAGAGCTGCCTATGGGAAGTGTAGCTTCAGAAAAATACAAATATGAGTTTCAAGTTATGCTCAGTCAGTTATGCTCCATGGAATAAGGAAAGGGTAAAATGCATTCTCATGCCATTGCAGCTTTCATCCTTCATCAATAATTACTGTCTGCCTTGATCTTTCATTACCAAACCATTCTCATTTCTTCTTTAGGCTTCTATTTTTAAGCAGTGGGAAAAAAACACGTCTGAGACAAGAAGTACTTTGAAAGAAGACACATAGTTTATTCAGGAAAACTGCAGCTGAGCACGTGCATACTGCCCAGAGGCTATTATATCAGGAAGTCTTAGGAAAACTCCAGAGACATTATACCTTCTTCTAATGTTTTTTTTTTTTCTTTTTTCTTTCTTTCTTTTTTTTTTTTTTTTTTTTTTTTCACAGAGTCTTTCTCTGTCACCAGCCTGGAGTGCAGTGGTGCGATCTCGGCTCACACAACCTGCACCTCCCGGGTTCAAGCAATTCTCCTGCCTCAGTCTCCAGAGTAGCTGGGACTAAAGGCACATGCCAACATGCCCAGCTAATTTTTGTATTTTTAGTAGAGACGGGGTTTCACCATGTTGGCCAGAATGGTCTCGATCTCCCCACCTCGTGATCCACCTGCCTCAGCCTCCCAAAGTGCTGGGATTACAGGCATGAGCCACCACGCCCGGCCACCTTATTCTAATGTTTTATACTCTGCAGACAGGTTGGGTTCTCACATTCCTCATGCCAAACACCTAATAACTTTAATTGCAGTTGGAAAGGTGCAACTCAGTGCTCAAAAGCTGTGCCATACCAGAAGCCGAGATTTTCCAGAGAGGAACCGGCTGTGTTCCTGTTGAATCCAGGTCCTGCCCTATTGTAGTGGAAGCCTGGAACAGGATGTCATGGTCTCTAGAGAATTATCATAATGATACATGCCATGGGCTCTGACTCCTCCAGCACAGGGCCCTGCTGGAGTTGGGAAAGTTTTGCCATGCAGGTGCCTTTTGGTGAAACCTGAGTAGAGAAAGCTTGTGCTCACCAACATCCATGAATGCCTCACTTTTTTGGCATAAAGCTGGATATGAAGTTAGCTGGCCAGGAGGGTAAGTGTTGGCCATTAGAAAATGAGTGGAAGTGATGTGTCAACTCTTGACCCAACCCTTACTTCCAACTGTGTGTCTCTCTGTTCTCCATTGGCTAGTAGACTAGAGAGAACTCCTTGGACGCAGAGGAGAGTAGAACCTGGGCCACTAGATGACCAGCTCTCCTTACCCCATATCTAACTAAGACACAAGAAGAAAATAAATTGTCTTGTGTAAAGTGTCTGAGAATTCAGGGTTTTCAGTTGCAGCAGCCAATGTCATCTACCTTTAATAATACAGCCCCAAATAGCATTTTCTCTGGAGAGCCATGGCCTCTCCAAGTTAGGTTTTTCTGACTATGTGATGGTTGCATATGAAACAACCTAGATGTAAATACTCTAAAATTTATGGAAAGCAATTATATATATTCCAAAAAATATTTATGTGTACAAAAGGATTCTAAATGAGGTTTCTTTAAATATTCTATTCCCCAGGAATCCTGAACTCATTCACAGCTATTTGAGACCACAACTATTTTCTGGAGTGAATTTTCTCTGTAGCTGAAAGACATGACAAATTTCTCCCAGGTATGCCTTATATTCTTTCTCACCACCACCTTCTAAATAAATGCAGCTCATGGCTTTACCCATACATATATATTGCATTATTTTGTGGAGGTAGGAGAAGGAGACATGATTTGCAGTCGTAGTTCTGTCACTAATGAGCTGTGTGCTTCAAGCAAACCTCACTCTGTTTCTGGGCCTCATTGTTCTCATTGGTAACAATGTTCTCCCATTGGTAACCAATGGGTTAATCAAAACTGTTAGACATTCTCTGAGGGCTCTCCTATTCTAAAATGCTGTGGAAACCCATGACATGGCCCCAGGTATCTGACCTTGGCTTTCCAGCCTAGCATGCCCTCATGCTACCTCTCTAGGATAGTGAATTTGAGGTTAAGCATTCTGCTAACCCTACACAGTGATCTCTATGCAGATGTAGCCACTGCAATGATTGGGATTGGTTCTACTTGCCTGGGGGCGGGGGGACATTTTCAGTTTAATTAACAAGATATTTAGATTTCCAAATCAGTAAAAACAAACTAAAGTCAAAGAAGAGGTAGTGAAAAGATGTCCAATTTAATGAAATGTTTTGTGTAATAAAACCCACATGGAAAGAGCTTATGGAAATCAAGAGAAGGAAACAATGTTCACTGACAAGAAACATAAGGAATCTTTCCCAGAAGGCTTAGACTATTCTGTGGCCTCTTCCATGGGCATCATCCTTGTACCCCACAATTGCACAAGGCTACCAGTGGGTTTCTAATTGCTCATAGGATGCTAGATGACCAGCTCTGGGGATTAAGAGATTGGTGCTGGGAGGTAAAGAAGAAAAGGATTATAGATATTCCCACCCCAAGTAACAGCAGATTGCAAAACTGCTGGTCTTGTGAGCAGTTCACATCCTCTTCCAATATATGACTCTCCACGGGCCAGCTGAGAATAGACACTAGTTCTTGTGTGGTGTAGCCTGTATGCCAACTTAACTCCTGACCACTATCAATACCTTCCCTCTCTCCACACCTCCCAGTAGCACCGATTGTTGATGAGTCATCCACTTCTTTCTTTATTTCAGTGAAGTACTTAGCGTGTTTGACACCCAGAGCAGAACTTTTTATATTGTTTTTAAACAAAGATATAATTTATATACAGTAAAATTTACCCTTTTTGGTGTACAATCTTGAGTTTTAACAAATGCATTGGATCATTTTAAATACATTCCTTTTCTATCTGAGAAAATCATTTTAATAGTAATCAAGGATAATCAGAAATTACCATTATTTTCTTGGCATGTGATGTTTTAAGACAATTTTAAATACATTCCAATTTTTAAATTACTCTTCAAATTCAGTCAAATTCTGAATACAAACTAAAATTTTAAGTAGCTAAACAAAAATATTGCACCCCTCAGTTTATACTGTTTTACTGATTTAAATTTTTAAACATAAAAACTTCAAGTGACCACATAGGAATGGCAGGATTGAAGAAATTTACAGTCACTGACTGGGTCAGTATTGTTTATTTCAAATCCACTGTTTAAATGCATGAATATGTAGACCACAGGATTGGAGACATAAACCAGACCCCAAACAAGCACCAGCCAATGATTTCAAACCATCATAAACTTCTAACTATGAACTTGAACTATGTTGTTCTTGAAATAAATAAGTACAGTTGAATCCACAAATGTTGGAGGCTAACTGTATAAGCAGGGGTTCTTCAAATTATTTTGTGTTCAATACAATGTTTATTAAAGGAAAAGTAATAACAATGTCCTCGTTTGAAGCATACATATGTATTATTAAAATTTAACCATAGCTGCAATAATTATTTAAAACTTGGACTAACCACAGATTTTTTTGGAATGGAGTATTTTATCAGTGATGTTCAGAATTGCTGGAACCTGGTGATAATCAAAAGCAGACTGGATTTCAATTGGTTGTATTGATTTATTTATTTTTTTGAGATGCAGTCTCACTCTGTTGCCCAGCCTGGAGTGCAGTGGCGTGATCTCTGCTCACTGCAACCTCTGCCTCCCGAGTTCAAGTGATTCTCCTGCCTCAGTCTCCTGAGTAGCTGGGATTACAGGCTACTGGTCTGCCACCATGCCAGCTAATTTTTGTATTTTTAGTAGAGATGGGGTTTCACCATGTCGGCCAGGCTGATCTCGAACCCCTGACCTCAGGTGATCTGCTTGCCTCGGCCTCCCAAAGTGTTGGAGGTATACGCATTATTACCATGCCCAGAGGGTTTTGCTGATGTTTTTATATTCACTAAAGTCAACGCACCTCTTATTGCCTGCACCTACAGCAGACCACTTCCACCACCCTGCTACTGGCACACAGGTCAACACTGTAAGTGAAGTGTCTGTCAATTAACGAAAAGAGTAAAACCAAGAGCTTTTTAAGACTGATAAACAAAAAAGATAAACACAATTAAGAGTCCTAAAAAGAAGGAGAACTGGATGCTGGTTTGACTTGTCAGGGAAGGCTTCCTAAAGGAAGAAAAATGTATCTTGGCCTTGAATGAAGTATATCTCAACTAGAGCCGTGTTTCCAAAGCCTCAGTTATCCACATGACCAACTGGGGCCATGTGTGAACAACACACATACTATTATATACTTATGTATATAATATACATTTTTATTAACATGCATTCATGAATAAAATATTATATTACTACTGTCATTAGACAAACTATAATACAAACCTATAGTACAAATAGAGCAAAATAACATTATTGAATTTAAAAATTAAATCCAAACTAAAAGTTAAGTAGTAAAATGAGCAATATTCGGTGTAATCAATTTGTAGAAATGCATACCTAAATATAATTTCTAACAGAAAAGAATAAAGTCAATCAAGAATAAAGCGTATAATAGGCTCAGTCACTTAGTTTCAGATGAAAAGAAATTTTTATAAAATAGTTTCAGTGATTAGTTATGATTTCACTGAATTCCAACTGACAAGAGCATAGAATGAGAATAGAAAAAAAAATCACTATATTCTCTGAAAGAACTGAATCCTGATAATTAATTTTGAATCAAAATAAAATAGGAAGTTTTTTCTGATAAATATTTATTTCAAAAACTGAAGCAAGCTTCAAACTTTTTCTGAATATATTAATATTATCTGCTAATGTCCTTAAGGGAAAATATTTTTGGTTTTTCTTTCTTTTATTTTAATCCATTTACTCCATTTGGAAAAATAATTTCAAAGAATACATATCAAGTTTTTCCAACTGCTTTTCATAATATTCAAAATATTTTTAGCGGATATTCATCAGAGTTAATAATCAAGTTGTTTGCACAATGAAAAAAAATCACAATTTTCATTATTTGAGGCATGAGGCCTACAGATCTGGTTTGCAGTCACTGTGTTCACTTTGTTGTACGCTTGATGTATTGGTATAAACTTCTTTTGTAAGGGTATATTTAAGTTGATCAAATGAATAAAAATATACCAGTTAGCAAAGCCATTTCCAATCAAGTATATGATCTTACAGATAGAAAATTCTCTTAGGAAAGTGTTGATATTCTTCTCAAAACCCCAGTAGATGTTCAGGGCCTTTCTATCTGAAGCCAGGGGCATCTGAATAAAATAGAAATCGTTTTAGTGTTTGCCCACCTTTTCATAAAGCATGCCAGAGCATAGTGATCAGTACATTTAACTTCTCATGCAACCATTAGAATGCCATTCACTACTAGTGCTCACATTTCCAACACAGCTCACTTTTACATTGTAAAACTCTTATTTTTAACCATTGCTCTTGAATGGGCCCAATGTAAGAGAAAAACAAAGAGCAAAAGCCGAACTCTAACATATTTATACTTAACCTACTAAATGAGTTACTGCTTCCACAAGTGATGTTTTTACACATTTCTGAAAAGAAAGAACCATAGACATGGATTTTCTAAAGCAGAGCCTCCCAGTCACTGGGCTCTCACACTTACCACAAGTGGATTACAAGTTCTGAGATACTGACCCCCAGCTTTCTGTGAAGCTGATGCAGCCAAAGGCCCCAGAGTGCTTCACCTTTGATCACAAGCAATATTATCCATTTACACCACTGTGTTACAACTACTACCATTTTTCTACTATGAACATCAGGTAAAAAAAAAATGTGGGAAGCATGGATTTATGTTAGCAACTCATATCATCCAAACTGAAGCAGCCATGATGCTTTAGACTGAAGTGGCGGATAAACTAACTTGAACTGGCTTCAACAGTAGGAAAATGCCTTGGCTCATGGAACGGAAAGTCCAACTAGAATTGGTTTAATCTGGTTTAATATAGAGCTCTCTGAACATGTCTCAACTCGGTGTTGTGGGCTGACTTGGTCCTCAGGCTGCCTTCTTTTATGGTACCAAAGTAACTATAGCAGTTTCAGTCTTTGTATCTGCAGCTTCTACATCCAGAAAAAGAGAGGAGAGGATATCCTTTCTAATGGCTCTTAAGAGTGATTAAACGTCTTTCTCAATTCTCTAGTAGACCTTTCCTCTTTGGACTGAATCAAACCAAATGCCCATTCTTGAGCCAATCTATCTGGCCAGGGTATGGGGCCACTCCATTTATATCCTGATAATGTGGAAGACTATAATTTTATACTTTGTAAAAGTGGGATAATGCAGCGTTTTCTACTCTAGCCCATTCTGAGCAGTGATATCTATGAAGTCATGGGTGTGATGTGACTTTTTAAATTCTCCACTATATATTGACTAAGACCCTACATATTAAAATTTCCTTTAAAAAAGTTTGGTCAGCTGAGTGCTGTGGCTCACGCCTATAATCCCAGCACTTTGGGAGGCCGAGGTGGGAAGATCACTTGAGGTCAGGGGTGCGAGACCAGTCTGGCCAGTGTGGCAAAACCCCATCTCTACTAAAAATACAAAAAATTAGCCATGCATGGTGGTGAGTGTCTGTGGTCCCAGCTACTAAAGAGGCTGAGGCATGAGAATGGCTTGAACCTGGGAAGCAGAGGTAGCAATGAGCCAAGATAGCGCCACTGCACTTGAGCCTGGGTGACAGAGTGAGACTCTGTCTCAAAATAAATAAATAAAAAATAATTTGGTCTACTACCCAATTATATTATGTTATACCAGAGGTACACACACCACACATTGGCAATACTAGGCAAGATGGAAGAAGAAGGGAAGAAAGCAAGTTGTGTCAGAGGGTGAGCCATGGAAGAGCAGAGGGGGTAGCATGTTACAGGGACAATGAGTCCTAACAGGATTCATTGGAAAAATAGTGGGAAATGAGAATTAAAAAATAATGGATAAGGAAGGGCCTTGAGCTCCAGGCTGAGGAATTTTGGTATTACCTATGAGGCAACTGGGAACCTTTTTGAGCAGGAAAGGATATGATGAAAACATTATTTGAATAATATTAAGTTGACAGGTCTATGAAGAATTGATTAGAATGAGAGATATTTGCAATGACAAAGGAATGATTGTAATAAGACAAAGTAAGAAGGAGGAGAAACATAGGTGGGAAGCATTTTAAAGAGAAATTGACTAGAGTGGGGAAAACGTGATGCACAGCATGGAAATAATGAGTAATCTAGAATGATTTCAAGCTTTATTAGAACAGGTTTTCTCTGGTACAAGAATCAATTTAGCCTATTTAGAATAACAAATATACACATGTGTGTGATTAACCCAGACTCCAGGTCCCTAGCCGGTAGACTTTTAAGTCTTTTCTAATACATCACTCCTCTCAAAGAAAAAAGTCACAAGTAAGAAAGCTTGACCTTGAAAGGACAATGATATCACTGAATAAGTGGCCTCACCAAATCAATCCTGAAAATCAGACCCCATAATCCACTCTGAACCTCCTTCCCCTATCAAAAGCAGGCCTGGACATCTCCTTGCAGACAAAGAACCTGCCTCACTTCTGCCCCCTGCCCATTAGGTGTCATACCTCACAATCCTCTAGGAGTTTTAGCCCAGGGCCTGCACCTTGGAATCTAAATGGGTCTTTTATTTAGAGGACCGTCAGAGCCCTGTTTCTAGAACAGGCAATCTTCCTAATGCCTGTTGGGCATCTTCCTGGAAGAGTGGACAAAAGGAGCAGGTGCTAGAGAGAAGATGCTGAGAGATCAGTCACACTCAGCACAGAACTGCACTGGTGGCCTTCCCGCTCACTCACTGTAGGGCATTTTACAGTAATTTCTACCTTGTATCCTGGATTCTGTGACTTTTATTTCTCAGTGTTGCTGGCTACTAGCCACCACAGTCCTCTGGGAACAGCTCCTGGCAGCTGCATCCCAGAGCGACGGTAAGCAGAGGGCCCAAATGGCTTCCATGTTGCTCCTGCAGCTGCAGTCTCAGGAGTCAGGGACATGCCAGGTGGCTGCTCCTGGAATGAGGGAGCAGAGCACTTGGGCTCCCTGGACAGGTGGTGGTGGAGAGCTCAGGGTTCCAATTATTTTTTCTCTGAGGTGCCAGGAGGTATAGAACTGTCAGGGTGACTAGGAAAACACTCTTGACAAGTGTTGCTCATCTGGCTGATGCCACTTAAACAAAACTGAGTTCTGGTTTGTAAATATCCTCTTGATTATCCTTTTCTAAGACTATTTCCTGAGGTTGGAGGTTACTGAA
This sequence comes from Homo sapiens, assembly GCF_000001405.40. Taxonomy (NCBI): domain Eukaryota; kingdom Metazoa; phylum Chordata; class Mammalia; order Primates; family Hominidae; genus Homo; species Homo sapiens. The sequence goes on along the minus strand of NC_000005.10, from coordinate 136,505,644 downwards.
AAATATGCATGTACAGATGGCCAAGGTTAACTTTTGCCTCCCAATCTTTCTCGCCGCTGTGGTTAGAAAGGAAATCCTGAGTGCAAATAGTAATAGTAATAATAATAATAATAATGTAATAGCACCTATTATATTTAGGTTTCCAACATGCCAGACAATGTACTAGGCATTTTGAATGTGTTACTAAATTAACACAATTGTGTGAATTTTGTATTATGGTTACCCTTGTTTTACAAACAAGAAAGCAGAATTTAAAATGTTATCTGTCTTGTCTAATGGCATATAGTGAATAAGTGGCAGGGCCAGGACTCGAATCCAGGTCTATTAGAGTCCAGAGTAAGAGCACTTGCTGAGCACACCACTCAGACCACCTATAGGAGCTTAGTCCATGAAACTCTAAATGTATGGATTTCATGTAGTTAAATATATTTTAACACAATGAAAAGCCTTCTTTCCTCTCTTAAAAGTTAAGTGGAAAATTGTCATATACTGTTGGCGAGAATGCAGATTAGGACAACCACTGTGGAAAACCATTGGCATTATATACTAAAGTTAAAGATTTGCATATTATATGATCCAGCGATTCTAGTCCTGAGTATATGCCCAAAATAAACGTGTGCACATGTGCATCAGAATAAATGTACAAGCATGTTCATAGCAGCAGTATTTGTAATAGCACTAAACTGAAAACAACCCAAAAGTCTATCAACAAGAGCAGGTACATAATTGGGGTATATTAATTCAATGGAATACCACACAGCAACAACAACAAACAAATGAAACCAGTTACATGCAACAATATGGATGAATGTTGCGTTAAAGAAGCCAGACACATAGAATGCATGTTGTAAGATTCAGTTTATTTAAACCTCACAGAGAGAACTCAACTATAATGTTTAGAGATTCATTCCTAAAGGATAAAATTATAAGGTAAAGCAAATAAGTGCTTACCATAGAAGTAAGGAAGGTGGAGAGTGTGGGGAAGTGGTCATATGGGAAGAGGCTGGGTGGTTCCTGGGGTTCTGGCAACATTCAATTTCTTGGCCTGAGAAAGCAATTACATGCAGCTTGCTTTATAATAATTTAAACCAAACATATATATTTTATGCACTGTCTGTATGTGTGTCTTATTTTACAATAGAAATAGCTTTAAATAAGTTTAGATGAAGAAAAGGCAAAAAGAATAAAGACACCAAGACAATATTGGGTCTTTGTTTTAAAATTCAGGCTAAAATGTCTTGGTAAGTAGTTCATTTTAGGGCAGATTTTAATTAGCAGAATCTGCCACCTCTGGAGTCACTTCTACCCTCCTTGCTGATCTGAAGCTCCACCACTCCCACTCTTTTTTTATCATTAATGTTTTTCTTGTTAAAGAAATGTTTCCTTGTTCACATTATAGGTGACTGCACTCGAGTGTTGTTTCTCTACAAAGGGACTGATTGATTTTTGTGGTCTGCTCATTAGAAGTAATCATGAACTCCTTGAGTCACCCTTGATTCAAGAACACTTTTGCAATTGGAAAATGGGAACAGCAAGGTTTATTGTTTTAATTAACACATCTGAATAAAAGCTTGTCAGGGCTAGAAACAAAGGCAACCATGATACCAGGCAAGGCATGTGAATAGAGCTGGGGATGGGGATGAGGCAGGAGGAAGGACTGGGTCCAATCCCAACAGGTGGTCAGCTCAGGTGTCTCAGGCCAGAGCAGGGAGGAGGTTGACATCCAACTCCTATGGGGGTTAAAGGTCTGTGTAAGCAGCATCGAGTTCTGATAATCAGTTGCAATGTCTCTAAACTCTGAATTCTGAAAGTCATGGCCTTCTAAGCTAAGAGAATTCAGGACATGTTGAGACGTTCAGGACATGTCCACGTTCAATGACAAGGAGAAGTAAGTGGTAGTAAGAAACCCTGTCTCATGTTCTTCAAAATAGTAAGTTATCTTGACTGTGATTTGTACTTTCTTCAACTGTCAGCAGCCAGCTTTATATTCATATGCACTGGGCTGCAGCTAGCAGAAATAAAAGCCAAGGAAAGAGTCAGAGGAGAAGGTGGAGGCAAGAGGGTACTACTATTCATTTGTGCACCAAATGGCAAATATACTCAAACAATGCCATGGGTTGGAATGTGGCTCTCCATCTAATGGAGGCAACTCTGGAAGTACAGGTCCAGTGCCCTGGAATGTTGCTACGCCAAGGGTGGTCCACTGACTGTTACTATCTAAAGCAAGGTAAGTTCAGAAATGGAGGATGGGAATTCAGAAATCTATACAGCAATTTGACAGAGAAATTTTGTGCCTATTGAACCAAACAATAAAAAATTAGTACTTTTAAATGTCTTTTCTACTTTACTTTTCTAGTATTTATTTTTATTATATTTTATAACAGTGTTAGTCTACAATGGACTGAAAATTTTTAAAATCAGGTGCTTCATCACAGATTGTTTAAGAAGGTACCACCCCTAAGAAATAGTCTCTGAGGGATATGCCTGATTAAACTAAGCTGGGTTCCATTTTTCTCATTGCTGGGGGACAGGAAAGAATGAAACTCTTGCAGAGTTTTATGTGGCAGGTATCTGCAGTTCATAAATGGACACAGATTTATGAATAAATGCTTTACTCTTGCTGTATAATAGAAGTCCAGGTAATAAACATTGACTGGATCTTACTGTATTTCATATACCGTTCTAAGTTATTTAGATATAGCATTTCACTTAATCTTCACAATAACTCTGTGAAGTTGGTTCTGTTTTTATTGTCCCATTTTATCAAAGAGAAAACTGAATAAGGCATAAGGAGGTTAAGTAGTTTACCCTATTATAAACCACAGTAGAATCCTGTTGGGGAGAATGTAGTGTGCAAATTAAAATTAATCTCTGGGTTTTTCTTTCTTTCCTTTACTTCTCTGAATTTGACTTAGCTTTCAAGGCTCACCTAAAATTCCACTTTCTTCATGAAGCATTCATTGATAGGCTTATTCTTTACCAAATTATATAATATTTTCTCAAATTATACATTTTGACATTATTACTATTATTTGTGATCCCATTTATATTTTATCTCTATCTAATGGAGGCAACTCTAGAACAACCTATATGAGCCCATTGAAGACAAATGCGACAACACATACATCCCTACACCCTCATCCTGCTTCACTTCCCAAATGTCTGCATGCTTGCACACACATGCTGTGGGCTTTCATTGTTGACTAGAACTGAGTCACCTAATTAAAGCTTATTTTTGTTATTTTCATAAGGATGAAACGCAGGACGATACACATATATTAAAATTTTCACATGTGGGGAATCAAAGAGAGATGTTAATTTTTACTCTGTGTGTTTCTGTATTATTTAGATTTTTACAGGGGAGGCAGATCATGGTGGATGGAAGACAGGACTAGATTGCAGCTCTCACTCGGACAGACAGGGCAGGCTGTGGAGGCTCACATCATGAACTTTTGCTCCAGAAAGGCTGCAGGAATAATTCAGGAAAGCCAGGAGAACTCACAGACCCTCTGAAGGAGGCAGATTACTCCTGCAGGACTCAGAAGACACTCCATATACTGCGAGTGCCCAAACTGTGGAAGTGGAAAAGAGGGATCATCTGCCTCCCAAACACACACCCTCACAGAGGAACCTGAAGGTCTAGATCACAGGAAAAGATTCTGGCCTTACCTTCAGCTGAGTCAATTTAGAGAGCCAAGTGAAACACAGCAGTAGAGGAAGCAGCAGGAAAAGCCCTGTGAGCTCACTGGGTCCCCTAGCAAGCCATTTCCACCTTGCCTCACAGGGGTCCTTGGGGAGGGCTGCCAGAGGCACTGGAAAAGGCCATAGGGAGAAGGAAACATTTAGCTGAACTTTGTAAACATTTTAACTGATCAGTAAGTCTCCTGGCCAGAACTTGTGGGAGGGCATGAATCCTGTGTGCAGACTGCACAGGTGAGGAAAGCACAAAAGCCCTACTTCACAACTGGGAGGTGGTGGGACAAGTTCTAAACCGTACTTGCCCACTGCCTGGAAACAGACTCCACACTATTGGGAGGGGACATGGTGGGAGTGTGACTGGCTCTGTGGGTTGCATGGGAGCTAGATGAGGCCTGTGACTGCTGGCTTTCCCACACTTTCCTGACAACCTGCATGACACAGTAGAGGCAACCATAATCCTCCTAAAAACATAACGCCATTGACCTGGGAACCACACCCCCATCCCCCACAGGAGCCACAGCAAGACCTGCCCAAGGAGTCTGAGCTCAGACATGCCTAGCCCTGCCCCCACCTAATGGTCCTTCCCTACACACCCTGGTAGCTGGAAGACAAAGGGCATAACACTCTTGGGAGTTCTTGGGCCCTGCATGCTGCCTGATCCTCCTTATACTACCATAGCCAATACTTTCTGGAAAGCATCACTTCCCAGCAGGAAGCCAACCAGCACAAAAGTAGTGCATTAAACAACCAAAGCTAAGAATGCTTACAGAGTCATTTCACCCCCCTGCCACTTCCACCAGAGCAGGTACTGGTATCCATGGCTGAGAGATGCACAGAGGGTTCACATCACAGGACTCTGCGCAGACAACCCCCAGTACCATCCCAGAGCCCAGTAGACTTGCTGTGTGGCTAGATCCAGAAGAGAGATAACAATCACTACCGCTCAACTCTCAGGAACATACAACCCTAGGAAAAAAGGGAGAGTACTACATCAAGAGAATGCCCTGTGGGATAAAAAAAAAAAATCTAAACAACAACCTTGAGCCCTAGACTTTCCCTCTGACAGAGGCTACCCAAATGTGAAGGAACCAGAAAACCAACTCTGGTAATATGACAAATCGAGGTTCTTTGACACCCCCCAAAAATCACACTAGCTTACCAGAAATGGATCAAAACCAAGAAAAAAAATCTCTTATTTACCTGAGAAAGAATTCAGAGGGTTAGTTACTAAGTTAATCAGGGAGGCACCAGAAAAAAGACAAAGTCCAATTTAAGGAGGTCAAAAAAAGACAAGAAATGAGGAGAGAAATTTTCAGTGAAATAGATAGCATAAATAAAAAACAATCAAAACATCAGGAAACAATGGACGCACTTATAGAAATGCAAAACGTTCTGGAGAGTCTCAGCAATAGAATTGAACAAGCAGAAAAAAGAACTTCAGAGCTTGAAGACAAGGTTTTAGCATTAGCCCAATTCAACAAAGACAAAGAAAAAAGAATAACAAAATGTGAACAGGCCAGGCGCAGTGGCTCACACCTGTAATCCCAGCACTTTGGGAGGCCAAGGAGGGTGGATCACAAGGTCAGGAGTTTGATACCAGCCTGACCAAAATGGTGAAACCCCGTCTCTACTAAAAATACAAAAATTAGCTGGACGTGGTGGTGCACACCTGTAATCCCAGCTACTCAGGAGGCTGAGGCAGAATAATTGCTTGAATCCGGGAGGCGGAGGTTGCAGTGAGCCAAGATTGCACCACAGCACTCTAGCCTGGGCGACAGAGTGAGACTCTGTCTCAAAAAAAAAAGAAAAAAAAAAAAAAGATGAACAAAGCCTCCAAGAAGTCTGGGATTATCTTAAATGACCAAACCTAAGAATAATCAGTGTTCCTGAGGAAGAAGAGAAATCTAACAGTTTTGAAAATGTACTTGGGGAAATAATCAAGGGAAACTTCCCTGGTCTTGCTAGAGACCTAAACATCCAAATACAAGAAGCTCAAACAACACCTGGGAAATTCATCAGAAAAAGATCATCACCTAGGCACATTGTCGTCAGGTTATCTAAAGTTAAGACAAAGAAAAGAATCTTAAGTGTTGCCGGAAGTCAGGGACCGCAAATGGAGGGACCAGCTGAAGCCATGGCAGAAGAACGTCGATTGTGAAGATTTCATGGACATTTATTAGTTCCCCAAATTAATACTTTTATAATTTCTTATGCCCGTCTTTACTGCAATCTCTAAACATAAATTGTAAAGATTTCATGGACACTTATCACTTCCCCATTCAATACCCTTGTGATTTCCTATGCCTGTCTTTCCTTTAATCTCTTAATCCTGTCAGCTGAGGAGGATGTATATCGCCTCAGGACCCTGTAATAATTGCATTAACTACACAAATTGTACAGCATGTGTGTTTGAGCAATATGAAATCTGGGCACCTTGAAAAAAGAACAGGACAACAGCAATGTTTAGGAAACAAGAGAGATAACCTTAAACACTGACTGCCAGTGAGCCGAGCGGAACAGAGCTGTATTTCTCTTCTTTCAAAAGCAAATGGGAGAAATATTGCTGAATTCTTTTTCTCAGCAAGGAACATCCTTGAGAAAGAGAATGCGCACCTGGAGGTGGGTCTCTGAACTGGCCTCCCTGGGTGTGTCCGTCTCTTATGGTTGAGACTGCAGGGGTGAAATAGACTCCAGTCTCCCATAGCACTCCCAGGCTTATTAGTAAGAGGAAATTCCCGCCTCATAAATTTTGGTCAGACCGGTTGATCTCAAAACCCTGTCTCCTGATAAGATGTTATCAATGACAATGGTGCCCGAAACTTCATTAGCAATTTTAATTTCACCCCCATACTGTGGTCCTGTGATCTCACCCTGCCTCCACTTGCCTTGTGATATTCTATTACCTTGTAAAGTACTTGATGTCTGTGACCCACACCTATTCGCGCACTCCCTCCCCGTTTGACACTCCCTAATAAAAACTTGCTGATTTTTGCAGCTTGTGGGGCATCACAAAACCTACCGACATGTGATGTCTCTCCTGGATGCCCAGCTTTAAAATTTCTCTCTTTTGTACTCTGTCCCTTTATTTCTCAAGCTTGCCAACGCTTAAGGAAAATAGAAAAGAACCTACGTGAATATTGGGGCAGATTCCCCAATACTTAAGCAAAAACACCAGGTAGCCTATGAAGGAAAACCTATCAGATTAACAGCAGATTTCTCAGCAGAAACCCTACAAGCTAGAAGGGATCGGGGCCCTATTTTCAGCCTCCTTAAACCAAACAGTTATCAGCCAAGAATTTTGTATCCAGCAAAACTAAGCTTCATAAATGAACGAAAGACACAGTCTTTTTCAGACAAACAAATGCTGAGAGAATTTGCCGCCATCAAGCCAGCACTACAAGAACTGCTAAAAGGAGCTCTAAATCTTGAAACAAACCCTAGGAACATATCAAAATGGAACCTCTTTAAAGCACAAATTTCACAGGACCTATACAACAAAAATACCAATTTTTAAATAGGAATATAAGCAACAAATAGCACAATGAATGGAATGGCACCTCACATCTCAATAGTAACATTGAATGTAAATGACCTAAATGCTTCACTTAAAAGATACAGAATTGCAGAATGGATAAGAATTCACCAACCAACTGTCTGCTGCCTTCAAGAGACCCACCTAGCACATAAGGACTCAGACACATTTAAGGTAAAGGTGAGGAAAAAGACTTTCCATGCAAATGGACACCAAAAGTGAGCAGAAGTAGCTATTCTTATTTCAGACAAAATAAACATTAAAGCAACAGCAGTTAAAAAAGATAAATAGGGACAAATAATGATGAAAGGCCTTGTCCAAAAGGAAAACATCACAATTCTAAATATATATGCCCTAACACTGGAGCTCCCAAATTTATAAAACAATTACTAATAGACATAAGAAATGAGGTAGACAGCAACACAATAATAGTGGTGGACTTCAATACACCACTGACAGCACTAGACAGGTCACCAAGACAGAAGTCAACAAAGAAACAGTGGATTTACACTATACCCTGGAACAAATGCATAACAGATATTTACAGAACATTCTACCCAACAACCACAGAACATACATTTTATTCATAAGCACATGGAACTTTCAAAGATAGACCATATGATAGGTCATAAAACAAGCTTCAATAAATTCAGGAAAATTGAAATTATATCAAGCACTCTTTCAGGCCACAGTGGAATAAATCTAAAAATCAAATCCAGAAAGAACCTCCAAAACCATGCAAATACATGGAAATTAAATAACATGCTCCTGAATGATCATTGGGTCAAAATGAAATCAAGATGGAAATTAAAAATTATTTGAACTGAACCACAATAGTGACATAACCTATCAAAACCTCTGGGATACAGCAAAGGTGGTCCTAAGAGGAAAGTTCATAGCCCTAAACAGTGACATCAAAAAGTCTGAAAGAGCACAAACAGACAATCTAAGGTTATGCCTCAAGGAACTAGAGAAGCAAGAACAAACCAAACCCCAAACCCAGCAGAAGAAAGAAAATAACCAAGATCAGCACAAGTAAATGAAATTGAAACAAAAAAAAATACAAAAGATAAACGAAGCAAAAAGCTGGTGCTTTGAAAAGATAAATAAAATTTATAGACCATTAGCAAGATTAATGAGGAAAAGAAGAGAGAAAATCCAAATAAGCTCACTTTGAAATGAAACAGGGGATACTACAACTGACACCACAGAAATACAAAACATCATTCAAGGCTGCTATGAACCCCTTTACAAATATAAACGAGAAAACCTAGAGGGGATGGATAAATTCCTGGAAAGATACAACCCTCTCAGCTTAAATCAGGGAGAATTAGATACCCTGAACAGGCCAATAACAAGCAGTGAGATTGAAATGGTAATTTAAAAATTACCAAAAATGAAAAGTCCAGGACCAGACAGATTCATGGCACAATTCTACCAGATATTCCAAGAAGAATTTGTACCAATCCTATTGACACTATTCCACAAGATAGAGAAAGAGGGAATCCTCCCTAAATCATTCTATGAAGCCAATATCTCCCTAATACCAAAACCAGGAAAGGACATAACTAAAAAAGAAAACTACAGGCCAATATTCCGGATGAACATAGATGCAAAAATCCTTAAGAAAATACTAGCTAACGGAATCCAACAACATATCAAAAAGATAATCCACAATGATCAAGTGGGTTTCATACCAGGGATGCAGGGGTAATCTACTATATGCAAGTCAATAAATATGATACACTACATAAACAGAATTAAAAACAAAAATCACATGATCATCTCAATAGATGCAGAAAAAGCATTCCACAAAATCCAGCATTGCTTTATAATTAAAACTCTCAGCAAAATCGGCATACATACCTCAGTGTAATAAAAGCCATCTATGACAAACCCACAGCCAACATAACACTGGATGGGGAAAAGTTGAAAACATTCCCTCTAAGAACTGGAGCAAGACAAAGATGCCCACTCTCACCACTTCTCTTCAACATAAAGTATTGGAAGTCCTAGCCAGAGCAATCAGACAAGAGAAAAAAAAATAAAGGGCATCCAAATTGGTAAAAAGGAAGTCAAACTGTCACTGTTTGCTGATGATATGATTGTTTACCTAGAAAACCCTAAAAACTCATCCAAAAAGCTCCTAGAATGGATAGATGAATTCATCAAAGTTTCTGGATACAAAATTAATGTACATAAATCAGTAGCTATTCTATATACCCACAGTGACCAAGCTGAGAATCAAATCAAGAACTCAACCCTTTTTACAACAGCTGCAAAAAATAAAATAAAATACTTAGGAATATACCTAACCAAGGAGTTGAAAGACCTCTTCAAGGAAAACTACAAAACACTGCAAAAGAAATCAGAGATGGGCTGGGCACAGTGGCTCACGCCTGTAATCCCAGCACTTTGGGAGGTCGAGGTGGGTGGATCATGAGGTCAGGTGATTGAGACCAACCTGGCTAACACAGTGAAACCCCATCTCTACTAAAAATACAAAAAAATTAACTGGGTGTGGTGACGGGTGCCTGTAGTCCCAGCTGCTTGGGAGGCTGAGGCAGGAAAATGTGTGAACCCAGGAGGCGGAGCTTGCAGTGAGCTGAGATCACACCACTGCACTCCAGCCTGGGCGACAGAGCAAGACTCTGTCTCAAAAAAAAAAAAAAAAAAAAAACAATCAGAGATGACACAAACAAATGGAAATGCCTCCCATGCTCATGGATGGGTAGAATCAATATTTTGAAAGTGACTATACTACCAAAAGCAATCTACAAATTCAACACAATTCCCATCAAAATACCACCATCATTCTTCAAAGAATTAGAAAAAAAATCCTAAAATTCATATGGAACTAAAAAAAGAATCCACAAAGCCAAAGGAAGACTAAGCAAAAAGAACAAATCTAGAGGCATCACACTACCTGATTTCAAACTATACTATAAGGTCATAGTCACCAAAACAGTGTGGTACTGGTATATAAATAGGTGGATAGACCAATGGAACAGAATAGAGAACCCAGAAATAAACCCAAGTACTTAAGCCAACTGATCTTTGACAAAGCAAACAAAAATATAAAGTGGGGAAAGGATATCCTTTTCAGCAAATGGTGCTGGGATAATTGGCTAGCCACATGTAGGAGAATGAAACTGGATCCTCATCTCTCACCTTATACAAATATCAACTCAAGATAGATTAAGGACTTAAACCTAAGACCTGAAACTATAAACATTCTAGAAGGTAACATTGGAAAAACCCTTCTAGACATTGGCTTAGGCAAGGATTTCATGATCAAGAACCCAAAAGCAAACGCAATAAAAACAAAGATAAATAGCTGGGACCTAATTAAACTAAAGAGCTTTTGCACAGCAAAAGGAACAGTCAGCAGAGTAAACAGACAACCCATAGAGTGGGAGAAAATCTACACAATCTATCCATCTGACGAAGGACTAATATCCAGAATCTACAACAAACTCAAACAAATTCTCAAGGAAAAAACAAACAAACTACAAACTAAAACAAATTAGCAAGAAAAAAACAAACAATCCCAACAAAAAGTGGGCTAAGGACATGAATAGACAATTCTTAAAAGAGGATAGGCTGGGTGCAATTGCTCACGCCTGTAATCCCAGCACTTTGGGAGGCCTAAGTGGATGAATCACTTGAGGTCAGGAGTTCAAGGCCAGCCTGACCAACGTGGTGAAACCCCATCTCCACTAAATAATACAAAAATTAGCCAGGCATGGTGAACAGGCACCTGTAATCCCAGCTACTTGGGAGGCTGAGGCAGGAGAATCACTTGAACCTGGGAAGCGGGGATGCAGTGAGCTGAGATCATGCCACTGCCCTCCAGCTTGGGTGACAGAGGGAGACTCTGTCTCAAAAAAATACATAAATAAAAATAAATAAATAAATAAATATACACACACAAATGGCCAACAAACATATGAAAAAATGCTCTATATTCCTAATGTTAGAGAGATGCAAATTAAAACCACAAGGCAATATCACCTTACTCCTGCAAGAATGGCCATAATCAAAAAATAATAGATGGAGTGGATGCATTGAACAGGGACCAATTCTACACTGCTGGTGGGAATGTAAACTAGTACAACCACTATGGAAAACAGTGTGGAGATTCCTTCCTTGAAGAACTAAAAATAGAACTACCATTTGATCCAGCAATCCCACTACTAGGTATATACCCAGAAGAAAAGAAGCCTTATACAAAAAAGATACTTGCACACACATGTTTATAGCAGCACAATTCACAATTCCAAAAACGTGGAACCAACCCAAATGCCCATCAATCAATGGGTGTATAAAAAAACCGTGGTGTACATATATATATACACACACACGTATATATAATATATACACTTATAATATATACACTTATATATTATATATACACGTATATATTATATACACTTATATATTATATATACACGTATATATAATATATATACGTACATAATATATGCATATATATTATATATATGTATATAAAATATATATTATATAGTATACTATATATTGTATATATATGAAATATATATTATATAGTATACTATATATTGTATATATATAAAATATATATTATAATATATAGTATACTATATAATATATTGTATTATATTGTATATAATATATTGTATTATATTATATTATAATATATAATATATTGTAATATATTGTATTGTATATTATAATTGTATACTATATTTATATATAGTATATATAATATATAATATATAATATATATGTATATTATATATATTACATATCATATATGTATATTTTATATATTACATATCATATATGTATATTTTATATATTACATATCATATATGTATATTATATATGTATATTATATATCTTGTGTATATATAATATATATTATATATCTTGAATATATATAATATATATATTATATATCTTGAATATATATAATATATATATTATATATCCTAATATATATATATAGTAACTCAGGAATGGAATATATACATGAAGTAACTCAGGAATGGAAAACCAAATATTGTATGTTGTCACTCATAAGTGGGAGCTAAGCTATGAGGACACAAAGGCATAAGAATGATCGCAATGGATTTTGGGGACTCGGGGGAAAGGATATAAAGGGGGTGAGGAATAAAAGACTACAAATTGTGTGCAGTGTATACTGCTTGGGTGATGGCTGCACCAAAATCTTACGAATCACCACTAAAGAATTTACTCATGTAATCAAACACCACCTGTTTCCCAATAACCTATGGAAATAAAAAATTTTTTAAAAATTTACAGTAGATGTTTTACTTACTTATTAAAATTCGTTTTAATCCTGAACTGAAAGTTTCTGACAGGAAGGGTGAGTGAGGCAGTGAGTTGGAAGAGCACGAACTGGAAGAAGGCGATATTGATTTCCAGTGTTGGTTCTACCTTGGACTAGACTTAGGACTTCCCTGAGACCAAGAGAGGGACTATAAAGCCCTGCCCCTGTGCCATGACCTTAATTCTTATAAATTTAAGTTTTCAAAAATTTCACTATTCAATCATATATATTTAAATGACATAATCCTATAACTTTACATTTTTTGTTTTTCACATGTGTTATCAGTGTCATTCCATGTGTGCACATGTGTGTTTGTATGAGTATGTTTCCTCATATGTGGTTAGGAGGAGATAAGATTGTTTAGGGCCTGAGAGCAGATGTGTTACTGGAATTTAGGCACCAAAATTTTTCTGAGCTTTCTGAGGGTCAAAACCAAAATATATTAAGCCATAACTGTTTATAATTATTATTTTCATTTCAAGGAATATTAACACACAGCATTTTCTTCTTACAAAGGAACTGGTTCTGTGGGATGTGTTACTCCATTCTGCAATCTTTCCTGGCCAAATGTTTGAGCTTATTTAATTGAGAACCATGATCATCCATCAGTCACTCTGCAATGCAAGTCTGAGTTCATAACACACACAAGTGTAGGAGTGTAAAGGAAATCAGCCATGTTAGGGGTTTTGAAACTGTCAAAGACTTATGTCCACAGAACACTATCATTAGCATTTTATTCATGTAAACTCATCCAATGATTGATAAAAAGAAAATGTGGATGTGAGTGTACACAATATAATTATTTCGGAATCAATATGCTTTTTCTATTAGCTTTTAAAATCTGTTTGCATAAAAAGTTTCTTTTCCAACCCAGCTCCTCTGAGGGTTCTTGTGGAGAGAAGTGACTGGGGACATGATCTTTGCAATATTTCATTTCGTTATCTCTTATTATTACATGGTGGCCCAGAGCATGGCATGAATAAAGCTGTCTTGTCATCAAAATGCATTCATTCATTTAACAAGTTTCTGAAAATAACGGAACGGTTGCTAAGCAATGGGGAAATTATACATTCCCAGGGATCTGTGAAGATTCTAAAAGCAAAAGTAGTTCTGGGAATTGGCATTAGTGTCTGTGGAACCCATCTAAACAAAGCCAAGAAAGTGACATGCTCTACCCAATAGCCAGGAAGCAGCATCTTTTTATTTTTTTTCCTCATTCTGACCCAGATTTTCAAAGTAATGATGTAGGGAGAAAGTTTCCTATTAAACAGCAATCTATGACTCTTTATGAACTACCGATACCTGGAAATTCTATATCACATTTATCTTACATGAACTGTGGTATGAAAGAACATATTCTTTTAACTAGAAAGTACATTTTATTTTAAATAAAATAATATGTTAATTGCAAAAATACATGCTTAATATGAAATACTTAAATAACACATGGACGTGCATTTTAAAAAAATTAAAAAGTTTTTGAAAACTAAATCACCCATATTCCTACCCTTCCTGAAATAGCCAATATTAATATTTGGGATATGTTTATCTTCCACATTTCCAGAGGTATGTAAAGTTATTATTTATTATTATTTAACATGTTATACATGCACACTACACATATACAATCACTATAAAAGATACACATATATTATCTTTTAAATGATTTTTGAAAATTTAGGTTGTTCCTAGTTGATTACTATTATAAATAACTCCTAATTATCCTGCACAAACATTTAAAAATTTAAGAGCTTTTTTACTGCAAAATTAATGCACGTAGAGAAGCATTTCTGAAATGGCAAAGTAAGAAACTGAAAATCTAATTCTCCAATCAACAAAAACACTGGGGAAAAAATGTCCAATAAAATTTTTTTTTTAAAGTTCTGGAAATTAACCAAAAACTTGGAACAATACAAGTGATCATTCAAGAAAAAAGGATGAATCTCAGTGAGGATCTCAGCAAATTTTGTGGAATTTTAACTAGCACTATTCCTATCTCCTTCTCCTGAGATCTATGGTAAACTTGAAAACTAGCAGTCTCACAACCACAGATGCTAAAAAAAACAGTATTGTAGCAGCCACTGGAGGGAGAAAAATGGTTTTGGAGCTCTCCAAAAGCCCCGTTTACAAAGATTGTCACTATTTGACCTATCTGGCAGCTCATTAAAAAGTCCCCTATTCATAGTGTTTTTCTTTATTTGAACTTACTCAGGGCTTGCTCAATAAGAAAAGTCCTGTCCCCAAGGTGTTTGTAAAAACAATCAGTAGAAATTATTTAGCACCACTGCTGTCTCAGTCAGCAATATCATTTGGATCAAAGAAAATCTGTCCAAATAAAAGAAAATCTGGAAATAAGATGTTCATAGTGCATTTTGAAAAGATGAAGTATGTTCCTGGGGACCTAAAAGGCCATGCACATATGCTGGGTAGTACAAATGTTTAGGAAACAACAGAGAAGGTCCCAATAGTTCACCTGTATGTAACCTTGAAGTGCTATGCAAGCAGAAAGTAAAGCCTAAGGCAGAATTGTAAACTGTTGGAGCATTAAAGGTGTTCCTCCTAACAAATACAGAGCCTACCAGAAGAGGGTGGGAGACTCACTAGTTCAAGTCATATAAAGAAATCTCTGTCAAATCTTTAGCAGTAAGCTAGCAAATCAGAGACTTCAGTGGCTATACAGGGTGATTACAAAGTTTACAAAATTAGTACAGGAAAGCCAATAAACAAACAAACAAACAGAAAATAAAAACAACAAATATCAACAACAAACTCAGGGAAGGGAAAAAGTCTGATTTTCAAAGCAGCCATATATTATTATTTAAAATGTAGAGTTTTAACAAAAAATGTAAGACATGAAAAAATGGCAAAGTGTGGCCCATACGTAGGAAAAAATTGAGTCAATAGAACCTGTCTTGAAAGAAGCTGTTAACATTGAACTTCCTAGACAAAGTCTTTAAATAAACAATTATAAGTATATTCAAAGCACTAAAGAAAACAATGTCTACATAACTAAAGTATGAGAACAATGTCATATGAAATAGAGAATATTGACAAAGAAACTATAAAGATAACTAAATTAAAATTCTGGACTTGAAAAGTAAAAAAAAAATAAAAATTTTACTAGAGTGACTCAACAGCATCTTTGAACATGGTGAAGAAATAATCAACAAACTGAAAGATAGGTCAATTGAGACTACCCATTCCTTTAATTTTAAGAAAAATTAGGTCGAAAGAAAAGATAGGTCAATTGAAACTATCCATTTCCTTTAATTTTTCTTAAAATTAAAAAATGGCCAGAGCCCCAGATACTCTAGAACACCATTAAATGTAACAACATATACATGGTGGGAGTCACAGAAGAAGAAGAAAAAGAGAAAGAGGAATTTAAAAAAATACTTGATGAAACAATGCCTGGAAATATTGATCTCCTTAGCTAAGAAGCTCAACTAACTCCAGGTAGGATAAACTCAAAGAGATCCATGCCTAACTATATCATAGCCTATTTGTCAAAAGACAAAACAAATAATTTTGAAGGCAACGAGAGAGAAATGACTCATTACATACAAAGGATCCTCAATAAAATTAACAGCTAAATTCTCATCAAAAACCATGGAGACCAGAAGGCAGTGGGATGATATATTTAAAGTGTTGTGTGTGTGTGTGTTGGCAGGGGTGTGGGGGGGGTGAAGCTAACTGAGAATTCTATACCCTGTAATTTTTTTTCAAAAGATTAACAAGAAATTAAGATACAACAGGGAATTCATCAACAGCAAATTCCCTCTACAAGAAATACTACAGGAAATCCTTCAGAATGAAATGTAAGGACACTAGATAGCAACTCAAATTCACATGAAGAACTAAAGAACACTGGTAACTATTATTGGTAAATATAAAAGATGGTATAAATGTATTTTGATTCTATTTGATTGAAAAAAAAGACCACTTTAAAAAAATCATAAAGATGTTTTAATGGGCTTATAATATATAATAATATAATTCATATAAAAAATAATAGCATAAAAAGGGTAAGGGTATAGAGCTTTACGGGAGCAGTTTTTACATACTATTAAAATTAAATTGGTATTAACCCAAACTAGATTGTTTTAAGTTAAGATGTTAGGTACAATCATGTGTCACATAGTATTTTAGTTAACAACAGATGGCATACATAATGGTGGTTCCATAAGACTATAATGCCATATTTTTAGTGTACTTTTTCTATATTTAAATATGTTTAGATACACAAGTACATACCATTGTATCACAACTGGCTACAGTATTCAGAACAGTAAGATGTTGTACAGGTTTGTAGCATAGAAATAACCAGCTGTACTGTACAGCCTAGGTGTGTAGTAAGCTATACCATCTACATTTATGAAAGTACACTCTTTCAACCTGAAGTTAAGCCCTATCACAAATGTCATATGCATCTGGGTCATTTTATATTTTAACTATGGATATATGTGTTAATTAACAATATATATTTTACATAAACCATACAATATACATGGTATTTAGCATTTGTTTTTCAAAGCCAATATTGTTTTTGAGATCTACTACTTATAGTAATCAAATACATCTATTTTTTCTCTTTTACTGCATCATGAATATGCCACAGCTAACTTCTCCTGCCCTCTGCTGAAGAACATTTGGGTCTTTATCAGCTTTTTCCTGAACCAAACAATTTTCCAATGAATAGTTCCTCATCCTGTTCTCTTGGTGCATATGTGGAAGAATTTCTTTATGATATATACCCAAAAGTGGAGTGGCTAGCTTGTAGCTTTTGCTGGTCTTTAATTTTACTACCTATTACCAAATTGCTTGTACAAATTCACAGTGCCACTTGAACAGATGAGGCCCCTGACCTTATGGAATTTGCATTCTGGTATGCGTCCAGAGGAGGGTGAGAGATTGATAAGCCCTATCTCATTGCATCCTTGACCGCCTTAGCTTTGTAAGACTCTTTAAGCCATCTCATTATTGTTTTAATTTATTTTGTAATTACTGGTAAGATTAAAGGTCTCTTCACGTATTTACCAGTGAATTTTATTGATTTTAAAACATAACTCCCATTTTTAAACATATATCTTTATGATTTGACACCCTTCTAAAAGAGCCAGATGCATGGATCCAACTACAGGAGAAATATATATTTTATAATAGTATGAAATAATATGAAATACTTTGTCATAAACCAAGAGTAATTTTTTTAACATCTGGCCTTATGAAATAGTAACAACTGATAAAAATAAAGAACCAAAGTTTTTGACTAGGAAACAATTTAGGAAATTGATTTCCAAAGAGAGTGGCCTACACTTTGGTTCCTCTTTGATTGAGTGGATTTTTTTAATCAAATAAATTAGTCTATTTAATTCTGAAAATGTTCTTCCAGAGGACTTTCTGCATTAAAAATTCTTGTCATTGAGAATTAGAGTAGCCTGGGTAAGAGTTACTTGGGTACAGCTGGGGATGTGTAATGCACAGTCTACATAATGCAAGCACTACTGAGCATGTCCTGGGTCCTCATGTCTATTATAGGAGATGGAGAAGAGAAAAATTTCCAGATAAAACCCCTCAGACTCAATTTCATCTAGAAATCATTTTCTCATTTGAGCACTAAACAGAATTCTGCCCAAAGCCACTTAACTAGCATTCAGAAGGATCTTTAATTTTAATCTATTTCAAATAAATGGACCAATAAATTAGTGGGACTCAGTGCATAGTCCAGGACACTATTCACATCTTATCAATTGTGACTTAGTCATGATTTCTTAGAATTTTTTATGACAAAATTAAACTGATGGATTACAGCAATTATAAAGCAGTGATCACAAAACATAGCACTGTGTTTTAAATGAATACTTGCAAGCTTCTTCAGTGTGGCTTCTTTATGTCTGGCTATTACCTTCTGATAGGTGATATACACACTCCACTGAAGTTTTTAAGATTAAACCCACATTAGAGCTGTTGTACAATTGCCTTGGAGCATGTAGATATTGCTATTGGACTTTGACCTGTAGCTCTTCCATTATAAAATAATAGATACTCTGAATTTCCTCAACCAGCACTTCCAGACCTTTGAGGGCACTGCTTTCTACTCTTTCTTACTTAAAGACTTGCTCCCAGAAGCTTTGCTGAAACTATTTGTCTTCCCCCTATGCTGTCAACTGCCTGATTGAAGATCAAGGCTCTGAGAGGATAGAAGTCACTTCTTCTCTTATTCCTCCCAAGAAGTACATACAGACAGCAACTTATTCTGTCACACAACCAAACTAGGTGTTTTTTGGTTTTTCCTTAACCCTTGGTATGACTGGAATCTCTCATTCTCACTTTGTGACTTGCCCATGAGTCCTAACTATCCCACAGCTTGCTGCCAGTCAGGAACATTTTTGCACTGAAGGCAGCCAAACTCCCCTGCCAATATGCTATGGCCAGGTCTCTGGAATATCATCCTAGTTCTGCTGTAGTGGATGCTTTTGGAGCCACCCAGATCTCCTCAGATGCCCTTACTGGTTGGGTGGAATCGTTCCTCAGCTTCTGCAGTGTTTGCGCCTAGCAGCTCATGCCTTCTGGAAACCTCATCAGAGAACTACCTGCTGGTTACTGGAACTGCTTCACCCAGCTACTGAGAGCCTAAAATCCTGGGAGTTAATATGCTCCTGGAGTAAACCCTAGCACATGGCTGACTTGTTGCAGGAGGATGAGAGCCCAGGTATGTGCAGGAGGGAGAGACTGCTCCCGATCTCCTAAGGAGATCAGGCTTGGCTGAGTTTCAACCTGGCATTTCCCCCTTGCTTAGTTTCTTTCTGTCTCTCCCTCCCTTACTTGTTCATCTTGGAAGAACTTCCTTTAAAAAATTATATGCATGAAAATCCTCATCTTGGTGTCTGCATTTGAAGGGCCCAACTTAAGAAACTTGCTTTCAAGAATGATTATCTTTACTTACCAGGATTAATTCATTTAAATATCTACAGAGATCCTACCTTCTACCAGGCCCTGCTCTACATGCTGCAGATATGTTGGTGGGTAAGGCAGATACAGCCAGAAACCTCATGAAGTCTGCTTTATTCAGGAAGGAGGTGATACATTTACTAAAGCACATAAACAAACAAGACAATTTGAATAGTAAAAGATGTTATAAAGAAAATAAAAGAGTGTGATAGAAAGTAACCAATGAGGAGTGATGGCAGCTATCTTAGACTGAGTTGTCAAGGAAGAAGTCTCTGATGGGATATGTGAGCAGTGACCACAGAAATTGAGGGAGCACGCCATACAAACTTTGGAGGAAAAGCACTCCAGGTGGAGGAACAGCAGATGCAAATGGGTAGTGGCAAGCTTGTCGTGCTCTGAGAACAATGAGAAGTTACTGTAACCGGAGTGAGAGTCATGGAGAAAGGGACAGAGAAATCAGTAAGGCAAGGCAGAGCCAGGTCAGGTGAGGGTTTACATGGATGCCTCCTTTAAATTTTGATAGAAATCCACTAATGAGTTTTAAAGAGAAGAGTGGCATAATTTGATGTATGTTTTAGAATGATCATTGAGGTAGCTGAGTGAGACCAGTTTGTGTATCACAAACTTGGAAGTTGGAGGATCCAGTAAAAGGCTCTATTGCAGTGACCAAGCCACCTGCCTTGAGCAGAGACACTTTGAGCACATGAGCATAGCTGTGAAGATCTAACAGCGGACTGTATCACAGAGTCTTGCTATTAGGCTTGAGATGGGGTCCAAGTAAGTTGGGTTGCCAGGTAAAGTATAGGACACCCAGTTACATCTGAATTTCAGATAAACAACAAATAATTTTTTGAGATAATTATGTTCCAAATGTTGCATGGAGGAAAATAACATGAGACATAAAAAAAATTCATCGCTTATTGGAAATTAAAATTCAACTGGGCATCCTGCCGTTATTTCCTAAGTCTGGCGCTCTACAAGTAAGTGTTGCCATATAAATAGCCTGAGTTAGCTAACAAGAAATTAGTTGGAATGTGCAGACATCTCTTAAATCTCAGCATCTGGTTTTGTTTTTGTTTTTGTTTTTGTTTGTGGTCTGAGTCTGTAGGCTAAAGTCAAAATGAAAGTATCATGTAGCTAAAATTAGGCATAATTTACAATCATACTGCTTTATGGGAAGATTTCAGCTGCTAAATTAAAACAAAACAAAACAAAACAAAACAACACACACACACACAAGAAAAGCACTGATGATCCAGATTCTATACTATCCAAATATGTTTCCTCCCTGACTTTCTGTCCAACAGAAAGTTTCATCATATTTTCTTTATTCTACAAAATGTGATGAGCTGAAAACAAGGGTAGTCCTTTAAAGGGAACTTGTGGAGATGTGAAAATGATCAAACACAGCCTTGGCTGGCCAGTGCACATGCACCTTAGAATGTGCCCAGGAATGCCCAGGTGTCCCAAGAAGGCTGTGTGTCCAGAACGGTTTCTGAATCTGCCACAGGAATCATTCAGCCTCTTCTGGGGCAAGATAGCATTGTGGTTATAGAGCTTGGGCTCTAGGGTCTCCTAGCCTTGAGTTTGAATTCCATTTCAGCCATTGAGAATCTACGTGAACATAAACAAATTAAGCTTAGTTTCCTCATCAGAGAAAAATCATATTCTCTATAATTTGTAGATGAGATGAAATGTCACATGAGAAAGTGCTTAGCATAGTGTCAGGTTCATAGTATAAACTCAAAATTGTTAATTACTGTAGATATTATTAGCCATTAGCATTTACAACATGCAGGGAACTTTCCTGACATAAAACTGTCAGTTCTAAATATTGATATATGTGCCTTAGGGCACATTCCCCAGAAGCAAACCCAACAATGAGGATTTTTATGAAAGTGAGAGAGGGAGGGCGGGAGTGGTGAAGAAAAGATGTCAAGCTAGGATGTGATGTCAAGCAAAGTTCCATGGAGGATGACTGTTGCTTGGTCCCACAGGAGCTCCAAAGACAAGACAGGTCACAACTCAGAGTTGTCCATCTCAGGACAAGAGGGCTGTGCAGTCAGTCACTGTTTATTAAGGGATTCCCCTAGGTGGGCGTAAGGTCCCATCAGGGGAAGTGGGTTATGGCAGCACAAGGGCAGCCCTTCCACAAAGAAGCAGGTGCTGGAGTTGGGAGTGAAAATGAATTGGGAGCTATTGTCCAACAGCAACAACAACAAAAAGATAAAAGCATCTTGGTGGGAGAAGCACTGACAGCGTCCAACACTCATCCCCCTGTTCAGCTTGAAAGTAGAGTCCTGTATGGGAGAGGAAGAAAAAAGATCTACAGTTCTCCTTCACATTAGTACAGTATGTGTGCTGAAAAAAACAGATGAGAAGGCCCAGATATTTTCTGGGATGGTAAGCTGTGCAGAACTATTTGCAAACTTTGCATAATAAATGGCAGTTATTAAAATGTAAGTATTAATATAAGCATCTTTGGCGCTTATTAACTATGAGTCTGGGATGGCTGCTCACATGGTTTCCTCTTTATAATTTATCTCAACTACTAAAAAAAATTACATAGAATACCACCCTGTTATTGATAGCCCCCTAAATGATGACCATTTCAATAAGAAAAAGATAAATACACCAATTTTTAAAAACTGACAAAGGGCATGAACAGTCAATTTACAGAACAAGCAAAAATGGCCAGTAAACACAAAAGTATTGCTAAAAGTCACCAGTAACAAAAAAAAATTTAAATTATGAAATACTAGTTTTAGTCTGTCAGATTGGCAAGGATTTTTAAAGTCAGACTCTTACCCAATGCTAAGTTACTATGAGCATAAATTGATATAAATTTCCTAGTAGACAATTTGATAGTATATACCAAAATACATAAAATATGCATACCTTTTGACAAAGCAATTGAATTTTAAGAAATATTTTATTTAAGCAATAAGAGTGGGAGGGTGGAAGGAGAGTGAGAAATGAAAAATTATTTAACGGGTACAATGTACACTATTTGAGTGATGGTTACACTAAAAGCCCAGACTTCACCATTGTGAAATATGTCAGTGTAACAAAACCACACTTTTATTCCCTAAATTTATACAAATTTTTTAAATCCTCAAAAAAAGAAATAATCACTAAAGTGCATGCAAATTAGTTTCAATAATGTTTACTGAAACTTGTAATATTTAACTTATAATATTTAAAACTGGAAATACTACAAATGTCTACCAGTAGAGTATCTGAGTAAATGAACAGGGGTAAATAAATTACTGTAACTAAACACATAGTGATTTTTAAATGTTACAAAGTTGTATTTATTGACAGATGATGACTTTATTGATATATAATTAAGTCAAAAAATTATATTATAAAATATTACCAGTGTAATCCAATCTAAACAATTAACATATATGCATAGAAACAAGTCTGAAAGGAAATATACTAAACTGTTCCTAATGGCTATTTTTAGGTATCAAAGATGACTTTTAATTTCTTCTTTTTGCTTATCTGTACTTTTCTAATTTTTATACAGTAAACATATGTTGCTTGAGTAATTAAAAATGTTATAAAACAATAAAATATTCCCTCTTTGTGCTTAAGTGAAGTACTCTCAGAGACTGAGCAACAATAGATATTTTTCCATTTTATTAATTTCCCGGTCCATTAAGTGTATGTAATGAACAGTCTGCCATGACTCCAGCTGGTTGGAGGACAGCCAAGTGCTGTCCGACAAGCAAGGCAATAGCAACCATCCATCCCTAGCTCTCACCTTAGCTGGCAAACCATGGTCCCAGTATTGAATCCATCAGGCTTCATGTTTAGAAAAAAACCTTTAGTCATGTAAAGGGTTTATGCCACCTAAAGCAATCCACAGAGAGGCACTTTTTCTAGCAGTTGCTGCCTCACTGAATTTGGAATGTAAGCAGCGACTTCACAGTTGTTAAAACCTACCAAAATGCCCTACCTGTGGTGGATGCTAAAGAAATGTTTAGACTGCAACATAATGAGTTTTGTTTTAGGAGTGACAGGGTTGAATGTAAAGCTAAGACGATAAAATATTTGGCATGTACCACCAAGGAAGCCATTAAGTAGTCCTATTAGTAATGGTTTTATTTTTGTCTAGATTCAAAAAGTGTAAGGCAGGCCCTGACTTACAAACTCCTGACTGTCCATTGCTACTGGTTATCCACTCAGGACTGCTTACTTAAACCAACAACATCAACAAAATCTTAGTGCATTCGAAAAGCTTTAGGCTGAGAAGCAGAGGAAGAAACAAGGCTTTGAAGGTCAGAAACAACCACAAACCATATCCCATGGGCAGAGTCTGAACTGGTCTGTCTATGTGGTCGCCTCCTTTGTCCAAAGTTCCCATCTTCCCATCCCCAACATGACACGCGGAGATAGACTGGACACTTAGCCATCTCAGAGTCTTTTCTGTCTGCTATTTTTCTCTTTATTAAATAGGTGACCTTTCATCAATTTCCCTGCCAGGGCCTTTGTAAAATTTATATCTAGAATAAATTGGAGTTGTATTTTGCCTACTAAATAGTGGATCTCAGAAATAATATCCTCTCCAGCCTATGTGTAATTACATAAGTTGTTTGAAAAGTGTTTTGTTTACCTAGGGAATCATAATGGAACCCATTAGAGAAAATTTATATTCCTCTGTAGTGGCTTAACTAACAAATCCCATCACAGAAATATTCTGTAAATGAGGCATCTCATTTTAGCCCCCTCTTTTCCATTTCAATAACCTGCAGCAGTGAAATAGTCCATTAGCAGGGTGTCTATATGTGGGTGGCTCAGAATGAGTTTTGGAATTTCAGTGATCAATTTTCAGATGGAAAAGCAAACAGAGGTAGACTGTATTACCACCTGCTATACAATTCAACTGTGACTGTCCAGAAATCTAGGTTGGCAGCCTGATGTGACATTGTGGACACATACTTAGAAATAAATAACGGGCATGTTCCATCCCCAAAAATATGAGTGGGAAAATGTAGATGACAGGGGAACCCACCACCAAAAACACCACATGAGAGAGTATGTGGAAATGTGTCCATAAACATACAGAATTTTTGAAAGTACATGAAGTCAACTTTGGATACTATGTAGCATTGGTTCAAGTTTCATTTGATCTGTGGCAGTGCAAAACTGCTCCTCCTTCCTCTTCCATAACCACCTCTTCTCTTACCTGGTTCAAGATCCCTTAGAGAGACTGAACAGAAGTCAAAAGATCCCAGAATGAAGCGGTGCTTCAGAGGCAGACACAGGCACACAACTGCCTCAAGAAATTTCAGCCATGCCAAGCTGCAGTCTACTAGTGCTATCGCCTCCAGTTTATGAATTTGGTTCTGTTACGTTCTCCTAACTGTCATTTTTAAAGGAATTGCACATATTTGTAAAGTCTGAATATCTGCAGTGAATACTTTACCCTCCATGGCTGAGTTAGCTTTTCCTGCTAGAAGAGGGCTATAAATCTGTTGGTAGAAATGTAAATTGGTGCAACCGTTGTGGAAAACTATGGAAGCTCCTGAAAAAATTGAAAATAGAACTACTATATGACCCAGCAGTTTCACTTTAGGGTATACATCCAAAAGAATTGAAATCAGAATCTCAAAGAGATATCTTCACTTTCATATTTACTACAGTATTATTCATAATAGCCAAGGCATTAAAGCAACATAAATGTCCATTGATGAATGAACAATGAATAAAAACTATGTGGTATTTACATAAAATGAGATATTCTTTAGCCTTTACCAAGAAGAAAATCCTACCATTTGTAACAATATGGATGAACCTGGAGGTTGTTATCCTAAGTGATATAAGTCAAACACAGAAGGACAAACACTACATGACACCACTTATATAAGGAATCTAAAATAGTCAAACTCATAGGAACAGGGAGTGTAATGATGGTTGCCAGGTGTTCGGTGGATGGGGGCGGGAAACTGGAGGTATTAGTCAAAAGTGCAGTTTCATTTATGCAAGAATAAGTCCTAGAGATCCACTATACAGCATAGTGCCTATAGTTAACAATACTGTATTGTCACTTAAATTTTGCTAAGAGGGTGGATCTTATGTTGAGTGTTCTTGTCACAAAAATAATAATAATAATAAATAAAGGTGGGGAGAAAACTTTGGAGGTGATGAATGTGTTTAGGGCATAGACTGTGATGTTTTCATGGGGGTATATTTGTCTCCAACTCACCATATTGTATTCGTTAAATATTTACAGGGATTTTTTTTTGTATGCCAATCATACCGTAAGATGGTTAAAAAATAAAATAAAATAAAATCGCACCAAATATTTCAGCAGAAAAAAATAGTGCTGTAAATTAAGAACTTTCATTCTGTAATATGTCCGTTTATCACATAAAACAGTGGAATATGTAGAAACTCAGTAAACAATAATCTCTTTAAATTAAAACCATCCCCTCTCCTCAATACCACATCAACCTTCTTCATTGTATATGTCAAGTGGTCTGTCGGCCTTCAGGCTCCAAATCACTTGCTCAAATTCAGTTCCCTCAAATTTAGGGCCTGGTTTCCAGTACAATACTCTCTAGAAACATGCATAGAGGCTACTCTCACTTTAATCCCACCAAGAGGCTCAGGAACAACTGCTGCTTGGTGGAGTCTCACCAATAGGAACTGGAGTCTGGCTGATACACCAGGCAGAAAGGCAGCTCCCTCATTGGCTCCCACCTCACTTCCTGCAGGAACCTTCCTCTCTGGCAGGTATCTCAGTAGTCCCTGCCTCATGTGTCATTTACTTTATTAGTGTGAATATCCAGAAACTTCATCTCCCTGGAGAAAGAGAATAGAGTCTGTGTTATCAGGAGTGGACCATTTTTTACCTGATTATCATGTAACTGTCTTCTTGTTCTAGGCAGGACTCTTTTTTTCTACCAGAACTATTTGGCTTATTTAAAGTTCCTTATCTCTAGGCTTTGTGTTTCCAAAAATAGAGAGAAATGAATACCACAACTTAGAAACTGAGATTTCTTTAATTAAGGGAACCATTCTTTCATATATGTTAATGCAGGGGACCACAAAAAGGGATGACATTAGCAGGCAATATATAATATTCTTCACACTGTATTATGCCTAGCTTATTTTTTTTAGATATATAACTAAGTATATTATGTATTCTGGTACTTTCGTTAATGGTAGCTTTTTTAAATTTTTCAGTTGTTCATTGATGATATATATACAATTTATTTTTGTATATTGACCTTGTATCTTGTGAACTTGTAAACTCACAATGAGTTCTAGGAGATGTTTTGTAGATTCCTTGGAATTATCTCAGTATGCATTTATGCCATCTGTGAATACAGATAATTTTGTTTTCTTCTTTATATTCAAAATGCTTTTTAGTTCTTTTTCTTGCCTTTTGTGTTGACTACAACTTCCAGTACAATGTTAAATAGAAGAGGTAAGAGAAGACACACTCACTTTGTTCCTGATTGTAAGGGACAGACTATTCAATCTTTCACCATGAGGTATGGTAGATGCGCTTTATCACACTGAAGAAGTGCCTCTCTATTCCTAGTTTGTTAAGAGTTTTTATCAGAATTTAGTGTTAAAACTTATCAAATGCTTGTTCTGTATCTGTTTCTATGACTATAAGCTTTTTCTTTTGTTTGTTGATATGATGAATTAATTTATTGATTTTTAAGTGCTAATCCAGGCTATCATCCACGGTAAAAAAAAAAAAAAAAAATCCATCTGGTCATTTGGTTTTATTTTTTCATTTGTCCCAAAAACCTCATTCTTTATTGGTATGTTTAGATGACTTCTATTTTATTCAGTTTTATAATTTCAACTTTTATTTCAGATTCATGGGCTACATGTGCACGTTTGTTACATGGGTATATTGTATGATGCTGAGGTTTGGAGTATGAATGATCCCACCACACATGTAGTGAACATAGCACCCAATAAGTTGTTTTTCAGCTCTTGTCCCCCTCCCTCTTTCTATCCTTTAGTAGCCCCCATTGTCTATTGTTCTCATCTTTATGTATATGTATACACAATGTTTAGCTCCCACTTATAAGTGAGAACAGGCAGTATTTGGTTTTCTGTTCCTGCCTTAATTCATTTAGGATAATGACCTCTAGCTGCATCCATGTTGCTGGAAAGAGCATGCTTTCATTCTTTTTTCATGGCTGTGTAGTATTTCATAGTGCATATGTTCCAGACTTTCTTCATCCAGTCCACCATTGATGGATACCTAGGTTGATTCTATGTCTTTGATATTGTGAATAGTTCTGTAATGAACATACAAGTGCATGTATCTCTTCGGCAGAATAAATGCTTTTCTTTGGGGTATATAAGTAGTAAAATCTCCAAATTGCTTTCCACAGTGGCTGAACAAATTTACATTCCCACTAACAGTGTATAAATGTTCCCCTTTCTCTGCAACCTTGCCATCATCTGTTATTATTTTACTCTTTTTTAGATATCGCCAAGATTTTCATTTATTTTTTATTTCAATAGGTTTTTGGGGAACAGGTGATGTTTGGTTACATAAATAAGTTATTTAGTGGCGATTTCTGAGATTTCGGTCCATCCATCACTCAACACTCTTCCCAGTGTGTAGTCTTTTATCCTTCACCCTCTCCCACCCTTTCCCTCAAGTCTCCAAAGTCCATTCTGTCATTTTTTTTTTTTGAGACGGAGTCTTGCTCTTATGCCTTTGTATCCTCATAGCTTAATTCCCATTTATGAGTGATAACATATGATGTTGGTTTTTCCATTCCTGAGTTACTTCGCTTAGAATAATGGTCTCCAATTCCATCCAGGTTGCTGTGAATGCCATTATTTCATTCCTTTCTATGGCTAAGCAGTATTCCATTATATATATATACATATATATACATATGTATACGTATATACATATATACAAGTGTATACGTATATACACATATACATACGTATATGTGTATATACGTATGTATATATACACACGTATATGTGTATATACGTATGTATATATACACGTATATGTGTATATACGTATATATACACGTATATGTGTGTATATATGTATATATACACGTATGTGTGTATATATATATTGTGTATATATATATATCCCACAACTCCTTTATCTACTCTGATTGATGGGCATTTGGGCAGGTTCCATATTTTTGCAATTGTGAATTGTGCTCCTATAAACATGAATATGCAAGTGTCTTTTCTGTATAATGACTTATTTTCCTCTGGATAGATACACAGCAGTGGGATTGCTGGATCAAATGTTCTACTTTTAGTTCTTTAAGGAATCTCCACACTGTTTTCCATAGTGGTTGTACTAGTTTACATTCCCATCAACAGTGTAAAAGTGTTCCCTTTTGACCACATCCATGCCAACATCTATTATTTTTTTACTTTTTTGATTATGGCCATGCTTGCAGAAGAAAGATGGTATCACTTTGTGGTTTTCATTTTGATTTCCCTGATCATTAGTGATGCTGAGCATTTTTTCATCTTTGTTGGCCATATGTATAGCTTCTTTTGAGAATTGTCTACTCATGTCCTTACCACTTTTTGATGGAATTGTTTGTTTTTGTTTTTTCCTGCTGATTTGTTTGATGGATTCACAGCTGAATTCTATCAGGGATTCACAGCTGAATTCTATCAGACATTCAAATAGAATTTGTACCAATCCCATTGGCACTATTCCATAAGATAGAGAAAGAGGGAATCCTCCCTAAATCATTTTATGAAGCCAGTATCACCCTAATACCAAAACCAGGAAAAGATATAACAAAAAAGGAAAACTACAGACCAATATCCCTGATAAATAAACAAATATCCTGAATAAAATACTAGCTAACTGAACCCAACAGCATATCAAAAAGATAATCTACTATGATCAAGTGGATTTCATAAGAGGGATGCAGGGATGGTTTAACATATGAAAGTCAATAAGTATGATACACCACATAAACAGAATTAAAAACAAAAATCACATGATTATCTCAAAAGATGCAGAAAAGGCATTCAAGAAAATCCAGCATCCCTTTATGATTAAAACCCTCAGCAAAATCAGCATAGAAGGGACATACTTTAATGTAATAAAAGCCTTCTACATCAAATCCACAGCCAATATAATACTGAACGGGGAAAAGTTAAAAGCATTCCACCTGAGAGCTGGAACAAGGCAATGATGCCCACTCTCACCACTTCTATTCAACATGGTACTATAAGTCCTAGCCAGAGCAATCAGACAAGCGAATGAAATAAAGGGCATCCAAATCAGTAAAGAGGAAGTCAAACTGTCGCTGTTTGCCAATGATATAATTGTATACCTAGAAAGCCCTAAAGACTCATCCAAAAAGCTCTTTGAACTGATAGATGAATTCAGTGATGTTCCAGGATACAAAATTAATGTACATAAATCAATAGCTCCGCTATACACTAACAGCGACCAAGCTGAAAATCAAATCAAGAACTCAATCTGTTTTACAATAGCTGCAAAAATAAACAAATAAATAAAATACCTGGAAATATGCCTAACCAGAGAGGTGAAAGACCTCTACAAGTAAAACTACAAAACACTGCTGAAAGAAATCATAGATGGCACAAACTGGATGTGTAAAATGAATATTGTGAAAATGACCATACTGCCAAAAGCAATCTTCAAATTCAATGCAATTCCCATCAAAATACCATTATTCTTCACAGAATTAGAAAAAAATTCTAAAATTCACATGGAACCAAAAAGAGCCCAAATAGCCAAAGCAAAACTAAGCAGAAAGAACAAGTCTGGAGGGATCTCATTATGTGACTTCAAACTATACTATAAGGCCATAGTCACCAAAATAGCGTGGTGCTGGTATAAAAATAGGAACATGGACCAATGGAACAGAATAGAGAACACAGAAGTAAACCCAAATACTTACAGCCAACTGATCTTCAACAAAGCAAACAAAAGCATAAAGTGGGAAAAGGACACCCTATTCAACAAATGGTGATGGGATAATTGGCAAGCCACATGTAGAAGAATGCAAATGGATCCTCATCTCACCTTGTAGGAAAATCAACTCAAGATGGGTCAAGGACTTAAATCTAAGACATGAATCCATAAAAATTCTACAGGATAACATCAGAAAAACCCTTGTAGACATTATCTTAGGCAAAGACTTCATGATCAAGAACCCAAAAACAAATGCAACAAAAACAAAGATAAATAGATGGAACTTAGTTAAGCTAAAAAGCTTCTGCACAGCAAAAGAAACAATTAGCAGAGTAAACAGACAACCCATAGAGTGGGAAAAAATCTTCGCAATCTATACATCTAACAAAGGACTGTTATTTTTTTACTTTTTAATAATAACCATTCTGACTTGTGTAAGAGGATATCTCGTGGCTTTGATTTGCATTTTTCTGCTGATTAGTGATGTGGAACATTTTTTCATATTTTTTGGTTGCTTGGATATCTTCTTTTGAGAAGTGCCTGTTCACGTCCCTTGCCCATTTTTAATGGGGTTATTTATTTTGTGCTTGTTCAATTGTTTAAGCTCCTTAAAGATTCCAGATATTAGATCTCTGTTGGATGCATAGATTATAAATATTTTCTTCTATTCTGGAGGCTGCCTATTTAATCTGTTGATAGTTTCTTTTGATGTGCAGAGCTCTTTAGTTTACTTTGGTTCCACTTGTCAATTTTGGGTTTTGTTGCAATTGTTTTTGAGGACTTGGTCATAAATTCTTTGCCAAGACTGATGGGAATTTTCTAGGTTTTCTTCTAGGATTTTATAGTTTACATTTGAATTTTTAATCCATCTTAATTTTTTATGTGGTGAATGAAAGGATTCCAGTTTCATTCTTCTGCATATGGCTAGCCAATTATATCAGCACCATTTGTTGAATAGGGAGTCCTCTCCCCATTGCTTATTTTTGTCAACTTTGTCAAAGATCAGATGGTTGTAGGTGTGTGGCTTTATTTCTGTGTTCTCTCTTCTGTTTCATTGGTTCATGTGTCTGTTTTTGTCCCAGAATCATGCTATTTTGGTTACTGTGGCCTTATAGTATAGTTTGAAGTCAGGCAGTGTGATACTTCTGGCTTTATTCTTTTTGGTTAGGATTTCTTTAGCTATTTGGGCTCTTTTTGGTTCTATATGAATTTTAGGACAGCTTTTTCTTATTCTGTGAAAAATGACATTGGTAGTTTGATAGGAATAGCCTTGAATCTATAGATTGTTTGGGGTAGTATGGCCATTTTAACAGTATTGATTCTTTCAATCCATGAGCATGGAATCTTTTTTTCCATTTCTTTGTGTTGTCTATGATTTCTTTCAGCAATGATGACTTACATTTCATATAATTATTGATGTGATTAGATTTAGGTATAACATTTTATTATTTGTTTCTGTGTTTCCTATCTGCCTTTTGTTTCTATGTTCCATACTTTCTGACTTGCTTTGGATTTTTGGACATTTTGTATTACATTTTTATATTAATTTTTTGTTAAAATTGTAAAATTTTGTAAATTTTGTATTAATTTTTGTTTGGCTCTTTGACTATATATCTTTCCATTATTTTTACTTTTAGTGTTTTCTCCAGAAATTAAATACATACACTTAAACTTACACAGTTCTACTTAGGGTTTATGTTTTACCACTGTAAGGAAACTATGGAAGACTTTCAACCTTGTAGGTTCCTTTATTCTTTTCCCTTATCTTATGGATGCCAGATACATTACATGTATCAAAACCCCCACTAGACAATGTTATACTTTGAATTTTCCATAGACATATTATTTTAAAGAACTTATGAAGATAAAAAATAATATTTTATATTTACCAGATATTTGCTATTTCTGTTGCTATTTCTTTGTTCCTGAAGTTTCAAGCTTCCTTCTGATATAATTTTTCTTCAGCCTGAAGAAGTTCCTTTAGTGTAATTTATGTGTCTTCACTGGAACTATTTTAATAAAATGAGCTATAAGCTTTTAACATAGTCCAGAGAACGAGAACAAAGAGTGATTTCACTGGCCCACTGGAAATCAGTATTGGACAATTCTATTCCTCAGGTCTTTTGGGTCCATACCAGCCCCACCATGCACCCTGACAATGGTTTTTCTTACCCATTTCTTAGCTTAAATTTTTACCTTTTCCCCATGATCAAATGAGTACTTTCTATTCAAAGATGAGGAAAAATGGTAAAAGCTATGCCTTGCATTAAGGTTGACTTTCCATAGTCTTTAATTATTCAATTTGTTAAGCTTGTTAATATCAGTTATAGGAATAGAAGGATTGCTTCAGTAAATATTAACAAACATATGAATCTCTGTCCAAGACATCCTAGAGCTCTTAACCGAAGTTAAATAAGGCTGAAAGACACATGTTTTCCTCGAAGTAGGGCGTACATTAGGTATTTCAACAAAATCATTGTCCATTATTTGGTGTTGTAGTAAACTAGAGAAAGTATCACAAGCCCGGGGGTCATTCAGGGAGAGTTACTTTTAATATGGGAGAAACCAGGACTTGTGGGGGGAGTTTTTATGGCAAAGATAAAATTCAGTGTTTTTTTTTTTCCAGGTAAAGATGAAAGGAAGGATGAAAGAAGATAAAGAAGAATCAAAAGGAGATGGGATAAAGAAGGAAGAAAGACAGGAGGAAGGAAGGAAGGAACAAAGGAAGGGGGGAGGGAGGGAGGGAAGGGAAGAAGGAAGGGAAGGAAGGAAGGAAGACAGGCAGGGAGGGAGGGAGGGAGGGAAGGAGGAAGGGAAAGAAAGGCAATTTCCACATGTTTTGAAATATGCCTAAGAAAATGACTAATAAAGTCGTTAAATGAATTTTTAAGTAATTCAAGAACTCAAACTGCCATGATTTATTATGGTTTTTGATTGATTTTAAAGCTCATATAAAGCTCATACTTGGCCTTATTACTTCTCTTTATGCATCCCATTCGTCTGACAATACAGCTTTTTTTACACAGTAGCCTATGTCGTATATTATTATAGCTTTGTTTCATATGGCTTTTAAAAGATTTCGAGCCATAGGCACTTTGGTGGAAAGATGATGGTCCAAAAACTAAAGGCCATTAAATCATTAAAGAAGAGTCATATTTTATTAATTAAATTCTAATATGTTAGCATGGGGGGGGGGATTTAGTATCAGAGTCACTTCTTTTTCCCTGGTCCTATATTAGGTATAGGATAAAGGGTAATTAGATATTTAAATTCTTAACCATAATTCAATACATTGAATACATTGTAATTTTAAAATATAAATGAGCATATTTTTACTCTCCTAATTACAAGGACCTTTTACTTTGGCATGCTTTTATTAAGGAAGTATTTCAGGTTATATTGATGAGCAAATCAAGGAAAGCATTTTAAGAAGAAACAGGATACCCACTGCAAAAGAGTTATAATTGCAGGGGGATAAAAAGCTGGCACCAATGGATGCGTTTTTCTTTTCCTTCATCATTAGAGCTGTGTTTAGATCCTGATGACATAAAAAGCCAAGAGGACTACAATGATTTCTATTTCTTTTCACTTCTTCTACTCAAATCTAGGGACAACTGTGCAGTAGCCATGCATTTCTGCACTTAGGGTTTTTTTAATGTAGGGTAAGAAGATGACATATATGAGAGATGTTAGGTTTTTAAATTTAATATACTATAGTTTCTAGATATTCTAGTTATGTAGAATGCCTTGGTGTTTCAGTGGTGAGTTTCAATATGAGAGAAGCCACTTTTGACAAGCAACGACTTCATTAAGCTTTAAGTTCTTCACCTGTGAAAGTGGGCTGAAAATACCGATCTTTGGAGATATTTACAAAGCCTTAAGTTGCTTAGCCCAATGTCTAGCACCTGATGAGCACTCAGTAAATGTGGCATCTTAGCAAGGATGAGAAGGAGATTCGAGGAGCTTGTATCTATCTTTTATTAAGTTGTCTAATAACAATTTGGCAGTTTCTCCCTTCCTGGCTTCTCCAAGTATTTAGGATTCTCAATTGAAATAACAAGGATGCCTCTGGCTTCTCAGTTCTGCAGCTTAAACCTGATGGACTCTAGATATTAATCCATCTCTTAGATGTGAATAATCCCTAATACATTTTCCTACTGGTGATTAAAAGAGCAAAATAAAATTAGCATTGATGAGACTGAGCCTGCTTTCCTATGCCACATTGCTGATTTCCATTTCAATTCAAACCTTGAGCTACCCCCTATCTTGGCAAGACTGACAATATCCTAATATGCAAAATATTTTTCAATTTACAAAGCACTTTTGAGTTATTATATCACAACAGCTTTGGGAGGTACCTGGGATGGCTGTTATCAAAACAATCAAAGCAATGAGAAATTTGAGTCCTGGAACTGAAGAACTAGCTTGGAATCCCAAATCTGAGTGGCAGGGCCAGGATCCAATCTCAAGATTCCCAAAGATAAGTTTTCTAATTTCTTGTACACTGCCTCTCTGCTTTTGCACTTTAATCTTAAGTAAACATTTTGGCCAGCAGTTCTCAGATTTGGGGTTGTACAGGGTCACCTGGGCAGCCTCTGAAAATGCAGTTTCACAATGCCTACTTTCAAAGATTCAGGTTCACTAATTCTGGAGTGAGGCCTGGAAATGTGCATGTTTCACAAGCTCCTAGGTAATTCTGACGTGGCACTCCACCTGGAGAAACTGAATTCTTAGAACTCTCTGATGTTCTCTAAGTTATGTTATCACTCCTCTGAGAAGACCAGACTGTTTTCTCAATACCCTTCACAAATCTAAAATCAATATAGGTCAGCTGAGAATAAGTTGTGCAGCAATAACAAAAGACTCCCAGAATTAGTGTCTTGCAAAAGCAGTGTGATTCGCTGACTTACGTTTATGTCTGCATGAATAGGCTATGACTCTACTATGTGTTCTTTTCATTTTGGGACCTGGGCTGAAGAATAGTCCCTATCTAGAATATGCTGGTCACGTAGCAGAGGGAAAAGAAAGATGGCAGAATTGCATGATGCTTCTTCAATCTTTTCCTAGGAATTGTCATATGTCACTTCCACTAACATTTTATTGGCCAAAGAAAATCACAGGCACACCTTTGCCATCAAGGGAGCAGGAAGTAGTCTTATCTCTTAGAAATGTACTGAGAGGTAATGCTAATGATTAATATGATTACCTTCATGTTAATACAATGAAACATAAAAACCTTACCTGCAGTCTGGAATAGGTTTAATTCTTCATTTTTCCTATACTAACCTCGAGATTTCTTCTTCCAAGTAATTATTTGCTGGCTAAGCTTAATAGTTTGCCACCATAATTGCCTTCCATTCTTTATTTTACTATGTTTTTCAGGTAATTGTGTTTTCTACCTTAGACTGTGTTTTAAAACCTGAATAATTCTGGTTACTTAAACATAGAAGAGCCCAAGTCCTAAATTCCAAGCTTTTATAGTGTTGTTATTATTTCTCCATGTTCAAAAATGTGCTCTAAAATATTTCAAGGGAACTCTGGGTCACACAATGATCCTCTGTGTCTTATAATGTCTATTTCTGCTTTTGGAGCATGCTGGTGGCTGCTGGCCACATGCTTCAATCAAAGGCAATTTTCCTGTCTCTGTTTAGCTCTGGTTCCCAACCAGCAGAGAGAATAACTTTGAAGCTTTCTCATTTTTGTAATAAACAGAAACTTCAAATGTCAATGTCCTGCTCATGATTAAAATTCATCTTACATTTTGCCCCCTTCTTGCTCCCTCCCAGGTGATGATTGGTTCGTGGTGGAACTGAAGTGTCTGTTTTGTCTCTGGATCTACAAAGAACGAATTTGCCAAGTGTAACCTTATTTTCTCTGCCGAGTAAATGGTTGTTAGATTATATATGAATCCAATATGTCTACAAAGAGGAGAATATGATTAATACAGCCAGGACTTAAGAGACACAGCATCAAATGCATTCTTTCACTGCAGAGTAACCGACAACAAACTAGAAAGGGAGCTGATGGGGAGTCGATATGACTTTTCATGATAAACTACCTTTATTCACAATTTACTCTTCTTTTGGGGAGGAACTGCAAATTTTATTGTAGCTTTAACATAATAAGTTACATGTAAACTCTGTAAAATCAATGTGAAATGGGAGTGAGCTCTGAAATATCAATACTTTTTCCCTCTCATTCTTTCTGTCTTTCTTCCTTTCCTCTCTTCTCTTTAAAAACCTATTTTCCTAATAGTTTTATTTTATTGTATTTCTTTTTTTTTTTTTTTTTTGAGACAGAGTCTCACTCTTGTCGCCCAGGCTGGAGTGCAATGGCGCAATCTTGGCTCACTGCAACCTCCGCCTCCTGGGTTCAAGCAATTCTTGTGTCTCAGCCTCTCGAGTAGCTGGGATTACAGGCACGTGCCACCATGCCACCATGCCCAGCTAATTTTTGTATTTTTAGTAGAGACAGGGTTTCACCACATTGGCCAGGCTGGTCTCAACTCCTGACCTCAGGTGATCTGCCCACCTCAGCCTCCCAAAGTGCTGGGATTACAAGCATGAGCCACCACACCCAGTGTTCAATAGTTTTATTAATGAGCGCTGACCTATCCATTCAATCCATAAATATACATTGAATGTCTATGATGTAACAGGCCCTCTCCAGGAGACTGGGGACACTGAGAGAGACAAAACTCAGTGCCTGCCTCCACAGAAAACACTTCTTATGAGTATATATGTCATTAGGGTTTTCTATTGATAATACATATTTATTTATAATATATTTAATGAACTTTGACCAAACCCTTACTATGTGCCAGGCACAGTTCCAGATGCTGGAATACAGTGATTAATAAAACCAATAAAACTTCTATGTTCATGAAGCTTACATTTAATGAGAAAAAATGATAAAGAACAAATTAACAAAACATAAAATATGCCAAAGGTATATAAGTGCTGTGGAGATAAATAAACCATAGAAGAATAAATATCAAGTGCTGGGGGTTACAATTTTAATAAGATGCCTGAAAGTGATGAGGCAGGGAGTTATGCAAGTATCTGGGATGAGAGATTTCAGGGAGAGGTAACAGCAAGTGCAAAGACCCTGAAGCAGGAGAGTGCCTGTATTTTCAAGGGGCAACAAGAGAGTCCTGATAAAGGTAAGAATTTATGTATATAGCAATGACATGTCTAACCCAGCTTCTATTTGTGGTCTAATAAACACTGGATCATCAGCTAGAGTAAAGCAGAAGTGGGCTGATAGCACAGGATTGTAACTGAAATGATTTTGGTATTATTCCTACCACCTAAAGTAGATACCTGATGATGATAAGGAGATTAAAAGAAAATGACATCATATTTGCATGTCACATATTTGCAAACCATACATATAATAAAGGGTTAATATCCAAACCATATTAGGAACCAAAACTCAGTAGCAATAAAAATAAATGACTCAATTAAAAAAAATGGGCAAAGGACCTGAATAAACATTTCTCAAAAGAAGACATATGAACGGCCAAAAGGTATAAGAAAAAGGACTCAATATCACTAATCATCAGGGAAATGCAAATCACAACCACAATGAGATGTCATCTCACTCCTGTTAGAATGGCTATTACCATTCTTATACTAAGTCAAAAGATAGTAAGTGTTGGCAAGGATGTGGAGAAAAGGAAACCCTTCTACACTGTTGGTGGGAATGTAAATTGACATAGGCATTATGAAAACTTTAAAAATAATATTTCATAAAATTTTACATTCCCACCAACAGTGTACAGTATGGAAGTTCCTCAAAAAATTAAAGATAGAACTACCATGTTATCCAACAATCCCACTTTTGGGAATATAGACAAAGGAAATGAAAACAGTATCTTAAAGAGATATCTGCAAGCCCCATGTTCATTGCAGCATTATTCATAAGAGTCAAGATACGTAAATAACCTAGGTGTCCATCAATGAATCAGTGGATAAAGAAACTTTGCTCTATATACACAATAGAATTATTCAGCCATAAAAGAAGAAGAAAATCCTGCTATTTGCAACAACATAGATGAATCTGGAAGACATTATGCTT
The DNA here is from genome assembly GCF_000001405.40 of Homo sapiens. Classification (NCBI taxonomy): domain Eukaryota; kingdom Metazoa; phylum Chordata; class Mammalia; order Primates; family Hominidae; genus Homo; species Homo sapiens. The sequence continues at coordinate 136,467,118 of NC_000005.10, read as the reverse complement.
AGTGAAATAAGCCAGACATAGAAACACAAATATTGCATGATATCACTTACATGTGGCATCTAAAAAACCCAAACTCATAGAAGCAGAGAGATTAATGGTGGTTGCCAGGAGTTGCAGCATGTGGGAAAAGAGACGTTAATCAAAGAGCACAAACTTTCAGTTATGAGATAAATAAGTTCTGGGCATTTAACATATAGCACAGTGACTATGGTTTATATTAATCTATTACTTACTTAAAATTTGCTGCCGGGCGCGGTGGCTCACGCCTGTAATCCTAGCACTTTGGGAGGCCGAGGCGGGCGGATCACGAGGTCAGAAGATCGAGACCATCCTGGCTAACACGGTGAAACCCCATCTCTACTAAAAATACAAAAAATTAGCCTGGCGTGGTGGCGGGCACCTATAGTCCCAGCTACTCGGAAGGCTGAGGCAGGAGAATGGCGAGAACCCGGGAGGCGGAGCTTGCAGTGAGCCGAGATGGCGCCACTGCACTCCAGCCTGAGTGACAGAGCGAGACTCCGCCTCAGAGAAAAAAAAAAAAAAATTTGCTAAGAACGTTGATCTTGTGTCCTTACCACATTCACACACACATACACACACACACACACACACACACACACAAAGGCAACAATGTGTGGTGAAGAGTATGTTCGTTAATTTGATTGTGGTGATTACAGGATGAATGCATACATTAAATCATGATGTTGTACGCCTTGAATATATAGAATTTTTATTTGTCAGTTATACTTCAATAAAGCTGAGGGGAAAAAAAGTAAAAGAAAATGACATAAAGAAATGTGTTTGCAACCTGTCTTTCCCTGAATAGCATCCTCTTTTTTAAAAAATATTGCATCCAGATGTTGAATTACAAGATAATTAAAAGCTTTGCCCATTTCAATCCAGATGTTGAAAGTATTTAGCTTAAGAAAGACAAGCGCCCTATTTCTGGAAACAACCAACTTATGTGTTCAGTATTGAAAAATTACAATGAACTGACTCTCTTTTCTTTCTTTTTACAAAAGCTATAATTCTCAACGAGCTCTGTAATTTCCTAGGTGGCTTCTTCCTAAACTTCTTCCTGTTTTTCTCCATATTTGTGAAATGATAGAAACAGTTACTTGCAACAGTGTCCTGAAAGAGAGCTGATTTTATAGCAAATGTTATAATTTCAAATACTATAAAATCATAACTATAAATATAATTTCTAGCCCTAACAATGACCACACATTATTATTTTAGTGCTGGAATTCTATATCAGTGCTTTGTGCTGTCTTGTAATAAATATACAGTTTTCATCATGATGTTGCTAGGAACCCAAGTCTTGCATTAAATAAACTCGTTTCTACTGTCTTTTTAAAAAGCCTTTTTTCTCTCAGGGCTTTTGGGACTGAGGATGAGCAATGGAATTCTTATAGTTTTTGCAAAGAAGGTAATACAAATATCAGAAGACCACAATAAATTGTTAAAAGTGTGTACTTTGAAGATGGACTAGTATTTGGGTGTGGATACTCACACTTACTAGCTGAAGTTTAACTGTGAACAAATTACTAAACCCCTCTTGTTTATTTTTGTTATTTGTTTTATTATTGATCATGTATAAAACAAGAAAAATAATTATACCTGCTCCATGGAGCTATTTAGAGGAAAAGGCAACGTCACCTGTGAGATCTTTCACACCGTCCCCATACTCAGTGATTGTTAGCTAATATTATGAATAAACAATTGGTACATATCTGTGCATTTATACAAAAATCTGTTCAAAAGTCATATATGAGGGATATTCTTTTTACATATATGCCTTCTGGTTTCTTATCAGGGCCAGAAGGCAAGGAAGTCTTCTGGGTTTCACGAACAGGACATTGAGCCCTGTATTAATTTCGCCTTGGGCTGTGATCACCTGAGTCCCACCCTCTATATCTGTCTCTTGGTTTTGTCCTCCCAGTAGGAAAACTTGGGAAAAATGAGATTTACCCTTTGTTAATAAAAATCTACTTTATCTCAAATCAGAATTCTAAAGTGTATTAGTTTTAAAATAGTTAAATAATTTCTTCAATAGTTTAACTTCTTTTACGCAGAGAGCATCCAAGAGGAGAATCATTATTAAACACTCAAAAGAAAATAAAAGTCTCTCAAAGCAGGACGGGCTGTTTAATAAATAATCCATTGAATTCTTGCAGCCGTTTCTTTCAGATAAAAAGCAATAGCAAGGCCCGTTAAAGAAACCCATCACGGCAAAATCCACACCCCACAGAAAATGTCTAATAGAGTGGGATGACAGCACAAAGAGCTAAAAGAAGTTTGTCTTTGTAGAGGGAACAAAGATGTCTCTGGTAATTAGAAGCATGTTCACCTGTTCTAGCTAAGCTGAAAGGAAAGCCTGGGGAAACCATAGCATTTGGGGTACCTCTGGGGTGCCCTTCCTCTAAGACATGTGGCAGGAACACATTAGTGGTTACACAAAATAATAATCAAATCCGTTGATTTGATATGGGACTAGTTTAAATACACAATAGCATCATTGCAGTCTCATTATTTTTATTACCCACCTGCCCTAATGCGACGTCTATTATATGCATATGTGTGGTCATGTGGAGATAAGCCACATTATAAGTAGAAGTCTACAGCAAAGCCATCTCCCAGGGGTCATCATTTACCTGGCAGGCAAGGCCTTTCAGATCTGGGGCTTGCCCTCATTTTAGAGCCACCAGTCTCTGCTTTCACATCTGTACCCTCGGCTGTGGCCAGACTGACTGAGTTGGGGGATTCAACTAAGATTAGCAGCTGTTTCCTCCTGCTCACCCACCGGGGTGCCTTCTGGCCTGGCACACTTCTACTACCGGGAGGCCATTCTTACCTCCCCATGCGAAGTTTCTTGCTCTCTGTTTTGTCCCCACGTTGCCCAATGCCACACTCTCTTCAGAGCTCAGAACCCTGCACAGCCCTATAACCATTTGCTCGTGTGTCTCCCCGTTAGACTGAAGACAGTCAGCTCCATGTGCAAGATTCAGCACAACCCTTGACACAGAGAGGGCCTCGATCAATATTTAAATGGATGAATAGAAATGAGGGAATGAAATCCATCTTCATAAAATAATAGGGTGCTTTTGGTTTGTCTTTAGCTTTCCTAGCCTTTACCCTAGAGTTTCTTAGAGGTAAAAATACAGTAGGATGTTGAGTTTGGGCTATTAAAAGTGTTGACAATTCCACTGTATCTAACCAATCTCCTGGGGACCAGCCAGACCATGTTAGAAGCTGCTCTGAGGGGGGTTTTGTGACAGCAGGGGCAAAGCTAGTCCTTTCATTTCTGAATAGCAATGAAAAAGCTGATTTGTAAAACAGAATGGAAATCAATCTGGGGTAACTGAGTAATCCCATTTGGTTTGCTGGGAGAGGTGGGGTGGTATATTCAAGTCTTCAATAAATTGATATGAATTACCAAATACACACAAAAACCCCCCAGAATTTTAAATGTTGCACTGTTACAATGAATAATTCTGAAGTTATTTTATTTCAAGAATAAAGTCATGAAAAACAAATGATACAGGCATTCATCTAACCCATCTGTACCTCCCAAGCCCCAGCATCTGAGAGCACGTGGTGGCTGGTGATCTGATGCTGAGCACAGTGATTGGAGGTCAGAGGGAACCCATCCTAAGAACCTGCACTAAAACTGGGAAAGCCATAGATTGCTCTGGTAAACAGGGACTTTCTTCACACAATCCTTCCTCATTCCAGAGAAAATTATCGGAAAAAGGGACAAGGTTTAAGATGTTAGCGCTATGACGATTCTGTTCTTCAGTCCACACAAGCAACTTAATGATTTGATATTTCACATTAAAAATATTTATGGCTGGGCACGGTGGCTCACGCCTGTAATCCCAGCACTTTGGGAGGCTGAGGCCGGCGGATCACGAGGTCAGGAGGTGGAGACCATCCTGGCTAACACGGTGAAACCCCGTCTCTACTAAAAATACAAAAAATTAGCCGGGGGTGGTGGTGGGCTCCTGTAGTCCCAGCTTCTAGGGAGGCTGAGGCAGGAGGATGGCGTGAACCTGGGAGGCGGAGCTTGCAGTGAGCCGAGATGGCGCCAACTGCACTCCAGCCTGGGCGACGGAACGAGACTCCATCTCAAAAAAATAAAAAATAAATTTATCAGCTATTTAGTCAATATTTGCCCAAATCCAAGGCCTTGTGATGCCACCACCCATGTGAGTTGTCTTCTGCCCAGGAGGGGTAGTCATCTAATAAGGAGCGACTGACCAGTAAACAAATAAATGCAGCCATGTGCCCTGGAAATCAATATAGAGTGGGTTTAGGTTGCTGTGGGGTTATTAGTGAAAACTCAGATAGTCAGTGGGGGTGGCCGAGAGGATCAGGAAAGGGTTCAAAGAGGAGGTAGCTCTAGAACTGAGGTCTGAGAAATGATAATGATGGTTGCTATGGAACAGGGTTCAGGTGGGAGTACAGAGTGGATGAGGGGCCCAAGAGGTCAAGGTGTGTTCTCCAGGAGAATAGGTTTGGGAGACTTCTTACGGTGGATGGGGCTATAGCACAGAGCAGTAGAAAGGTCCTTGGGGTGTTGGGGCCGGTAGGGTCCTGGGTAAGTAAATGGGGTCTGATTGATAATGCTTTGACATGTGAGACTGGGGAGTCTGGATTTTATCCTATAGGTGATGGAAGCCTCAAAAGGGCTCAGAAAGGGCAAGACGACCCAGAAACGAAGCAATTTCTTTACACTTTAATTCACATGTGTTATCTATCCGCCCTCAGACTCTCTTTTGTAACAAGAATTCTAAGTAAGCAAGCATTCATGCTAAGCACCAAAATCTTTTAATACCTGTAATTCATTACCCACACACTTGCTCCTGTCATATTTAACCTACTAGAGATTTGTATATTTTCAATTGTCTGAGACGTTCGGTTAGCTCAGAACCAAAACTGTCCCTTTCTGCGTGATGAGATGCTCCCCTGCAAAAAAATCTGGTCATAGAATATGGAGGTTTATTACCCTTGTTTTGCCTGAGCACTCACCTAACCACATGACTTAAGGATCGTTATGCTAAAATCCTACATGATTTCCAAACCCTCACATTTCACCAAATGTAAGTCTAACTTTCTCTGTAAAGTGTCTGAAATCATGCACCAGGCCCAGACATTTTATCTCTAGAGAGCACCTGCATCAGAATTACCTAGGCCCCAGCCCAGACCTCCTGAATGAAGTTGATGGATAAGTAGGGCCGGAGATTCTGCATTTCCGCAAGGTCCCTAGGAAGTTTTTAACCTCATTCATGTATACAACATACTGGTTCAAATTTAGGCAACCTCATGGGAGAACATCACCTCAGGAGTATTTTGAAGGACATTGGCTCTAATTTAATTAAAAGTGATTTAGGGGTTTTAGGAAAATAAATGTTTATAGTTCCCCACAATATAAGGCTCCTAAGCTGAGAACATATTTTAGTGGCTGCTCTGCAGGTTTGTGTCATTTTTCTAAAGTAAATGATCCTTTGGCATAGTACTTCCCCCGTCTCACTATTATCACTTCTGATGCTGAGGCTACTGACTTCACACCTCTTCTTCCCAAGGTCAAATCTTTTGCCCAGAGCCTTACTTGAAAGCATCAGGAAAATATGTTGTTCTCTATTCTCTCACCACAAAAGCCATATTCAGGACACTGCCATGAACTCAATCATGTACTCTTGGCACCTTTAAATAAGCATGGATGGGTATTAAAGGGTGTTTAGGATCTGTGCGAGAATGGAGGTGAGAAAAAAAGACCTAGATCTTAGGATAGTGAGCTGGAGTTACCCAAGAATGTCAAAGGACTCAGAGCTAGTGCAGTGAAAGGCACTGTGGCCAGGGATGAATTTGGCAGAGGCAGGGAGAAATACTGACCTTAAAACAGAATCTGGCATAACTGGAGTTAACAGCAAATTTAATATTGTTCAGTGTTCAAGGGAGCCTTTTTCTTTGTGGAGTAAAAATGAAGCAATTTTACTGGCTATAAAAAAATGGCAATATTTCTGACTGTCCTTGTGTATTTTTAGCTGCTGAGATGAGATGACTATCTTATAACCATAGTTAATGTATGATTTTCAATGGTTCAGATTTTCCATGTTGTAGATTTGAGTATGACATTTTGAGATCTCTTTGTGTTGAGGGAAGATAGATTTCTTTCTTTGTTAATGATTTTGAATAATTTTTATCTGAGTTCTGACAGATTTTGTTCTTTTTGAAGACCCTTTTTTCTTTTTAAAATGACAAAGGAGGAGAAAAAAGTAGGGCTAGAAGGCATTTCAAAGCCATCTTGTCCAGTCCCCTGGCCCATGTGGGAATGTATTTTCATTTGAGCCATTTCAGACACTAATTTGTTTGGACACAAATGCAGTGACATTCAGACAGAACAAGTCTGGGTTGCTCCAGACACCATAGATGCTAAAACAAGGAACACATGAGGTTTTAAGCATAAAACATGTATGAAGTTGAGACATAAAAACACGAGTTCATTGATTTTAAGGAGTCCATGATCACTTTCAAGAACTTTGGTAAAAGGCATCATTTTGCAAGTATCCATCCCAATGCACTGATCATAATTCATTACGGCATTTTACAAAAAATGATGTTAAAATATTGGGAACATTTTTATTTTGAAATACAACAAATGTAAAAATTCACATTTTTGAAGGCATTTTGGAAGGAGCCAACTCATAGTAGGTATACCCTCACAGGTGAAGGACGACGCTCATTCTCTGTTGGCAGGAGAATCAAAGGGACAACCTCATGATACTGTAAGCGTAGCAAACGTGGAGGCTGTGTGCCTTTTTCACATGATTTTTCTCTGGTGGCCATTGCTGCCTAAAAATTATTAGGTGCTTAAGATATTGTTAAATGAATACGTGAATCTATAAGAATTTGGCTGTATTATTGGACCCATCATTTTGCCTTTAGAAAGTTATCCTAAAGAAATAAAATGGATGAGATCAAAGGTGTAGCTACATAGCTTCTCACTGTGATGTTGTTAGTGATGGCCAAAAATGTGTGGAAATAAGTCTAAAAGATGAGGCTGGGAGAGAGTGGTTGGTTAAATTATGGTAATCCATATAACAGCATATTGTGAAGCTATTAAAATGTTATATAAACTATCTAATGACAAGGGGAAGTGAAAAAGATTGATAAGGAAGTAGGTTACCAATCTTTAATAACTATAGTATTTCTCAAAAATGACTATGACCTTTATCACAGGGTCTTGGAATTAAAAACTATTTTATGTCCTTATTTGTATTGTCTGTTTTCTGTCATGTGCATGTATTATATAGTGCATTTGTAGCAGTAAGACATTGTTAAAAATATAATACAATAAAAACTCCTATCACCTGAAAGCTACATAATGATACCTGAAATTCTCAAAAAAATTTTATTCTGTATAATCCTCTATTGATTAAGCTACACAGGAGGTCATTAGTAAATTTCTTGGTCATTGTTAGTTTTTGTTTAGTTTAGACAAAAACTCAAAGAAGGAAAAAAATGGAAACAAAGCCTCAGAGTGTTAGAAAGGTACAAAGGGGTAGATGTTTTAACTTATATGAAAAAATGATATTCCAGAAGTGAGTTAGAATTTTGGGTGCCATTAGAAAACATAATAATAAACCACGACATAATCAAACAGAAGGAAGTTTGACAGTAGCAGAGAACTCTGGGAAGGAAAAACTTCACTTTGTGTGGCATGACCTGAGAGTATTGTCTGTGGTCTTCTGGGGCTTTAAGTTCCTACCCACTGAGAGATACCTTCAGATGTGAGACATGGCTGCAGAGATTCCCAAGAAGTTGCCAAGCGATTATCAGGGAGGAACCCTGTGCTCAAACCATCAAAATGGATGTCTCAGCACCAATGGCCATCCTTTCTTTTCAGTTGATGTCAAGCTCACTGTCTTAGTCACCTCAGGCTACCCTAACAAGATCCCATAGACTGACTGGCTTAAACAGCAGACATTGCTCTCTCACAGTTCTGGAGGTTGGAAAGCCCAGGAGCAAAGTGCTGACAGATTTGATGTCTGGCAAAGCCCTCTTCCTAGTTATCCACATAACCTTTTAGCCTTTTAGCCATTATCCTCATATGGCTAAAGAGAAGGGCTCTGGTATCTTCTTCTTTTTATAAGTGGAAAATCCCAGCATGGTGGACCCACCTTCATGAGTTCATCTAAAACTAATTACCTCCCAAAGGCCCCACCTTCTAATACCAGTACAGTGGGGATTAGAGCTTCAACATATGAGTGGGGTGAGAGGAGGCAGGGGTGCCCATACATTCAGTCCAAAGCCTTCGCCCTTGATTTTTGCTAGATTCTGGTCAATTGTAGCTAGAAATATGACTAAGGATAGAGTGGATGCATTTTGATGTCAGAGCAGGCACAGGACAAAGTCCATGGTGTGTAGCTGGCCTGTTTCCAGCAAGGAATATGGCCATGTGTTGGGAAGGAAACCACTGCCAGGATAAAGCAGAAAGAAGTGGTATTTACTTAGAACCTTTCAGGTTCCAAGCACTGCTTCCCCCATTATGTGTTTCAAACCTCACAGCATTTCTGTGAGCTGGAATTGTGGCCCACATTTTACCCATGAGAAAAGAGAAGGTCAGCCAAATTAAGGCATGCAGGTAAGAAGTGGGGAAGTTGACTTTAGAGCCCAGAGCTGTCTGGCTCCAAAACTAGTGCTCTTTCCACTTAATTATGTAGATTGCTGGAATTTCATTTCTATAAGAGCAGGGATCTTTGTTTTGTTCACTGATGTATCTCAAGGAATCTATAAGAGTTATATACATGTAATGAGCATTCAGAAAATATTTGTTGAATTAATGAATAAATGAATTAATCAAGATGAAACTACAAGGTGCATGGAAACCTCAAAAGTCTTACATCTTTTTTTCTTGAGCTGAGTCTTCACAGACATTGCAGACTGAACCCATTAAAACTGGGTTGCTGTGTCTTAGTTTGCAGGGTGTTCAGAGTGACAAGGCACATGTCTCAATATTGTTCACAAATGTAATTAATTGCTAAAAGATGACATTACTAAGAAATATTTACTCTGGTTGGTGGTGATTTCCAGCTGACAGCAATAAATTGCCACCTTTGCAGGATCTTTGTCTCCTGAGGCTGCCCATTCAGACCTTCACCTGTCCTCACTGTAGCTGCCCATTGGGACTGGAGAGCTGCCAAGTTGAGTTGAGACCAGGGCAAGCTGCCATCAGCTGATGCAGGCAACCTGATGTCTTTCCCCTTTGCAGCTGGCTTTACAATTTTTTTTTCAGCCCTGTCCTTGAACATAGTTCAAGTGAAGTGGTTTAACATTTTAGTCAGTCCCCAATTCAGCACATTCCCAATTCAATTTAAATGATGCCAAACAGCATTTATAGTCATTGCACATAGGCATTCCTTGGAGCAGTTTCACTGGAAATCCTCCCCCACGCAATTTCTGTTACAGACTTTATTTCAAAACACCACCCAAAGGCTGTAGAAACGATCAGAATTGGCTGGACTCTGATAGATTTGTTCTTACATGTGGGTGTCTAGGACAGTGTTAGATCATTCAGCCTGTGTACATTTGGTTTTTGGTGCCTGAAATCAACACCAAGAGCCAATTTTCTTTATGCTTATGGGTGCAAAACTACAACTTAATTTTGAACAAAGCATTTGAACTCTGTAAGCTTCAGTTCCCTGTTCTGTAAAATGTGACCAATGTAATCCCATAAAATTATTGTGAGTATTAAATAAAATAAAGCAGTGCCTGGAGCCCCTTTGTTTACAGGAACAGGCATCGAGACCCTGAAAGGCCATGTCACTTCCTCCATTCACACAACTAGTATGAGGCACCTCTGGAATCAGTACCCAATCTCCCAATTCTGTGCTCATTAGTCATGCTGTCACACCTGCTGTATACTTCCCGATTTAGACAGGAATTGAAGCACATTTGGTATCATAACCTAGCAACGATTTTAAGTCCAAAAAGACAACCTGGTACTTTTTTAAAGGGAAGAACATTTTATAAATTATATTTAAAATGGTTTCTAGTTCTTCACTCTTAGGTTTTTGAGATACTTTATTCTCCATTTGAATCATTTTGTTGGTCGTAATATGAGTTCGGAGTACAATTATTACTAGTTATTTATGGACTAGGAACTTTCCCTTAACTCAAAAAGTAGGTGTGTAGAATTTTTTAAAAATTTTTTTACAGAAAAACTAAGCTTTTATTTTAAAAAAAATTAAATAAATGATTCCCAAATTTGATCCTGCATCAAGGTGAATTTGTACTGCCAGATACTTTAGTAAATATTTAGCTTCAGTTAAAATATTACTCCAATACATTCACAGGAAATGCATGATAGTTAATAATAAAAATAATCTGTTGAAGGCTATTCAATCTCATTCATGTCCAACTTCATTGCATAATTCCCAAATGGAGTATCCAGTCACTTGATGTTTGAAATCACCGGGAGATCTCAAGTAACACGGAAACAAGACAACCATGAAGGCAGTTGCCAAGGTGCCTTGTACCTTATATCACCTATCCTGACCCCTTAATACTGTTCACAGTTCAGCTGAGTGTCTAAATACTAGATTAACTAGGCATTTGACTCTCTAAATAGTGTCTTCTATGACATTTCTTCATCCTTAAATGAATGTCGATCTTTGAACCAGCAACGGAGTGCAAGCATCATCACTCTCTCATTCTGACTTTTGTCACAATATTAGGGATAAAGAATGTGTTGCCTTCTTATTTTGGGTATAAGAAGTGCATCATTATCGTATAATGCCTTACAACTAGCCTATTCTGGACATGCTGGAGAGGGGCTGTCAGAGTCTCTGGTACTTTCAGAATCAATTTAGCACCAGGATGCATCCCCCACAGTGTAGGGACTTGGGACTGGCTGAACTCATCAGAAATGGTACTTAAAAGAAGCAAATGCAATCATTTTCTAGGGCCCTGGAAATCAGCCAGACTTCCTCTCAAAATTGTTTAGCATTTAGAAAAAATGATAATAATGAAAAGGAAATATCTTCCTTCTACTGTGCAAAAATGCTCTTATCTATCCCTGTTGAGGAATGGTAAGGCCTTACGCTATGTAAAAGATGTTCCAGTGGGTAGCTTGCTTCAATTTGGAGCCCAGCAGTGTCTGTTTTGACCACAGGAGTTTTCCCCAACTCTTTTCCCCAGGAAGAAGGTAAAAATATTTGAAAAAACATATTGTATTGAGATTTTTCTTGATATATTAGACTGAAATGTCTTACTGAATTTTACAACTCCATAAAACCTGAATTAAAGTGTGAGTACTACATGCTCACTATGTGATCCATCTTCTTGGAGAAACACAATATTTTCTCTGGTGATTTAAAAAGTCTGGTGTTTTGCCTACAATCTAATTTGGAAGCAGTGATTGCAAACAATCAGTAAGAATTGGGCCTTTGTGATTCTGGGTCCAGCCACACAGCCATTGCTCACTCTGACAACTCAGCATCCATCAAACGGAAGCTTGTGGAAGGGTGACCATTAATCTCCACAGGGCTTCCTTTTCCATAAACTTTCAGTCCTGGCACTAATGTCTTAGTTCAGGATATGGTATGCAGCCAGCTGGAGCTACCAGACTAACCCCTGCAGGGTGAGTTCACATTATGTCTTTGTAAAATACACTCCCCATTAAGGTGGAATAAAATATTACCAAGCAGAGCTGTAAATTTTATGAAATTTAACAAATATTTGATTATTTCTTTCTAGCTCTACTCTGTTACCTATTGGATGTGAGAGCATTTGGGAAAGTTACCCAAATATCCCAAGCCTCAGTTTCCTTATCTACACAATGGAGACAATAACAGATATCTTCATAAGGTTCTTGTGTGGTTTAAATAAGATAATACATGTATATGGATCAATATTTATTAGTGCTTAGAATAATGCTTGGCACAGGGTAAATGACACATAAATGTTTGTTCATTAAATAAAATGCTTTTGCCTAGCGCCTGGCACATAGAAAGTACTCAATAAGTGCTTGATGTAATTGTAATATCACTGTTGCCATCATCATCATCATGTCAGGCACTACGCTAGGCACAATGGCACAGAAACAAAGATCTAAAATGTGTAGTCTTTTCTCTCAAGGAGCTTACCTTTAGTGGGGGAGAAAAACGTGCAGTATGTGGGAAAGTGTCGTGCTGGTCTCTGATCTTGAAAGCAGACCCATAAACTCTGATAGTCTCTCCTTAATCCTGTCACTCCAGAAAAGACCAGTTTTAAGTGTAATACAATGATGGCATCCTTCAAAGCACCAGTCCAAGGGGCAGGAATACCATTCGTGGCTCATTGTGATAAAAGAAATACAAAATGCCATAGAAATGGAAGGGAGAAAGAGATTAATTCTGGCTACAGTTATCAAGAAGTACTTCATAGAAGAGGCAGCATTTAAAAGGGTCCTTAAAAAATAAGAAAGTTTAACACAAAAAAATACTAGGACTTCTATGGAGTAATTGGCCCTGGATTAGACCTTTCACCAAAAATTACCAAAATACATGACGTAATTGTTTTCAGACACTGGTTAAAAGGCAGTACAATTCTGTGAACCCATAGGGAAGGGAAACTCATGAGGTGAGTCTCATGATTATCCCAGACGTCTGCTTGGGGACAATTTCCTGACCACTACACAGTGATCTAGAGTCCAAGCAGAGCATGGCAATCCCACTGAGCTGATAAGAAAGAAATCACAGTTCCTAGATGTACAGGAAACACCCCCCTCTGACCCCCAGAAGCCTGTTTGAGAGTTTCCAACAAGCCTTTGCCTGAGGATGCGGCTGCATTTGGGTAGCATAGACAATATGATGAGGCTTACTAGCTGTCACAGAGTTGAGATCAGAGCAAAGGTAAGAGAGGTTCCAGCAGTGTTGGGGGCATTGGAGTTTCAGGCTAGCCAGAGAGGATGAAACTCATTAACGCCTCATTAACATCCCAGACATCCATCTAAGATACCAGAAAATCTGAGCCTGAGGAATAGAGACCACACCATAAAATAAGGCATAAGCCTACTACAGTAACAAAGCCCAACACCAATCCCTGAAAAATCAGGAAGTGGGAGACAAAGGGAGGGGAGACAAAGTTTGGAAGCTGAGTGCCACCACGTTACAGTGGCTGGGGAAACGACTGGACTTTCCATGAATCCGCCCTAAATAAATCATAAAACCAAGTCTACCCAGGGTGAAGGTGGTCCATCAATAAGTGAGCTGCCTACTAGAAAAAAAATTCAGTCTTCAGCAGAAGATAATAGATTCTTGAGTTTCTTAATTGTATATTTGGCAATTTAATATACAATCAAAAATTACTGAAGAGACAGAGAAGAAAAAAATGAAAATGTGTGACCCATACTCAACTCTAGATGTTGGATTTACTAAAGATATTAAAGCATTTATGATAAATATGTTTGAAGAATTAAGTGAAAATATGCTTAAAAAATTAAAGAAATTGTATCTTCATGAGTGAGCAGGTAGGAAATCTACTTAAAGAAATAAAACTTACACCAAAAAAAATCTAGAACTAAGCAGTATACTAATCAAATGAATTTTTGACTGGGTAAACTTAGCAGTACATTAAAGATGGCAAGAAAAAATACTCAGTGAACTTGAAGATAGAACAATCAAAATTACCCAATTTGTTTTTGTCTTTTGTTTTTTGCTTTTTTTTTTTTGTCTGCTACTGAACTTTATTTAAATGGAATCAGACAGTATATACATATTCTCTCATGTCTGGCTTCTTTGGCTCAAGATTATGAGATTCTTTTATGTTGTTGAGTGTAATGGCAGGTCATTAATTCTCATTGCTGTGTAGTATTCTTTTATGTGAATATGCCACTTTTGATTTATCTATTTTACTCTTGGCAGACAACTTTATTCATGTAGTTTCCAGTTTGGAGGTATTAAATATAATGCTTCTATGAATATTCTAGCACCTATCTTTCAGAGAATCATGTTGACACACTTCTATTGGTGTATTATACCTATGAGTAGAAATATTGGGCCATAGGATGTACTTTGGCAGAAATTTCCAAACAAACTGGCTTTATCAATGTATTATCACCGTAGCTATATAGAAGAGTTCAGTTGCTCCACATCCTCCTCAGCACTCAGTATTTTTCATCTCCTTTACTTTGGTCTTCCTGATGAATGTGTAGTAGCATCCCACTGTGGTTTTAAGATGCATTTTCCTACAGACTAATGATGTTGAGCACCTTTTCATGTTTGTTGGCCACTTGGTTATTCATTTTCAAGTAATGTACAAGGCTTTTCTTCACTTTTCTCTTGAATTGTCCTTTTCTTATTAATACACTGTAATATAAACACAGGGGCCTGGGAACCCTCTACCCACTCACCCCCACACACCCCAATCTACTTAACAAGGGAGTATGAAAACAAGTCCAAGGTGAGCAAAGAATGCTCCCTAGATGTGGGGTGCTTCCAGTAGGAGTTGAAGTCCCCTCCTCTTCTCAAAGCCAGACTCTACTCACTGAGACAGAGTGAGAAGAGATGTCATTTCCACACAGTGAGTCAAGTCTACACTATGTTCTGAGCACTGCTGTCGGGGGTAGAAATTCTGCAGTGAACAAGACAAGACAGACCAGTCCTTGGGAACCCAGATGGTCACTTGAACATGAGAATGGCGCTCTACCCTTTCTTTTCTGGAGCTGGGCTGAACTTCCTCACGCAAGACTCTAGAAGTGATGAGTGCCCTTGCTAATAACAGCAATAATAAGCTACTGACACTTACTGAGCACTTCCTATGTCCCAGGTGTTATGCTAAGTACTTCCATGTGTTAAGCCCATGGTTCTCAAACATTAATGCAAATCAGCATTGTCACATTGTCTAGGGGGTGTATTAAACACAGACTGATGCTGGGCCTTCCAGTTTCTGACTCAGGAAGCCTGGAAATTTTCTTTTCTAGCAGATTCCCAGATAATGCTAATGGTACGACCATTAAATCATTACCTCAGAGCAACCCTATGGGGTGGGGACTATAATAATCTCTGTTACCCTATGATGCCACTGAGGCACAAACAGGCTAAGCAATATCTATACCTCTGGCCACACTGCTAATAATTGGTGGAACTGGTATTAGAACCAAAGCAGCATGACTTCACAGTGCGCACACTTGTCTATTAACTACACCTCACTATGCCCCAAGGAGCTTGCTTTTAAAAGCGCTCATAGCCTAGCTTAACAGCTGAAATAAGAGCCAGGTATAGCCTGTAGCCTCTATTCCCATTAGATAAATCTGTCATTCTTTTTTTTTTTTTTAAATTCTTCCATAAGTTGTGGGGGTACAGGTAGTATTTGTTACACGAGTAAGTTCTTTAGTGGTGATTTGTGAGATTTTTGTGCACCCATCACCCAAGCAATATACACTGCACCGTTTGTAGTCTTCTATCCCTCACCACCCTCCCACTCTTCCCCCCAAGTCCCCAAAGTCCATTTTGTTATTCTTATGCCTTTGAGACCTCATAGCTTAGCTCCCAGGTATCAGTGAGAACATATGATGTTTGGTTTTTTATTTCTGAATTACTTCACTTAGAATAATAGTCTTCAGCCAGGCTCAGTGGCTCACGCCTGTAATCCCAGCACTTTGGGAGGCTGAGGCGGGCGGATTACCTGAGGTCAGGAGTTCGAGACCAGCCTGGCTAACATGGCGAAACCCCACCTCTAGTAAAAAAAAAAAAAAATACAAAAATTAGCCGGGCGTGGAGGCACACGCTTGTAATCCCAGCTACTCGGGAGGCTGAGGCAAGAGAATTGCTTGAGCCTGGGAGGCAGAGGTTGCAGTGAGCCGAGATCGTGCCACTGTACTCCAGTCTGGCCGACAGAGCGGGACTCTGTCTCAGAAAAAAAAGAATAATAGTCTCCAATCTCATCCAGGTCACCGCAAATGCTGTTAATTCATTCATTTTTTATGGCTGCATAGTATTCCATCATATACCACAGTTTCTTTTTCCACTCATTAATTGATGGACATTTGGGTTGGTTCCATGATTTTGCAACTGTGAATTGTGCTGCTATAAACATGCATATGCAAGTATCTTTTTCGAATAATGACTTCTTTTCCTCCAGATAGATACCCAGTAGTGAGGTTGCTGGATCAAATGGTAGTTCTACTTTTAGTTCTTTAAGGAATCTCCACACTGTTTTCCATAGTGACTGTACTAGTTTACATTCCCACCAGCAGTGTAGAAGTGTCCCCTGTTCACCGCATCCACGCCAACATCTACTGTTTTTTGATTTTTTGATTATGGCCATTCTTGCAGGGGTGAGGTGGTATAAACATTGTGGTTTTGATTTATATTTCCCTGATTATTAGTGATGTCGAGCACTTTTTCATATGTTTGTTGGCCATTTGTATATCTTCTTTTGAGAATTGTCTATTCATGTCCTTAGCCCATTTTTTGATGGGATTGTTTGTTTTTCTTCTTACTGATTTGAGTTCGTTGTAGATTCTAGATATTAGTCCTTCGTCAGATGTATGGATTATGAAGATTTTCTCCCACTCTGTGGGTTGCCTGTTTACTCTGCTGACTGTTCCTTTTGCTGTGAAAAAGCTCTTTAGTTTAATCAGGTCCCAGATATTTATCTTTGCTTTTCTTGCATTTGCTTTTGGGTTCTTGGTCATGAAATCCTTGCCTAAGCCAACGTCTAGAAGGGTTTTTCCAATGTTATCTTCTAGAATTTTTGTAGTTTCAGGTCTTAGGTTTAAGTCCTTAATCCATCTTGAGTTGATTTTTGTATAAGACAAGAAATGAGGGTCCAGTTTCATTCTCCTACATGTGGCTAGCCAATTATCCCAGCATCATTTGTTGAAAGGGGTGTCCTTTCCCCACTTTATGTTTTTGTTTGCTTTGTCAAAGGTCAGTTGGCTGTAAGTATTTAGGTTTATTTCTAGGTTCTCTATTCAGTTCCATTGGTCTATGTGCCTATTTTTGTACCAGTACCACACTGTTTTGGTGACTATGGTCTTACAGTATAGCTTGAAATTAGTGTGATGCCTCTGGTTTTCTTCTTTTTGTTTAGTCTTTCTTACTTTGGCTATGCAGGCTCTTTTTGGGTTCCATGTGAATTATAGAATTGTTTTTTTCTAATTCTGTGAAGAATGATGGTGGTATTTTGATGGGGATTGCAATGAGTTTGTAGATTGCTTTTGGCAGTATAGTCACTTTCAAAATGTTGATTCTACCCATCCATGAGCATGAGATGCTTTTCCATTTGTTTGTGTCATCTATGATTTCTTTCAGCAGTGTTTTGTAGCTTTCCTTGAAGAGGTCTTTTGACTCCTTGGTTAGGTATATTTCTAAATATTTTTTTTGCAGCTGTTATAAAAGTGATTGAGTTCTTGGTTTGATTCTCCACTTGGTCACTGTTGGTGTATAGAAGAGTTACTGATTTGTGTACATTAATCTCGGACCCAGAAACTTTGCTGATTCTTTTATCAGTCCTAGGAGATTTCTGGAGGAGTCCTTAGGGTTTTCAAGATAAACAATCATATCATCAGCAAACAGTGACAGTTTGACTTCTTCTTTACTGATTTGGATGCCCTTTAATTTTCTGTTCTCTTTAATTTTCTGTTTCCTGATTTAAGCTAGGAGGGTTGTATTTTTTCAGGAATTTATCCGTCTCTTCTAGGTTTTCTAGTTTCTGTAAAGGTGTTCATAGTTGAATGATCTTTGTATTTCAGTGGTGTCAGTTGTAATATCTCCTGTTTCATTTCTTAGTAAGGTTATTGGATTTTCTCTCTTCTTTTCTTGGTTAATCTTGCCAGTGGTCTATCAATTTCACTTATCTTTTCAAAGAACCAGCTTTTTGTTTCATTTATCTTTTGTATTTTTTTTGTTTCAGTTTCATTTAGTTCTGCTCTGGTCATTGTTATTTCCTTTCTCCTGTTGGGTTTGGGTTTGGTTTGTTCTTGTGTCTTTAGTTCCTTGAGGTGTGATGTTAGAGTGTCAGTTTGTACTCGTTTAGTCTTTTTGATGTAGGTATTTGGGATATAAACTCTCCTCTTAGCACCACCTTAGCTGTATCCCAGAGGTTTTGATAGGTTGTGTCACTATTGTCTTTCAGTTGGAAGAATTTTTTAATTTCCATCTTGATTTCATTTTTGACCCAATGTTTATTCAGGAGCAGATTATTTAATTTCCATGTATTTGCATGCTTTTGGAGTTGATTTTCAGTTTTATTTCACTGTGGTCTGAGAGTGCTTGATATCATTTCAATTTTCTTAAATTTATTGAGCCGGTCTATCTTGGAGAAAGTTTCATGTGCTGTTGAATAGAATGTGTATTCTGTGGTTGTTGCATGAAATGTTTTGTATATATCTGTTTAGCCCATTTGTTCCAAAGTATAGTTTAAATCCATTGTTTCTTTGTTGACTTTCTGTCTTGATGACTTATCTAGTGCTGTCAGTGGAGTATTGAAATCCTCCACAATTATTGTGTTGCTGTCTATCTCATTTCTTAGTTCTATTAGTAATTGTTTTATAAATTTAGGAGCTCCAGTGTTAGGTGCATACATGTTTAGAAATGTGATATTTTCCTGTTGGACAAGGTCTTTTACCATTATATAGTGTTCCTCTTTGTCTTATTTAACAGCTTTTGCTTTAAAGTTGCTTTGTCTGACATAAGAATAGCTACCCCTGCTCACTTTTGGTGTCCATTTGCATGAAATTCCTTTTTCCACTTCTTCACTTTATGTGAGTCCTCAGGTGCTACGTGAGTCTCCTGAAGGCAGCAGGTAGTTGGTTGGTGAGTTCTTATCCATTTTGCAGCTCTGTATTTTCTAAGTGGAACATTTAGCCCATTTACATTCAATGTTAGTATTGAAATGTGAGGTACTGTTGCATTCATTGTGCTCTTTGTTGCCTGTGTCCTTTGTTTTTGTTTGGTTTTTGTTTTTGCCTTTTAACTTGTATTTTTGTTTTATAGGTCCTATGTGATTTATCCTTTAAAGAGGTTCTGTTCTGATGTGTTTTCAGGGTTTGTTTTAAGATTTAGAAACAGTTCTTGTGGCGGTGGCCTGGTAATAGCAAATTCTCTCAGCATTTGTTTGTCTGAAAAAGACTGTGTATTTCCTTCATACATGATGCTTAGTTTTGTTAGATACAAAATTCCTGGCTGATAATTGTTTTGTTTGAGGAGGCTGAAGATAGGGCATCAATCCCTTCTAGCTTCTAGAGTTTCTGCTGAGAAATCTGCTGTTAATCTGATAGATTTTCCTTTATAGGTTACCTGGTGTTTTTGCCTCACAGGTCTTAAAATTCTTTCCTTTGTCTTAACTTTGGATAGCCTGCAAACAACATGCCCAGGCAAAGATCTTTTTGCAATGAATTTCCCGGGTGTTATTTGTTCTTCTTGTATTTGGATGTTTAGGTCTCTAGCAAGGCTGTGGAAGTTTTCCTCAATTATTCCCCCAAATATGTTTTCCAAGCTTTTAGAATTCTCTTCTTCCTCAGGAATACCAGTTATTCTTAGGTTTGGTCGTTTAACATAATCCAAGACTTCTTGGAGGCTTTGTTTATATTTTCTTATTCTTTTTTCTTTGTCTTTGTTGAATTGGGTTAATTCAAAGACCTTGTCCTCGAGCTCTGAATTTCTTTCTTCTACTTGTTCAATTCTATTGCTGAGACTTTCCAGAGCATCTAAAATTTCTAAAAGCATGTCAAAAGTTTCCTGAATTTTTTATTGTTTTTTCTTTAAGCTATCAATTTCCTTGAATATTTCTCCCTTTACTTCTTGTATCATATTTTGAATTTCCTTGCATTGGACTTCGCCTTTCTCTTGTCCCTCCCTGATTAGCTTACTAACTAACCTCCTGAATTCTTTTTCAGGTAAGTCAGGGATTTCTCCTTGGTTTGGATCCATTGCTGGTGAACTAGTGTGATTTTAGGGGGGTGTTGAAGAGCTTTGTTTTGTCATATTACTAGGGTTGTTTTTCTGGTTCTTTCTCATTTGGGCAGACTCTGTCAGAGGGGAGGTCTAGGGCCGAAGGCTCCTCAGATTCTTTTGTCCCATGGGATGTTCCCCTGATGTAGTACTCTCCCCCTTTTCCTTTGGATGTGGCTTTCTGTGAGCCAAACTGCAGTGATTGTTGTCTCTTCTGGGCCTAGCCGCCCAGTGACTCTACTTGGCTCTGGGCTGGTACTGGGGGTTGTCTGCGCTGAGTGCTGTGATGTGAACCATCTATGAGCCTCTCAGCTGTGGATACCAGTGCCTGTTCCAGTGGAGGTGGCAGGGAATGCAATGAACTACATGGGGTTCTTAGCTTTGGTGGTTTAACGTTCTGTTTTTGTGCTGGTTGTCCTACTGCCAGGAGGTGGCGCTTTCCAGAGGGCATCAGCTGTGGTATAATGGGGAGGAACCAGCGGTGGGCAGGGCCCTAGAACTCTCAAGATTATATGCCCTTTGTCTTCTGCTACCAGGGTGGGTAGGAAAGAACCATCAGGTGGGGGCGGGGCTAGGCATGTCTGATCTCAGACTCTCCTTTGGTGGGTCTTGCTGCAGATTCAGTGGGGGATGAGGGTGAGATTCCCAGGTCACTGGAGTTGTGTACCTAAAAGGATTATGTCTGCCTCTGCTGAGTCAGGCAGGTTGTCAAGGAAATGGGGGAAAGCTGGCAGTCATAGGCCTCATCTGGCTCCCACACAAACCAAAGGGCTGGTCTCATTCCCACTGTCCCCCGCCAACAGCCCCTAGACGGTTTCCAGGTGGAGAACTATACCACCGGCTTGAAAACCTGTCCCAGGCTATCCGCCTCCCAGTTTTGAAAGAAAAGGACTTGGTTCTTCCATCACCTGTGGAGTCCTCCCCTGAGTTCTGTCCAGCAGGCTTCTCACCCTGTTCAAATTTTTACAAAGTTCAGCTAGAGATTTACTTCTCCCTGTGTAATTTTACCCCCTGTTCCTCTCCTGTTTCCCCGTGGTGCCAGGCAGAGATGGCCTGCTAGGGGATGCGGTGAGCACCCAGGGCCTTTCTGCTGCTTCCTCTACCCCTGTATTTCGCTGGCTCTCCAAATTGACTCAGCTCCAGGTAAAGTCAGAAACGTCTCCCGCAAAGAGACCTTCATCTTCTCCAGTGAGGGGTGTGTTCGGGAGAGGAGGAAGGTCTCCCTTTCCCACTTCTGCAGTTGGGGCACTCACAGTTTTGGGGGTGGGGGCTCTCCTGGGTCCTGTAAGAGCGGTCCACTTCCTTCAGAGGGTCTGTGGGTCCTCTCAGGATTGCTGGTTTGTTCTTGCAGTTGATCTGGAGCTAAAATTCACAGTGTGAGCCTCTGCCCGCTGCTATGTATGGAGCTGCAATCTAGTCCTGCCTCCTATCCACCATGATCTCTGCTCAATCCATCTCAAAATTACCCAATTTGAAGAATAAAGGGGTAAAACTTAGGGAAAAGTAATAATAGACCCAGGGACCTGTGAGAAATCATCGAACTGTGTCTGGAATTGGTGGGTTCTTTGTCTCACTGACTTCAAGAATGAAGCCGCGGACCCTCGCGGTGAGTGTTACAGTTCTTAAAGGTGGCGTGTCCGGAGTTTGTTCCTTCTGATGTTCAGATGTGTTCAGAGTTTCTTCCTTCTGGTGGGTTCGCGGTCTCGCTGGTTCAGCAGTGAAGCTGCAGACCTTCGCAGTGAGTGTTACAGCTCTTAAGGCGGCGTGTCTGGAGTTGTTCCTTCCTCCTGGTGGGCTCGTGGTCTCACGGGCTTCAGGAGTGAAGCTGCAGACCTTCGCGGTGAGTGTTACAGCTCATAAAGGCAGTGTGGACCCAAAGAGTGAGCGGTAGCAAGATTTATTGCAAAGAGCGAAAGAACTACACTTCCACAGTGTGGAAGGGGACCCGAGCAGTTTGCCACTGCTGCCTCGGGCAGCCTGCTTTTATTCTCTTATCTGGCTTCACCCACATCCTGCTGATTGGTAGAGCTGAGTGGTCTGTTTTAACAGGGCGCTGATTGGTGCGTTTATAATCCCTGAGCTAGACGCAAAGGTTCTCCATGTCCCCACCAGATTAGCTAGATACAGAGCGTCCACACAAAGGTTCTCCAAGGCCCCACCAGAGTAGCTAGATACAGAGTGTCGATTGGTGCATTCACAAACCCTGAGCTAGACACAGGGTGCTGATTGGTATGTTTACAAACCTTGAGCTAGATACAGAGTGCTGATTGGTGTATTTACAATCCCTGAGCTAGACATAAGGTTCTCCAAGGCCCTACCAGAGTAGCTAGATACAGAGTGTCAATTTGTGCATTCACAAACCCTGGTGCATTCAATTGGTGCTAGACACAGGGTGCTGATTGGTGTGTTTACAAACCTTGAGCTAGATACAGAATGCCGATTGGTGTATTTACAATCCCTGGGCTAGACATAAAGGTTCTCCACGTCTCCACCAGACTCAGGAGCCCAGCTGGCTTCACCCAGTGGATCCCGCACCGGGGCTGCAGGTGGAGCTGCCTGCTAGTCCCTTGCCATGCGCCCGCACTCCTCGGCCCTTGGGTGGTCGATGGGACTGGGTGCCATGGAGCAGGGGGCGGTGCTCATCAGGGAGGCTTGGGCCGCACGGGGAGCCCATGGAGTGGGTGGGAGGCTCAGGCATGATGGGCTGCAGGTCCCAAGCCCTGCCCAATGGGAAGGCAGCTAAGGCCCAGTGAGAAATCGAGGGCAGTGCTGGTGGGCTGGCACTGCTGTGGGACCCAGTACACCCTCTGCAGCCGCTGGCCCGGGTGCTAAGCCCCTCATTGCCCGGGGCTGGTAGGGCCCGCCGGCTGCTCCGAGTGTGGGGCCCACCAAGCCCACACCCACCCGGAACTCCAACTGGCCCTCAAGTGCCATGCGCAGCCCCAGTTCCCTCTCACGCCTCTCCCTCCACACCTCCCTGCAAGCTGAGGGAGCTGGCTCCGGCCTTGGCCAGCCCAGAAAGGGGCTCCCACAGTGCAGTGGTGGGCTGAAGGGCTCCTCAAGTGCCACCGAAGTGGGAGCCCAGGCAGAGGAGGTGCCGAGAGAGAGCAAGGGCCTGTGAGGACTGCCAGCACGCTGTCACCTCTCAAAACTTATTAGTAATAAGGGTCCAAAAGTAGATGAGAGTAAAAAATGGGGCAGAAAAAATATTTTTAAAAGTAATAGCTGAAATATTCCCAAATGTGATTTTTAAAATAAACTTATAGATCTGAGAAATTTAAGCAAGCCCAAGAGGTATAAACACAAAAACAAATCACATCTAAGTACATTGTGGTAGAAATATTAGAAACAAAAATAAGGAGAAAATATTGAAAACAGCCAGAGAGAGGGAATAAAAACATGCATAAGGGAAAAAATCAAAATGTGAATGATCACTGACTTCTCAGAAACAGTGGAGGCCAGGAGTCAAAGAACAACATCATTAAAGTAATTTTTAAAAAAATGCAACTCAGAATTCTATATCCAGCGAAAATAGCCCATCAAACAAGAGTAAAATAAAGACTTTTCAGGGAAATGGAAACTTATCATTCAGCACCAGCAAAGCCGTACTGTGGGAAACACTAAAGGATGTTCTTCAGGGTAAATGGAAAGGATACTAGATGGGAACTTGAAAGTGCAGGAAACAAAGAACACCAGAAGTTGTGAATAAGTGTGTAAATATAAAAGCTATGACTGTTTTTCCTCTAACAATTTTCTTGCAAAACAGCTAAGTGTCTAAAGCAAAAAAATAAAAAATGAAACACTGTAAGGTGAGGTTTATAAACTATATAGAAGTAAACAATATGAGAATAGTAGCAAAAAGGACAGCAGCATTAGTAAGTGGAATTATACTGTTGTAAGGTTATTACACTTATAAAGCAGGAAGTCAGAAATCAGAAGTGTCTGATGAAGTAGGAAGTACAAAGTATAAAGCAAAAAATGTTAGACATCAGGTTTAAGCTGTGAAGTAGTTCTATGCTGATTTGAAATTAGTAATATATTAAATATCTATATTACAATCCTAAAATAAACTACTAAAAGCTGAAAGTAAAACTAAAAAGAGATACAATTAATCAAATAGAAAAAATACAATGGAATTTAAAGAATATTCAAAAGAAAGGAATAAAGGAGAAACAGAAGAATAAAAACAGAAGAAACAAATAAGGAAAAATGGCACGATGCTAAACTTAAACCAACTATACCAGTAACAATATTTACATAGAATGTAAGTAAACTAAACTCTTTAAATTAAAGATAGAAAATGTCAGACTGGCTCAAAAATTATAGCCCGTGCATTGTAAATGAAAAGATACATATAGATTGAAAATAAAAGGATGGGAAAAGATATGCCATGCAAACAGTAATCAAAGAAAACTAGAGTGCCTATAAAACAAAAATTTCAATATCAAGAGTATGTTGCAAAAACTATGATACATTTATGCAAAATAGATTATCAATCACAAGAGACATAAAAACAATAAAAGGGGGCAATTTATCAGAAAGATAAACAATCCTAAACACATACACATCTAATAATAGAGCATCAAAGTTTGTGAAACAAAAATGAATAGAACTAAAAGGGGAAAAAGAGAAATTGACAATTATAGAGATTTTAGCAGCTGCCAATAATTGATAACAATAGGTGTACAAAAATATCATTAAAGATATAAAAGACATGAAAAACATTATTAACCAATTTGACTTAATATAGAACACTTCTCCCAACCACTTGAAAATACAAATTTTTCAGGTGCACACATGGAATATTCACCAAGATAGACTATAACCTGGACCAAAAAGAAATATTAATGAATTTCAAAAGATAGTACATAATATGGCCTCAAACCACAGTAGTACTAAATTAAAAATTAGGAAACTTAATCTGATAAAGGGCATCTACTAAAATCTCATGGCTAACTTCATACTTAATGGTGAAAGACTGAAAGCTTTTCCCATAGAATTAGGAAAAGGACAAAGGTGTAGTCTCTTGTCTTTTATATTCAACATTGTAATTAATGGGAGTTCTGGCTATGACATTTAGGCAAGAAAAAGAAATCAAAGACACCCAGATCATAAGGAAGAAGTAAAATAATTTTATGTAGGTGGAAACCGTAAAGCCATCACCAAAAAAAGAAAAACTATTAGAGCTAGTAAATGAGTTTGGCAAAGTTATAGGATATAAGATTAATATACAAAGTCAGTTGTACTTTTACACATTAACATTAATGCAAAAAGCGAAATGAAAAAATTTAATTTACAATAGCATCAAAAAGAATAAAATGCTTAGGAATAAATTCAACCAAGAGAGTGCAAGACTTGTCCACAGAAAACTACAAAACACTGCTGTAATTAAAGACCTAAATAAGTGAAAAGATAACCTGTATTTATAGGTTGGAAGACTTAATATTGTTAAGATGGTAATAGTTCCCAAAGTGGTCTACCAATTCAGTGTAATCTCTATTAAAATTCCAACTGCCCTTTTTGCAGAAATAGATAAACTGATTCTCAAATTCATATGAAATTACATGGGGCCCTGAATATTGAAAAAGAAGAACAAAGTTGGAAGATTCACATTTCCAAATTTAAAACTTACTAGCAAACTACCATAATCAAAGCAGTGTGGTATTGGCATTGGCATAATGATAAACATATAAATCATCAGAATAAAATTGAGAGTCTAGAAATAAACCCATACCCTCATATTTATGGCCAATTCATTTTAAATAAGAGTGTCAAGACCATACAATGGGGAAAGAATAGTACCTTCAACAAATGGTGTTGGGACAACTGGATATCCACATCAAAATAATGAAATTAAACGTCTACTTTACATCATATACAAAAATTAAGTAAAAATGAATTATAGACTTAAATGTAAAATTTTTAGGAGAAAATATAGAGGTAAATTGTTATGACCTAGATTTGTCAATGGTGTCTTACGATACCATTGTAAGAACAGAATCATATAGACCAAAAGAAAAAAATAGATAAATCCAACTTTATCAAAATAAAAAACTGCTCATCAGAAAACAAAACAATATCAAGCAAGTTAAAAGAAAATATTTGAAAATTATATATCTGATAAGGGCCTAGTATCTAGCAATATTTTTAAAATCTTAAACTCTACAACAAAAGACAGAGAATTCAATTCTTTTAAAAATAAGCAAAAGCCTTAAATAGACATTTCTCCATGGAAGATGTACAAATGGCCAAGAAGCATATTATAAAAATGTTTAACATCATTAGTCATTAGGGAAATGCAAATCAAAAACCACAATTGAAACAGTGTTGGTATTGGCAAAAGAATAAACACAAAGACCAAGCAAACAGAATAGAGAGCCTAGAAATAGACCCACACAAATAAGTCAGTGGAGAAAGTATAATCTTTTCAGTAAATGGTGGGGGAACAAATGTATATCCACATGCAAACAAATGAACCTAGACATAGAGTTTATATTTTTCACAAAAATTAACTTAAAATAAATCATAGACCTAAATTGCGAAACTACAAAATATCTACCAGAAAACAGGAGAAAATCTAGATAATCTTGAGTTTAGTCATGAGTTTTTAGAGATAACGCCAAAAGTCTGATTCATTAAAGAAAAAAGTCAGTAAGTTGGACCTTATTAGAATTAAATTTTTTGTTTGCTGTGAAAGTCGCTATTAAGAGAATAAAGGCCAGGTCCAGTGGCTCAAGCCTATAATCCCAGCTACTCAGGAGGCTGAGGTGAGATGATTGCTTGAGGTCAGAAGTTTGATGTTGCAGTGAGCTATGATTATGTCAGTGCACTCCATCCTGAGCAACAGAGTGAAACCTCATTGAAAAAAAAAGACAGAGAGAGATAGAATTAAAAGACAAAGCAAAAATTAGGGGGAAATTTTTCAAAATACAAAATTTGATAAAGGATTTTTATCCAAAGTATACAAAAGACTCTTAAAGCATAACAATAAGAAAACAAACAACCAAAAAAGATATACAGAGGGCAAATAACCATAAACAAAGACCTCACCAAAAAAGATATACAGATGGCAAATAACCATGAAAAAAGATGTTTGACATCATATGTCATTAAGGAATTGAAAATTAGAACAACAATGGGATACCACTACACACTTATTAGAGTGGCAAAAATCCAAGAAACAAAACACAAAAAACAACAACAAAAACCCTGACAATACCAATGGCTGCCAAGAATGTGGAATAAAAGGAATTCTCATCTATTGTACAGCATGGTAACTATGTTAAATAATGATGTATTGTATACTTGAAAATTGCTAAAAGTGTAGATACTAAATGTTCCCACAATAGCAACCAAAAAATAACTGTGTGAGATATGGATATGTTAGTTAGCTTGAATGGGATTATCATTTCATAACATATATCAAAACATCACATGGTACAGTGTAAAGATATACAATGTTTATTGTCAGTTATACCTCAATAAAGCTGGGGGGAAAATAGACCATGATGTGGCTCTGAAAGTGATCTTTTTTTTTTATTGAATTAAAATTTGAAAGTTCTGGTTTAAAGAGAAAGGAACCCTCATTCATTATCAGTGAAAATCTAAATGACACAGCACTTTAGAAGACAGTTTGGCAGTTTCTTACACAACTAAACATAGTTTTATGTACAATCTAGCAATTGTACTTTTAAGAGTTTACCAAACTAATTTGGAAACTTATATCCACACAAAAATTGTGCACAAATGTTTATAGTAGCTTTGTTTGTAATCAGACAAAATTGGAAGCAACCAAAATGTCCTTCAATATGTGAATATATAAACAAATTGGTACCCCCATACAATGGAATGTTATTCAACAATAAAAACAAATGAGTTATCAAGTTATAAGAAGACATAAATGAATCTTAAGTGGGTATTGATAAGTGAAAGGAGCCAGTCTGAAAAGGCACATACACAATGATTTCAATTACAGTATAAGATATTCTGGATAAGGCAAAATGACAGCAATAATAACCCTATCAGTGGTTGTGTGGGGTTCAAGAGTAGGGTTTCGGGCTAAACAGGTGAAGCACAGGGGGTATTTTCGGGGTAGTGAAATGATTCTATATGACACAGTTATGGTGAATATATGACACAATACATTTGTCAAAACAAATGTTACAGCCCAAAGAGTGAATCTTAATGTATGCAAATTGTTTAATTATCTAGGAAATTGGGAGATCCCAAGATAAAATGTAGAATATAACAAAATAATTAACTGTATTACAAATGAATGAAACAACCTTGCTGAAGGAGTTGGGGGTAAAAGATGCTGACCTAAGTAACTTCGAAATGAGTTAAATCTGTAAGACTAAAGGCAAAACAAATTGTACATAAAAACTGTGCTGTAGTTGATAAAGTCATTTCTAATGGGAGTATGGGCCAGTTCTGATAGGGTTTTACACGTATACTGGAATTTAATAATTAAGTAAATGGTTTGGTGGATGGCGGGATCCAGGTTTCTTATTGCTGGAGTGGGAAGTTACAGATGAGCAAGGGGAAGAGGCTAGAAGGATTTGGGTGGTAAAGAATTAGAGTTGGAGACATCAGTGTGAACTCATGTTTAGCTTCATATAGTTATAGATGGCTACACAAAAAAAAAAATGATAGGTTACACAAGTTAGTCGGTTAGTATACACACATATATTTCTTCTGTCTGCTGAGATATAGGAAAAGCACCTTGTAGTACCAACAAGCACACCTAGCATTCAGATCTTAGTTTTTAACATTATTCTCCATTAAAAGGAGCCAGTGTTCTTTGGAGAAATGACTGATTCTATGTCTTAGTCAGAAGATACACAAGATGAACCTTGAGCATCTTGTGGTGCCAGAATGTAAGAACATGCTTTTTTAAAAAAACAACAAAAAAGTACACAATGATGGAGGTATTTCAAAAGGTCAAAGAAACCAAATGAAAGAGCTCCCAATGCCCCAAGGCTGGAAAATTTTGAGCAGCGAGATAAATGAAGTAGTATTGGATTATAACCCAAAGTATAAAATAAATATCTATGAGTCCTTACTGAAATAAAATAAAAACATAAATAAATCAATGGGACAAGAGACAAATGTACTGTGCAATCGAATTCCACATAACGCACACAAATACTTCACTTTCAAGGAAGGGGAGCATACATTCCCACCTCTTAAGTGTGGGCTGCACATAGTGACTTAATTTCAAAAAATATGGCCTGGAAATAGGGAAAAAAAATAGCTTTATAGTAAAGAATCCTGACACACACTGCCTCAGCCTGGTGATCAAGATGAACACCAACAGTGATAAATCATGTTGCTGGTATATACGCTTGAAAAGATGTGATTAATATGGCAGTTTACCTCTGTGATCTTCCTTCCAAGAACACATAATTCCAGTCTAATCTTTAGTAAAACAGCAGACAAATTCCAATTGAAGGACATTCTACAAACTATTTGAGCAATACTCATGAAAACTGTCAAAGGTGCTGAAAATGAGGTAAGTCTGAGAAACTGTCACAGGCATGAGGAGTTCAGGAGACATGACTACTAAATGTAATATGGCTTCCTGTATTGGATCTTGGACAGACAAAGGACATTAGATAAAACAAAGGAAATCTGAATAATGTGTGGACTTTAGTTAATAATAATGTATCAAAATTCCTTTATCAATTGTAAACAATGTACCACACTAATGTAAGATGTTGATAATAGAGGAAATTGGGTGTGAGGTATATGGAAACTCTTTGTACTATTTTTGTAGTATTTCTGTAAATCTAAAACTGTTCTAAAATAAAATGTTTATTTTTAAAATGTAGTACAATTTATAATCACATCAAAACTACAAGATTCTTAGAAATAAGTTCAACAAAAGATGTGTAAGACCTATATGCTAAAAACTAAAACTCATCTCTGACAGAAATTGACCTATGCAATCAATATCATCCCAATCAAAATCTTAGCAGGATTTTTAAAAATAGAAATGGTCTATCTCATTTGTCTAAAGTTTATATGCAAATTTAAAGAACATAGGATTCTTTAACTATTTTGAAAAGGAAAAACAAAATTAGAGGACTTTTACTATCAGATTTTAAGACTTATTATAAATCCACAATAATCATGAGAATGTGGCATTAGTGTAAATACAGACACATCGATCAGTGGAGCCAAGTATGTAGTTCAGAAATAGACCTACATATATGATAAATTACTTTATTAACACAAGTGCCAAGGTAATTCAATAGGTAAGTGATAGTCTTTTTGTAAAACGGTGCTGGAGTATTTATATATTCATATGGAAAAAATGAATGCCAATTCTTACCTTATGCCATACACAAAAACTAATTCAAAATGAATTGTATACATAAACATACAAGCCAACCCTATAAAACTTCTGGAAGAAAACAAGAGACAAAGTATTCATGACTTTGACATAGTCAAAAATATTTTATACAGGACACAAAACATTAATGAGAAGACAAACAATCCAATATGGGTAAATGGTTTGAAGAAGACACATCAAAAAAAAGATATACAAATGGACAATAAATACATAAAAAGATTCTCAGCGACGTGGGGAAAAGCAAACTACAATCACAATGAGATACCATGACACACCCACTTGAATGACTACAGTTAAGACCGAGGCCTGATGCAGTGGCTCACGCCTGTAACCTCAGTGCTTTCGGAGGCCAAGGTGGGATGATCACTTGAGGCCAGGAGTTCAAGGCTGCAGTGAGTTATGAATGCACCACTGCACTTCAGCATGGGTGACAGAATAAGACCCTGGCTCTAAAAAAAAGAAGAAGACTGATAATTGCAAGCGTCGGCAAAATTATGGAGCAACTGTACCTCTCATATATTGCTAGTGGGCATATAAAATGAAACCATCACTTTAGGGAACAATTTAATTGCTTCTTAGAAAGTTAAACATACATTTACCCTATGACCAAGCCATTCTTCTCCAAGGTATTTTGTCTAAGAAACACAAAAATATGTGTGCCAAAAGACTTTCGCAATATTCATAGCAGCTTCATTTGTAATAGCTCCAAACCAGAAGCCACCCAAATGTCTGTCAACAAGTGGATGAATAAACAAACTGCAGAATACAGGTTGAAAATTTGAAATCCAAAATGCTACAACATCTGAAACCTTTTGAGCACCAGTATGACACCACAAGTAGAAAATGACACATCTGACCTCATGTTGTGCACATGAGGTCAAAATGCATGTGCACAATACATTTCATTCAACGTCCCCAAGGCAGGAATAACCCTCCCAGACATTTTAAAAAGCCATCCAGCAGAATGCCTCCTCATTCCTAGGAGACCCACTTCCTGGTCCTTCACTTGCTTCTGATGCTTCTTCTCACCAAAAAACAAAATAAAATGCAGTATACAGTAACCTTTTAATTAAAACACAGCATCCGAGATAGGGATTGAGAGCCTGGCATTGTTTGTTTTTGCTAACAGCTGATACAGGCATTCCATTGATGCTTCTGTGCTGCTTAGTTACACTGAACACATTGTTTTTTCACTCTGTGCATGGTAGATCATATTTCTACTCTTAAGTAGTTATGTGTGAATAAATGTAAGAAAATAACTGCTTATTGATAGCATATAAATTCAGAGCCAGGTAGTATATAAATTCATCAATGATAGTGATGCCAAACACCACCAATTGTCCAAATAGATGGCTGAGATAGTGATACCTTTGCTTTCTGTTGATTCAACATACATAAACTTTGTTTCTTGCACAAAGTTATTAAGAATATTTTACAAAATTACCTTCAGGCTATGTGTATAAGATGCACATGAAACATAAATGAATTCCGTGTGTAGACCTGGGTCCCATCTCCAAGATATCACATGTATTTGCAAATATTCCAAAATCTGAAAAAATCTGAAATCTGAAACACTTATGGTCCCCAGCAATTCAGGTAAGGGATACTCAATCTGTATGTATGCAATGGAATAATACTCAGAAAAAAAAATTAAAAACCTATTGACATACACAGCATAGATAACCTCACAAATATTCTGAACATAAGAAGACAGACACAAACAGTACATACTGTGTCATTTCACTTCCACCAAGTCCTAGAACTGGCAAAACTAACTCCTTATGCTAGATAACAGATCTGTGTTTGTCTGATAAGAGGAACAACCTGTTGCTGGAAAAGACCTGAGGAAACTTGCTGGAATGATTATAATGTCCTATGTCTTAATCAGAGTGACGGTTACATTGGTGTGTGCATTTTTCAAAACTTGTGCACTTACAATACTCCACTTTATTGTATGTCAGTTATACCTGCAACGCTGATACATAAATGTTTAAAAGTTCCATGTGGTGTTAGGAGAGGGATGTCGGTGGCACACCAGCAGGTGAAGGGAAACACATGGAGACAGCAGTCTTTATCTCTCTTTATGTCCCATATCCTCTGGCAGGAAAGGAGAATCCTGTGTCAGGCAATCAAATCTGAGGTCTGCCCACATGGACACACTAGGTAGCGAAGGGTGCAAATAATTAAACACAATGAAGAAAATGCTCTGATACGACTTATGTAAGTGTTAGGAGAACACAAGAGGGACGACCTACTCTGCCAATAAGGGGACTTGCACGGGGAGGTGCCAACCAGAGCGGTGAAGGGAAAATCAGATATGCTAGAAGAAGAAATCCTAAGTGGTGGTAATGAAGAAAAGATAGGCAGAGGCAAAGGAGCAGAGAAGAGCAGAGCTTGGTTCTGGAATAAGTTCAAAATGGATGAAGGATGCGGCACCATGGAAGGAAAATGTGGATGCGGGTGTGTGACGTCAGGCCCCATACATCAGAGAATTCGGATGTGTCCTTTGGAAGTGATTGGGAGGCATTAACCTGAGAAGACCGTGGCCAGATTTTGATCTCAGAAAGCTCACTGTGGGAACCATGGGACATAGAATAGAGGAGGAACAGGAAGAGATGCTAGAGATCATAGGAGTCTAAGACAGCGACTGAGGCAAGAGATAATATCCTGGAGCAGCGGGAGTAGGGGGCGCTAAGGAGGTGATAAGAAGAGAAGGGGCAGAGTTCAGCACCTGCCAAAATCCCTGAAGCAGGCACAAGTCCAAGTCCATTATCTCTCTCAAAATGAAACTCACCCTAACATCTCAACCCCTTCAGCCATCATAAAACTAATTCAGTAGATCCAGTTATAGATCCACTGAGTTCTTCATTACCACCACTTAGGATTCCTTCTTCTAGCATATCTGATTTTCCCTCCACAGCTCTGGTTGGCACCTCCCCGTGGAAGTCCTACTATTGGCAGAGTTGATCGCCCCTCTTGGGTTCCCCTAACACTTACATAAGTCCTACCAGAGTATTTTCTTCATTATATTTAACCTCGCTGTGGTTAGAAAGGAAGGGATACACCACCTCTGAGCATTGGCGCATTATAGTTTCTCTTTAAGTCAACAGGCCTGGCAAGAATTTCAAAATAGTGGTCACCGCCATGTTTTTGGGTACTGATTGCCTTTCTAAAGCATGTTGGATGGGAAACTTGTTTTTGACCTTGCCCTTTAGTCTTGCTTCAAGGTTGATTGAAATTCCTGTGCACACTGTAGTGTCTGTAAATCTGGAGTTTACATTTAATCTTGCCATTCATTTTTCTCCCACATACCCAGGATGAGGATAATTCTCTTTATCCTAATGAGATCTGGATTGCAGAACCATGCCACTCTATTTAGTGTCTGGTGGCAGCTTGCACAAGAGGTTATCCCCTCATGTCATGGCATGTTTACTCAGATGAAAACAGAAACAGCAGACTGGGCAATTACTCTTTGAATATTTAGTGAGGATGGAAATGGTCCAAGCTGTCCCTCCACTGAGAGTTCTGAGAATGAAGAAACAATCTACTACACCTGACATGGGAATTGTGGTAATGACTCCACCTCCAAGTTTCAAGTAGTTATTCTTCCATAAGTTGTTATTGAGCCCTACAATGTTCTGGGCCCTGTGCTGTATACTGGGGGCTACCAGAAAGGGGGGTCCTGAGGGGTCATGAGGGCACAGGAGAAGGTGGTTCACATGTTCCCATCAGAGCTCTCTGGAGACACCTCAGGTGCTTCTTGGCTCTTGTGGAATGTGGGGCTGGATTGGAGCTGTAGGCATACTAGAGCAGAGCCTGGGAGATGCTCTTGGCACTCAGGGCATGGAAGTCCTCAGCTCAGAGACTCTGATTACACGGTATGTAGACATATGGGGCAGAAAGACTCTTCTTCTGTTGGGGAGCTGCAGAGGTCACCACCCCTGTTGGGGAGCTGCAGAGGCTCTGACCTGGTGGACTCTGGGAGCAGGCCAACAAGAGTGTTGATATCTCTTTCCCTTCACCTGAGCTTCTTCACCTGCAGGAGTGTCCCCACTTCCTCCTAGAGACTCCTTTCTCCTTCTTTGCAGCCTCTTTGTTCACGCAGACCCAACTCCAATGGCATCTCCTCCATGAAGGCTTTCAGATAACTTAGGGCAGAGTTGATACTCCATCTTTAGTGCTCTCACAATTCTTGTATGTCACAGAGGAGGTGGCACTGTAGCTGGGCTCAAAGAATAGGTAGGATTCTGGAGGCATTGTGTGTAAAAAATATATACATGGGCCAGTCACAGCGTGATGTCTTGGAAGGGTGAATGCATTCAGTCACTTATTCACTCACTCACTCATTCATTCTATGTATATTGTTGAGTTCTGACAAGGTGCCAAGTCAGTGCTCAGTGGTGAGAATCCAACTGGGACTCTGGTAGAACTGGTCCAGGCCTGCACAGAGAGGTAGGTTAGTCTCTCTCTCACGTGAACACACACTTGCTTTCAAAAACTGACATGCTGCATTGACAACTGCAGCCTCTGTGTTGTCCTGACCTGCTAGTTCAGTCTCAGGAAGAGTTGAGAGTTTATGGCAGATTAATAGCAAAATGCTACAGAGATTTGCATATGGAAGAGAGAACTACAATATTCATCCAATTTTTAAGTACAAATAAGGCTTTTTCTTTTTCTGTTCTTGCTATACCCTGGGCAAGAATCTTCTTAGAAATTGTATATCTCTGAAGCTAATTGCAGGATGTATTTTTCTGGATTTTTTTCCATTTATTTCCCCACAGAAAGAAATATTTGTTTCTAAATGTAAAGAAGATCTTCTGATCAGTTATGTATCCTCTGGAAATAAAAATGAACTGAATTATTCTAAGTTGAATGACATAGTATTTACCACAGTGGAAGAAAAAAGATGGGATATAATTTCTTTTTGAGAACCAGTCAGAAAACTCAAAGGGATTTTCATATACTCATACCAATTATTGGGGCTGTATGTATTCCCCCAAATTTGGGTGGTTTTGACCTCAGCCTGATTTTTGTTATAACTGTGTTCAACCTCCTGTTCAGTGAGTTATAAATGAGTTAAATGGTTTATTACTCTTCAAATAAGTGAGCTAAATGAAGTTTTATTTGGAAGGAATGTATGATACCTTTTGAAATAACAGATGGTTCACAAGAGGGTCAGAGATGGTCAGAGGGTCAGGGGATATAGGTTTATGGGCCCAGAAGCCCAAACTTGCACCACTGTTGAGGGTAGAATTCAGCAACTACTGCCAGTCATCAGGTCAGGCTCAGGTTGTAGAGGAACCAGCAAGAGATTCTCAGCCTTCATTCATCCAACAAACCCATTCTGAGAGATCCAGGTAGCCTGTAGTGCAAATGGGGAACAATAAGTACCCTGCAGAAAAGAACCTGGAGAAACTCCAATGGGCAGGAAGTCATGACATAAATGATCATGGAGGACAGAGGAGAAAAGCACCTCCCCCAGCCCCAGGGAGGAGGGAGAGGTGTGATGGAAGGAAGAAGGAAAAGGTGATACATAAAGAAAACTCAAAGGGCAAAAGAAGTGAGCCAGGTGAACAGGGCTCATGACATGCCAGAGAGAAGCAGCAGCATGTGCAAAAATGTGGGTGTGAAGTGTGGCCAGACATGTTGCAAACTGCAGGTCACTTCATCTGGCTGGAGTAGCAAGGGCATGAAAAATATGGGGAGGAAAGGGGGCCTGACTGTACTGTGGACACCTGTTAAACACTATGTTTAACCATTGCTAGGACCCAACCAACAACCAACTCTGGAGTCCTTCTGGGGGAGCCTCAGCAAGTTACTTCAACTCCCTGAACCTCGATTTTCTCGTCTGTAAAAGGGGCATAATAGCAGCACTTCCATATAGAGCTATAAATGAACTAGTAATCAACATAATGTACATCGTTTTGCCTTCATGGACTTCACATCCTGGTAAGTAACACATGCAATATGCTTGGCCCAATAAAAAGCATAGTATAAGTCCTTAAAATATTCTAACTGACCTGTCTTTTACTTTTGGTCACTAACCTCATTATTATTACTCTTTGGCTTATCTCAAGAGAGAATGTTCTTCCTACCAATCTTCATTTCCTAGGGATCTCACCCCCAAAAACTCCATGTAAAAGCCAATCAGATGATTCTTGCTTTCCTAATTTTCACACTTCATGCTCCAATGTGAAAATATTGCCTTATGTGACTATTTCAGTGCTAATTAGAAAACACATTTATTTATCCCTTTTATTACTTTGTTCAAGATAATTAAATCATTTATTGATTACACATGACAATGGGTGATACACATACTTCATTTCCATCTTTAATTTTATCTGCTACCATTAATCAATTTAGATGTATTCCATAGGATGTGCTAACAATCATCTTTATAACAAATAATTCATGATTTCCCTCTTAATGGCAAACTTCAGGTCACAACAGTAACCATCAGGTCAACTACACCAAGGTTTCTGAAGACAATGGGTTTTCTACCCAGAAGATTGTAAATAAATTCCAAATAGAATCTGTCATCACCCTGAAGGAATCTAACTTCACACTGTTGGGGAAGTTTACCAAGGTGGCTTCAGAGTAGACTAACTTTACACAGAACATTTTTTTAAAAGACACATTTATTCAGCATCATGTCAGACTATTACATTTAGCAATCAATAGCATGGGTGCAAAAACAAAAAAAACTACATTAAAACCCTTTGTTGGAATGCTTTATACTTTCCACAGAACAGAAACTAAAATCACTGGTTATCCAATTAGTCACAAATACAATTCTTGAGTTTTTTGCCCATACATATGAGTATTTGTCTAAAGCATGTCTTATTTGTAGCAGCTAGGCCCTGCCACCACTGTGCTTGGCTGAGTTCACAAATCTGTTGTAACCTGTAGCTTTCCTGTCACTTCTCTGACTCTCCTCTCCTGCTAAGCTGTTTCCTGGCAGTAATGAAAATCCTCGGACACTGCCATAGCTACTGCTGCTACTGGAACTGGCATAGCCACCTTGGTTTTGTACTTTGGCAAAGTATTGGCATCTACCACCACAGGGGCCAGACCTTCTTCCTCCAAAGTTTCCTCTCTTTATGCGTCCAAAATTTGAAGACTGATTGTTGTAATTGCCAAAATCATTGTAGCTTCCACCACCTCCAAAATTGCTTGCATCATTACCATATCCATTATAGCCATCCCCACTGCCACCATATCCACCACCACCAGGGCTGCCACCAAAGCCACCATGACCACTGAAGTTCCCTCCATGACCAAAGTTGTCATTCCTGCCAAAACCACCTCCACGACCACCACCAAAGTTTCCAGATCCACTTTGACCTCTTTGGCTGGATAAAGCACTAGCCATCTCTTGCTTTGACAGGGCTTTTCTTACTTCAAAGTTGTAGCCATTCCCACAGGATGGTATTTCTGAATGACAATCTTATCCACAGAGTCATGGTCATCAAAGGTTACAAAGGCAAAACCCCTTTTATTGCCACTGCTTCTGTCAGTCATGATTTCAATCACTTCAATTTCCCCATACTGTTCAAAATAATCTCTGAGGTGATGTTCTTCAGTGTCTTCTTTAAAGCCACCAGCAAGTATCTTTTTTACAGTTAAGTGGGCACCTGGTCTTTGAGAATCTTCTCTTGAGGCAGCTCTCTTTGGTTCCGTGTTTCTTCCATCCACCTTGTGTGCCTTGCATGCATGACTGCATCCACTCCTCTTCCGCAGTGGCATATGTGTCAAACCCAAAGCCCCTGGAGTGCTTGGTGTTTGGATCCCTCACTACCGCACAGTCCGTGAGCGTTCCCCATTGCTCAAAATGGCTCCTCATACATTCATCGGTTGTTTCAAAGCCCAACTCTTTGATGGAGAGCTTCTGCAGCTGTTCAGCCTCTTTAGGAGACTCTGACTTAGACACAATGACAGTCAGAAGAGGGACTTTAACAATATTTCCTCAGTGTCATCCACAGGCAGAAAGCTGTTTACCTTTTAAACGGTAAATGGTAGACATCCCATGGGGAGAGACATGAACTACATACAGAGTAAAACCATTTATACAAGGAAACTGACCCCTATAAATTAACAAGGAAACTAAATGAACTAGAAAGAACTTCCTATGTTTCCCGAGTTTCAAAAAGGAGTCTGTCCATCTGATACTAACCAAAGTCATAAATAAAATATTAGCAAATGGAATCCAGCACTGAGTTTAAATAATGAAAACTGATGTTAATGGCAGAATGTTTCCATGGTAGGAAATGCATTAATATAATTAATCACATCAATATATGGAGAGATAAAAGGAAATGACAGTTTTGATCATGGCAGAGTAGCTTCTACTGAGTGACTGAGATAGAAGCTCTGACTGCGGTGAGCCCAAGGGTGAATTAGATGAGGAATTGAGACAGCAGTTATAGAAGAGTCTTTCCAGGCTTGTAGGAAATAGCATAGGAAAGAGAGAGATGGGGTAGGAGCTTGAGACAGTGCACAGGGACAAATGATAAGTTAGGGTATGTGCCTTTTCAAGGTTTAAATATTAGAACATATTTATAGCCTGCAAGATAGGTGTCAATGTTGGGGGAATGTGTCAATATTAAAAAAGGGGAGGGGAAGGGAGGGGAGAGGAGGGGAGAGAAGGGAAGGGAAGGAAAGGGGGTGAACCTTCCAACTCTCAGTGAGTCTGATAAGGGGTTAAGAGCACAGACTCTAGAGCCAGACTGATGGGTTTGCATCCTGTCTCCATCATTTACTAGCTGCGTGTGACCTTGGGCAAAATACTTAACCTCTCTCTGCCTCATATACTCCCCTGCAAGGTAAAAATACTAATGATGCCTTCCTCATAGAGTTGCTATAGGATTAAATGAATTAATATTTTATAAAGTGCTTAGAACAATGTCTGGCAATATCTGTCAAATAAAACAAATAAAATATCTGTCTTCTACTAATTAATTATTTGTACTATTTGTTATTAATATTACCAGGTATAGAAAATGTATTATTGTATCTATTGTAGAATAGAAATTATTCCTTTCTGACTGGGTACAGAGAAAAGGATGGCAACAGGAATTGAAAAGATGCCAGATAATTAGAAGAAGAGTTGAGATCAAAGGTTGCCCATGCCACCTATGATCATCATGGAAGAGAGGCCGGATTCCCCGGAGTGTTGAAGGTGATGAGTCAGCCAGAAATCCCCAGATCCCACTCTGCCCCAGGATCATGTTGGCCATCATAACAAAACAAGGAAGGAGTGTGAAGGAAGAAGAAGTCAGAGCAGAATAAAGTGGCACCTGGGGTGAAGAGAGAGCCCAGGAGAAGAGCCAGGTGGTTAAAGAAGGACCTCCATGTTTGTTCCTTTATGCTTCCATATTATTTGAATCTTTGATAATGAAAATATGTCAATATAATATTTAGGCAGCTAAAAGAATGAATAAAGTGCAAGATGTAACTATCCAGGGAAAGCGAGAAAGGGCACACAGGAAGATCTCCCTGTATTGTTTTGTACAGCTGTATGTGAATCTATAAGTGCATCAGTAGAAATTTCAATTTAAAAAAAAAAATGATAGTGTGTTCTTGGGGGGAAAAAAATCCCTACACTGTCTTCCTCACTGTAATCTCAACCACCACATCAGGGGGACACAGGAGTATATATTTTATATGTAGAAATTAAAATTATGACAAAAGGCACACTTCTGTCTGTGCATAATATATCATGGACCAGGCAAAGTGACTGAAGCAAAGGATATTCTGACAGGCGCTTGAGGGGGAAAGGCCGGCAATCAGCCTCTCAAGGGCCTGTGAGAATATCCTTTGCTTTGGTCTCTTTGCCTGGTCCATGTGTTTTTTTGGGTTTTGTTTTTGTTTTTTGTTTTGTTTTGTTTCGTTTTTTAGCTCAGAATGTTGGTGTTGTCAGTGTGCTAAGAACTGAGCAGCATGTAAAGGTGGACAAACAGGAGCCCAGTTCACAGTATCGACAGATGAACACATTTGTCATGTGTTCATGACAGCACAACCTAGTCACTAAGAACAGGGGTTTTATTAAAAGGCAACCTTTAGATTCTAATCTTTCTACTGCCACTTACTACCTGTGTGGCTTTGGGCAATTTTCTAAACCTCTCTGGGCCTCTATTTCCTCATCTGTAATAATTAGACTATTACTGTATCACCTTATTTGAAAGAAGAAATGTCGGGAGTCTTCATGATAAGCATGGCAATTAACAAGTATGTTGATATTGACTACTCTCAAAACTTTTTGAAGATAATAGTTAAGGAACAAAGGATGTATTACATGCAAGCCCAAAGAAAACAGAGTAGGCAAAAGGGGAGAGTGGCATCAACAAGATTTTTGGAATATCGAAAATTGCTGAAGTAACAAAGTAACAGACCAGACTGAACAGAGGAAGTTGAAACCTAAAAATGTCTACCCAGACTTTCTTGTAAAATCCAAGTATAAAAGAATTAAAAGGTATTTTGGCAATCAAGGTTCTCTCTTTAAAATGGGACCTAAGACTCAAAGAACAGCAACTTGCTCAGGGAGACATGGCAGCAAGAAGCAGAGCTGGAACGAGACCAGATTAGATCATGACATGCCAGAGAGAAGCAGCAGCATGTGCAAAAATATGGGTGCAAAGTGTGACCAGTCATGCTGCAAACTGCAAGTCACTTCATTTGGCTGGAGTAGCAAGGGCATGAAAAATACGAAGAGGAAAGGGGCCTGACTGTACTGTGGACACCTGTTACACACTGTTTAACCATTACTAGAACCCAACCAACAACCAGCTCTGGAGTCTTTCTGGGGGAGCCTGAGCAAGATACTGCAACCCACTGAGCCGTCTTCCTGGTCTGGCTGCTGATGACCTAACTCAAATCCTAATGCTTTGCCATTAGGTATTTCTTCTTCCTTGATATGATATCTAAGCAGGAATGTCCGGTGCACTGACCAAAGTCAGGATCTTCTGTTTTTCCTAGTCTGGGGCTATAGAAGTCTGCAGGAAGATTACTGAGATGGGAAGAAATGAAGAGGGAAGAAAGGAACTAGATGGAGCACTTCAGCATCTCCACAGCCAAATAACCTTGGCAGACTGTTTGATTTTTCCAGAAAGTATCTGCAAAGGCAGAGACGCACTGCAGAAGACAGCGACATGAAGGAGGCCACTTTTGATATCTTGAAACTAGTGGAGGTTCAGAATGAATTTGCTGCTCCTCTGGCCCCAGGTGACAGAGCTGTTGGAAGCCTGAACGGAGTTCAGCAAATTAATCTTGCATATTTTATGGGTCCTGAATGCTGCATTCCTGATGTTGATTACCGACTCCACCAGTGAAGGGGGGATTTGTTTTATGGTGATTTCAATTACAGATAACTGTTATACCCAGAATCACACAGCAGCTGCTTGTAAACCAGAACTTGATATGAACGCAGGCTGTCGAAGGCCAAGGACTGCCCAGAACATGCTTTTAATTTAAAGCTGATGAGAAATAGCTGTTTCTAGAGAAAGAAGTTCTGTTCTTTTCATGTTTTGTGTGCTTTGAATTCAGTATAACACAGAAATGAAATATGACAGCATTCATGCTTAATGCGCCTTTCTGGTTTTCTACTGGGGATAACCGGGATTTTAATATTGTTATCTGGTGGGCAGAGAGAAATGACCTAGCAATCCTGACACCCCCAACTTGGATTCTCTGCGTTATAGAATAGGTTCCTGGCTTCATGCAAGGGACTCGGGAGGATGCCTATGCATGACACCTAGAAACACCAGGGGGCGCTGCAGGGTGGCAAAGGGCCTTCAGGCATGCAGGCTGTCTAGGCAATGAAGGCCTTTTTCCTTGTCATGCTTGGCGACTGAAAGACAGCCTTCCTCTGCTTAAGCCACCAATGTGTGCATAGCCAAGGGCAGCAGGCTAAGCATCTCCATTTGAGAGACCAAGTCTCAGGCAAGTGGTAGCCCCATCGCAGAGGCCTAGAGCATCACAACTGCAAAGGAGCAGGCGTTTAGTATAACCCGGCATTTCACTGAGGGGAAACTGAGGTCGTGGGGGCAGGTCAAGGTAACAGGAAATTGGAATCTCACCTTGGACTAAAATCAGACTTCAGTGCTAATTTCAGAAACCCATTATTTTCATTTTCTTACTGATTCCTCATACCAGAGTCTGAAAAGGCAAAATGTTTGAACCTTTCATCTCTTACATTTTCCATCAAATCATCTTGAAGAATGCCACACTGTTGGGTTCTCTTTTCTGTTTTAAAAACCTGGTGGTCAGCCCTGTAGGTATCCCGCCCCAGGAACAATGGTTTACAGTAAAGGAGAATGACAGACTCAGCCCTGTCACCCTCCAGTGCCAGTGTGTGTAAGTGTACAGAACAAATTTATTTCCCTGTGTCTACACTTGCATAGGTTTGACCCTGTGCACATAAGTCCTAACCCCTCCCAGCCTTTTTCTTTCTGGTCCAAAGAGTACTCCCTGCATTTTCCATTCCACAGGCCTGGCATGAATCCCACACACTAATATAATTAATTTTAATTTTTATAAAGAAAAACAACGTATTGTTGAGATTTGTGGGGATCCCCATGGAAACCAGGAATCCATATCCTCACCAACCCATGACACACATCAAAGTAACTATTTTTATACCTAAATGATTAGCATTTAAGCCCTGTTTATAGAAATCTCTCTAGCAAATTCCCAGTAATTGCTCCAGGCTCTTCCTCTCAGACCTCCTTGTCTGGCCAGACACAGCTGCTGCTTCTTCCTAGTCTGGCTGCTGATGACCACATCATCCCAGCTTTGGGATGAGGACATTTTGCTTTTCAATTTCTCATTGCACAGATTTAGGGAAGCATACATCTTCCCAAAAGGCAACTCCATTCTCCTGGAGCTGGCCATTGCAAAGGCCCATGGGCTCTGCCTCACACAGAGTGTGTAGAGAGGCTGGTCCTTGTGCACCTCCCAGCCTGTCCCCGATGGCGGGACCTGACTCATCGCCTCCACCAGGATGCTCCAGACATCTTCATGCACATTGTCTCCCAAGCCCCTCTGCACTCTTGGCCCCAGATTAGGAACATAGTCCTTCTATACCCTCTATCCAATGCCAGCAACCCTCCTGCTCTAGAATTAACTTCTTCTCAGGTTGACAATGGAAACCTCTACTTCCTCAGGAAGCCACCCGCAAGTGCACCCTGGAAAAAAAAGTCATAAAACCCAACAGTATCTGGCTTTTTACTACAATAAATAACAGCCCAAAGCTGGGTATGGTGGCTCACGCCTATAATCCCAGCAATTTGGGAGGCCAAGGCAGGCTGATGACCTGAGCTCAGGAGTTCAAGACCAGCCTGGGCAACATGGTGAAACCTGTTTCTACAAAAAATACAAAAAATTAACTGGGCGTGGTGGTGCACACCTGTAGTCCAGCTACTTAGGAGGTTGAGGTGGGAGGATGGTTTGAGCTTGGACGGCAGAAGTTGCAGTGAGCAGAGATCGTGCGTACCACTGCACTCCAGCCTAGGTGACAGAGCCAGATCCTGTCTCAAAAAAATAAATAAATAAAATAACAGCCCAAGAACTATAACAATGGTCCAATCTACCCTGCCTAAGCTTGACCCTGGTCCTGTTCATAGTCTTTCCTCACCGGAAAGAGATGAGTTCAGACAGGTGCCCCTCTCGCCCTCATCTGGTCCTAGCTCCCTTCTTCTGTCAGCAGATGCCAGAGTGAGAAGACACATGTGTTTTCTAACACTGGGCATGGGCAGGTCAAACACAGAGGTAAGAACAAAACAGAATGAAACTGAACAAGCTCCAGCTCAGAGAGGACACACTGCCAGCATTACCAGCTGTCTTTTCAGAACAGAACACTCAGAATCTCAGTTTGTAGGACTTCCATTTTGTTGTTTGGTACATGTGGGAGCTTCCCCAAGAAAAATGAGGTGGTTTTTAATTACCCAACATCTGCATGACTGGAAGCCCCTCCCAACCCCACCGGAGAGAGTGCTTGCGGAAACGTAGGAGGATCTACCCCCAAAGACAAGTTGCAGTGTTCATTCAAAAATGTGGAAATTGCCTTCAACTCCTCAAATGGCAGCATCTCCAACTTCTAAAAAATATATAGTACCTGCCATATAGTACCAATGCATACCTCTGATGCATTCAGA
The DNA here is from genome assembly GCF_000001405.40 of Homo sapiens. Classification (NCBI taxonomy): domain Eukaryota; kingdom Metazoa; phylum Chordata; class Mammalia; order Primates; family Hominidae; genus Homo; species Homo sapiens. The sequence goes on along the minus strand of NC_000005.10, from coordinate 136,422,671 downwards.
GGACCCTCTCAGTGCAGATACCAACATGGATGTTTCTAGGCTTCTTAATCCACAAGGGGTTCTCTGCAAATGCAGCTATGTTTAAAAAAAAATTAAGACAGGGAACAGCATGATCAAGTATTAAAGTACAGTTTTTGGTAAATTGAAGCCTTTAGGGGAAAATGATATAATAAACATGATGGCCCAACTCAGCACATCAGTTCTTTGAAAATGCTTCGATTTTTTCTTTCCAAATAAAGAAGTGGACTTCCGGACCCAAATTAGTAAGAGATAAAAACCTACTATTGTATTATGAACAGCCAAGAAAGGGTGAGTTCTGCATTCAACAATGCGCGAAATATTAAGAGGGCACTCACCTAGTTTCAGGCACAGGAGAGTAGAATCTCACCATTGAGACCACACTACCATGTGATTTGAGTCAAGGCCACCCTGTGAGCTCCACCTCTACTTCCCCTGGTGCCATCATTTCTCTGGGCAGCACCATACTACTGGACATATCAGTGGCTCTGAAGGCCCCAGTGCCAAACCCAGATGCTGCTGCTCTCTGAGAGGTCCCTGGGTGCTCAAAATCGCAAAAGATCATGAAGAGGTGTGTGGGGAGTGGCATGGTTTATATGCTCTTGGAGGCGGGGTTCCTATGCTCTCAGAGGGGCCCAGAAGCAATGTTCCTTGGTCACTTCCCTTAGAGCCCCCTCCAGCAGCCTGCTCACCACAGACCTCAGTCATCCATCAGACAGAGCACAAGATCAGAGATAAACAAGGAAGAAGGTCTTTTCATTGGATAACACTTGACACTTCTCAAGTTTGCCCTGCCTGGTTCCTCTGCCGTTAGGATAAGTTCTCTCCAGGAGGCTCCTTAGTGCCTGGTGCAATGAGAATTTCGGCTGGCTCACTTCCTGATCTAACAGATACACCAACTTGTGCCTGATGCCCAGTGGGCATTAAGCTCCATGCCCCCCAGACATAGATGACACACCAGCCTGGAGGGTAGAGCTACTATGTCTGCCCTGTGCAGTCATCCAAAATGTGCCCACACTCACTGGCCTCCTGCTTCTCATTTTAGTACCCATTTCTATCTCAGGGCATGACATCTGTTGGTGGAATTGACTATTGTTTAACGATAAGGTTCAGAACTCAACAACCAGGATGGCGAAGAAGATGGCTGGCCGCTGGGGCATCCCTTCTGCCAGCTGTTGGGACTGCATGCCTTAGGACCCTCTTCAAAGGGAGGATGAGAGCTGCTCATTCTCTTACTCCTCTCTACTGATTCTCTGTGAGCCACAACTTACATTGGTTGCTGCCTCGGGAAGAGTTGAGATCCTACATGGATCCTCACCTATATGGTGAACTGAGCACAGTGCCTGGCACACAACAAGCCCTGACCCAAGCATGCCCACTCTCCAACATGTCCATTCATCCAGAGAGCTCTTGAATTTCTTAAGCCCTCCTGGGTAACATATACATGCAGTCCCAGGCTCAAGGAACTTAGAATATAAGAGATACACAGACAAAGCTGCAGAAACCCTTACTGAGATAAATATCAGAAGACATCTTCAAGGAAAGCAACTTCCAGTGTAGCCAGAATATTCGCCTTAGTGCAAGCATAGCCACGATCCTGGGCATGTGCTTTCAGACCCTGTTTCATCCATTTCTTTGATGAATTTAATTTTGCCCCTTTTATTGATGAGATCTGGGTGCACTTTAGTTTCTGCCTGGGTTGACAAGGAAATGAGTTGATGAGGTATAATCTTCCAATAAAGAAAGTACATATGGGAGCATATGTTAGCTCCGTAAACCAACAATCTCCATTGTAACCATTGAATGATTATTTCCTATCTTTCCTCAAATGCTCCATGGGGAAGCTCTCAGCAGGAGGGACAGAGTGAGAGGATGGAAATCAGCCCTGAGCCAAAGCAAACACTCTCTTTCTTTGCTTCTCTTGCCAATGTCACTAAATTTATAGATGGCATAATTGGAAAGCTCGGCTTTTAGCCAAGTGTTGTTTTCTGAAGGGGTCAGGGGTGGGGGAGCAATAAAAATGTTAATTGCTCTACACGCAAGCTCAAGGCCAGCTGCCCCCTGCTCCTATGCCACATCAATCATTGCAGCCCCTAGTCCTACCCAGAGATGAGGCTTCTCTAGTAGAACTCCCAGTAAGAGGAATAATCCACACTGACCTCCTCAGGGGCCTGCAGCTTCTGACTGCAAGATAAACATTTGCAATATGGGCCTTATATTATTTCCAAGGCTCTGGAAACTCCATTCTCCAACTCAGAAACCGAGGGTCACTCTGTTTCTGAGAGTGCAGAATGAAGCAGTGTTGGACCTACTAAAGCAACAGTCCCACAAAGACAGAGACCCCCACCTGTGACTGCTAGATCCCGAGCCCCTGGCACTGAGAGAAGCACAGTAAATATTCATGGTCTCTCCCCTCTGGCTACTACCTTCACTTCTTCCCTCATCCCTCTACCCATAGACAAAGACAGAGAAACACAGATACACCCAAAGACTCAGCCAGACACCTAACAGGACACATGCACACAACATAATACAGGCACACACACACTACACGTTCACATATACCCCTTTCCCCCACTTCCCCATGCACACACACACAGAGACAACTTAACCTTAATAACAAAATGTAGGGCTAGAATTACCATTACTTATTTCATCAGCTTGATGCTCCACTTTCCTAGTGAAAATACAGCAATTTATACCGTGTAGGGGGGTGAGTATTTTGTTTCATTTATCTCCCAGCTTCATTGGCCATTAGAGTTTTTCTAAGGCCAATCTCTTCATTTTTAAAATGGGAACTCAGAGGCCCAGATAGGAAGGGAGGCTGCTTAAGTGAATTAGAGAGGGTCAGGAATGAATATGGTTCTTTGTTTCTTAAGCTAAGTGATCCCGAGTTCCTTCTTGTGATGTCTCAGCCATTGTGCCCACCTTGGCCAACCTGGTAACAAAAGGGACTACCATTTATTGTGTCTCCCAATTCCCAGACATGGGACTAGGCCCTTGGCACGTGTTATCTCTAATCTCAATGTCAACACTTCGGGGTACATGCTATCATCTCCATCTCAGCACTAAAGAAACCAAGGTTCAAGGAGGCAAAATATTCAGATGAACCACATGAATCTGTCAATATTCATCATCATCCAACAAAAATGGCAAATTAATAATTTTCCACAAGCCTCAGAGCAGGTAAGTGGCTGAGCCACATTGTGCCTCCAGAACCCTTTCCCCTCTCTTGCAGCCTCCCAGGTATACAGATCAGCCTCCAGCTCCTCTGACCCCGACACTGGCCTGTGAGCCAGGCCTGCACTGTCTACCTCCTCGCCTTGGCAGACCCTGCTCACTGACCACTCCATCACAGCTGTCTCCTGTCTTTTCTGTTTTTTTTTGTTTTTTGTTTTTTTTTTTTGGAGACAGACCCTTGCTCTGTCACCCAGGCTGCAGTACAATGGTGCAATCTCTGCTCATTGCAGCCTTGACCTCCTGGTCTCAGATGATTCTCCCATCTCAGCCTCCTGAGTAGCTGGGACCTACAGGCATGAGCCACCATGCCTGGTTAACTTTTTAAAATTTTTTGTAGAGATTAAGTTTCACTATGTTGCCTACGCTAGTTTCAAACTCCTGGCCTCTAGTGATCCTGCCTCTTTGGCCTCCCAAAGTGCTGGGATCACAGGCATGAGATAACGTGCCTGGACTTCCCTGTCTTTTCTGATCTCAGCTCCTTCTGCTTTGGAACTTTTCCTCTCTCATCAGGACTCTGACTGTTGCTTTGACTCTTCTTTTATCCATGAGGACAGCTTGTGCCCACACTGACCCTACGCTGTCTACACAGGTCCAGACAGCTTCTCTCCTTTCCTGGACTGTCTCTCCTGGACTGTCGGAGCCTCTTGAGCACTTATGCTTCACATTTTTTTTGAAGTTTACTTTAAGCTTAGACACTGCCTTGGCTTTAAAAATATGTCCAAATGATTTGATATTCCAGCTTTCAAGAGGTGAAGTTTAACTCCCCTCCTTCTGATTGCAGGCTAAACTGAGTGACTCGCAGGCCCACATGGTGAGAAATTGAAGGTTCTTGCAAAGTCACATGAATGAGCTCGGAAAAGGAATCTTCAGCCTAGTCAAGCCTCAGAGACTGCAGCCCCGGTCAACAGCTTGACTTGAGAGTTTCCAAGTCAGAACCACCCAGCTAAGTTGCTCTTGGATTCTTTACCCACAAAAACTGTGAACGTTAAATGTGTGTTGTTTTAAGCAGCAAAGTTTGAATTCATTAAATAATGCAGGCATCTTTGGTGTTACTTGGCAGAAAGAGGCAACTCCCATATTGTTACTCATATATTACAAGTGCACTTCTTCATCAATGTTCCCTAATTACTCTCCACACAGCCTCCTGAATTAAAACGTGGCATTTACGTGCTCCCTTTCTGGTGTCCTTTCTTGCCAGGTGTCCATTGCTTCCAAGACATAAGCTAATGGGTATTTTCAGACTAACTTGCTTTTAGTTCCAGTTAGCAAAAAGCAAACAAACTAATGAAAAGTAAAACTACAACAACAAAATTTCCAAAGATATGATATCCTTGTCTGAGATGAGTATAAGCGCCTTCAAAATTAATTACATAGCTACAGCCCCACTCAAATAAATCACTGCATTGTTCTTGATCTCTGATGTTGAGCTATAAAATGAGAATTTTCAAGTCCACTGAAATGCATGCTGACATTAAAAACATGTTAGAGTGGAGACAAAGACAAAAGACTTCAATATCTGAAAATTGAGTTCAATTCTCAGGAGTGTACACCTTACCCTATGTGGACAAATTATTTAGAACATTTATGATAGGATAAAATCCCACAATTGTGAACACGTAAGGTTCTCTTGGGTTATTTGGTGGGCATGGAATTCTACTGAATAGAAGTTGATTTAATGGAACTGAACTTTAAAACCCTGTTGGGAATTCAGAGGCTTTTTACCACAAAAGTGCCACTGTGATGAGGCAGCTTGTGTTTTCTTTAGACCACTTAGTGGATGGACGTGACATTTTCTCGCTCATTCCCTCTGCTCCTTCATCTCATCCCTGGCTCACACTCTTTCTTCTGAGTGTTAAGCCACTCCAGTCTTTTCAGAACAGTTAGGGACAAGTGTTATTATTTGTGTCAGGTTTACCACTGTGGGACCCAAGGCATTATCCTTTCCTTGTTAATAGTATGCTTGCCAGGTATTTAAATTGACTTGGAACAATATCATTTCTAACCTTTAAAAATGGACAAAGAAATCAAGTTGAGCTTTCCAGCTATTTTGCAAATATCTCATAGCAAATGGCTTTGGTTGTGGATACCATCGTCCCTCATTCTTGCTTGATGGCATGCCCCAGCTCTGCCTGCTCCCAAGTGAGCAGCTAACAGTTCTATGCATCTTCAGGAATCCAGGATGCTGAGTAGGAGTATGTGTTAAAGGTCTGCTCATCCTTGGAGCTGTTAGGCCTAAACGATTTCTTACAATAGGAGCACACTGAGTACACTGCTTGGCCCAAGAGTTTAGCCTCTACAGTTTGACAGACACAAGATCCATGGCTACAAAGATGGAAGGTTGTTCTATAAAAGAGGTGACTTCATCTAAGGTAAGACAGAGCTAAAGGAAGTCATGTGAAGTAGATAAAAGTAGACCTTAATTAGAGATAAAAATAAGCCTGTTAGATTTGCTTTTGGAATTACAGATAAGGAATTTCAAAATACAGTCTGTATGGGCTTCCTCCACTTGTCAATTCCACTGACTAAATGGATTTCTGAAGCAGCCAACTGAAATGTAATCTGTATTTCAAGAAAATAAAATCGACTTTCATCACTCAAATTTGGCGATTTAGTGTCAGCATACATGCTAAAGCATGAAAAAGAATAAAGCAATTTGAGATCAAAGCCTTAAAGCACATGGATAAGAGAAAATGCAACTGGGCCCATATCAGGGGCTCCCTTCATTGTCCCAATTGTTAATAAACTCTGGGATCAAGCTGCGGGGTTTCAGTTTTGTTACATAACCTCTCTGTGCCTCAGTTTCATCACCTGTAAAATGGAGCTATTAATAGAATCTTCCTTGTAGGGTTATTATGAGGACTAAATAAGACCATACATTAGAACAGTTCCTGGCACATAGGAAGCACTCAACAAATATCAGCGATTGCTGTTGATGTTACTTTTATGATCATCCCTTACTACCTCTGTAGGCAGAACCACCTGGGAGAACCACATCATCATAGTAGTGTTGCTGGGTGAGTGTGGGGTCTGCACATGGGAATAAATCCAGTGTTTAAAGACACCAGCCAAGAAAGCCTGTTGCCCCATTTCTATGGTATGGGGCAGGTTTTACGATGGGGCCAGGATAGCGTGAGTCTGGTGTGGAAAGCTTCTTTCATTCTGGTCAGATGAACACTGTTTGTGCATCTTTTTGCCTCTCTCCTCTGCTTTTCTTTCCTTTTTAATAAATCAAACATTCAAGACAGTCTTTCTGAATGGAAAATCATTGTTTCTCCTTCAGGTCTCAATCTGTCTCTGTTATGACCAGGCTGCATTGATTGTAACATTTTCCTCTGGAGGGACTGTCTTACCTTCTTCACTTCCTAGTTTGTGATGGGCACTATTGCCCCCCAACATAAAATATCTTTCATTCTGACAAATCTTTTGCCCACAAAAAAATTTTGAAAATCTGTAGAATTATCCAAAGAATTCAACTGAGATATTTCACAGGTTCTTCATAGTCTGGTTCAATAGTCTGTCTTCAGAATTTGGCGAAGGCAATTTGCCCTGAGGTTTAGTATTATCGTTTATTCCTACTTAAAATGGAATGAGGGAGAGATCATCCATAATGACTTGTTTCTAAGGAGACTTGGAAATATAGGGTCATTATTATGTACAACTCCGCTAGAGCTTAGGCTGATCATGGGCCATTATAGCATAATTGCTCAAGGAATCACAGTTGAGATTAGCAAAAGCAATGGAGCAACACCAATCATAGGAGCTTTAATTATTTTTCTAATGGCATTTTTCATCATTTTTTAAAACTGTCCTTATAAATAAATAAAATGATCCAGTTAACTGTATCCAAGGGACACTTCAAGCCATTTCAGATTCCCATACCAATTGCAGAAAACGAATCTGCTTTCTCTGAAATGCCATCCCAACATAAATATAGTTGATCAGGCCAAAGATTCCTGGCTAATACTGGAAGAAACCTTTCTATGTGTCAAATACTTCATATGTACTGCAGCATTAAGTTTGTACAACAAACCTTTGAGCTAGGTATTATGTGAATAAGGCAAAGGTCCATTAACTTATCCAAGTACCAGAACTAGGAAGAGATAGAGTTGGGGTTTAGGGATTTTCTTGAGCCCATAATTTAATCTTAAAGGCAGAAACCACTCTAGACACTTCAAGTAGAGAGAGATTTAGTACACAGAATTAAGTTACAAAATTGTCAAGAGGGCTGGAGAAGCAAAAGAGAGTCATGGTATGATCCACAGATGAGAACTATAGGAAATCACTGCCCACCCCAGAGCCTGCACTTTTCTGTTCCATGCCCCTCAGCCCCTGTGCTGCCCAGGTGGCTGCTGCAGGAGGCCATAAGCCTCCACTGCTGCCTTCATGGGTGTGCAGCCATCTGCTGGTGCCACTGCTGCCAGGACTGAATGAAGAAGTTCATTCCTCCCTGTCTGCCCCTAAGTGCCCAAGCATTGTCCCATGGGAAGAGCCCAAACCAGATCTCTGCTAACAAGAAGGTCTGGAAAATGTAGTTTATACACTTTCAACCCTTGTGGTACAGAGGGCTATGGGGATGATGGATAGAATTCAGGGTATGCATGATCTGAGATGGGGAAAATAATAACATCACCATTTTCCCTAACAACTTGCTGAAATTTAGCATATATTTCAATTATAGTATAGGTCACTACTCACAGAAGAATTAACAGTATTATGACATTTTTACCCATAGAAGTTACAGGTAGGCATTAATAAACATATATTGTGGGGGAAAGAAAGGGAGATCAGATTATCATGTGTCCATATAACAGTTGATACTTATTCACATTTCATATGGGCAACTTGCCAGACAGGAGAAAGTACTTCCCATGTTAAAAAACATTAATTATCTTGTTTTGCTGTAATGGGAGTTCCAGAAAAAATTAAAACTGACAATGGACCAGGATACTGTAGTAAAGCATTCCAAAAATTCTTAAATCAGTGGAAAATTACACATACAAGAGGAATTCCATATAATTCCCAAGGACAGGCCATACTTGAAAGAACTAATAGAACACTCAAAACTCAATTGGTTAAACAAAAAGAAGGGGGAGACAGTAAGGAGTGTACCACTCCTCAGATGCAACTTAATCTGGCACTCTATACTTTAAATTTTTAAACATTTATAGAAATCAGACTACTACCTCTGCAGAACAACATCTTACTGGTAAAAAGAACAGTCCACATGAAGGAAAACTGATCTGGTGGAAAGACAACAAAAATAAAACATGGGAAATAGGGAAGGTGGTAATGTGGGGGAGAGGTTTTGCTTGTGTTTCACCAGTAGAAAATCAGCTTCTGTTTGGATACCCATTAGACATTTGAAGTTCTACAATGAACCCATCAGAGATGCAAAGAAAAGCGCCTCCGCGGAGATGGAAACACCGCAATCGAGCACCATCGACTCGCAAGATGAACAAAATGGAGTTTCTTATGTCTACTTCTTTATACATAGACACAGTAACAGTCTGATCTCTCTTTCTTTCCCCCACAATATATATTACTATATCACAAATTTATTACTTTATACATTTTCATAGCCAATGTCATTGGTTTCCTAAGAAACCTATTTTATTTTAGCCTTTTAAAAACATTACTCTCAAAGGGGTCCACGGGCTTCACCAGATGCTGAAAGGTCTGTGGCACAGAAACATTAATTACCCTGGGTCTAGTAGGACAGGGCTGATTCTGAGAGCCAATACACAGAATGTGAGAGCAGAACCCCTGGCTGTCAGACTTCAGAATCTGTGCTTTAATCATCCCACTCTACTGGGCTTAGAGAGTTAGAGTTATCCTTTTAGGTTTTCTGGATGCCACACAAGAAAAACAAAAACAAAAACAAAAAAAGAGAATATTCCCAGCTTGCTTAGCATTGACACAGCCATGGAGAATCCTCAGTGAACACCAGAGAAGTAGTGTTTTCCATCCAGAAGATCAGTCCTTTTGCAAGGGGTGGGGTGGGTATCATCTTTCATCATCTTTGAAGAATTTCACTCTACTTTCCCACACATTGCCTTTTCATTTTCAAGGTGCCTATTGCATGACTTCATTAAGCCATCTCAGAACAACATAACTGACTCCTTTTTTCATCAGACACAGTAATGATATGCAAAAAGATTAAATATTAGATGTGCTTGGAAAAAGAAATAAAGGTGTTTTTCCAAGACTTTTACATTAAATATCCAACTTAAAATGTGTGAGTGTAGTATTTTATTTTCTGATAGGGCTCCCATCTGTGAGTATGGCTAAAAATTTGGATAATCAGTTTGTCCTCATGTATCTGAGGATGATAGTGCTGGAAGAAACCTCATTTAACAGACAAAGAAGCCAAGAGAAATATTGTGTAGTCATTAAGAGTTCAACTGTAGATGCAAATGGACTTGAGTTTGAAGCCTTATCTTTTTATACTATTTCTGTGACAATGGGCCCAAACCCTGACTGGAGAGTCACTTAACCATGGGTTCATCATCTATGAAGTAGGGGGATGTTACTTGTCGACATATTTTCTTTTTAAATAATAAATAAGATAAAACATGTGAGATGACTAGCACACACAATGAATATTATTAGCACACACAGAGACAAGACTACTCAAGGTCATGGGATGCTACAGAGCCAGGTGTAAAACCATGGATTCTGGCTCTTTCTGAAGGTTCTTTTCTGCCCAAAGACCTTCTATGTGGCTGCTTTTTTTTTTTTTTTCTTCTAGAACTTAGCTGAGTAGCTGGTAAACTCCTTGGACCCTTTCCATCTTGTGCCTAAAGAAGGAAATAAAAATAGCATGTTTATATAATAGGCAGAGTCCCCATAAGCAACACTTGCTTTTTCCATCACCAGAAAATGAATGAATAATACTGGACCAGCCAAAGACAGATGTCAACGGAGCTTTTAATCTTATACCTGCTAGTAATCTGAATTTTGGACTCTAAGCTCCCTCTGATAAATTGGCTGTTCTTTTTTCACATCTCTGTCATCCATTTGCAGCTCATGCTTAGCCAAGTCTTCTGTTCAAATCGTAATCATCTTTGGCAAACTCATTTCCAGGTGATTCAATAGACTTCTGAGAGATGACATGTTCCAAAGTTGTCCTGTCATTCACACAAGGCACCCTACTCCTCCCACTTGGGTACACTGACTCAGAGGAGAGCATCTCAGACAAGGTCCATGTCCACAAGAGTCTCACGGTACAGAGAAGAGTACATGCAGTGTGCATGCAAACAGGTTGCCAAAGGATAAACACAGGATTCTAGTGGAATATATTGCAGCAGGTCTAATCTTAATGGAAGAGGCAGTCAGGGAAGGCTACCTGGAGGAAGCCACTTATACTGAGGAGTAGTCTAACAGGTAAAGAAAAGGAAGAGGACACTTAAACCTGGGAGGCAGAGGTTGCGGTTAGCCAAGATCGTGCCACTGCACTCCAGCCTGGGCAACAGAGCGAGACTCTGTCTCAAAAAAAAAAAAAAAAGAAAAAAGAAAAAAGAAAAAGAAAAAGAAAAAGAAAAGGAAGAAGAAGTTCCAGATCAGGAAACAGCACATTCCAAGGCCCAGAGGTAAAAGAAGCAGAGGGTTTGAGAAGCAAAAAAATATTTTTTTAAAAAATCAACAATGGCAAGAGCATAGAGACTGAGGAGAAAGTGCCAGAAATGAGGTGCAGAAGTAGGTAGAAGTGAGGTCCAAAGGATGTTAGCTAAGCAGTGTGGATTTTTTCCTGAGGGAAAAGGAGTGCTATCATCAGGCTTCATGCAAATAAAAATGTCAACCTTGAGAGGAATAGAGTGCTGGGGAGAGGAGGAGCTTCAAACTTGGGACAGTTTGGATTGGAAGGCAAACCCAACAGAGCACTTGGATGTTGATGATGGAGTCAGTCTCCCCTCCTTCTTTTTTTTTTTTTTTTATTTTTATTTTTTTTTTTAATTATACTCTAAGTTTTAGGGTACATGTGCACATTGTGCAGGTTAGTTACATATGTATACATGTGCCATGCTGGTGCGCTGCACCCACTAATGTGTCATCTAGCATTAGGTATATCTCCCAATGCTATCCCTCCCCCCTCCCCCGACCCCACCACAGTCCCCAGAGTGTGATATTCCCCTTCCTGTGTCCATGTGATCTCATTGTTCAATTCCCACCTATGAGTGAGAATATGCGGTGTTTGGTTTTTTGTTCTTGTGATAGTTTACTGAGAATGATGGTTTCCAATTTCATCCATGTCCCTACAAAGGATATGAACTCATCATTTTTTATGGCTGCATAGTATTCCATGGTGTATATGTGCCACATTTTCTTAATCCAGTCTATCATTGTTGGACATTTGGGTTGGTTCCAAGTCTTTGCTATTGTGAATGGGAGAAAATTTTCGCAACCTACTCATCTGACAAAGGGCTAATATCCAGAATCTACAATGAACTCAAACAAATTTACAAGAAAAAAACAAACAACCCCATCAAAAAGTGGGTGAAGGACATGAACAGACACTTCTCAAAAGAAGACATTTATGCAGCCAAAAAACACATGAAGAAATGCTCATCATCACTGGCCATCAGAGAAATGCAAATCAAAACCACTATGAGATATCATCTCACACCAGTTAGAATGGCAATCATTAAAAAGTCAGGAAACGGCCGGGCGCGGTGGCTCACGCCTGTAATCCCAGCACTTTGGGAGGCCGAGGCGGGCGGATCACGAGGTCAGGAGATCGAGACCATCCCGGCTAAAACGGTGAAACCCCGTCTCTACTAAAAATACAAAAAATTAGCCGGGCGTAGTGGCGGGCGCCTGTAGTCCCAGCTACTTGGGAGGCTGAGGCAGGAGAATGGCGTGAACCCAGGAGGCGGAGCTTGCAGTGAGCCGAGATTGCGCCACTGCACTCCAGCCTGGGCGACAGAGCGAGACTCCGTCTCCAAAAAAAAAAAAAAAAAAAAAAAAAAAAAGTCAGGAAACAACAGGTGCTGGAGAGGATGTGGAGAAATAGGAACACTTTTACACTGTTGGTGGGACTGTAAACTAGTTCAACCATTGTGGAAGTCAGTGTGGCGATTCCTCAGGGATCTAGAACTAGAAATACCATTTGACCCAGCCATCCCATTACTGGGTATATACCCAAAGGACTATAAATCATGCTGCTATAAAGACACATGCACACGTATGTTTATTGCGGCACTATTCACAATAGCAAAGACTTGGAACCATCCCCTCCTTCTTAACTCTCAATTCTCTTCTTCCATCTACTGACCTCTAATGGTTTCAAATGGTTAACTAAGGTCCTCAGCACATCAGCTCCCTCCTTCCCTAGCATCTTCAATGATTCCCTGTTACATGCCAAATGCTTTGGCACGCTTGGCAGATGAGACCCTCATCTACCTGGTCCCACCCTCTTTTTGAGCCTCATTTTGGCTCATGAATCCTGTGCTCTTACTGAACTGGTCCCCTGTTATTTTTTTGCCTCCATGACTTTATTCCTGTACTATCTTGCCTAGAATAAACGCCAATGCTCCCAACTCTACTTGGGCCATTCTTAACCATCCTTTAAGACTAGCTCAATGTCCATCTTCTATGAAGTATGTATCTGTCTTTCTCTGAACCTTCATAAGCATACATCTGAACCTCTCCTGTAGCACGTATCTCATCTTATCTTGTATATTTATTTACATCCTGATTTTTTGCCCCCTGGTAAATAGTCAATTCCTTTATACATATGTCATTTCCTTTGGCTCAGGGCCATTTGGGATTCTCCCCAAGACTTTGGACAGACAAGCTACCCCACCAGTTTGAAATTTAAGTTCTGTTAGACTCTGAGACTGGTGGACACTCAATAAAATCTTTCATCTTGGATTTTAAGTTTTTTTCTTTTTCCTTTAATGTCCTGATACCCCCAAAAAGTTGTTTCATATTACACTGAGAGGGAGCCAGTTTTCTCCAGAATGAAAGGGCCATCCTTGTGGGCCTCTGGCATAGCTGAGAAAGCAGTGATGAGTGCCCACCAGCTGCTGGATTCTGTGGGAAACATAGTGAGGGCCTTTCAAGAAATTGCTGGGCTGGGCCTGGAGCTGGAATGGCCTCATTACAAATTTATTACCAAGTGAGATTGAGCCATACAGGAAAACAACAGCATTCCCACTGATGGTGCCTCCAGTAGACTCCCTGCTGGAGGCTTTGACCAGAGGTGGGGCTAGATTTCTACTGAGCCATCCACTTAGTCTTGCACAAGCTCTTGCTCGCTAAAGGCAAGAAAGCAAGTCAGGATTTGTTGATTCATCCTAGGGTGTCAACTATTCCAGTTTGCCTGGGATTTAGGACTTTGGGGAACTTTCAGGGCTAAATGCAGTAAAATGACAGACAGACCAAGATGAGCTGATCACCCTAGCTCCACCTAATACAAATGCACCACTCTGTGCTGGGCCCCAGTCTAGGCATCAAAGACATGGAGATGGAAAGGACAAAGTTACTGCCCTTGAGAATTTTACAACATAGTGGAAAAGAGAAACATGTAACCAAAATAAATCCTGGGACCCCCATGCAGGCCTGTCTTGATTAAGTGGTGAGTTCAAAGAAATAAGTCCAATGACTAAAAGTAATTAAAACATAATTCTAATCTCCATTTATATCTTTCAGAAAATATCAAAGAGGATTCAGTTCATTACTCACATTCTTTTTTATTTTTTAATCTCCTTTTCTTATATCTCTCTCTCCCAACTTGTGCCCAAGGCTCTAGGGCTGTCCTTGTACCCAACTCTGTCCCCAAGCCTTCTTTGGCACCCTACCTATAAAAGATATTCTTCCTTCTCTCATCCCTGAACATGCAACATTATTTTCCTACCACAAGTGCCTGCTAGAACCAAGCCTACTCCCGGACCATTCTGGGAAGGCTGGGGAGCCCAGCAACTCCATGACCCAGTCCTCCCTCTCTGCCCAGAGAGGAACCCCTGGGAAGCATAGTCCTTTCTCACTGTGACTGTGTTTCTTGCAAGAGATTTTCATTGAAAGAAACACCTCATTTCACCACACAAGTAGATCATTTCAAACTGCTCTGCTAAGTGCCATGACGAGGATAATGTCCCGTGCCCAAGGAGGTATATAGCCACAGAGGTGGACGCTCAGCTCAGGAACAAGCAGACACTTGGTTGCAGGAATTGAAGTGGTCTCTGTTTTATAGACTTGGGCTTTCTCACTGTCCCAGGCCCACAGGAGCTCTAACTGTGGAGGAGGGGATTTTAAGCCTCCGTCCATGCAACCCACAAGCAAATAAGTTTGAAAACAAGGTGAAATGCACAAACCAAGCCCATGGTGTTCTGTTTTCTGAACCACCATTCAAGAAAAATAGTTTCTTAAAAAGAAATCAGGGGCAGGGGTAGCTAGGTCTGCAGGGGATCATGTATTTGATCACAGAAATGTGGATTAATTCTGTCCCTAAAGGAACACAAGACTTGCCACAGTAAATGCTAGCAACATTTTGGCTAGGGATGTGGGGCCTTTTGCATTATATTTATACCTCCTCACGGCCCTTGCCATTGTCATTTATAGAACATCATTATGATCATGAGGCTGCATAGACTAATATGGAGCCAGAATGCCTGGGTTTGAATCCACTTGCTAGCTGTGGGGTTCTTGAACAAATTATTTCACCTCTCTGTGCCTCAGTTTCTACCTACAGAAAACAAAGACAATCCAATTACCTACCTCATAAGTTTGCTTAGAAGATTAAATGAGGTAATATCTGCAAAGTGCTTAGAAAAGTGCCTGATACATAGTAAGAATCACATAAGTGTTTGTTAGATGACTGTATCATGTTAGGTACTGTTTAATTTGCACTTACTTTATGCCAAGCACTATTCTCACCAAAGTTTCAAAAGGCAGGCAGTTTAAAATCATTTCTGGCCTATAGCCAGGGAAACTGAGACTCAGGAAAGTAACTCACCAGATCACATGGTTGATAAATGTCATAGTCAGGAGGTAAATCCAGGTGTGTCTGGCATCAAAGCCCATGCCCTTGGCTCTTTTGCCATCCTGGCCTCTCAACCCAAGTTTTGGAGAACTGTATCTTGGAAAGTTTGTCTCAGACCTCACTTAGTACCTACCTCCCCATAAAGTCCCTCAGATACCTGAGGCTGTGTCTTGTAAGAACCTCTGGTGCTGCAGATTGTCTGAGTTGGCCCCAGACATGGGACTGACTAACCTACATCTGGTTCCTTTCAGGCAGGGTCTCAGGCCAGATCCTTGTAAACCAAAAATAAAATTCAAAGTGTCCCTACAACCATCTGAATGGACACCCTCCTTGGCCAAGGCACTTTAAAATTTAACCTGAAAGACTGGTTCAAGCCATGACAGGAAGTGGGGGTCAGACATGCCTCATTATACCCCTCCAACTCGAACATCAACACAGACTGACAAGAAACATTTACAATCTATTCTCTCTGAATCCTGCTACCTGGAGGTTTCATCAGCATGATAAAACTTTGGTCTCCACAACCTCTTTTCACAATCCAGATGTTTATTTCTATTGATAACTCTTTCAACCAGTTGCCAATTAGAAAAATTTTAAATCTACCTATAACCTGGATATCTTTTTCCCCTTGCCCCCCACCCAACTGCTTCAAGTTGTCCCACCTTTCTGGACTGAACCAATGTATACTTAAATGTATTTGACTGATGTCTCGTGTCTCCCTAAAATGTATAAAACCAAGCCACACCCTAACCACCATGGGCACATGTTCTCAGGGTCTCCTGAGGGCTGTGTCATGGGCCATGGTCACTGATATTTGGCTCAGAATAAGTCTCTTCAAATGCTTTACAGAGTTTGACTCTTTTCTCTGACACCCTGTTGCCTAATAATCAGCATAAGCCCTTAGTGGAGTATCCACACGGAGCCAGCAGTGTCATTTCTCCTGAGGCAGTCTGCTGTCTTCCAGCTATGCTTCCTATTGCTCGCAAGAGGCCTCCCTGGTAAAGCACTCTCTGTCTTCACTGCAAAGTGACCAGGACAGTCTTAGGTCCTCAGAGCCTGTCCTCCATCTGGCCAGCCCTCCTCCCAAGAGGAGGGATGCCACCTTTGACTCTAAAGGCAGCTCCAAGGAAAGGCTCGGGCCCAAATAGAGGACAAGATGATGCCCCAGTCTAATCTCACAGCTGTGTCTAAGGATCCACAAAAAGAATAGTAAATGTAATAATGAAGGTAGTGGTCATTATAATGGAAATAGGAACCCACAAAAATTGTAGGAATAACGGATTGTAGGGTGCTATTCCAAGCAATTTACACACATATATACTCCAGATACCCATTGCCACTCCCCCTATGTGTCCGGATAAACAAAGGACTGTCCGGATAAACAAAGGTCTTGTCATCTTCTCAGGCTCTACCCAGAAAGTTAAGTGCAGATACCCTCTGCTCCAGGTGGTCCCCAAACCTACCTGGATATGCTATCCATTGCCTCACACATCCTTCCTAGAACTCAGCCTTGAGACCGTGGGACTGTTTCTAAGGTGCTCATTTCTACTGCCTTCCCTCCAACTGTCTTCCACCAGCCCAGGAAGCATTTTATGGAGCATAAAAATTTGGAAAATAAAATATTTAAATATAAAATAAAATATTTTTTAATGCTCCAAATTTTCCAAAGTTTTATGGGGGCGGAAAAAAATCTCTGACTGATATTATATTCTCTAGACCCTTATTCCCTCAAGGCAAAGACTTTTGGAGTCCCAAATTCCTAACCTCTTAGAATCCTAAAGTCTTTTCTTTCAAGCTATTGTCTGCAGTTTGAGTTTTCAAATATATTTTGAAACTCAAAAGCCAAGACTTGACTCTTACATCTTTCTGTGTTCTGCTGTAACAACACTTCCCTGAGGCAAAGAATGCCTAAAGGTCTGGTTTGAACAGGGAATGTTCCACAGGACATAAAAAAAGAAAAAAGTAGGAACTCAGAGTAGTAAACACATGGAAAGCGTATCCCACTTCCTCTGTTAACTTGTCTGATTTTCCGACAGACCCAGCTCTCTGAAAGCAATTATTTTGTTTCAATAATGCTTACTATCTGTACAATGAATGTAAGCTGGAAATGTAAACTGAA
Source organism: Homo sapiens (assembly GCF_000001405.40). Lineage (NCBI taxonomy): Eukaryota > Metazoa > Chordata > Mammalia > Primates > Hominidae > Homo > Homo sapiens. Next base: position 136,405,314 of record NC_000005.10, on the reverse strand, counting down.
TAAGTTACAAAATCTATAAATTTAGAAAGGAGAGCTTTATTTCTAATGGAGGGTACCACAACCTGCAGGTGGGAAATGGACCCTCCAGTTGAAACCTAAAAGAAAGAGCCTCGAGGGAGGGAAGGAGGAGGCAGGAATTTACGGTTAATGTGTTGGCTAAGTATATATATTTCAGCAGGTTATAGGAGGAGATGAATATCCATGACGGGGAGGCACACAAATGCATAGTAAGCTAACATGTATGTTACATGCATCCTGTGTTTGCTTTGGGGTGGAGACTGAACATTTCAATGTATTACAATTAGAGCCTATACATTAAAAGGTGAAGCCAAAGATGCAAAGGCCCTCAGTGCACAGCCTCCATAGACTGGCCAGAACTATTCCACTGCCAGTGGTCTCCTGTCAGGAAGAAACGTGGTCAGTTGCTGTTTTGAAACTGCAAAAGGGAGAGGCATTGTCAGGCAACTGGTTGAAATCAGTGGTGGAGCAAGTCTTTCAAAAGGCTAGTTTCTGTTTAACCTTAGGAAAGAAAGCTTAATGGCAGTTAGCTTAATGGCAGTTACCGAGGCATGTCCAACCTCCCAATCAGTCGTGGCCAAGAACTCAGTTTTTTAAGGTTTCTCTGAAATCCCCTAGGTGGAGAGGAGGGGCATTCTGTTGGTTGAGGGGCTTGGGATTTTATTTTTATTTCTTGGAAATAAATGAAATGATTGACTTCTGCTCACAGTGTTTTGAATTTCAAGGAATAAACAATACAATTGATGATTAAATGGAGTTTTAGTCAATATTACGAAGGGCACAAAGCTCCCTGGAAAAGCTGTCAGAATGGTGAAGCCAATAGGAATAATTATCCTTGATTCTTCTGTGTAACTTTTTTTTTAAGCATTTATTAAGCAGTTACTATGGGTCAGGCACTGTCCAGTGCTTTCCATACATTATCTCATTTAATTCCCATCTTAGAGAGGAAAAAAATAGAATGGTTCAGGCTATAATATCCCTAGTATTTGGGGCCCACTTGTCTCATGATGCGATTGGAGGACTCTCCTCCTCCATAGAGTGGCCGCCACACTCAAAGACTTGTCACTTCAGGTAGTGCAAGACATAGAACATGAGAAGTCAGAGTAGCTGAGCATCTTTCCTGGCATCTGTGGCACTGACTCCATTAAATCTGAAAGCAAAAAAATCTGGGAACATATTTTATCATTTTATTTCATGTTTTGTATGATCAACTCTTGCACTGAGATAAATTCATGGAAGTTAATTTGGGGAAACTGGTAATAATTTCAGGAAGGCTCTTGGAAATCTCATATTACATTTGCCCTGAGGCTCATAATTTGAGTTTCAATCAACACAGCTGAAATACGTGGCATGAAAATTTTATAGCAAAAGAAAAGTGTGTGTACCGGGAGAAAACCTCCTTTTTGAGTTAACTATTTACTTTTAGAGAGAAATATTGCAACATAAATCACAGGTACATTGTTCCTAGATTCTGGCTGGAGTATGGAGATGACTGTGCTCTCTAAAGCCAAATGTAGTCATTTATTCAGATTCATACTAAAGTGATTGCTGTCCAGCTATCATGTCAAATTGGAAACTAAGGAAGAGGCAATTTGGTGCAAGGAAGTAACTGCTAGACTTAGTCAAAAACCTCAAGCTCAAGCCAGGACTCTCTCCCTCCTCACTTGCAAGGTCAAACCTGTCTTCTCAATTCTCCCCTCGACCCTGCCTTGGTCCTCACATGGTTGCTGTGAGGATCAAATCCACTGGTGCATGTGAAAGAATGTTGTGTACTATAAAACACCATGCCCATGTGAAAGGAGAGAAGGCACCCCGACTGCCAGGCATATACTTCCTGCCCCTCCTGCAGAAATGATGAGATTAACAGCCAGCACTTCCATGGTGCCTTCCACATACCAGCACTGCTCTGAGTGGTTACAAGTGGTAATTCTCTGAAGCCTCAAACAACCCATTGTAGAAGGTACTATTATTACTCCCATCTTAAAGATAAGGAAACTGAATCATGGACACACTAAGTAATTTGCCCAAAATAGTAAACTGTAAAGCTGGGATTCTAACCCACGCCCTCTGCTACAGAATCTTGGCTCTTCATGTCCTTGGTAAGGATGACTTCCATCCACCTCCAGCCTCCCCTCAGACATCTGTAACCTCTGATCTAGTGTAAAACCATACTGCTTTGAGTCATTAAACAGCTGAAAGAAGTACATCACTCCAGAACCGGTCTCCCTTGGGATTTGGCGCCACTACCCCACTTAGAACTTTATTTACAGGTCCTATAGAGGTATAACTTCTGCTGCTGGTCCACTCTCTTCTTTCTGGGGTCATGCAGAGCAAGATGAGTCCCATCCACATGGGTACAGTCATGCTGAAGATAATCCTCAAATCCTCTGTGAGCCTTTCAAAGACTCAACTTTTTACCTCATGGGATGTTCCTAGGATTTTTCCAGATGTTCACTAACTGCCTCTGTGTTTCCTTGATTTTGTCACCTGGGAATGGGCTGTCTATGGTTAGACAAACAACCACAAAGGCAGTCTACCTATGACAGAGTCCAGGACCGCCATTTCCTGTAGCCAGGACTGTACACCATGCACCACCAGCACACCTAAAAATCATGCTCAATTTCACATACTGATGTATCCATTTGAGTTTAACTTTCTTCAGACCTGGTGTTTGAAGGCTGTAAGATATGGATGCCCAGTTAGGAAAGTAGAGAAAAACTTTCCTAATAGAGGAAGGCTCAGCTAACTTCCATCACTGAGAGGTTGATTATTATTTTTTAAATTATTCTCCCTCCTCATCCCCTGTAACCTCCTTGATTCTTCTCTTCTCCTTCCTTTAGACCCTGTTTTATCTTCTTTAGTCGTTTAATCAACTCATTTATTCAACAAATATTCATGGAGACTTCACTAAATAACTGGACACCCAGCTGATCCACTCCAGAAATTGAGGTCAGAAGACATTAGAAATGTTTAAGAGTTCTGAAGAAGGTGAAAATTCACTATATGTTATTGAATGCTTTGGAGAATTTGCATAGATCTAATTTATCCAGGCATATCCTGTGCTTATCATAGGTGTGATACTACTTTCACTTATAGTAAGAGCTCAATAAGTGCTTGCTAAATTTAAATAAAGGTACACATATGTATGATGTATATATAGATATATACAATGATTTGTAATATTTCCAAACTCTTGTTTCAAAGACAGCAATGGAGACATTTACCCACCTTACTTTGTGGATCCCATATTTATGTTTTCATCTTGAACTGCTCTAAGAGAGAAACAGTTTATTTTCAAAGAAATGTTTAAGTAATTAAAATTATTTGCTAATTTTCTCAAGAACATCTTTTATTCTGGCTTAGTTGTTGACTTTAGGGAAATGCTGGGTATGAATGGATTTGTTTTAATAATAATTTCTTTAGATTAAGTGGTTTCTTCAATTTCCTTTGCATTCATAACATTTTTCTTTGTTAACAAATTAACCCTCAGCCAAGAAAAAAAGTGGAATTGTTAAGTCAATTTATACTCTTAAAAAGTTATTGAAAAGTAAATCATTCTTTTAGGTTTTAATACAGCTTTCCTCTCCGTTGATGTACTGTATTGCTTATCTATCACTGCATCACACACCATCCTAAAACTAATGACTTAAAACAACAGCCATTGCTCCCAGTTATGTAAGTTGTCTGGGCTCAGTGTGGATGGCTTGTGTTTGCTCTGCATGGGGTCAGCTGAGACAAACACAGTTAGCAATAGAAGATCCAAAAGAACCTCATTCACAGGTCTGGAAGCTTGCTGCTGACAGCGGGCTGGGGTGCTTCAGTTCTCCTCCAAATGGTCTCCCTCTCCAAGTGGTCTCTCTGAAGCAGGATTGCCTAGATTTCTTTACATAAGGGATGAGTTTTGAGAGCAAGGGCTGAATCCACAAGGCCTCCTAAGGCCTGGTCTGACAATTTCAGAACATCACTTCCACTTCATTCTCTTGGTCAAAGCAAGTCCCAGGATCAGTCCAGATTCAGGCGGTGGGGAAATAGACTTCACCCCTCAATGGGTGAACAGCAAAGTCACATTGGAAAGGGGTATAGACAAAAGAAGGCATAATTTATTCATTGCTATCCCCAGTGGATGTAATTACTTGGATGAGGATAAGAGGCATTCTCCCCTCCAAATCCGGGTGAAAGGTGATCTGGAGAGCTTTGCAAGCCAGAGTCTGCCTATCAGAACTCAAGGATCCAGTCAATTACATCAATGGATGTAATTACTTAGATGAGGATAAGAGGCACCCCCCACCCCCTCCAAATCCTGATGAGAGACAATCTACAGAGCTTCACAAGCCAGAGTCTGCCTATCAGAACTCAAGGATCCAGGCAAGGAGGACTGGAGAAGGCACTCCTTGAGGCACACCCTGAGTCTAGTGAGCAATGCTGGTGAAAGCAAGGACTTTCATTCAAAGCCCAGTGCATGGGCTTGGCAGCCTGACACAGCTGGATACAAATCCCAGTTTTTCTACTTCTAGTTTTGGGCAAGTTCTCAACCTCTCTGAGCCTTTTGTTCTCAAGCCCAAAAAGGGGGAAATACAGTATTAACAGTATTAGTGAAATACTATTAGCCTCACCAAGGCTTTGGTGAGAATTAACTAAAGTATTTCAGGTAAAGTGCTCAGCACCATACCTGATCAGGGGTGAGTGCTCCCTATTTCATCTGGAGTGGAGGTTTCTTCCTCTGACGAAAATCCTCCTCCTATCTTGGAGAAACCTGGTGTTAGAAGACAGGCTGGGCACTTCTTGGTCTAGAGAAGCAAGAGTGAGATTCAAAATACGTAATAGCCTGTGTAGCCCTGGACCAGCCAGTCAGAACTGAAGGCAGTACTAGGGCTGGTGGCAATGGGGGAGCCTGAGCCCTCCTGCCATGCTGAGCGTTAACCCTTGAGTTGCTGGATTTGGGGGAAGTCCAGGAGATCCCAGGGGACAGGTCGGGGCAGGCTGGGTGGCAGAGAGCCTGTGAAAGGCTTGGAGCAATATCTATTTACCAATAGAGATATTTCAGTTTTATAATCCCAAATATGGCCATACATGTGTGGACCAGCGAGAACAATAACCTTACCTGCGAGCAAGAAGCAACAAGGCCTTGTGCAGGTAATTTAAGTAGTGCAGCCAGCCTGGAAGAGAGGAGCCAAAATCTCAACCCTCCTGTCTGAAAGAGTGATATTTAAAGAACAATTGATAATCAATGATTATTCAAACAAGGGAAAAAGAATACAATCCTGCAATTTTGTAAGCTCCCCACACCCTGCATATGATAGCCTAAAAACTAGCATTTATGCCACTAGAATGGCATAAAACTGCAGTCAAGAAACAACAAGTGAAAACAGGCATCAAAGGGAGCTGGTGAGGAGTGTCCAAAGGCTCCGATATGGATAAAACTTAGGAAGCGCAAACACAAAGTACCAGAAGCCAGGTCAAGCTGAGGAGGTAGAGCTCTTTAAACTGAGTAAATGAACAGGGAAGGAAGATTCCTTGGGAAAGAGTCACACGATCGCTGCTTGGTCCAAAGATCTGTGCTTACATATGTGGAGGCCCAGACAAGTGAAACCTGAAACCACCCCTGCCTTTGAGGAGCTCCAGTGCATGGCGAGCAGAAAGCTGGCTGCCCCCAGCCTTAAGTTGGGGTGTCCAGGGAGGTTGAAGGGTAGCCTCCAGTTAGGAACGGCAGGATGGAGGACATGAAGGTACTCTTGTCAAGAATATAGGAAGTGTGTGAGGGAGTCCGCCCTGGCTAGACCTTGACACCCTGGGTGATCAGGGCAGCTTGTCCAGCAATTAATTCACTGAGTGTCAGGGGTGAAAGTCTCCTAAGCCTACCCTATAAAGTTTATTCCCCAAGCCTAGCAGTGAAGGCCTTCCACAATTTGGCTTCCATTGATTTTACCAGCAACATCCCCCCAAAAGTGGAAATTCATGGAATAGAGAAAGGAACAGCACATACTCTAGGGAGTACTTATGAGGAGTAAGAAAGTTAATATCTGTGTGAAGCACTAACACAGAGCCTGGTCCACAGTCTGCACTTGATAAATGTTGTGACTGTTTCTACTGTCATGTGCAGTTGGGCAGTTGCACACTGCTCAAAGTTGCTCATTCCCTCCAAGTCATGTTCTCACGAGGTGTGTCTGCCCCTGGAGGTACTGTTTTCTGATCTCCCAAAACCACTGTATAGGCTAGCAAAGCTCTAATTACATCATAAGGTTTTGTAAGAATTAACTGAGATTATGATTATTATGCACTAAGTACAGGGTTTGACAAGGATGGTGTTCAATAAATGTCCATCATCATTACTGTTGTTATTGTTAACGATGTTTGATCTCTAATCTTCCCCCACCAAAAAGTAACCCCTTCTTGTCAAACCAGTTTGCCCATTGCCTGCTAAACATGGAGTGCACATTGCCCCTCTGAGTATTTGCTCAGCCTGTCTAGTGCATCCTCTAACTTCCTTTTGGAGTAGTTTAAAGCTTTCCCATGATCCAAATCTCTCCTCAGTTCTTGCATGCTCTGTAAATCCTTCTCTGACAACACTTGCCTTCCTCTTTTGAACCCTAGAGTATTGATTGTCAGCATAATTCACTTGGCAATTAAGCGTGCTGTGCCTCATCACTGTTCCCTTATTGTAGTTGAACTGATTATGCCCACCTGTGTGTGCACCTGCCTTGCTGTTTTTGTATGACCCTCCTCCCAACACCTAGCCCAGTATCTGGCACCTAGAAGAGGTGAGGTGGATTTATTTGGAGAATCACATGAGATGTGGTAGTGACTTCTGATTAAGAGCAAATTGCCTGTTGAAAGTTCTGGGGTGATTGTGAAGAAACCTGGAGCAAAAAGAGAATTCGCATATTAATTGATTAAAATATCCACTTCAGGGTGCTTGCATGGGCAGAGTCTGAGTGGTGGCTCATGCCTGTGTGTTGCTCACTTTCCAGGCTGCTGCAAAATGAAATGCAGTGTCCTGTTGAGCCCCTATGAACTTCACAGTGCAGCTCTGAGGAGCTGTTTGTGAGCCAAGGGACCACAGGAGCCTGAGGCCTGACTTAGTGATCCTTTTGAAATTGGAGAAAGATGAACTCTTGCTTCGCACCTTGTGCCCCTCTCCCTCCCATGGAATAAGCCTGTACTGACTTCTGACAAAGTACAGAAGAGAACATAGGGCCAAGATAAATGAGTTCCAGACCCCGACCTGCAGGGAAGATGTGTGCACGTGAATAGTAGATTTTTGCTCAGCCAGCACAAAGCACCAGAGCTCCACCTGCATCAGCTGCCAAATGTCAATGAGGGCACCGAGGAGAAAGATGGTCCAGGTGGACCACCTCCTCCACACCTATCCCTTTCACCAACAAATCATTCCCCACCTCCAAACTCAATTGCAACTCCTTCTGAAGCTTTTTCTGGATTTTCCAACCTCAGGAACCACTCCCTTGTTCAGATCATTCAGCACTTTCGGTCAATTCCAAACTGTCTCACAAAGTATCGTGCAAGGATGCCGCAAAAATCCCACCAAGGTTTGCTTCTAATTTCATAAGATGCTGGAGTGAATGTGAGCCTGAACATGCCACCAGACCTTCCAAATATTTGTGTTCATGGAAGTAGCCACATTGATCAACTGTATCATTATAAATGAGTAGTATAAATAGAAATGTAAGATCAATCTGTATCAACACATGGTCACTTTTGTAATTGTTTTAAAATGTGTGAGCTCTTGTTTGGAAATGAGTCCCACTGCTAAAAACAAAACAAAACAAAATACAAGTTTGAAAAACACTGCTTTCTATCATGCAGCTGATAATTAACTTTAATGTCCTCAAGAACTGCTGGCACTCTTGTCCAGTATTTTCAATATATGATGACAATAGTATTAATTATTAATTGTGGTAGGTTTTTTTAATATTTTAAAATTTTAACTTTTTAATTGTTTTAATATAGGGGAATTGAGTTCAGTTCTAGAAGCAGCAAGGAACTGAAGCTGTAGGCTCTGCTGTTTTGAGAGAGGAGTTCTGTCTTTTCTACCTCCTCTAATTTGAGAAATTGAGCCTGTTAACTTTAGAGGAGTGTGTACAGAAGGTGGGAAAAGTGTTGACATCATTTTCTAAGCTTTTACACAGATGATGCCCATCTGCTCTGTTCCCCTAATCCATCCTAACGCTGATAGAATCAGTAATCCCAGAGAGGTCGCTGATGTTTCACCTTCGCAGCTGAGATAGTACTTTTGAATCAAGCAGGTGTTACAGATCTCCTCCTCCTAGGGAGCTTGCAGTATTTTACCCAGTTTGTGGAGTTCCATTTGAGGATTGCTGGGGGTTGTGGACCATCCAGAGATCTTTCCATGGTAAAGATCAAGCATCGTGGGTTGCCATGATCTATTGTCAGGTACGTTTCAAATCATTAAGAAGTTGTTTTAGTAAGCGTTAAATTACCAGAAGGTAATTTAGTATAGAGGATAGGCACATTCTGGAATTAGACTGATTTTTATTCCTGGTCTCTACACTGACTGCTGCATGACCTTGGGAAAGTGACTTCACCTCTTTGAGCTTCAGTTTCATTTGTTAAAAAAAAAGATAATATTAATACCTGCCTGTTAGGAATTATGAAGATTAAATAGGACAATAGACACAAAGCACTCAGAGTATCTGGCATTCAATAAATGTTATCTATTATTTTTAATTAGTAATGTTTATAAATTGTTTACTTTTATAAAGTCAAATTAACAAGGCTTTACTTTCATAACCCACATTCTAAAATGCTTTCTACAATGATAGGGAAAGGTTGGGGTTGTAGTTAGGCAGGGGAAATTGTTCACAATCTTGGAATACCAGGTAGAATCTGTGCACACACAAACATCATTCATCATCTGCTGTTGGTGGATGGGGAGAGTCAGACATCCTCCTCTGGGTAAATCCAGAGGCATTGCTTCAGAAGGAATTCTCAAGGTACAGCAGTGATTTTCTTTCTTCCTGCCTGCCTGCCTCTTTTCCATTCTTCCTTCTTTCCTTCCATCTTTTTTTAAAGTATAAGGACTCAGAGATCATGTCTAGAGTTCAAAGATGCCAAGATGCTCAGTAGTAAGAAGATATAAACCTTGGAATCAGATTAGATATAGGTCAGAGCCTAGTTGAACCACAAATTATGTGATGGCAGGCAAGTTACTTAAATTTCATCAGTCTCATTTTTCTCTTCTGTAAATGGGACATGTAATATACTCCTTTGTGAACTGTTATCAGGATTAAGTTAAAAGATGCAGCACGTAAGCTGGGGTTTTTTTTTCCTACATGACACTAAGCAAAATAACCTCTGAACATTGATTTCCTCATGAGCTTGAGGATTAAAATCATCTCTTGGGGTTTTAAAATACTTTTATTGAGTCTAGTTGATATATGATAAACTGCATCTCCCTAAAGTGTATGATTTCATAAGTTTTGACATGTATACACTCATGAGCCATCTTTACAATCAAGAAAATAAACCTGCATACATCAGTTCCCCCAAAGCTACCTCCTGCATCTTTCTCTTACCTCTCCCCACCACTCACCTATGAATTCAGGCAACCTTTGATTTAGTTTCTGTCACTTTACATTAGTTGAATTTCCTAGAATTTTAGATAAATGCAATCATACGGTTTGTATGTTTGTCTGATTTTTTTCACTCAGCATAACTATTTTGAGACATCTTAATGTATATCCATAGTTGATCATTTGTATTGCTGAGTAGTATTCTATTGTATGGATATAGCACAGTATATTTCTCTTTTTGCCTGTTGATAGATATTTGGGTCGTTTCCACTTTGAGGCTATTCCAATAAAGCTGCTTTACACATTTGAATTCAAGCTTTTATATGTATATACATTTATTCTTGTCATGTAAATTCTACTGCTGAGAGCAGAATGGCTGAGTCATATAGTGTAGGTGATGTTTAACATTTGAAGATGCTACCAAACAGTTTTCCCAAGTGGTTGTACCATTTTACATTCCTACCAACAGTGTTTGAGAGTTTCAGACCCTCCCCATCCTCACCAACGTTTGATATGGTTGGTCTTTTTAATTTTAGCCAATTATAATCAGTGTATAGTGGTACCTCATCTTGGTCTTTATTTTCACTTCCCTAACAATTCATCATGTTGATCATCTTTTCAAGTGCTTATTTTGCCATCCATATAGCTTCTTCATCAGAGCATATGATCAAGTCTTTTGCTGTATTTTCTTATTTTTGAGTTTTCAGAGTTCTTTATATAGTCTGGATATAAGCTCTTTATCAGACACAGGCTTTGTAATTATTTTTTTCTCAGATGCTTTCATTCTCTTACAGTGTTTTTCAAAGAGCAGGAGTTTCAATTTTGATGAAGTCCAGTTTATCAATATTTTTATTTTATGGCTTATGCTTTTGGTGTTATATCTAAGTCATGTTTGCTTAATCCAAGGTCATAAAGATTTTTATCTATATTTTATTCCATAAGTTTCATAGATTTAGATTTATATTTAGGTCTGTAATGCATTTTGAGTTAATTTTTGCATGCGTGAGTTAGGACCAAAGTTGTTTTACTTGTTTGTTTTTGTTTTGTTGCATATGGACATCCAATTGTTCCAACACTATTTGTTGAAAAGACTGCTGTATCTTCACAAAATTATCTTTGCATCTGTGTCAGAAATCAGTTCTCCATCTGTGTGTGGGTCTATTTCTGGAGTCTCTATTCTCCATTTTTCTATGTGTCTATCTTTTCATTGATACCATACTAGTTCTATAGTAAGTCTTGAAATCCGTAGTATATATTCCACTGGATTTTCTACAAAGATAATAATATTATCTCTAAATAAAGACAGCTGTACTTTTTCTCCAGTATACATACTTTCATTTCTTTTTCTTGCCTGTTTGCACTGGCTAGAATATCTAGTACAATATTGAAAAGATATGATAAAAGCATGCATCCTTGTCTTGTTCCTGACATTAGGGAGAAAGCTTTCAGTCTTTCATCATCAAGTATTTTCTGGTTGAAGGTTTTTTTTGTTTTTTTGTTTTCTTTTTTTGTATTTTTCAGACAGAGCCTCACTCTTGTCACCCAGGCTGGAGTGCAGTGGTGTGATCTCGGCTCACTGCAACCTCTGCCTCCTGGGTTCAAGCAGTTCTGCCTCAGCCTCCCGAGTGGCTGGGATTACAGGCACACACCACTATGCCTGGCAAATTTTAAGGCTGGAGGGCTTTTTGCAGATACCTTTTCAATTGAGAAAGTTGTGTTCTATTTCTACTTTGAGGAAAGCTTTTGACAGAACAGATTTTGGATTTTGTCAAATACTTTTTCTCATATATTAGGTTGTTTATGCTTTTTCAGTTTTGGTTTGTGAATATAATGAATGACATTAATTTTTTAACATTAAGCCAACTTTGAATTCCTGGGATAAAACCAACATAATCATGATGTATTACTCTTTTTATATATTATGGGGTAACAATTTGCTAAAATTTTGTTTGAAATGGTTACATGTATATTCATAAGTAGTTTTTCTTCCTTATAATGACCTTCTTTGGTTTTGCTATCAGATTAAAGCTGGCCTCATAAAACTTCTTAGAAAGTGTTCCCTTTTGCTTTCTGAAAGAGTTTGTGTAAAACTGGTAATATTTTTTCTAAAACTTTTGGTAGAATTCATCAGAAAGACATTGAACTTTGACTTTTATTTATATTAAAGTTTTAACTTAAAAATTTAGTATCCTAGGTAGTGGTATTCAAGTTATCTGTTTCTTCTTGAATGAACGTTGGTAATTTCAACATTCGACTTTCCTGTTGAATGAATGTGGGTAATTTAAACATTCAACTTTCAAAGAAATTGTCCACTTCATCTAAGTTGTGAAGTTTATAGGCACAAAGTTATTAATACTATTCATGTATTCGACTTTTAATAGCTGTAGATTCTGTAGTGATGTTACCGCTCTTATTCCTGATACTGACAATTTGTTTTCTTCTTCCCACTACCATAAGTCTGGCTACAAATATAATATTCTTTATCTTCTCAAAAAACAAGCTTTTTATTTCACTATAATTTTTCTCTATTACTTTTTTCAGTTGCAGTGACTTCTGCTTTGAAATTTATTATTTTCTTTTTTCCTCATACATTAATTTGATCTTCTTTTTCTGTTTTTTTCAAGGTGGCAGCTGAGGTCATTGATTTGTAATTTTTCTTTTTTTCTAATATAGTGTTTTAGTGATATAAATAGCATTAAATTTATTTAGCAGCATCTCACAAATTATAACACATTATGTTTTCATTTAATTCATTTCAAATACTTTCTAATTTCTCTTTTGGTCTTTGCCTAATTCATGTGTTATTTAGAAGTGTGTTAGTTTCCAACCATTTTAGTATCTTCCAGAGATTTTTCCATAATTAATTTCTAATTTAATTCCATTGTGATCCTTGGAATACTTTTAAATTTATTGAGACTTGTTTTATGGCCTAGGTATATAGTTTATCTTTGTAAATGTTTCTGTGTGCACTTGAAAAAGGATGTGTATTCCATTGATGTTGAGAGACTAGCTGTATAAATATCAATTAAGTCATGTTTGTTGGGTGTTGATCAAGGCTACTATATCCTTGATGATTTGTTGCCTATTTGTTCTATTGATTACTGAGTGAGGCTAGTAAAATTCTGAGTATACTTATGATTTTGTCTATTCCCCTTTGCAGTTCTATCAGTTTTTGCTTCACCTATTTTGAAGCTGTGTTATAGGTAAATAAACATTTAGGATTGTTATGTCTTCTGGATGCGTTGACCTCGTTATCATTATAAAACTACCTTCTTTATTCCAGTTAATATTTCTTACTCTGAAATGTATTTTGTCTGAAATGCTAATTTCAGAGTGAAAAATAGTAACTCTGTCAATTTTGTACACCAAATGGAATTTATCCTAAGATGCCTCAAAAATGCTTCCTTAGTCTCGCTAAATGTACATAATTTTCAGATGGTTTTGTTCTATTGTTTAGCCTTTTCTAAGAGTTTTAGAGCACACCAAAGTAACATTAAAGCAAAAAGAAGGAAAAGAGAAGGAAAAGAAGAGAGAAGACAAGAAAAAAGAGAAAAGGAGGAAGACGAGAAGTGGGAGGAGGAGGAAAAGAAAAGCCCAAATGTTCAGGCCTTATGACTTCATTCAGATCTTGGCTTTACAAACATAGCTTCAGAATACCCCTGCAATCATTCTTGGTCCCTTTTCACAAGTCTGCATTCAGTCCTTTAGAATTGCTGAGGATGAGTCTTCAGATGCACCAGGATAGCTAACATAAGAAAAGACTTAAAAATGCCTTTATTGTGATAAGTCATCATGCAGACTGGTATGGAAATGACAGAGCTAGATCTAAAAGAGAGCAGAAATAATTATGTTTCTAAATTGTATAATTTTTCTGTGTCCTTTCTGAGCAAGAGGAACAAAGTTATAAATAAAAGAGGCCTCTAAAAGGGTTTCATGAAGAATCCATTCCTGTCTGCTGGTAGAGACAACAGCTAAACTTGGGCAAAGCAACATGATTTTGGCAAAGCATTGAATCCTGCAACAGGCAGAATAGATACAGATGGCAGACAGTGGCTTCTTGTGACACTGTTGATGCAGAGAGGCCTCCTCCTGCCACAAAGTCACAGAAATGCTTGGTAAAACATTCTTCACAAAATATAAAATTCAAAGCTAAATATAAAGGAAAGAAAAGGAAATTCCCAAATGCCAGAAACAAATAGGCAGAGCAGAAGGGAAGCTACTGCCAGAGTCACACAAGACACAGCCATTGTAGAGATACAATATCGCACGGGACATGGCCTCCACAGGAACATGGGTTCACATGAGACACCTCCATCACAGGGATATAGAATCCCTGCTGTATAGTATTCCGTGATGTACTTAATTTATTTGACTGTTCTCCAGTTGATAGATATTTGGGATATTTCTGGTCCTTATTAACACAGACATTTCTGCTATGAAAAGTCTTAAACAACCCTCCTGGTATACAAAATCAATCGTTTGTTTAGATTATATGTCTAGGAGTGAAATCGCTAGGTCATAATGTACTATAAGTTGTTTATGAAATGTGATATTTTCATGCTACTAACTGATGGATGAAACATAGTATTTATTGTGCTTTTTAATTTGTAATTGTTTGATTACTAATGAGATTAATCATCATTTCATATGTGTATTGGCCATCTGAGGTCCCCTTTCTGTGAAATACCAATTTATACCTTTTGTTCATTTTTATGTTGATTCTTTTGAGAGAGTTATCTATTCTAGGTAATAATTCTTTTTCAGAGACAAGTATCATAAATATCTTCTCTCATTTTCTTGGTGTTTATAACCTTATTTTTAACAGTTTTAATTGTTTAATTTTACTGTAGTCAGATGGAACAACCTTTTCTTTGTAGTTTGGAGTTTTTGCTACTATTTTAAAATATACTTTTCTACTTCAAGATCATAACCTATTTTTCTATTTTGTCTCCTAAACTGTTATGGTTTGAACTTTTCACCTTAACTTTTGGTTGGATTTTTGGAAGGAATCCAAGTATATATACTTAATATGTAAATGGCCCCAGTACCATTTATTGAAAAGCTCACCCTTTCCTCCACTGATCTGCAATTACAACTTCATCTGAAATTCAGTTCCCATGTATGTGAAATCTATTTCTGTTAAGATCCATTGGCCTATTTTTTATCCATCTATTAATACCTCACTACTTATTTCTTAGCTTTAAAATAAATCTTGATATCTGTTAGACCAATCCCCTCCATCATATTTTTCTTTGAGATGTTTTGAGGAGATTTATTTCTTTGACATCATCAGCCTTTTACTATTCTGCACAAATTTTAGAATTAACTGAATTACCAAAGCCAAGCAAAACACAGTTCTTACACACAAAGACACACACAGAAATCTGCTTTTTATATTAAGTTTAGTAAGAAAGATAATGAAAGAAAATGCTAATAGAAAGGTGGTGTGATACTATTAAAGCATACTACAGCAAAATGTATTTTTAGGGATAAAATAGGGTCTTAATGTTGAAAGAAAAAAATTCACCAGAAACAGATAACAGTCCTGATCCAATATAAATGCAACTACACAGTTTCAAAATATATAAGGGAAATTAGAACTGAGAGAATAAATTGATGAGACAATCACTGTGGGATATTTTAACACTTTTCTCTAGGAAACTGACAAATCAAGCCAGCAAAAAAAAGTAAGGCAATAAAAGATTTGAACAAAATAAACAATATTGATCTAGCAGACATATTGAACAAGTAGAGTAAACATTCTTTTCAAGCACACATGGATAATTTGCAAAAATTGACAATGTTCTGGACCATAAAAGAAGCTTTAACCAAGCAACTGTTACCAAACACTGAACTCTCTAACTACAAGGCAATAAAATTAGAAATCAATGGCCAAATGACAGCTTTTAAAAATATATACTTGTCACTCTCAGAATTTCTCACGGCTTGCCAAGCTCTTGGAAAGAGACCCAGGAGATGACCCTTCCCCTAAGAATAAATAAAATACTTAACAATGTAGGCTGGGGAGCCAAGTGGTCCCCAATGGGGATGCCAGTTCCATTACTTACTTACTGGCTGTGGGACCGTGGATAAGTGAGTGGTTTTCAGTGGCACTGTGTGCTCACATTTAGAATGGAAAATGCCTTTCTCACAGGGCTGTGTGAGGGGTAAATGAGATAATACATAGCTCTTGGCATAAAGCATGGCCACACAGAAATATCTAATATTTGGGGGTGTTTTAGGTCTTATTTTTATTGAGTTTTTTAATTTAATTTTGTTTCATTATTATGATCATATTAACATTTGTTTCTCAGCACTACAAAGTGAATATCTCTTAGGTTTTCTTTCCTAGCACATGGCATCCTTTTCAAATCTGAACTGCTAATTCAGTTTCAAAGACAACCTTGCAGTAGAAGTGGCCAAGCAAAGTAACTCTCTTTGAGTTTCTTACACTTGGTTTCTTTAGATCTTCATGACGCCAAGGAGATTCCTTTTTCAATTTCCCTGCTTAAAACGTTTAAAGAGGTAATTCAGATTTGGCCACCTTTTACCAAAGGGATGAACTAATGATTTTTTAGTTTCTTGCTTGAAATCCTTTTTTTTTTTTTTTCCTGAAACAGAGTCTTGCTCTGTTGCCCAGGCTGGAGTGCAGTGGCACAATCTTGGCTCACTGCAACCTGCGCCTCCAGGGTTCAAGCAATTCTCGTGCTTCAGCCTCCCAAGTAGTGGGGACTACAGGTGTGTGCCACCATGCCTGGCTAATTTTTGTATTTTTAATACAGACGGGGTTTCACCATGTTGGCCAGTCTGGTCTCTAACTCCTGAACCCAAGTGATCCACCTCCCTCGGTCTCTCAAAGTGCTGGGATTACAGGCATAAGCCATTGTGCCCAGCCTGAAATCCTTTGAAGTCTCTTGTGGATGGGTGCGGAGCTGTGGATGCGTGGAGTGCTGATGAACTAGCGACAAAGTGACTTGGGTTAGAAATCCAGCCATGCCTCATTGAGTTGCCTGCTGACCCTAAAGAAGGCTAACAGGGCAAGCCTCTTTTTGCCAGAGAAATGCTGAATACCACTATGGGGCAAAGGAATGTGAAATGGCTTTTCCCTGTGCTGGCTGAGGCATCAGCTCCTCCTCTCCTGCTGTGGCCCTCACACTGTTTTGTGCTCTCTTCATATCATGGCATAAAAATGTAAAGGGAGAAAGAGAAAGAGGTGCTTTATGGAACAAAGTTCAAAAAGATGGAAAGTGTTGCATACAATCAAATTAGCAGGAATTATGGAGGAGGGATAGCATCCAGGGAACTTGAAAAGGGCACAGATCATGAATGCACCATAGGACTTATCCAGGCACCTCTGGCAATAATGCCAAAGACACAGGGGTGAAGCATCCAAACAGATGCCACAGAGGAAAACAGTTAAAATATAACATGCATGTTCACATAACAAAATATAGTTTTCCTGGTCAAAATCATATCCTCACAGATTTGGTGATGTGGGAGGAAAGCTTGTGATAAAATAACTAAAAAAACACTGTAAGTTGACAGTGGGATCTGATCACTGTTTCCTTCTTTATTTCATTCTGTATCTGTCTCATTTTATTCCATAACGATGTGCTTCTTCTAGCGTCATAGGCTGAAGTCAAACTATGAAGGGTTGTGACTGTCAAGGTTAGACACTGGAATGGTCTGTGGTTCAGAATCCTCTATAGGATCATGAACTCACTAGGGAGAGAGGTTGTGTCTCATTTTCGTCTTTGTATCCCAAGTGCCTATCACAGGATCTGGGCTTAGAGAATGCTCAGAGAATGTCTGCCCGAGAGAACAAATGATTATACGAATATATGAGTGAAGGAAGAACTGAAGAAGACCTTGAATTTGCTGAGCAAAAAGGTTCATAAGCAAGAGAACAGTATAAAGAGAAACATGTTGTTATATATAAAGTTTCAGTGCCACAAAAGAAATAGCACTCGAATATAAAATTTTCTTTTTAAGGCCGGATGAGGTGGCTCACGCCTATAATCCCAGCACTTTGGGAGGCTGAGGCGGGTGGATCACAAGGTCAGGAGATCGAGACCATCCTGGCTAACACGGACTCTACTAAAAATACAAAAAATTAGCGGGTGTGGTGGCAGGTGCCAGTAATCCCAGCTACTCGGGAGGCTGAGGCAGGAAAATGGCCTGAACCCGGGAGGCGAGCTTGCAGTGAGCCGAGACTGAGCCACTGCACTCCAGCCTGGGCTACACAGCAAGACTCTGTCTCAAAAAAAAAAAATTCTTTTTCATTCTTAGCAAGGCAAGGTACTTCTGTAGAAGGGTGAACCCTTACAGAGGGAGCAATGGTGAGCGCACACTTGGACAAGGGAGGGGAACGGGTTCTTATCCCTGACGCTTGTGCCCCCCACCCCCCACTTCCCGCTGTTGTGTGGTTCCCCTATTGGCTAGGGTTAGACCGCACAGGCTAAACTAATTCCAATTGGCTAATTTAAAGAGAGTGAGGGGGTGAGTGGTTTGGCGGGAAAAATGGTTATGACAGAGCAGGTAATGAGTCAGGGTGGAGTAGGTAATCGGAATGAGTCAGGGTGGAGCAGGTGATTGAAATGAGTCAGGGTGGAGCAGGTAATCAAAAAAGATTGCTTTATGAGGAAGTTAAGTTTAAAAGTAGAAGGTAAAGAATTGAACATACTGACATATTCTTTGAAAAGAAATTTAGAACTCATATCTAACAACGTAAACAAGATGTTAGACAAGCACCACTGGTGGGATGTGACCAAAGAGCCCTTCACCTTTTCCTCCCACTGTTCCTCTGATTTTTTCCCTTTTACAGCCTTATTGAAGTATAATTGACCTAAACTGTATATAATTTAAATCAAACAATTTCACAAGTTTTGATATATATACACCCCCATTTAACCATTGCCACAACCAACATAATAAACATACCCATCACCCCCCCAAAAAATTTTCTCGCCGTGGCCTCTAACAGGCTTGGTGATGGAGCTCCGTGTGGGGTTTATCCAGGAGCGCTCTCAGGAGCACCACCTGTGCAGGAGTGAGGGCAGCAGGCCTGGAGAGAGGGAAGAGTTGGGATTGAACTGCGAAGCATGTACAACAGAGGCCCTGAGCTGGCCCAGCCCATGTGGAACACTGTAGCTGGCATTGTCTTTCAGAGTTGCCCCACATTGAGACAAAGGGGTACAGCCTTTGTATCCCCAAGTCCATTAGTCATGGGATAGGGACATTCCCCTAGGGGGACCTAAACCTTGGCAGATCCCTTTGGCCCAAGGCAATTCCTGGGGAGGGACTCAGCTGTGAGCTTCCGCAGGTGCTACTGCAGCAGCTGTGGACATAAGAACCTGCATCCTGTAGAGTGTCTGGGTGGGCCACCACAGCATCCTCCTCCAGTGATCATGTAAAGGGGTCCAGCAGTAGATGGACCTCATCCTGGCCCTCATGGAGTGGGGAAATCAACAGTTTCTCTTTATAAAAAAGCATCCAGTCCAATCAAACCAAAGTTTATGCCTACATTGTGCGATGCACTACACTTTATGTTCCTCACCTCATTACCACAACCACCCAATAATGCCCCAGTGCAGCAGATGAGGCATTGAGGCACAGAGAGGCCACGTAATCACCCAAGGTCACATCATTAGTGAGCTTAGACCCAACAATCAAAACTCCAGGCAGCCTGGTCCTACGCTACATTTTCAGCTACTACAATCTGCTGCCTCTCTGAGCTTGCATTTCCACCCACATCCTTGTATTCTATTTTATATTGGGTATGTTATCTTTTAAAAGGTACTATTTTTGCATGTTATATTTAAAATGTGAAGATTGGCAGTGTAGCACACACTGCTTTTATAAATCATTCAATGCCTGTATTAGAAATTACCAAAGTAACATTTGCAAAGTTATGTGATATTTTGTCACTACATTAGGAAAAGCTATCATTATAGCTTACAATTGTTGATGGAAAGAAAACACCATCCTACGATTAGTCTGACTCAAAGAAGTTAGAAATGGGAAACATATATGTACGTGTATGTGTGTGTGTATGTGTGTTACATAAACATATATAATACATATATGTGTGTGTGTGTGCATGCACGCTCCACCAGAAAGAAGAACTTAAAAGCCAAGATACAGAATCCCATTTCTTATTAATCAGGAAAGGGTCATCTTTTACTGAATTAACCTAGGAACTGAGAGATGCCAACCTTGAGCTATGCAGATACTCTGATAAAACTCATTATCTATTGTATCTGACAGAATTCACTCAGGGAAGCAAAACCACTAAAGCAGATTAGATATACTAAGAGATACATTAAGGGATTTGACTTTACACAATTGGTATAGCTGGTTAAATAGTCTATATGAAGCTATGCCACCTGTTTCTGGTACTGAAGTCAGCAGTTCTCAGCCAAGGCCATTAGGAAGAGAAGATGGATATGAAATGGGGGAAGGAAAAAAGGGAATCTGTGAGGATGAGCTAAAAAGGACTGGTACCCACTGCCTCCAAGCCTTCTATTTCAATGGAGGTGTCCTGCAGGGGAAGCTGGCACCCTCCATCACAGAACTAAGCACACACCTGGTCCAAGAGTCAGAGAAGTGGCAGGCAAAAATGCAGCAGGAGCTGGAGGTGAGCCAGCAGATCAGCTGCTGTATAGGACAGCATGCCATGGGGTGCAACAGCACTGCGTGACCTGCCCTGACCTTCTGGGCATCTGGAATCTGGCTGCTGCTTCACTTCCATTGCTACATCTCCTGTGAAATGCCTCTTGTGGCCCGCCCAACTGACTTAGAATTCCACAGGGAAAGGAAATCTGGGCAATGCAGTTTTAGCTAAGTTGACAAATACAAAGGTATCACATCTATTCCTGAGGGCAGATCTAGCACAAGAGGGAAGTGACCAGATGTCCTGCCTAAGAAAATGTCACCTCAGATCTGCTCAAAGCAGCCATTGATATCATATAGGCAAAGACTTAGGATTTTTCCAACAAAATGGTGATCATTTACTAAGTACCTGACACTAGGTTCACTGCTTTACATTCATTAACCCAGTTAACTGTTAAGGGTGGTATTAATGATTAGGTCCCCTCTTTTGCAAGTAACTGCACTAAAGCTTAGAGACATTCATTGGCTTGCTCAAAGCCACACAGTAAGCTGCAAATCTGAGACTGATTCCAGAGTTCCTATCTGTCACCAGTTTTCTCTGCTGTTAGTGATAAAATGATAAATTTTAAAATAGTAAATAAATAAGAGGTGTAATTTTTTTTTAAATTCCAAAACCTAAGTGCTCCTGTGGCACTAGTCACAGAAAATCTTCTCAATCATCATCACCTTTTATGAGAATGTGAGATGAGCCAGACTCTTCATTACATTAGTGTAGCCCCACTTTTTCCTGGGTAGACACTGAGAGACAATCCGAGACCCACAGAGAATTAGATCTAGAAGGGAATCAATAGATGTTCTACCCTCACAAATGAGGAAGGAGTAGGGAAGAGAAAAATACTAAAAGCCCAGAAAGAAATTGAGAGAAGAGAACTACTGGCTTGAAAAAAGGAAATGTTGTGGCCTGCAAACACATGAAAAAAAAGGCTGACATCACTGATCATTAGAGAAATGCAAATCCAAACCACAGTGAGATGCCATCTCATACCAGTCAGAATGGCTATTATTAAAAAGTCAAAAAACCACAGATGCTGGCATGGTTGCCAAGAAAAAAGAACACTTTCCACACTGTTGGTGGGGGTATAAATTAGTTCAACCATTGTGGAAGACAGTGTGGTGATTGCTCAGAGACCTAGAGGCAGAAATATCATTTGACCCAGCAATCCCATTACTGGGTATAAACCCAAAGGAATATAAATCATTCTATTTAAAGATACATGCACATGTATGTTCATTGCAGCACTGTTCACAATAGCAAAGACATGGAATCAACCCAAATGTGCATCAGTGATAGACCGGATAAAGAAAATGTGGTACATATACACCATGGAATATTATGCAGCCATTAAAAGAATAAGATCACATCCTTTCAGGGACATGGATGGAGCTGGAAGCAGCTATCCTCAGCAAACTAATGCAGGAACAGAAAACCAAACACCTGGCCGGGCGCGATGGCTCACACCTGTAATCCCAGCACTTTGGGAGGCCAAGGCAGGTGGATCATGAGGTCAGGAGATCAAGACCATCCTGACCAACATTGTGGAAGCCCCTCTCTACTAAAATACAAAAAATTAGCTGGGAGTGGTTTTATGCACCTGTATTCCCAGCTACTCAGGAGGCTGAGGCGGGGGAATCGCTTGAACCTGGGAGGCAGATGTTGCAGTGAGCCGAGATCATGCCACTGAACTCCAGCCTGGTGACAGAGCAAGACTCTGTCTCAAAAAACAAACAAAAACAAAAACAAAAACAAACCTAAACACCTCATATTTTTGTCACGCATATCCTTGTGAAGAGACAACCAAACAGGCTTTGTGTGAGCAATAAAGCTTTTTAATCACCTGGGTGCAAGCAGACTGAGTCCGAAAAAAGAGTCATTGAAGGGAGATAGGGGTGGGGCAGTTTTATAGTATTTGGGTAGGTAGTGGAAAATTACAGTCAAAGGGGGTTTTTCTCTTGCGGGCAGGGGCGGCGGGAGGGTGTCACAATGTGCTCAGTGGGGAAGTTCTGAGACTCATTTTCTAGGAGAAGGAATGTCACAAGGTTAATTGATCAGTTGAGGTGGGGCAGAAACAAATCACAATGGAGGAATGTCATCAGTTAAGGCAGGAACTGGCCATTTTCACTGCTTTTGTGGTTCTTCGGTTGCCTCAGGCCATCTGGATGAATACATGCAGGCTTGGGCTCAGAGGCCTGACAATTTTCACTTATAAGTGTGAACTGAACAATGAGAACACATGGACACAGGGAGGAAAACAACACACACTAGGGCCTGTTGAGGGAGGATTGCTGTGGGAGGGAGAGCATCAGGAAGAATAGCTAATGGATGCTGGGCTTAATACCTAGGTGATGGGATGATGTGTGCAGCAAACCACCATGGTACATGTTTACCTGTGTAACAAACCTGCACATCCTGCACATGTACCCCAGAGCTTAAAATAAAAGTTAAAGGGAAAAAAATTAAAAAAATAAAAATCATAGGCTGGAATTAAAAAAAAAGAAAAGGAAAAGGAAATGTTCTTCAGAACAAAGGTGGGAAGAAAAAAGGTGTGTGAGCAGAAGAAAAGTACACATGCATTGTCAAAAAAAAAATTGTCTAGAATCATGAGCAGATAAAATGAAAGTTAGAAATTTTACGGAAGGCCAGACACAAGTCTCACATCTCTCAGTCAAACCTCTGTAAATGTGTATTGTCATGACCAAGAGGGCCTTAACATTCCCCCATTTCCTAAACCTTAGACAGGCTTTTTCCTGATTCTATTGCCCTCCTTCCCTTTTCTTAGAGCATTTACTTTAGAAAACTTGTATTTGTAGATCCTTTCTCTGCTCCTTTGAGATGTAAATCTTTTTGAAAGCTTCTTACCAGTTTTACAACCCTAGAATGTCTTTCTCAAGGACCCGGAAGCCATCTCTTTGAAATGTAAATACTCCCCTACTTACTAGGTTTTCTTTAGGATTTTTTGACTTCACTACAGTGGGAAAGCAATATGCATTCAGAAGAAACCATATTTCAGTACCCATGCAACCACTCTGCTTTTCACTTTCAGCACAGTATGCAACAAATTACATCAAATAGTCAACATTTTATTATAAAATAGGCTTTGTGTTAGATGATTTTGCCCAACTGTCAGATAATGTAAGTGTTCTCAGCACATTTAAGGTAGGCTGGTCTAAGCTATGATGTTCTGTATGTTAGGGGTATTACATGCATAATAATATTGTCTGTTACATTTAAATTTCTTCAGCTGTCCCAAAATATCTTTTGTTGCTTTTTATTTTCTAATCCAGTAGCCATTTAAGGTTCATATGCTTTCTGGATTGTTCTGCCTCTTTTGTCACTTTAAACCTAGGCAAGTCTGCATGTTTTTGTGTATTGTCTGTTTTTTTATGACACTGACTTTTAGAAAGACTTCAGGCCTATAGAATAAATCAGATTCTAGATACATCTGTTATTTTTCTCACTAGATTCAAGTTTCCCAATAACTACATGATACATATTATCTTCAAATACACTTGGAGCATGCATGATGATAGGCCATCTGTGGAACCATAAAACAACTATCAAAAATGTCAAAATCATGCAAAGTTCCTCAGAAGTTGGTTATGATGCTATATTGAAGATTTTGCGAATATGGTGGAAAAAGGAATTAGTGACCCAACAAAGGTTGTAAGACCTGCTTTACTGGATGCTGCTGGGGTGGCCTCTCTGTTAACTGCAGCACAAGTTGCAGTCACACAAATTCCTAAAGAAGAGACAGGCCTTGGAATGGGTGCAATGGGTGCAATGGGAGGTGGATGGGAGGTGGCATGTTCTAATTCCCAGAATAGGGCTTTACCTTTATTAATGAACTGTGGCAGGAAGCCCAAGGCAGTGTGCCTCACCAATAGCTTCAGAGAAGTCGGTTGGAGAAAATGAAGAAAAGGCTGGCTGACGTTTAAGAAATCACTGTAACCATCAGTTACTGGTTTCAGTTGACAAAATATATAATGGCTTACCACTGTTGTTGTCCATGCCTACAGATAATTTATTTTGTCTCTTTGAATAAAAAGACATTTGTACATCCCTGAAAAAAAGAAGTCAAAGGATTAAAATCTTATGGAGGATGTTCTCTGACTATATCAGTATTAAATTAGAAATTAATAGTAATGGCTGGGCACAATGGCTCACGGCTGTAATCCCAGCACTTTGGGAGGTCGAGGCGGGCAGATCAAGATGTCAGGAGTTTGAGATCAGCCTGACCAACATGAAGCCCCATCTCTACTAAAAATACAAAAATTATCTGGGCATGGTGGTGCATGCCTTTAATCCCAGCTACTCAGGAGGCTGAGGCAGGAGAATTGCTTGAGCCTGGGAGGCGGTAGTTGCAGTGAGCTGAGATCAAGCCACTGCATGCCAGACTGGGCAACAGAGTGAGACTCCGTCTCTCTCTCTCTCTCTCTGTCCATATGTGTATATATATTATATATTATATATATTATATATATATAAAATAAGGTATCTAGAAAATCTCCAGATATTTAGAAATTAAGCAACATATATAAATAATCCAGAGGAGGTCAAAGAAGTTACAATAAAAAAAGTAGGAAATAAACTGAATGATATTGAAAACATTTCAAAATTTGTGACATGCAGCCACGCATTGCTTAAAGGGAAATTTATAACTTTGATATAGTCAAAAAGAAGGAAATGCTCAAGTCAGTGAGCTAAGCTACAAGTTAAACTCAAAGTAAATGTAAAGAAGAAAATAACAAATATGAGTAGAAATTAGTTAAGGTGTGGAATATCAAATATGTCCATTGTAAAAGTACATTTTTCTGTTTCCCCCACCTGAAACAAAAGAGAGAAAAACAGCAGTAAAAAATTACTTTAAAAATTAATCAAATTGATAAACATTCACTGAAACTAATCACAGAGAAAAAGTGAAGACACAAATTACTAATATTATGAATAAAAAGGGTGCCCAACTAAAAAAATCTACTTATGCTAGGAGGATGATAAGATAATGTTATGAAGATATGTCTATTGTAAAAGTATACTTTTCCTTTTACCCCCAAATAATCTCTGGGGGGATACTTTCAGACCACATAAATATCCTGTTCTGCAACCTTTCACTCAATGGTTTTGGCATTCACTGACCATTCTTGTTTGAATCAATTATTACATTAGTGTTGAAAGTGCTAATTTTATAATTGTATTATTCCATGTACGTTTATCAGCTAGCATTATTTTATTAAAAGAGCCTTTCTCCTGGCTCTCATCTTATTGTTATGAATTCAGTTTTTACTCAATGTGTTGTAATCAATTATCATCATTCTTTTTGATGTGTAACTTGTCCCAAGACAGCTTTTGTATTTTTCTTTTTAATGAACCCATTAGTCTCTGTGCACTTACTTGCCTTTTGACGTGAGATTTTTCAGTCTTACCTTGTAAATTCCCTGCTCTGGGTCTGGAAATAGTCATTTTTCTAAGGAGTACTTTAGTAGTGAGTGGTATTTAGCAATCCAGATCTAAGTGCCAATTGTGCTTGCTGCAATTAAAGTGGCTTTGCTTAGACGTCCTTTCAGCAGACAGAGCTAGGAAGTTCGCAGGTATGTCTGTGTTGTCTATCTCTCCATCTATCTATGTATGCAAATCTCATCCTTAACCCTCTGGTTGAAATAAAACCCTATGTAGTTTGTCCTCACCTATGAAAGTAAAAACCTTGCTTCACCAAAACATCAGTATATTTACACATTTATTTTATCCTATTAAACACACAGTTTTAGATGTATACCACCCATGCCACTACCAAGAACAAACCTGCTACGTAGATGTCAGTAGTTATTTGTGTTTCTTTTTGACTTTATAATATATTCTATTGAGCATGTACAGTCAAAGCCCTGTGCTCAAAAGTTACTTGACTCAATTATTTTCTCTGTGTGATTGTTGTCAACTGGATATGCAGTCGAGTTTGTTTTTATTTTCTGTTGCCAAGCTTAGTGGCTGTCTTTTCATCTTTGTATTATATTTTTGAATATTTAAAATATTTACATGGTCCAAAATTAAAATTATATAAAAATGTCTGCTAAGAGAAATCTCATATATTCCTCTACCCTCTATATTGTCTTTACACACCCTGTATGTAAATATTTTCATTAATTGCTGGTTTATATTTTCTGTTTCATTTTCTAAGAATAAGCAATTTCCCCTTGTTTCTCACATGATCAATAGCCTATTATGTCCACTCCATTGAGACCTGCTTTATTTCATTAAACAATATATCCTGGATTCACAGAGAGCTTCCTTATCCTTCCTTCTGAGCTGTATTATACACCACAGTGTGGAGTATAATATTTAATTAGACCATTCTCCTTTGGGTGATCATTTAGACTGACTGTAATATTTTGTCATCACAAAGGATTTCTTAATGAATAACCTTGCACATATGCTGTTTCATATTTGTGAAGGTGTGTCTTCAGGGAACATTTCTGGAAGTGGGCTTCCTTGGTCAAAAGATTAGTGTATATATAGTTTTGTTAGATAACTGTCAAATCCCTTGCAGAGGGATTATATTCTTTTGCATTCCCAATAGAGTATGAAAGTATCTAAATTTCCACAACCTTGACAAGTGTGTTATCTAAATTTTGAACTTTTTGCCAATCTGGTAGATGAGAAATGGTCTCTTTCTAATGTTCTAATTTGTATTTTACTATGATTAAGGCTGAATATTTTTTCTGTATTTAAGAGCCATTCCAATGTCTTTTGTGAACTATTTAGGCGGCTTTTTCCGTGTTATATCCTATTTTGCAGTTTTCTCTTGATTTTAAAAAAAGTCTTTATTTCTTGGAAAAAATAGTCTTTTATCATAAGAGAAGTATCCTGCTGTATCATTGGTCTTTTGACTTTGCATGTGGTGCTTTGTCATGTAAAAATATTTTTATTATTTTTATGTAATTAATATTATCAATCTTTTCTTTTGTTATTTCTAGATTTTGGATTATAGTTTGAAGGTTTCTCCATGCCCAGTTCAAGAAAGAAATCACTCCTGTTTTCTTCTATGACTTACTTGGGTTATTTTTTTACACTTGGTTGTCTGATTCATTTGGAGTTTGTTCTGGTGATTGGTACAAGACATGAAACTACTTTTTTTCCAAATGAGTATCCAGTTGTCCTAACATCATTTACTTTTAAGCCATTTTTTCCAAAACAGATGGAATCTGAGGCCTGGAATTTGTTCTATGTGTGATGGATGAGCTGAGATGCCAAACAGGGAGCAATGGGCCAATCCACAGATTGGCAGTGACAAGAAACCACTGTTACCTCTAGGCTAAAGTATCCAAGGCAGGAAAAAAATGTTCCTGAAGTCCTGGGTTTGGGCCCAGCAAGCAAATGCTAAAATCATGGTAGTCTATCCAATGAGATCTGAAGCCATAGCAGAGCTCCAGCGGCTTAGCTACCTATGGAGAAAGGTGTAGAGATGCCTCCTTTCCTTCTGCCCACCAATCTCCCACTAACGATTCCCATTGGCAAAACCCAGATGGAAGCCAACTGATAAGGGAGCCTGAGAAATGCATCCTAGAGTTTAGCCTTCTGGCAAAATGTAACAGAGATGTGTGGAAAAGAGAGGGGACTTCTCTCAGGGCAAAGAACCAGCAGAACACTCAACAAAAAATGTAAAAAGAGCCAGGCACCACGGCTCACACCTGTAATCCCAGCAGTTTGGGAGACCAAGGTGGGTGGATCACCTGAGGTCAGGAGCTTGAGACCAGTTTGGCCAATATGGCGAAATCCCTCCTCTACTAAAAATATGAAAATTAGCCAGGCGTGGTTGCAGGTGACTGTAATCCCAGCTACTCAGGAGGCTGACGCAGGACAATTGCTTGAACCCAGAAGTCAGAGTTTGCAATGAGCCGAGATCGCACCACTGCACTCCAGCCTGGGCAACAGAGTGAGACTCCATCTCAAGAAAAAAAAAAAAAAGGAAGAAGAGTGTTCTTTATCTTCTCATTATAGGAAATTCTCAGAAGATATCATGCAACTCATTAACACTTTAGTAGACAAATATCTCTAAGTGAATAAGAAAGGTATATATTGGTTTAAAGATAGACTGTAATACAGTCTTCCCATTAGTTCCAACCATCTCTCCTAGAGATAATCTGAATCTGTAAGACTTTTATTATGTGTATTTGTTTTATGAAGGATTGAGGAAACCAAGAGCGTAGAGATAAGCTAGGAAGATTTTTTAAAAAATAGAATTAGTTCTGCAGAAACCAGAGCATCCAAAAGACTAAGACTCAAATCAAACTAAAAACAATTGTATGAAAAAATTTCAAATTTGTTTAAAAACAATTAAAGAAAATCAAATAAAATTGAAACAAACAAAAAAAATAATGAGCCATATACAGTGAAGGCAGGAGGGCAGGAGTTTAGATAATCAGAAAAAAAAAAAAATTTCTCTTTTACCCTTGGTGATGTCTTTTTTTTTTTTTTCTTTCAGATTGAGTCTCACTCTGTTGCCCAGGCTGGAGCACAGTGGCGTGATCTTGGCTCACTGCAACCTCCAGGGTTCAAGGGAACCTGTAAAGGAAACCAGTAGCTTATCTGTACCAGTGGCATATCTGTATAATCTCTTAGAAAATCAAGGGTTCAAAATCAAACACCTTGCTAGTTTGCGATTCAGTGATTCAAGAATGAATTCTGCAGTTGGAGGACTCTCTAGGCCCTTCAGTGTTCCACTTACTTTTTCTGCTCTTATTCCCTCTCTTCTTCTACACGCCAGCGTCCTCTTCTGCACTGGATGGTATCATGATTTTCAGGAAGGAGAGTCAAAAAGGGAAACAAGTCAGCTCAAGCAAAAACATCCTGGCACACGGGAGGACGAAGTAAATAATGATAGTATGTGGGACACCATTAGTCATTGTCATTCTGCATGCTCCAGCACCAATAAAACCATCTTAACCAAACACCCTTGGATAATTGGTTCCCATGACTAATACATAGCCACTGATCCAGAGCCTAAGGAGTGTGAATGACAAACAATAAACCTGCTTGGGATAACGTGATTGATTGTAATTCCATTTGAAATAAATGTAACAAACAGCAATGAGCCATCTAGTTAACCATGCAGCACAACTTAATTGTTAAGGTTGTTCATTTCATTACACAGTGTCCTTTCCCAGAAAAAGAAAAAAACAAAATCTGCTCCTTGGATGAGGAATCATTGTTCTTTACCTGGTCAGAGGATTTCCACTGATCACTTGGCTTGTTTTGTTTTACTCCAGCTTCTAGAAAACATGGAGGCTGTCTATAGCCTGTAGGTAGGACTAAGAAAATATGGGTTGGCTTAAATCAAGCAATTTTATGTCCCTCTCCCTATTATTGATCTATTCTTTTTCACCCATTTCCAATTTGTTTTGTATTTTCTACATTCCTATAAGACCATCTGCTGCAGGTTGAGTAATCTGGAAACAGATGCAGAGATGGATTTTATAGTTCAAGTTGTTTATTTGTAATTATCACTGAGGAAGAGAAAAGGGAGGAAGTGGGATTGGGCAGCAGAAGAAGGCAGGCCTGATCAAAATTTTGTCAACCTAACAGGGCACTGTGAAGTAACCATTGATCATTAAGAGTGCCTATGTCAAGCCAAAATGCCCAGCATACACACCCTTCACTCAGTCACCGACACAGGCTGTCTCAGCAAGAATGTGACCTCAGGCAAGGTGAGTCTCTGAGCTGAGGTAGGATCTGAAGTTGCTGAACTATGGAGATGATCTGCGATGCAATTACCTCCACTGAGCAGCAGGTCCTTCCTCGCGGGGGAAGCTGGGAGGTACATCAGAGTCTACCACAGTCCCCTTCTTTTAGGCTTAGAACCATGTTTCTATATGGGATGGAAGATCAGATCCTCCAGATGTCTGGCGAGCCTCTCATCCTGAAGGGAGACTTAGAAGAGAGACGTTGGTGAGATAAACAGTAGTGCCCAAAGCTGGAGTGGGTCTCAGGGTTCCACCTAATACTCATTATCTCCTTTCTTCCCTAGGCATTTTAAGTTCCATTAACCCTCAGCTTCCACTTCTACTGGCCTGGCTGCCTTCTTGTTAGTCTGACTCAGACCTTCAGCCCTAAGGACCTGAGTCACTGGCCACCATCCTCCTTGGCTGCAGTCACTCGGCCAATCAATTTACAGTCAAAATTGGGAAAGGGAGTACTAAGTTAGGACCAAGTGGATGGGTTAAGTTCTACACAAATTCCTCTCTGCCTCTATTGTGCAATAACACCACCTCCTCTTAATGATTGGAGTCAATTACCCTGCCAAGATAGTGACTTCTTCTTGCTTTTGGTCCCTGTAAACAAGGAGATCAAAGTACCCAAGTGAAAACTAAAGCTTGTAATTCAATGGGACTTTTGCTATGTCCTCTTGGGAAAGTGTTATCCTCTTTGAAGACCAGGACTGTTAATCTAGCAGAACCCAGAATTACAGGGAAAGAAATCACAACGACCCTCAATGGGTCATTGAGAGTGATAGTAAGTGAGACCACTACTGTTTTCACTCCTTAATTCCTGTGTCCATGTAGTCTTCCTTCAGGGACACAGCACCATATAAAGATCATTTATTTGATCCAAATACTGAATTTTACATAATGGCAATCTGTCTGTGTAGAGTATTACCTCTGAACCTCCAATGCTCTATCAGGCTAGTAGTTTCTGAGCAGAGTATATGATATGACCAGTGAATTATCTGGTTACAGACTCACTCATGAACTTCCTTTGCTATAAAGTGCATCCCTTGGTCTGGTGCAAAGTTATGCAGGATCCCATGCCAGTGAATCAAATACTCGATAAACTTTTGGATACTAGTGCTGGCTGAGGTCATCTGTACAGGAAAGGGAAACTCATACTCAGAATGCATGTCCATTCCTGTGAGATACGTGAAATTAACCACTAACCCTTGCAGGACGAAATGAGCCCAGCGTTGTAAACCTGCCATCTAGAGGCCAGTTGTTCTTCCTGAGTGAGTAATGGTGTCATATTAACATTGGTCTCTGTTGCTGACATATTAAATATTCAGCAGCGACCATAGCTAGATAAGCCTTTGTAAGTGGGAGTCCAGGTTATTTGAGCCATGCAAATCCTTCATCATTGCTGCTGTCATTTATGTATCCATTTGGCCAGCACTGGTGTGGCTGATGACAGGCCGGCTGATGTTGGCTGGGTAGGTCACTTTGTCTAATCGGTTGTGTCACTTCCGTGACATATGCTATCTGGTGGGCACTAATATGTGATACAAAGATCATCACAATTTCTATCCATTCACGTATGTCTATCCACATGCCTCTACTTCACTTTCTAGTCACCAGTGTTCCATTCTTTCTCCCTCCAGGTTCATGACCAGGTGGGCAGGCCATTCATCACTGTCCATGAGTTTGTATGAATTTAACCTCAAGTTAGCTCTCCTTCTATGAAAGGAAATAAGCAGGTCCATCTCTCTGCCTTGGGAGTTTTTCCTGGTCTTTCGAAGCCATCTCTGAATGAGATTGATTGAATGAGATTTGAATACCTGCCATTCATTTTGACTTGTACCCAAATACTAAGCCAACCTATCTATACGCCAAACTCAGGGTTTTTGTACTCCTTTACCTGGTGTAGTAAATTCTCCACATAGCCATAGATATGAGCTGAGGAAGGTATGCTGGTGCCACAGTGGTGGGTGCCACGTGGACTGGAGCCTCCTGTTCATGCTCAAGCTTGCTTGGGTTTTCTGGTCTACCCAGCCCTCAGTCCTAGATATACCACTTTCATTTTATAACTAATTGTGCCTGGGCTTAGCTGACCTTATAACATAGTGTATCTGACAGGACCCAGCTCATAATGGACAGTTCTAGACATATAGTCACTTGGTTTCTCATGGTCAGGTGATCCATCTCTACTTGGATCCAGTAGTATGCCAGAAGTTGTTGCAAATGGTGCATAATTCTCCACTTCAAATGGATGGCTGTGCTCCAGAACCTCAAGGCCCAC
The DNA here is from genome assembly GCF_000001405.40 of Homo sapiens. Taxonomy (NCBI): domain Eukaryota; kingdom Metazoa; phylum Chordata; class Mammalia; order Primates; family Hominidae; genus Homo; species Homo sapiens. The sequence continues at coordinate 136,373,085 of NC_000005.10, read as the reverse complement.
ATGTGATTCTCGCACTAGTACTTGATGAAACTATGACTGACATCTTTGCCTACCACTGACAATCCTTTGGGGAGTGACTGAAGAAAGTATTACCATGTAAAGAACCTAGGGTTCTTTCTCCTAGGAATTGGTCTATCTCTTCAATCCGTTCCAGGTTTGAAAACAAGATCAGATCCACAAACTGGCAAGGAATGATGACTTTTCTAATAGACTATATTTTTAGAGCAATTTTGGGGTCACAGTGAAGTTTAACAGAAAATACAGAGAGCTCCCACATACCCCCAATCCCCACACATATAGTCTCCTCCTGTTATAAACACCACACACTGGAGCGGTACATTTGTTACAATCACTGAATCTACACTGAAAAATCATTACCACCCAAAGTCCATAGTTTACATTAGAGTTTATATTAAGTTGTTGTACACTCTACAGGTTTTGACAAATGTGTAATGCTGTGTATCCATTCTTTTTTTTTTTTAATTTTCTTTGAGATGGAGTCTCGTTCTGTTGCCCAGGCTGGAGTGCAATGGCATGACCTGGGCTCATTGCAACCTCTGCCTCCCGGGTTCAAGCGATTCTCCTGCCTCAGCCTCCCGAATATCTGGGATTACAGGCACGTGCCACCGTGTGCAGCTAATTTTTGTATTTTTAGTAGAGACTGGGTTTCGCCATGTTGGTCAGGATGGTCTCAATCTCCTGACCTCATGATCTGCCCACCTCAGCTTCCCAAAGTGCTGGGATTAAAGGTGTGAGCCACTGCGCCTGACCTGTATCTACTTTTAATTATAGTATCATATAGAGCAGTTTTACTGCCCTAAAAATCCTCTGTGATGTTCCTATTAATTTCTCCCTTCCCCTAACTGCTAGCAACCACTGATATTTTTACTATCTGCATAGCTCTCCCCTTTCCAGAATGTCATATAGTTGGAATCATACAGTATACAGCCTTTTCAGATTGGCCTTTTCATTTAGTAATACATATTTATGGTGTGGAATTACAACTTTTTATCAGAATGACATCCTCAGCCTGCCAGTCATCCTTTCCTGATTTTTCTACAGGCACAAACTGAATAATATCCTAGTCAGTTGCCTCTTTTTGTCCCTAGGGATGCTATATTCTATTAACCATTTTCATAACTCTGAGAGTCATGTTTCCTTACCCTCCAATCTTGCTCGTCATTACAATAATTGCAACAGTCTGGTTTAGGATGTTCAAGCACCTCCACCTGGCCTCTATTTTTTCAGGGTTCTCTGATGCCCATTGTTACCAGTGAGTAAGTTCTGTAACAGACTATCCCACCATCAACCTTGGCTTAAAGAGAACCATGAATGAAAATTTCAGTGATCCTGGTGGACATTTAGTCAGTGCATTTATGATGCCTTTGGTAAAAAGATGTGTCCTCTGGGCCCCATGAACATGATCACCTCAGGGACCTTCTAGCCAAACGGGATATATTGATTCTAGCATCCTCACATCTATAAACTTTTCATTTCTTTCCTTCATCTTTTGCCATGAAAATTATGTCACTCCAGCTTTGTGTGATGTGAACTATTCCTTTTTTATGTTTCCAGAGACCATTCTAGGAGTAAGTTCACACCATCCCCCAGAACCGTGCCAAGATGTGAAATCCTACAATTGAAGAGAACATTACCAAGTCAATAAACTCTTCACCATCTAATTTGTATTACAGGGCCCCTTGGTCAAGCATCCTCAGAATCCCATTCCAAATATACTCCCCTGGCTTTTTCCAATACATGTTGGCTAGTTCCTATAGCATTTTTGGGAAATTGTCCCTTTCCTGACTTAATCAGGTTTAGAACATCCTCTGCTATATTATGGCTCTATGGATATTAATGTCAACTCAGACCCTGAGTACAACTTAACCTTAGTTACAGGCCTTGTGGGCAGGAAGGAATGTAGTATAGACTCTGGGCAGGCATGTGTACCTCATGGGGGTGAGACCTATATAATGTATTCCACGAGGTGACAGCTGCTAGCTTTTAATATGGATGGATGGACCATGTCTTCAGGCTCAGAGGGTTCAGATGTACAGTTGACCCTTGAACAACACAGATTCTAACTATGTGGGTCCACTTATATGTATTATAGATTTTCTTCAACAAAACATAGCTCAAAAATACAGTATTCAGAGGATGTGAAGCCCACATATATGAAGGGCTGACTTCCTATATGCAGATTCCATGGAGATGACTGCAGGATTTGAGTACGAACAGATTTTGTATATTTGGGGGTCTTAAAACCAATCACTCTAGTGATTGAGGGTCAACTGGGAGACAAAATTTTCTGAGACATCATGTAGATATCTCTATCTCTTTAGAGTTCTGGACTTTCTTAAACATGGTGATAATCTGACATGACAGACCATCCTTAGATGGCCATTTGGTTATCTGTGAAATTCAGTCACTCTGAATATGATTTCTCAGGCTGAGACTTTGACTTTCTATATTCTCCCAACAGAGTTTTTAAGAGCTTCTTTGCAACCAAGATGTCCTCCAGCTTTTACACCTGGAATTCTATTGCCTATTACGCATCTTCAGCTACTCATCTTTCTGCCGAATATCGGTGGCATTTAATGATAGCTATCCAAAGCCATTGTGCTTGTCATTATTATTTCTCTGGTGAGTTTCAAATGCATATTTTCCACTTACCAATGCATTCTCTTCCACAAGCATAACATCCCAATTCACCACAGGTGAAAACTTAAATGGACCATCACCTTGTTTCATGGGCCATCTGTGCTCCATTTATGACCAGTGATAGGGTCAGCGCCAACTACATGGTGGCAATCCAGCTCAAACATCCCATTTTATCACCTAGTTGCTCAATCCATTCCTGATATCAATTAATACAGGTTAGGTTTTCCAGAAGTAGACACTGATATAGAGTTTAAGGTGAAAAATATTCATTAAGGTTCAACATTTTTAAAAGGAAAAGGGAGGAAGCAGTATTGGGGAGAGGAAGAAATCAAGCTATGATAATGTGGGCAATATAGCAGCAAGCCCTGGAAAGAGTATTGCACGTAAGCATGTTCCTGAAATGGTCTGTATTCTCTCACCTTGCTCAGTCACAAAATACAGTCTATCCTGCAAAGGGTGTGGCCCTGGGAAAGGTGGCTCTTTGTACCTGAGGCACACCCTGAAGGATATGGCAGCTGGAGGCTATCCACTGACTGCCATTCCTGCACACTTCTTTCATTGAAGGAGGATTTCCATTCTGACCACACCATCTTAAATCTTTTTTTAAAGGCAGAATACAAATGTCTTAGTCTGTTTTCTGCTGCTGTAATAGAATACCACAGACTAGGTAATCTATAAAGAAAAGAGATTTATTTGGCTAATAATTCTGAAGGCTGTGAAGTCCAAGATCAAGGGCCACATCTGGTGAGGGATTTTTTTACTGTGTCATAACAGGGCAGAAGGCACCACATGCAAAGGATTGTCCCTTGGTGAAAGGCAAAAGAGTAAGCTCAAGAGACAGAGAAGGAAGCTGGACTCCCCCAGTAACCCACTCCCAGCATAAAGGTGTTAATCCATTTATGAAGGTGAAGCTCTCGTAAATGAATCACCTCTTAAAGGTCCCACCTCTTAATACTATTACAATGATAATTAAATTTCAACATGAGTTTTGGAGGAGACATTTAAACAATAGCAATCAATAAATATTTCATATGGGTTTCAGTTTGCTTTTGTAAGAAACCTTTAATAGGTTACAAGCCAATTATAGCTTACATAAATCCTGTAAAAGCATAACCATTGAAATCTGCAGTTATAGCCCAAACTGAAAGATGAATAATTTTTCATAAAACACATAAATAGGAATAGAATTAAATTGGCATCATTCTTATCATCACTTTGAGACATAGTGCTATTTCCAGTCACTCCCTGTTTGTAAATAAAAACACAATTTTTCATTACTTGAGAACAGTCTACAGCACAAAATTTTTCCCCAGATTTTGTGCTCACTCTAAAGAAGATTTACGGTGATGCTGTCATTAATCAAAATGAGAGAGATCTACTTTTTAAGTGGGTTCAGTATAGTGGCTTCTAGCAATTTCAGCCAGAATTTTTCTATGGAAACTGATTTACATTAATTCCTTAAATCTAATGCCTAAGAAGTCTGCTCAATATATTTCTATCTAGGAGAAAGAGCCAGACCTGACTAATAACCACACAAAGTTGCATAGACTTAAGGAACATTCTGAGAGGGGAGAAAAGGGAGAATGAGTCTCCCAAAAGATTCATTTATTTGAAATAAACCTTCATATTCATGGCTTTGGTTTCTAAAACGACCTAGTCATTCAATAGACAATAACAGTGTTTCCCAAAAGTGTGATTTATGAATCATCTGCATCAGAATCACTTTAGGTTCTTAAGGAGATAAAGTGCTTATTTTTCTAGGGAACGAGAAATTTGTATGTTTATATTTTTAACAGGCTAGTTAGGCGATACTGGAGCACACAAAGTCTGAGAACCACAGATCAATAGTATGTTCACTGTTCAGTCACAGGGTGAGTTGTTAAGCAATAGTGAAAGCTGACATAGGCTGAGCTCTATGTGCCAGGCTCTGCTGTAAGCTCTTCATGTGTGTTGTCTCATTTTATCTTCGCTATAATTCTACAAGTGAGAAACTGTTGTTACTTTCATCTCACAGGTGATAAAACTTAGGGACACACTTGGGGAATAGGAAATTTGGAATTAAAACAGAAAATTTTACTAGAAGCTGTACACACTCTTAACCACTAAATTCTACTGTGAGCCTATGTTGGGTTGAGACTGGGAGATGCAAAACTCAAGTCCTTATGCAGGAAATTTAGACATCCTCTAGTCCAAAAGCTGAGCACCTTCTGAACTTTCACTGTTGATAGTGAAGTCCTAATTACTTCTGTGTTTTATATATTGAAAATGATAATTTGATATGGATGCAACATTTTTTCAGATTACAAGTATTTGCCCCATTGAACCAAATATCTGTGTATGATATGCTCTGGAAATGATAAAGTACTCCAATTATAAGGATCCCGAAGATTGGATCCTTTGCAAAATGTCATCTTATCACTTTTGAAGAGCTGTCTGGCCTGACTCTGACTTGTCTTCAATTAATGAATACATCTATAAAACAATTAACTCATTTCTTTTCTCTCTCATACATATATATATGTGTGTGTGTATGAGAGATATAAAATATATATATATATATACATTTGACTGTCATACCATCATTGGCACAACTTTCTGAAATATGGTTTAATTTTTTAATGAGCTTATCAATACTGAAAACAAGGACATTATTCATGTCAGAGTTTTATGAAAATACACTCTTGGCTGTTTATTAAAAACAGAATATAATGAGACTTCAATTCCGTCATTAACTAAAAGCCATAAACCAGTATTCTTTTAAAAGTATTGTATAATTAAGAGTTATCTCATTCTACACTACTTCACTAATCATGATGATGAGGATCCCAATCAAAAGGATATTATCACTTGTCAGAGATAATCTTCTAACTTTGTGGTTGTGTAAGACACTTTTATTGGCTTCACATTTATATTTTGTTCCACTTCATTGCAATACTAAAGAGCTCTTAATTCATTAGCATTTTATTCAAATGCATTAAATCTACTTGTTTCTGATTCTAATAAAAAATAAAATTTCTGTATCCTTCAAGCCTGTAATTTTTTTAAGAAAGCCTTGATATTAGAAAATTTCTTTTTAGAATGGTATTTTATCCAATGAAACATAATTATTAATATTGTAAAACTTGCGTGGAGGCTTATAAGAATAAAATGCATTTGTTGCCAGTCTTTTTGGAGGGTTTTGTTGTTGTTGTTGTTTGTTTGCTTGCTTTTCAAGACAGGATTTCACTCTGTCACCCAGGCTGGAGTGCAGTGGCATGATCTCAGCTCACTGCAACCTCAGCCTCCTGGGTTCAAGTGATCCTTATTCCTCAGCCTCCCAAGTAGCTGGGACTACAGGTTCACACTACCATGCCCACAACTAGAGAACTACCTTAACTTCTATTGAGCAAGCAGAGGAGAAAGAACATTCAAACTGGGTCGAGTATTGTGGCTTATGCCTGTAATCCCACCCCTTTGTGAGGTCGAGGCAGGAGGATAGCTTTAGCCCAGGATTTCGACACCAGCCTAGGCAACATAGTGGGACAAGGTCTCTACTAAAAAATTAAAAATTAGCCAGGTCTGATGGTATGTGCCTGTATTCCCAGCCACTGTGGAGGGTGAGGCAAGAGGATCACTTGAGCCTGGGAGGTCAAGGCTACAGTGATCCGTGATTGTACCACTGTGAGACCCTGTCTCAAATTTTTAAAAAATTAAAACGAACTTTCAAACTTATCATGCACACCTTAAATGCCAGCTCTTTGGAGTTATTTGTACATGATTTTTCAATTAATTATCACCACGACAATTGGTAAAAGGCATTATAAACCCTATTATTACCAACCATTCACATATGAGAAGACTGAGATTCAATAGGTTAAGTGTTATGTCTAAGGTCACACAGTTAATAAGTGAATCAAAATCCCAAGGTCTTTTCCCACATATCATGTTATCTTCAGAGAAAATACTAGTAGCATATTAACAAACCAATGCAATCTCATTTGGATGTAAAACTAGAATGGTCATGTGTACAATACATTATAAGCAACTCCTTAGCCCTAAGTATTGCAAGTGCACACAGCAACAGTTTTACAGAGTGTCAGTTATTAAGCTGTGAGTTGATTTCAGAAAATAACCACTCTGATTTATTGGTAAGTAACCCAGGTAGATTGTAGAAGCAACTGTGGTTTTTCATACACAGGCAATATTTCAGTTAAGACGGTTTCTTTCCAATGATGTCATTAAAGTACCTCAGTGTTTAAGAATCATAGACCATTTGGTTACATAGCAATTGGTGAGCGTGGGAACTGTTGGGGAAATGGTATTTTGGATTGAGAATTTCGTTTCAAAAAATGGAAAGTTGCAAATGAAAGCTAACCCTTTTAGTCTTGTTACTAATGTGAGACTTGTTCTACACCACTGACCTCTTCCTGATCCTAGATAATGCTAAAAGATCATGAACCAAAATAGTAAAGTTGGAAGATACATCACTCACAGAAGACAAAGTGTGGTGTGGTGATGAGACTTACGGAAGAAAACTACTTCTATCGCTCTTTAGGCTTCTCTGGTTTTAGTTTTCTTCTTAACCCCCTCCCTCTGTAAACACACAGACACAACAGGTAGGAAACCAGCTCATTCCTCATTCCTCATTCCTCATTTGTTTAAACCAATGAATATTCTGCCTCAGAAGTCAGAACATGCTGCCTTATATAACGAGGTGTGTGTGTGTGTGTGTGTGTGTGTGTGTGTGTGTGTGTGTGTGATGTACTATTCTGGGGCAGAGGAAAGGGCAGGTAGAAATCCTGAGGAGCTATGGCAGGAAGAAAGAGTTGCTACCTCCCTTTCAAGCTACGTCGGGGAGAGGGGGTGGGGACTATACCAACCCATCACCACGCCGCATGCCACTCTCACACAGATGCTTCTCCGTCATGTTCTCTGGGAAATTTCCCCCCGATTAGGAAAAGGACGGTAACACGGTTCTGCCTCGGAAGGCGAGTTTTTACCACTGCAACACAAAGAACAGAGGAGCGCGCTTTCACATCGTTGCAACTTAACTCACTTGACCAGCTCTATACTTCAGCACCACGGAGAGCGGTACATCCTTGGCTACCACCCATGGGGAGCCAGCTTCTGGCGACTCAACACCGGATTCCGGTCATCTAGAGGAGGAACAAGCCTGCGTATTACACCCTCAATGTAAGCAGCTATGATGGTTCTTTCATATTGATTTTTTTTTCCAGTAGAGGTTGTGTTCTCGCTAAAATATGTAATTGAACTTTCATTTATCAGCCTTCTTCCTCTAGTGCACTGCTTAGATTTTTAGATGGATCTGAGATCTTTCTTATTTGTTGAGTTGGTAGAAGAAATTTTTTTTTTCTTTTATAGAATGTCTAAGTTTTCAAAGCCATTTAGAAACGGACAACTCATGTCGGTAGCCTATTCCTTTTGTGCTAGAGTAATATAGTTTTATTCCTAGATGAGTGTATAGGTGTTGTCTCTTCTTTCCCTTCACTACTGACAGCTTTCTAATGTATTTATGTGGTTGTATTTATCATAATATAAATATAGGGGTGAGAGAAGGGAGAGGGTTATATTCTAATAAGTAGCCACTGTTAAAGAACTACAGGTGGCAAGAAAGAGATTGTCATTTTTCTTTTCTTCTTGTTGAAAATATGGTCTGAGCTATGTATCTCCTTTAGACATCCATTTCAAAATAACAAATATGCTCCTAATGAAAGAGGTGTAATCTAGGCAGAGCTTTGAAACTCTCATAATCTCCCCTTTAAGTTTGAAGTTGTAAATTCATTTACCTATGATTGAGTAGACACAACCAAAATGCTATTGCTATTAATTATAATTTAGAGGCGTAATGGATTCAGGGTAGACTCAGAAAAGGCAATAATGATTGACCCTGTCTGGTGGCACTCAGTGAATTTTTGCCTCAGAATGCCACCTGCTGGTGGGTCTTATTTCTGAAGCACCGAGTACACATCAAATTTATGAATGAATTCACATTAAATCCAGAATATTCATTATGGATGTGATGCAAACCCAATCTCCAAGATCTTTTTAACAATGACATTGATTCAATTATTTAAAAGCTTACCAAACTTCTATGTCACAATTACCCTTTCATAAATATTTATTTCCAAAAACACTTGCTCCTAAACTTAGGTGCATGTAGACTAGATAACTCCTTTAGGCAGTAATTAACCCAGAAAAAAATCAGAACTATGTGGAGCCTCATTGAGGCTAATTGCAGAATGCATGCGGTATCTTGGATGAGAGCTACCAGGAGCTCTTGCTTAGTAAAGGCAATCAACATTTCCCTCCATATAAATATTAAGCATGTTACTTTTTTTCAGTATTGTCATTTCATAATATAAGGGCCTCTCTTTCTTTCTCAGTAGTAGATGTTTATTTCAGACTCTTATCATAGAGGTCAGTGAAATCATCAAAAGGTTACACATATCTATTTTATTTCAAGAAAAATCTTTTTTAAAAATAAAGCTATCAAAACTTGTTTCAGCTCCACCTGGAGCTATACACAATGAGATATAGACATCCAGTTTCATAACTTCCAACTTCCAAATAGGAAAATAAGGATTTTAAAAGTAAAAAGAAAAATAGAAGCACATACAAAGCACTAGTTATATTTGGATAGGTGGTACCTAGGACAGTTTGAAAAAACTGAGGATAACTTCTTCTCTAAATGATGTTACTTGGTAGAAAATAAATTACTAATAGAAACACTTATTAACATTCAGGAACACTAGATAATATTTTTATTCCAAGATGCAATGGAAAAACCATCCCACATTAGTAGAATTATTTGGAAAGTATATCTTAATATAAAACATTTTAATGAGTAAAAGAAGGATACTTTGCTTGTTTCCTGTAGGATTTAACTGGTGAAATGTATGAACTCGTGTATACCTTGGGGTAGTTAGGTATATATCTTTTTTTTCTTTTATTTAAAGTATATATGTTGTACAAGCAAATTATTATCAGTAGCTTAGATGGGAACTTAAATGCCTTAAACCCACAATTAATATATTTGTAATAAGTTAAATAGAGCTAATAATATCCAATTTCACTAGAGCACTTACAAGGCAATGATAAATAGTTTACGTTCACTATCTCACCTCAATTTCAACAGAAAAAGGAAGGTGATACTTAGAAATAAGTTGGATGCCTTGGGAAATATGTAAAAATTTTCAGGAGTAGTGTGAAGAAGTGAGAATGTCTCAATTTTCTGCTCAGTCACCAAGGGACATCATATGCCCTCTGATATTAGCTGCTTCATCTAGCAACTTATGGGCCATAATTTATAGTGGAGCTAATTAGAAACTGATTTTACTTAGGAATTCATACCTTATTTTAAATGTTGCCAGTCATAAGTAGGAAATAACAGTCATAGAATTATATGGCTCCTGCATTTTGTGAGAAGGAAGATGCTGGTAAACACCAACAGCTCCAGTGTACTGATCTTCTTAAATGATCAACCCAGATTCAAATATTTAGGAATGAATTAAGTTGATTGACCAAGCACCATATGCAAGGCATCAGGAGTACAGGGCACCAGGTGCATATGCCATATACACGAGTATTCCCTACCCTCAAGGATCTTGAACTCTAATGGAAAAAGTTATAGCCTAAAGAAACTCAGAAAAACAAAAAACAAAACAAAACAAAAAAACAGAAAGACAAAAAGAAGATGGCTGGCAGTGGCATACTAGCCAAAAGCACAAACTTTCAAAGCAGACAGACTAGATCCTTAATAGTGAGTCCACCACTGACACATTGTGTAGCTTCGGAAAAGTGGTTAATTAATTTGACCATCACTTCATCATCTGTTAAATGGGAATGACAATAGCACCTAAACCATGTAATAGTTTGTGAGAACTTAAAATGATAATGCATGTTCTCAAATGTGTCATGTTCGCTATACATTTCTAATCATTTTTGCTTAATGATTTATGTACTTACCTCCTTTTTTATATGTTTATATTTACAATTCATTCATCATTACATTGCCATTTGTCTTTACAGGCTGGCTTTATTGTGTTGAGTATCTATAATGTTAAATTTCTCTTTATATCTTATTTGAAAAATAAATGAATAAATAAATATAAATGACAATGTACATAAATTACTCAGCATGGTGGCTGGCACATGGTTAATGTGAAACAAATGTTAGTCACTATGATTAAATAGTCATTCAGGAAAATAGCTAACCTTATCAGAAGATAATTTATTTAAAACAGTAATTTATGTAAAGCACTTAGGACAGTGTCTACATGGTAAATGTGTAATATATGTTAAATATAACTATTGTATAGTCATTTAGAAAAATAGCTAAGCTGAGTATATCAATGTACAGTAAAATGTGAGACAATTCTAATAATTGTGTACCTAAGTGCATTGATAGGTAAGATTTTGATCATTATTGTCATGAACATTTGTATAAAGTGTTATGGTATCCAGGGCATTTGGTAGACATTATTTAATCCTCACTGTGCTCCTGAGGAACATGAGGAATGGGCTTTATTACTCCCTTTATTTTGGCAAGAGAACTGTGGTTTAGGAGAAGACTCCAAATGACTATTTCATCACTGTTGCTCTAGACTAATACTCAGAATATGTACTCTTGGGAGAAGATGCACAGATCAAAGCTGAGTTTTCCTGGGTGTTTGATCTGACTCCTAGATTCTGTTTGGTTCTATATCCAGTTGGGGAATATTACAGGCTGAATTGATTTTAAGCTTGGATAATTTCCATAGAGAATTTTGATGCATGTAGCATTTTAGAAAAGAGACAACAAATATCTCTAAAAAAACATTTTGATTAAGTGGCCTTTTCTTCTTCAGTAATTAACCACAATTTCTGTCTCCAAAAGGCTTTATGGCCATGCTCATCTGCAGCTGGACTTAGGGCACAAGATTTATACTTTTCATGGGTCAATGACATCTGGCTTCCTTCAGACTGGCTGATGCATCTGTAAGAGCAGCTTGATAAAAATAACAACTGAAGGATCAAGAGGGAGTTTAATAATCAGTCCTCCTCTCATATATGGTTTTGTTTCCGCTGGAATCCTTCTTCCAAATGACATCAAATGTTAATTGTATGCATTTCTGGAAAATGTAAAACAAAGTGTCTTAATTGGGGTATTTAATCACACATTATCTCAATAATATGTGCAAATAAAAATGTATTTGCATTCAAAGTTCATTTTTAAGAAAAATACTAAAATAAGGGCAATCAAATGCCAATTGCATTTTAGGGAGATTCATTTTGCTTATCATTGGCCCTAAAACTGTGATAAGATCTCCAGAGTTCATCAGGGCAGCACATCTGATTCATGAGTGTAAGCTTTGGCCACCAACTATTGAGAGACATGTGACTTTATCTTTCTGACACAGCATCTTTTGTGGATTCTTTCCAACCCGTGTGATATGTATAGCTAAAACATGAATATCTGTGATATCAAAATTAAATAGCAAGGATATGGTGGCTGAATATATTCACAAGTGCATAAATGTCTAAAAAGTATCATTAGAGGGATATTAGGGTAAGAGGGAGTCAGAGCTAATAAAAAGGCCACAGTGAGGTTAAAAGGCCTCCATCAATATCTGCATCAATTCTCATGGCTTCATAGTCTATTGTGAAGCCCCTCGCATTGGAAGCAATTTCACTGAGTAGCACATGCCATTATCTGCTTATATGCATACATGACTCTAAGGCTCATAAGATTTCATTTTTAATGCTAAATTCTGCTAGGAAAGGAACAGAATTGATGATTTTGTGAGCATCCAAATGTTTTTCAAGGCTGAGGTTTTAAAGGCTGCGAAAGAGTCTTGTTTATTTCTTACTACATCTGGGTGTCTGCTTTCAAGGTCATTCAGAAAAATGCTTGTCAAATGGTGAGGACATTTTAACGTCTGCCAAGTACTAGCTATACACATATTTTTTTTGATAAAACATAATTATTGTAGAAACATCAAGATTTATATGATGCCCTACCCTTGTGCAGAAATTATTTGTCCAAAGTCTTAGGACTTAAGATTTAGTCTTTTCACTTGACCTACCAGAGTTTCTTCACCTAAAAGATGAGAATGCTAATACTTTGCTTTTTATGTTTTGTTTTGTTTTGTTTTGTTTTGTAATGAGTGGAATTAACAAACAATGCTTGAATATCCTTTAAGTTTGTAGGCTGCAGTGTCTATGATATTCACAGGGACTCTGAATTTAGATTGAGTACTTACGTGTTCCTTGTGAAATATTTCTCTGCTATGACTTGGTTCAGTAGTCATTAAATTTCCTTTGAGTTAATCTCTCCATGGCTTGTTGCTGTGTAATAGTTGGGTACCCTTGACCTTGTAGTCTGACCTATTCTCCCTCTTGAGCAGACCTCTAATGGAAAAGTGCCGTGGAATCAAGCTGTATTGCAGCTTCTTCTCGGACAGCTGCTGTTTCGTATCTGACACACTGCTCAGATGCTCTTGAGTGTAAACTGCTTTTTCTCAGGTTGAGTTGTGATGGCTAAGAATAAAAAAAAGTGTTTCTGAGAGAAGTAGAAGCCTATTGTAGGACAGGCTGAGTACTTCCATGAAAAAGATTATTATTAGTCTTCTTTGGGCTCATCTTCTACCTGTGTGTGTGTGTGTGTGTGTGCCCAGATGACAGGCCTTGAAACTGAGTTCATTACATCTCCTGAAACAAAGCCTCTTGGGAATACAAATAGGGTAACTGCTTAGCTTTCGACTCAGTAACTTTCTCTTTCTGAAAACCCTATAATAATAAGTGCCTGCACACTATTTGTGAATCTTTCTCTCCTGTAAAGGTTTTTCTGGGACTCCTAATCCACAGTCTGCCTTTGGTACCATTGAGCAGACTGTCTCTGGAATGATGGCATTGTTGAAAGGAATGGGCTCAGAAGGATCTCATGAATTTGAATTCTGACAGTCTTTTCCCCAGCAATCTTTTATCAAAGTGCACTTTAAAAAAGTGGATGGTGGTTCAGACGCTCTTCCTAAAGGTGTACAGAGCTCTCTATTAGGATTTATCACCCACAGTTGCCTTTTGAGGGAGTTGCCCATAATTATTCTTTTTATTTTGTGCAGATAAAGAAGTTGCTCCATATATAATTTAGGAGCTTTTTCCCAAGGGAAGTGTGACTCAGCTCCAGGCAGGATTAGAGTACCAAGATCTGATCTGCATTATTTGCTTTATACCAGACATACGGCCCCCAAGGAGCTAAAACCAAAAAGGTTTGAGCAGGTCGAAAGGTACAATGAGCAGAAAACTAAATGGAGTCCCCAATTTAAACATTCACAAGGCTAATTGCATAACTTTTTAAAAATCTCAAAAAATTGGATTTAATTTTAAAGCCTTTCTCTGTGATCATTTTTGTTTGACTATTTTTAAAAATGGCTAAAGTGAAATACTGAGTATTGTTTATGCATGAAGACATAACAAATTAAAAAAAGACAATTCTCTGGGACCATAGAAAATAGTTAAAAACAAATATCCAAGTACTTACTCTTTAAAACGGATACACTCTTGATAAAATTTATGCCATTCTAATATTCTCTGAATAATGTGAGTGGAGGTAGAGTAGAAAAGAAAAATAGAAAATACAGGTAGAACCAATTGGAGAATCAAAAAAGTTTAAGATGTGCAAGTTGGTAGAGGCTTAGGAAACACCTGGTCCAGCCCCTCTATTTCATAGTTATCTGAGATCTAGAAGCTGGGACCTGCTCAAGGTCTCAAGGCTAGCTGGAGATGGCATATCCCTGACTTGAGCTCAAATTACACAGTAGCTGTTATTGTCTCTAGTTTGCTGTTTCAACACTTTGGTAATGTAAGTTTGGGTAACTTACATTGTCCAAGACTGGCAAATGATGGAGCCCGGATTCCTACTCTAAACCTTCTAACTTCAAAGTCTGTCTTTCAGCCCCCCTACTCTTAGTATCTTCATCTGAGGATGAGGAGAATAATAGCACCTTCCTCACAGATTTGATGCAAGAATTACACAAGTTAATATATGTGAAGCTCTTAGTATAATACCTGGCATATATTAGGTGCTTAATAAATGTTAACTGCTATTATTAGTAGCATTAGTATTAAGCTCTACACTAGGCCACACTGGGAAACAGCAATAAGTAAGAAGGGGACCCAGCATATAAGTTGAGCTATTTCTTCCATCCATATAGAAATCCAGGCTCAATCTTAAGAAGCTAAGGCTGAATTCTCTCAGAAGGGTTGCTTCAGTGGCCATCAGAAAGTGACAGGATTCTAGTCCTGCTCCCTGCCACATCTTGCCCTTTAATAGGTGCCTAGGTTGTGTGTGGACCAGAAAGCACTGTCCCCATAAAGAACAGCACAGAATGTAGAAACGGACACGTGTGATATGCATGCATGCATATTGCTGCAGTTTTGCCATGGTGTAGGAGCTCATTCAGGGGGAGACATCTGAACCGAAGGCAGCCATATTTGTGATGGCCAACTCTATGGCACAGCCCTTGGAGAGCTGGGCATAAAAAGAGGCAAGAGGGAACAGAATAAAACCTACATTGACTTATACTTTCTACTTACAAATTACTTCATTTAATCCTCCTACAGACTCTGCAGCACATGTAAGTTATCCACATTGTACAGGTGGGAAAACTAAAGCATAGAGGGGTTTAGTGGCTCTCTCGACTTTATATAAACGGAAATAAAACCAATAGCCTCCTGCCTGCTTCAGCCATACCACCACCCTACGCCCCAGCCTCCATCTCTTATTAGGGTCCTTCTAAATCCATTTTTCAGCTCTGCCACCCCGTCTCCACCCAAGGAGTATAGAGGCAGACAACTGAGTCATATTCTACCACTTGAAAGAAATAGTACAGGTAACCCAGTGTGTCTGAATCTTGATGATTAAGACAATGATTTGTAAGATTGCACAATTCCTCATAAGATTCCAAGCATGATATTCTTTGTGTATCTCAACCATTTTTGTGTGCTCTACTGCTAGGGAATCCGCAGGAAAGTAACAGGGCATCTTTGCCTTGTCCCATAGGTTGAGGAACAGCACCTTCAAAAACATGCAGCGCCGGCACACAACGCTGAGGGAGAAGGGCCGTCGCCAGGCCATCCGGGGTCCCGCCTACATGTTCAACGAGAAGGGCACCAGTCTGACGCCCGAGGAGGAGCGCTTCCTGGACTCGGCTGAGTATGGCAACATCCCGGTGGTCCGGAAAATGCTGGAGGAGTCCAAGACCCTTAACTTCAACTGTGTGGACTACATGGGGCAGAACGCTCTGCAGCTGGCCGTGGGCAACGAGCACCTAGAGGTCACGGAGCTGCTGCTGAAGAAGGAGAACCTGGCACGGGTGGGGGACGCGCTGCTGCTGGCCATCAGCAAGGGCTATGTGCGCATCGTGGAGGCCATCCTCAACCACCCGGCCTTCGCGCAGGGCCAGCGCCTGACGCTCAGCCCGCTGGAACAGGAGCTGCGCGACGACGACTTCTATGCCTACGACGAGGACGGCACGCGCTTCTCCCACGACATCACGCCCATCATCCTGGCGGCGCACTGCCAGGAGTATGAGATCGTGCACATCCTGCTGCTCAAGGGCGCCCGCATCGAGCGGCCCCACGACTACTTCTGCAAGTGCAATGAGTGCACCGAGAAACAGCGGAAAGACTCCTTCAGCCACTCGCGCTCGCGCATGAACGCCTACAAAGGACTGGCGAGTGCTGCCTACTTGTCCCTGTCCAGCGAAGACCCTGTCCTCACCGCCCTGGAGCTCAGCAACGAGTTAGCCAGACTAGCCAACATTGAGACTGAATTTAAGGTAACTCTTCCACTTAGCACCCTGCAGGCAGGTTGCCCAGGGGGCTCTTCCACGTGTGTCCAGTGTGAAATGGGTTGTCTTCAAATCTAAGAAAGAGGGAAGCTTCAGGATCTTACTGAGCAGGCCCAGGGGAGGAGGGGAACACATCTCACTTATCAGAGATAGGCCTGAGGAAAAGCAGCCCTCTGGGTGAAATGCTTTAAACTACATGAATGCGGTAAGAAGTGACTTGAGTACAAATGCATGCAGTAAAAGACAGGCGAGTGCAGGCAGGATTATGTTGTGGTTCTGATGTCAATGCCTTAGCTCCGCCTCAGGGAGCTCAGGAGTGTCTAGGACACCTAAGGACCTGTGGTTATTTCCTAGTGCAGGGCTTAGACTTCTTGATTATTTCACCTATGTGGCTTTGATTTGTCTTGTTCACATCTCTCTCATCCTGGAATGTCTTGATCAGTCTCAGTCTAATAGGAAGACCTGGCTGCAGCTTTTCTTAAACCTGGGAAGTTCTTGCCATTTTCTTGTCAATGGGCTGAGGAGGAGGTTTAAGAAAATAAGAATGAAACTGTCTCTGTAGAGTGTGTCAACCTAGTAGACGAGCTCAGGCGAAAGCTCTAATTAAATCACTCTGAGAACACCTTGACCTGCCAGGTCAGCCTAGAGGATGCATCTCCAAAGTGCATTTTTCAATAGCAGGCCTGTGCTTTTATTGTCAACAGACATTCCACCTGAAAGAGACAACTGGGCCCTAAAGTATGAAATTCTTTTCACACAGTGTTTAATAATAATAAGAGCAATTTTTTTTTCCTTTTTGAGGCAGAGTCTTGCACTGTCACCCAGGCTAGAGTGCAGTGGCACGATCTTGGCTCACTGCAAGCTCTGCCTCCTGGGTTCATGCCATTCTCCTGCCTCAGCCTCCCAAGTAGCTGGGACTACAGGTGCCCACCACCATGTCCAGCTAATTTTTTGTATTTTTAGTAGAGACGGGGTTTCACCATGTTAGCCAGGATGGTCTTGATCTCCTGACCTCGTGATCTGCCCACCTCGGCCTCCCAAAGTGCTGAGATTATAGGCGTGAGCCACCACACCTGGCCAAGAGCAAATATTTAATGGGCACTTATTGTGTGCCTAGCACTAACCACCTTATCTATATGATCTTATTTAATCTTCTCAGCAACCATATGACATGAGTACTGTTATCAGCCTCATTTTATATGACGGCACAGAAGTAGAGAGAGGATCACATAGCTAGTAAATAGCGAAACCATTTTTCTAATCTAAGCACTCAGACCCCAGAGTCAACTCTTGGCCACTTCAGGAAACTGAGGGCCAGAGCCTTGCTTGTATATTGAGCTTGTGAGGTTTCACTTGTTTTTACCTGAATGATAAAGGATTGCCCACTGCAGAAGGTATAGCTGGAAGAGTAGGAACCACAACTGGGCTCATTATTTCTCATGCTGCCATTCAACCAGAGACTATCATGTGCTACATGACATACAAAGAGGTATTGCACACAGAGCTGTTACCGCAAGTGAAAACTTCATGGTCCAAACTAGATGTCATTGGGGGAGCTGCCCCTGTATGGCATACAATTATACAGCCAAGAATGGGTACCAGCTCATACCAAGGAAGGCTCTCCTGGGACACGTTTTTCAGGGAGGGCTCAAAGGAGATGTAATTGGGTTGGGCCTTAATGAGTAGGAGTGGTTGGGTCATTACGAAGAGAGAGTAGGCATTTGGAGGAGGTAAGTGAAGATGAGTCTCAGAATGCGCCAGAGCAGGGAGGATGAGTAGTTCCATGTGACTCAAATACAGGCTTCCTGTAGGCCATTCAGGAGGAAAGCTGAAGAGATCAGTTGGGGAAGGATCTCAAAGGACCCAGCAGGTCAGGCTGAGCACTTTTAAGGTTGTCTTGTAGGAAAGGGAAAGCCATGGAAAGTAATTAGGGAACTAAAGTGATGAAAACTAGAGTTTGGGAAATTAACTTGTCTGGTAAATAAGATTAATTGGAGAATTTGGAGTGTGAGGCACTGGGACTGAAGAGAGAGAAAATTTTGTTGTATGTAGGTGAGGCCATGGAAGCCTCTGTAGGAAGATGTTCATGCCATAAGCCAGGGACAGAAAGGCCAGGCCAACAGGAGGTTGCAGGGGCCCACAAATTGGGACTAGATAATAATTATTTAAAAAGTTTACTTTATGTCATCTGTCCCCCATCTGAGACCCAACCACTAAATTGAAGCCACTTCTCTAAATCCTACATTGTATGGTCTCATCTGAAAAACTTAGTGGATGTAGAGGTAGAGATTACTGAAAGAAAGTCTTAAGGAATATAGCCTCTTTTTTGTTTTTTTCTGTACAGTAAACCTTACCTACCAACATTAAGGTCAAGGATGTGCTGAGGAGAATTGGTTGAACTTTGCTTGTTGCTCAGTCTTCTGACCTATTCTGCATTGGCCGTGCGAAAGGAACAGCTAAACCAATTAATTCAGATATTTCAAGCCAAAAAGTTTTTTAAAAATTCAAGCAAAAAAATATTTTTTTGGATCAGATTATCTGGAAAATTGCACAGTTCTCTACCATATGTGGGAGCATGACAGCCTTACTAAATAAAATGATACTAAACTAACATTTGGAATTACATCTGAGACATTTTTTTTAGTAAAACTCAAATCTGGCATATTTCAGTATTTGCAATATCTAAAACTGGAAGTTCGTTTGAAAGCATCTACTATGATATTTTGATTTTAAAAGTAAATATGAAAATTGTGGACAATTAAGAACACCAGTAACGTGATGAAAAATCCTTTCTACAATTCAGTGACTTACTTGGAATAAGAGTTTGCATCAATACATTTGCTTGCTGTTAACATCCACCTAGTTACCTTTATTTCAAGTAATGTCTTTTGGATTGTCGACAAATGGCACAGTATAAATTAACATAACTGTTCCTTTAGAACTTTATTAGTTATTCAGTTAGCCTTATATGTGCATTCCTGACATTATAAATCTTCTCAGAGGAGAGCAGCTTAGCAGGAAAGAAGTCAAATTGTAATAAAAAAGAAAATAAAGAGCAAGAGAGTGTCTTCTAAAATGCACTCTTTCTGAATCTGTTCTGCTTTCAAGGGACCACACGTTGCTGCTTGTAGTCACATATTATGGAGATGACCTGATGCCATCAGTTGTGTAAAAAACTATCAGATTCTCATTGGAAATGTCATATGTCATCCTCCACATCCCCTAAAATACTCATTCAGGGAAAAACTCTTCCTGACTAGGAAGCATCATCCATGAAAAGCCTGGATTTAGTTTTCCCAGACTATTGTTTTTGGAGTCACTTTAATTTATCACCAGAATAGACACTAGTCATTAACAAAAATTGCAGCCAATGTCAAGGTCTTCAGCAAATTGTGGCTGGAGTTAGATGCCCGCTAGCAAGCCATTATTTTTGGTGTGGAAATCATGTAGCTGTTCAAGGATTTTCTTATGTCTCTCTAATCTTGGATCTAGAAAGATATTAAAACTTGATGTGGTCACTGGGGCCTCCCCAGTGCCTTGTGTGGTACCCAATAAACTAGTGAGCATTCCGGAAATACTTGATGAAGGGAATAAAGTAAATCCTAAAACAATAATCATTTCAACTGATGAAGCAAGTGACTCCTTTTCTTTATGGTTTAAACTCTTCCTACGTGGGTGGATTTAATAGCGGCGTTTGATGGATATAGTGAAACGAGGAAGCTCTAAAGAAACTTACAGGCTGGTTGGGGGCACAAAGTCCATACACATTAAATAGCTGTTCCCAATCATTTGCTTCACTGTATGTGTATGGAGGGCAAAGTGTGTCTTCTTGATCTTCCCCACAGTACCTAAAATGGGTTTTGGGAGCACTGCCAACAAATGACATTTTGGTTGATTGGTTTATCTATGCAGTAGGAGCCAGAGAAAGGGAAGATTGGTGTGAGCTGGACTTCTCAGAAGTGCTTCATCCTTGTGGAATATGCGCTCTCTGTGTAGAGGCACCTAGAGTAGCCAGGAAAAATAAAAAATTTGTCTACCTCAGTTGGGTAACAGCCACCAAGAACACAATGTGATGTCTGAAGCTCTCCTGAATTAATCTGCTTGGTTTTCTTCACTGATCATCTTTATGATAAAATTGGTTAGGGTCCATTTTATTTTGCTAGTCTCCTTTATTTGCTTCCCAGTCAAATTCCTGGGCATTTTGTCTATGCATTTTATTTTTCTGTGGAGCTGTTATTTCAAAACAATTAGAGGAATTAATATTTCTTCCAACTGAGTTATGGAAACAGCAATGCCTGGTGGGGCAGGGCGGGGACATGGAAAGAAAGGATGACAAGGGAATATTGTAGAGTGAGGTTTAGGACTTTGGAAGGAAAGAGAAAGCAGTATGGGGTAGGGGTATCTCTCTTGCTTTCTCATCTTTTGCTTACATTTGAAAGCATCCAGTGTGCCCAAATCAGAGACTGTGGAAGCCCCACAAACACCGTATTGCAGTTATTTAACATCTGGTGGTTCTAAAGAATAACAAAGCTACAACTAAGAAGGCTCTTCCTGTTGACAAAATAGCACGGAGGCTGTCGATGGTGTTTCAGTCACAGGCAATTTATCCTTTGAGACTTCAGAGGGGAAGAATAGGGGGCAAGAACTAACTTTATCCTACTTAAAGTGGTAATGATTTTTCTGTTTATCAATGGGTTGCTAACCACATGTATTATGAAAAATAGCTGATGAATTATGTATTAATGTTTGTGCTATCATTTTAAGACTCATGAAAATTCTCTGGGCCTAAAATACTACAAATTAAAAATGCAAATAATGATAAATCAGACCAATTTGCCACCTGCTATGATATCTAGAGAGATCCCATTGTGGAAGGTAAAGATGTTTAGGTGATAATTTGTAATCTGCTTGCAAACTTATCAGAATAGAAAGGGGAAGAGTGAGGAGAAGGAGTGACTTTGTCTTGTTGTGCCAGGGCTCAGAGCACATCTAACCTCTGGCTGTGTGCAGCCAGGGAGACAACAAATTGGGGAAAGGCCCCCACCTGGGCTGCCGCTGAATAAGCCTATTGCCCCAGCTTTCAGTGTTTGCACCAGTTTCTCACATACTTTCAATCATTTTAGAATTTTTAAATGTTATAGTCCAACACCCTGGGAAAAATATTATACATTTCCTTGAAGTTTGAAAGCTTGGCTGGTAGTATAAACAAATGCCTGCTTAACATGCAGGAAATGACTTGAAAATTGTTTCCTTTTCTATTGGGAAAATATTTTTTAAGCTATGAAGGCTGCAGGTCTTAAAGGGAAGTTTTATGTGTGTGATGTGTGCCTGTGTGTGTAAGACAGAATCTAGAAGAAAAGTCCTCAAAGCATGAGCTTATACATTTGGCTGTATCTATCCACGGTTCCACATCAATGGATTCAGCCAACTGTGGATGGAAAATATTTGGAAAAAAAAATCACAATACAATAAAAATAATACAAATATATAAAACACAGTAGAACAACTATTCACATAGCATTTACATTGTATTGGGTATTATAAATTCTCTGGAAATGATTTAAAGTATACAGGATATGCATAGGTTATATGCAAATATGATGCCATTTTATATCAGGGACTTGAGCACCCTCAGATTTTGGTAGGGAGGAAGGTCATGGAACCAATCATCTGCAGATACTGAGGGATGACTGTATACCATCCCTAATCTCCTCAGGGATCTGTGTCCCTCTAGTCCTGTGTTTGAGCATCTGATGATGCAGAAGTGTGAGTAGAGGAAAGAAAGCTGATGGATATCAGGTGATGAGTTGATGGAACTGCCACTCAATAAGCATACACAGGTGAAATGTAGTCAAAGTGTGCATGCCTTTCCTCAGGGCCACACTAGGGTCTGGACACAGGACCCCATACCTGAGAGCAAGACCCAGGGACTGGCTTATCTCCAGAAAAGGGACAAAGTGACTTCTGCTTATGTTAGCTTTGTTTTTTTCTATTTTTCTGCCTAAGTGTCTAGGGGAATGCTTTTCCCAGACCATTCATTAATGAGTCATCACAGGAAAATGAGTCAATTAATGTGTCCTTTAATAACAACTTTTCATTGGGTCACAAATAGTGCCTAAAATTAGATGATGTTTCTCTTCTAGGGTCTATGTCATGAGTATCTGCCTCCAAGGTACAGGGAGACTGTATGCTCTGGGTGACAGTTATTTGAGTGTGATAAAAGAGACAAGTGCAGAGGGGCAGGCCCTGGAGGGCACCCATTGCACCATGCTTCATCTCCTTGAGGCTGAGAAGTGGACAGCGAGGAGGTTGGCCCTGGAACCAGACTGACCTGGTTCTCTCTCTCCTACCAACCATGTAATCTTGGGCATCTATTGGAAGGTAGTTTCCTCATTTGAAAAATGGAGGGTAGGATACAGTCATGTGTTACTTAATGAAGATATGTCCTGAGAAATGCATCCTTAAGCAATTTCATCACTGTGTGAACATCACAGAGTGTACCTGCCCAAACCTAGATGATACAGCTCACTACACACCTGGGCTATATGGGATAGCCTCTTGCTCCTAGGCTATAAACCTGTGCAGCATGTTACTATACTGAACACTGTAGACAACTGTAATATAGTGGTCAGAATTTGTGTATATAACATATCTCAATAGGAAAGGCACAGTAAAATACCACATAAAATTTTTAATGATATACCTGTATAGGGCAGCTCCATTATAATCTCATGGGACCACTGTCATATATGCAGTCCATTCTGGAGTGAAATGCTATTATGCCATGCATGACTGTACTTCAGTTGTAACTTGACCAAACTGGAATACTTGTTTTCTCCACCCAAACATTTGCTCTTACCCTAATCTGTCCAACTCTGTAAGTGACATTGCCATTCATCAAGTTGCTAGGAAATTTCTACACTTCATCCCATTTAACCTCCAGAAAATCCTGGCACATATAGTATTAAGTAAATATTAGTTCAGTAAATAGACAAATAAATCAGTGATCAAATTAATGAATAACGACCTCCCAGGGTGTTGGTGAGGATTAAATGAGATAAAAAATACATAACTTCTTACAGAGAAGCTGATATACACAATAAGCACTATTAATTTTTCACCAGAGAGCTCCATGAAGATCTCTCTGTTTCTCAGCACCCACTGGATCTTCAGCACCACAACTTTTCCTCCCAGTAACACGGCTTAAAATTCAGCACCTCCTCTATTCAGAGGGTCTTGCTGATTTCTGTTAAGCTTCCCATTCCCATAGCAGATTTTTCCAGCACAAGAAAACAACTAGGCTGTACGTGTGAGCTCCATGGTTAAAAATAGGCCAAGGGAATATTTTCCAATTGAAAAAAATGCAGAACACTAAAACTGAATAAGCTTAGAGTGCTGCTAACATATTACTGTGGAGAGAGGCGACATGGGCTGGAAAGATAGAGAAGCAAAAGAGGAGGAGGAGGAAATGGGCAGGCAGAGATCCTGACAAATACAGAGATTATTTTTTGAAAAATATCTCCGTGGAAAAGATTCATCACTACACATAAAAAAATTGAGAAAAATCATTTCCTACACAAGTGCAACTATCAGTCTGAAATATCAGAGATATGGAGAAAATGGAAACAGTTCTTTGAGGATGTTAGCCAATGAGTAGTAGCACAAATTAAATCAAATGGCAATGCAGAGATTTTTCTCTGAAAAAAATAATTACAATGCTATATACATTAATCACAGTAGAGTAGCATTAATCAAGTATGCTGCACACACCATCTGCAGGGAGGCACATGTTTTATTAGCAGTAAATTCACACTCAGATTAAATACAGAAAATATTTATCAGGATGGGGACAAGATCTATAGACTCACAGAATATCAGAGGTAGGCAGGCCCTAGTAACAGAGCCATCTGAAAATTCCCTATTCATGCAATGAATACATATAAATCTTCTAGTCTGGACAAGGCTCTGAGTTGGATGCTGACATAAAATGAACAAGATAAAGTTCCTGCCCTCAAGGACCTTATTGTCAAGGGGAGAAGATAGGTGTCCTCCATGTAATCATACCAATAAACACAGCATTACAATTGTGCTAGAAAATAAAAATGCAATTCTAAAAGAGTTGTCTCAATGGGGCAGCTTACAGCAATGTCTAAAATGAAACCCAATGGAATAAAAGAGATAAATGGACAACAGAGAATAGGAAAGAGGGCTCTGAGTGTGGAAATGACACATGAAATAGCCCAGTGAAGGGAAGGAGAAAAAGAAGCCCATTCAGAGAATTGTGAGTAACATGGTCTGGATCTACTGGAGGGAGTAAACAGAAGTGGCAGGTGACATGGATGCTAAAGAGACCTTAGCCATGGCTTTGCCATTAGTGGCCGTGTAAGAAGTTGGACTTCATTGTAGGGTGAATGGTGAGGCATCGGATGTTTTCAGCAAGTGAGTGAGTGACTCATATATGCAGTTTGGAAAGATCTACTCTACCTGCTATAGAAAATGGACTGGAGAGCACAAGAATGGAAAGAGTTGGAAGGCCTATGTAGGAAGAAGAGACCCTCCCAGGAAGGGGTGAGTGACATATGAATGCAGAAGGACTAGTGCATCTCCACCAGCAGGTGCTTCATTGCAGATGAAGCCACAGCGCAGTTGGAGCAGGTGACTGGCTCCTGGCTGCTTCCAGGACCACCGTTTTGTCTTTAAGCTCCCCAGGACCCTGCTTCTCCTATCTCTGGGACCTCTCAGTGCTTCACAGTGGTGCTCCAGGCAGTGGAGAGGAATAGGGACAGGAAGCAGAACAGAGACAGCTCTTTAACTTCTCCTGTAAGACAGGAGCCCAGTAAAATAGAAGGAGAACAGGAGAGTGATGTCAATTCCAATTTTTCACCTTGATCTTTGATGGAAAATTGACCTTGACCTTAGAAGAGAGTGTGTCCCAGGCTCAGCCAAATTGTTCTTTGCAAAGCGGATGTATTGGAAAGTGGGTTCAGAAGTGATAACTCCAGAATGGAAAGGATTCCAGTGGACTTTAATCTTCCCATTGCATTTCCAAGATTCTAAAAACATCTTTCTCTCTCTGTTGGCTGCATGAACTAAGTAAATTTTTCATTAAGGTACAGGAAAATGACTGAATCTTCTATCTGATTTATGTTAAACTAAAGCTCATTTTAGCATAAATAAAGATATGGAGTAGACCTCCCCTTCTCCTTCCTTTTCCTTGCCTTCATGGGACTTTGGACATTCAAAATGCCATGCCAAGAAGAGACTGGGTGCAATCAAGGCTTTTCTGGCCACCCAAAATCTCATTTGGCAAATACTCAATTGAGTATGGGTGGTTGTTTGAGTTTCTGAGTGCTGCAATAACAAAGTAGCACAAACGTGGTGACTTAAAACCACAGAACCTTATTCTCTCACAGTACTGAGGGCTAGAGGTCCAAAGTCAAGGTATTAGCAGGGTCATGCCCTCCTTGGAGGCTCTAGGAGAGGATCTGTCCTTGTCTCTTCCTAGTTTCTGGTGGTTTCTGCCAAACCTTGACTTGTCAACGCACCACTCCAGTCTCTGCCTCTGTTATAATGCAGTAGGATTCTTGCTGTGTGTTTCTATGTTAATTCTCTTCTGATAAGGACACCAGTCATTTGGGATTGAGGATCCACCCTATTTCAATAGGACTTCATCTTAACTAGTTACGCCAGCAAATATCCTATTTCCAAATAAGGTCACATTCTGAGGTACCAGGAAGGACATGCATTGGGCTGCGGGGTGCTATTCAACTCAGTACATTAGGGTAAGCACCAGGTTGAGATAACCTGGTGAAGGCTGAGACCAGGAATCCAGGAAGACCTCCAGTAGGGCAAACTAGGCCAGAGGTCAGTGAGTCATACCATGGGTCATATATTCTAGGAAGCCAAAGATAATCCTAACTAAGAGGTCAGTCCGGAGAAAACCGGAGGTTATTAATTTCTTGGTTATTGACCAAGCACAAACCAAGCCAGTGATATGGGAACTTCATAAATGTGTGTGTCCGTGTGTGTTGTGTGTATGTGTACATGTGTGTGTTGTATGTGTACATGGTGTATGTGTTCCACGTATGTGTACATATGTGTGTGTGCGCACTCATGGTGTTGGGAAAAGCAGAACAGATAAAAGGAGGGAGGGCAGCCGAGAGAGGAAACTTGGTACTGGGGACAGTGCCCTCTCAAGTATGACAAAAACCTTTTAAAGTGTTGGGTTTGGGGATAATAAAAGTAAAACACTGCTGATTATAGAATTTTAAAAAATATAGAAGAGCAGAAGAACAAAAATATTAGCATTAATTCCACCATCTAAGAATAGTTCATTTTTTTAATTTTTTATTTATATATATATTTTATTACACTTTAAGTTCTAGGGTACATGTGCACAATGTGCAGGTTTGTTACATATGTATACATGTGCCATGTTGGTGTGCTGCACCCATTAACTCATCATTTGCTTTAGGTATATCTCCTAATGCTGTCCCTCCCTCCACCCCACAACAGGCCTCG
This sequence comes from Homo sapiens, assembly GCF_000001405.40. Taxonomy (NCBI): domain Eukaryota; kingdom Metazoa; phylum Chordata; class Mammalia; order Primates; family Hominidae; genus Homo; species Homo sapiens. Next base: position 136,346,074 of record NC_000005.10, on the reverse strand, counting down.
GTGTGTGAGATATAGACCAATGGAACAGAACAGAACAGGGCCCTCAGAAATAATACCACACATCTACAACTGTCTGATCTTTGACAAACCTGACAAAAACAAGAAATGGGGAAAGGATTCCCTATTTAACAAATGGTGCTGGGAAAACTGGCTAGCCATATGTAGAAAGCTGAAACTGGATCCCTTCCTTACAGCTTATACAAAAATTAATTCAAGATGGATTAAAGACTTAAATGTTAGACTTAAAACCATAAAAACCCTGGAAGAAAACCTAGGCAATACCATTCAGGACATAGGCATGGGCAAGGACTTCATGTCTAAAACACCAAAAGCAATGGCAACAAAAGCCAAAATTGACAAATGGGATCTAATTAAACTAAAGAGCTTCAGCACAGCAAAAGAAACTACCATCAGAGTGAACAGGCAGCCTACAGAATGGGAGAAAATTTTTATAATCTACTCATCTGACAAAGGGCTAATATCCAGAATCTACAAAGGACTCATTTTTTTTTTTGAGGCGGAGTCTCGCTCTGTCACCCAGCCTGGAGTGCAGTGGCTTGATCTCGGCTCACTGCAACCACCACCTTCCAGGTTCAAATGATTCTCCCACCTCAGCCTCCCAAGTAGCTAGGATTACAGGCGCCTGCCACCACGCCCGTATTTTTGTATTTTTGTATTTTTAGTAGAGACGGGGTTTCGCCATGTTGGCCAGGCTGGTCTCAAACTCCTGACCTCAGGTGATCTGCCCGCCTCGGCCTCCCAAAGTGCTAGGATTACAGGCGTGAGCCACCGTGCCTGGCCAGAATAGTTCATATTTTGGTGTTTCTCCTAATCCTCCCCAACCTCCAGGTACAAAAATTTGAATTAATACTATAACTCAGTTGATGGAACATTATCAACATATTTTTATTTCCCTTCATACTTTATCCCTACTTCCATTATCCTTCCCCTCCAAAAAGCAACCTTTTTGATATATTTAATGTATTTAGATGTATAAGTATGTATCTATCAAAAATTCAAGAAATATGACTTTTGCATCCACTATGTTCTCAAGATTCTAGAGGGTGGGACTTCTTAAAGACCATCAAAACCCTGTAGTCTCTGCCCTCATGGAGCTTACATTCTAATGGAAATTATGAAAAAATATGGTGGTTGTTTTGCGTGTGTGCTTGCACATGTGTTTAGTTTATTGCTTCTGTCTGCTACCTACTACTCTATTTCCTGCACCTACAGTCTTTGACTGGCTCATTCTCTTAGTGATAGACATCCAGGCTGCCTCTCACTTGTTGTTACCACAAAGGAGGCTGCAAAGAACATCCCTATACCCCCTTACAATCCTATTCAAGCATTCTTGTGTTTTAGACTCAGGAAGGAATACCCATGGCTAGGTTCAGTGAACACAGCAGACTAATCCCCAGAAGACCCACCCTAGTCTACACTCTCTCAGGAGATTTGATGTGCCACGTGCTGCTGTCTAATGTTTGCCAGTATGAGAAATGTAAAGTCATTTTAATTTGTGTTTCTCTAATTGCTAGTGAGGCTGACCACTTCCTATACTGTCTAGACATGTAGGTTTCTCCTTTCTATGAATTGCCTACTTTGATCTTTTCTTCACCCACATTTCAAAAAATTTTAACTTTTATTTTAGGTTCAGGGATACATGTGCATATTTATTACGTAGGTATATTGCATGTCACAGGGGTTTGGTTTACAGTTTATTTCATCATACAGGTAATAAGTACCACGGTAAAAACTACCCGATAGGTAGTTTTTTGTTCTTCACCCTCTTCCAGCCTTCATCCTTGAGTAGGCCCAAGCGTCTGTTGTTCCCTTCTTTGTGTCCATTTGCGCTCAGTGTTTAGTTCCCACTTGTAAGTGAAAACATGCAGTATTTGGTTTACTGTTCCTGTGTTAGTTTGCTTAGGATAATGGCCTCCAGCTCCATCATGTTGCCGCAAAGGACATGATCTCATTTTTTATGGCTGCGTAGTATTCCATGGTATTTATGTACATTTTCTTTATCCAGTCTAGCATTGATGAGCATTGAGGTTGATTCTCTGTCTTTGCTACTGTAAACAGTGCTGTGATTAACATACACATGCGTATGTCTTTATGGTAGAACGATTTATATTCCTTTGGGTATATACACAATAATGCTTTACCCACTTTTTAACAGGATTTCTGTCTTGAGGTATTAAAAATACCTTTTTTGCAAGTGTTCTTTATGTATTCTAAATACTAGTTCCTTCTCTATTTCAGACATTGCAAATATCTTTTCCCAGTGTGTCACTCATCTGTGTAGGGGCAAAAAGGGAGTAATGCCTTTTCCATCACCTGTCACAATGTTCACCCCTGTAACAAATGACAGATTAACAAGAGAAAAACATAAATTTATTTAACAAAGTTTTACATGACATGGATGCTTTCAGAAGTGAAGACCTTAAGACCCAGGAAGAAATGTCTATTTTTAGGCTTAGTTTAGTTGAAGAACAGACAGCCATGTAAAAATGTGATTAGACAAAAGGGTATGATCTAATTGTAATAGACCAAGGCCTGTCTGTTCAGATTCTTCTCAGCTTCTCTGTGTAGTATTCCTTCCCCCAAGGAATAGGGAAGGACCCTTTTGGATTAAGGATCTTATTTCCTATTTTCTAGCAAAGTAGGTCAGAGAATTTCAAGGACATCTCTCACAAAGGCTGGGGAAGGTCAGAGTGACCTTCTTACTACTAAGGCCCTACCAATCTCCTTCAGTTCAAAGTGCCTTGGAGTAGCATTTTTGGGCCCCAACATCAGTTATATTTGTCTGTCATTCTTTGTTGAACAGAAAACCTTGCTTTTGAAATGGTTTATGCATTTAGTCTTGTTAAGAAATTATTTCCCACTTAAGGTTATGAAGAATTATTCTATATTACATCTTTTTTTTCTTCTATTACTTTCATTAGCTTTACCATTCACTTTTAAGTCCTTAGTACAGCTGGAGTTTGCTTTTGTATACAGAGTGAGTTTGTTTCAGTTTTTGCTTTTCTCTGTATGTTTAGTTTCCCAGTTTCATCCATTAAATAATCTAACTTTTCCCCACTAATCTCTATCCACCTCTATCACATACCAATTCCCAAATACATGTTTCTGTTTCTTTGTTTTCTATTCCATTCCAGTGTTCTATCTGACTATTTCTCCATTCTTTCTTCCACAGTTTCATCATAGGACTTTGTTTTGTGACCTATGATGAAGTGGGGAGATCCAGTTATATTTTCTGTGCATAGATTTGTTTGTCTCAAACAATTGTTACAAGGCTGTATAGTAATTTGGAATCCTGCTTTTCTCACTGAATATTGTTAATTTTGGCATTCCTCCCATGTTTTGTCAACACTTTATAAACATCAATTCCTAGAAAATATAGTGTCACCATCAATAAAACCAAATCTCACAATCCAGTGTGTTTCCACCATAGAGCAACTTCTGCAGCCTAATATAAGATGAGGGTAGGCCCCAGGGACTGAGGCAGGGTCAAGTCTGCAGGAGATGGGATAAGGTGTTCTGATCCCTGACTAGGGAGAGACAGATGATGGCTGGGCCCAGACTTGGCTTCCATAGGTCAGCTTCAGCCATTCTTTCCAAAACACAACCCCTACTCTCAGGGGTCAGTGAAGATCCATTTAGAAGGAAGAAGAACACTCCTCGTTTTTCAAGAGGATCTTTCTCTTACACACCCAGCAGTCTGCACCCCTCAGCAGAACTGAATACAGATCCCTGGGATTCTTGATATTCTTGGCCAGCTCTCCAGGATGGGCTTGGTGAACAGAGGGAGGCATGTGAGCTCACATCTACGTACCAGCCCAGCCCCTGGGGGGACCATGCAGGACCCAGGCAGCTTCATGTCCTGTTACCTTGATGGAATTTTTACCATTCTTAGTTGAGGCTATATTTCAAAAACACTTAAAAGGCCTGTGAAAATTACACATTAGGGGTTAGAAAGGAAGTGGTAGAGTAGCGGATGGAGAAAGCCAACAAGGCATGAATAAATTACCTGAAAGGCTACTAAAAAAAAATTGGTAAGGGCTGTTTTTTGTATTTCCTAAGGATCAACAAGAGGGAGCTGGAATTAAAAATTAATGAGAAGAGGGCTAAGATCAGAGACTTGTTCTTAAAACGACTTCAGCAACATGGCCCAGATATGCATAATATATTTCAGGTGAATTAAGCCACAATATGGACAGGAACCGAACTGTGCTAATAATCTGAGATCCCATGTTGCTGCTGGATCTGTAACTGGTTGAAAAATTCATTGTCAGAAGCAGGAGCTAAGCCTGGAGCAGCCAAGAGTTTGGTTTCTCCTTGAATTACCTGAATAGCGACTGTTGTACAGGAATAAGGGATAAATGAAGAAATCATTCATCTTCTTTTCAATTTTTTAATCAAAGGAATATATGATATGAAAAATCACCCAAATAGGACCCAAAATAGACAGCAAGAAGTAAGCTCCTCTTCCTTAACCCTCTCTTTGCCCCAGTGTCAATTCCCAGACTCAGCCTTATTAATAATTTATTTTATATCTGGGCATAAATCTTTTATTTATACATAGGTGTGTGTGTGTGTGTGTATATATATGTATATGTATGTGTATGTAAATATATGTATATATGTTAATTTATTTACTTTTTGCCTTAAAATTATTAAAATATACCCCACATTCAGTTCCCAACTGGCTTTTTTTTAATTAATAATAAAATCTGGCAGAAATATCTGTCCACATCAGCATGTCCAAGTCTACCTCTTTCTCCCCAATAGCTGTAGTGTTCCACAAGATAGATGCACTGTAATTTATGTATCATTTCCCTATTGATGAACTTTAGGCTAGTTCCAGTTTTCTGTTTTAATAAACAGTTCTATATTAAACCTCATTAATATGTACAACTTTCTGTACTTCTGTGACCACATCTGTAAGTTAAACTCTCCAAAATGGAGTCGCTGGGTCAAAGAGCACTGGCACTGAAAACTATATAAGAGATTGATAATTGCCCTCCCAGAAGGCAGCCTCAAATCATAAATTTCACTGACAGAGAGAATGAGTCTCTTTTCCTCACTTCCTTCCAGACAGTGTGTGTTAGCAAATTTTTAAATGGTTGCTGATTTTGTAGGAGAGAAACAGTATCTCAGTGCCATTTTAATTTGAATTTCTTTTATAAGTAAGACTAAACAACTCTTATTTAATGTTCATTTGTATTTCTTTTTCTGTGAATTGTCTTCCGGTGTCTTTTGTCCATTTTTTCTTGGCTCATTACTGTTTTTACTGTATTTTATGAAAAAAATCGACGTTTGTCTATTTTGTGTGTTGCAAATATTTTTTCAACTTGTCTTTTTATCTCCTTTATGGTATTCTTTTCTGAACGGAAAATTTATTCAAATTTTATGCTTTCTTATTTGTGAGTTTTTTCAGTTTGGCTTATGGATTTCATGTCATGCTTTAAAAGGCTACTCCACAATTATTTTTATTGGTAAATAATAAGTGTATATATTTATGGTATATAATGTGATGTTTTCATATGTGTATACATTATATAATGATCAAATCAGGTTAATTAAGATATTAATCACCTCAAATACTTATTTCTTTACAGTGAAAATACTTAAAGTCCTTTTTTTAGTTTTTTTAAATATATGTTATTATAATCTATAGTTACCATGTTGTGCAATAGATCATCAGAACCTATTTCTTCCATCTAACTGAAACTCTGTACTTTGGAACCAACATCTCCCATTTCCTTACCCACCCCACCCACCACCAATCTGCTCTCTACTTCTACAAGTTCAACTATTTTAGATCCCATATAAATAAAATCATGTGGTATTTGTCTGTGCCTAGCTTATTTCACTTATCATAATTCTTCTAGGTTCATCCATGTTGTGGCAAATAACAAGAACTTCTTGCTTTTGTAAGACTAGATAGTATTCCAATGTGTATATATACCACATTTTTTAATCCATTCATTCATTGATGGCTTTTTAGTTTTCTCCTTGTCTTCACTATTGCAAATAATACTGCAATTAACATGGGAGTGCAGATTTCTCTTTGATGTACTGACTTCAATTCCTCAAAGGTTATTTTTTTAATGCACCTGAGTTCTCTTCTAGTATTTCTATGGCTTTATTTTTAATTCCTCTGAAATTTATTCTGTTATAAAGAGGACATCCTCTCACTTTGTTGTTGTTGTTGTTGTTGTTGTTGTTGTTGTTGCAGTAGAGAGAGTTTAATTATCACCAGGCTGCTGAGCAGAAGGACAGGAGATATTTCTCAATTCTGTCTTCCCAAGAACTCAGAAGCTAGGGTTTTTAAGAATAATTTAGTGGGCAGGGACTAGAGAATGGGTACTGCTGATAGGTTGGGGATGAAATCATAGGAATGTCAAAATTGTCTTCATGCACTGAGTCCATTTCTGGGTGGGGGACACAGGACCTTTTGAGTCTGTTTCTTGGTATAAGTCACAGGTCCAAGTGGAGTTAGTTGGTCACCAGAATGCAAAAGTCTGAAAAAGATCTCAAACATTAGTCTTAGGTTTGACAATAGTGATGTTATCTATAGGACCAATTGGGGAATTTACAAATAACCTCCAGTTACATGACACCTGATCAGTAAGCAGTTATAAAAAGACAAATGATAAAACAATGACTGGTTAGAATTTAACTATGCCTGCCTTCTAACAGAATTTAGGCCCCTACCATAATTCTAACCTTGTGGCCAATTTATTAGGTTTACAAAGGCAGTTTTGGTCCCTGAGCAAAGAGGGGGTTAGTTTCAGGAAGGGACTCTTATCATCTTGTTTTAAAGTTAAACTGTAAACCAATTCCTCCCATAGTTGGCTTAGCTTATACCCAGGAATGAGCAAGAACAGCCAGCCTGTGAGGTTAGTAGCAAGATGGAACATAATAGAAACATTCCTCTTCTCCTTCAGGTAGTTATCAAGATTTGATTCCATTTGCATAGTCTAAGACTCCCATTTCTGAAAATATCAATGAAAAGAACTTAATGTTATTAAGCAGAATGAAAATGGTTGCCAGTGGAAGTGATTACTCATTTCCCCATCAAACCCCAGATACGTATTTTTCAGCCACAACAGAAGTCAAAATCTACATTCAGTTTATTTTTCATTTATCTTTGTGGTTTTTTTTCAAGTTTTGGATGATTTTCGTGTTTGGTTTTTAGGCTGTAGAGTGGTAACAATTCATGGTTGTTGTTTTCTCCCAACAGCCCATGAGTTATAAGAAGCTGGAAAATGCCATTGTAGCCCTGGGATCCAAGATAGGGTCCCATTTAATGCCAATCAAGAAAACTGAGAGCACTGCATTTGATTGAAAAGTGAAAAAATCTCCATCATTCAGATGCAACAAGCCATAAATCTCACTTGGCATTGATGAACTAAGTGTGCCTCTCTTTCTTTTCTATTCATAAACTAGGTGATGAGTATCTGACATAAAGGTCACAGGCTCAAACATAGTATAGGGATAAACACTCTGAATATCTGGCTTGGGCTTTCTTTCAAAACATGTCCCGCCTGAGCGATAGGACACTATGTACTTTTTCACCAGCTCTCAATAAAGTGGATCAGGTGATGTGGTACCATCTATACTTTTTCATACTCCCTATATGGTCAAGAACTCTGGAGAGGTGAGATACAAGCTCTAGTTATTGTAGAGGCAGTATGCTGTAAGATCTGAGAAAACTAAGAAAAAAATAGATAAAATTATATGCCTTTTTCTAAAATTACAGTGATGTAAGAATGGTGTGAACATATTCTAAGTACTGTCAATTCTCAAACAGAAAACGACTGCCCAAATGCTTAGTAGTGTGATCGTCTTTTACGTTACTATGATCTCTCCATCTCCCATACCTAAAGTGTGAAATTTACAATAACGTCCTGTTTTTTTCAGCTCCAGAGTGAGACTGCTAATTACTGATTGGTAAATGCTTTGAAAATTCAGAAGGGCCACATTGAAATGCTAAGTATCGCTGCTCTCTCTCTCTCTCCCCACCATTCCCTCCCATGGTTAGAATACGACGCACTTACTCACAATGCAGTTGTTTGGACCTGGGAGGTGAGAGGTCATGTTTGCATTCTTGGGACAGGAGCATGCAGCTGCCAGCCTTCTGCATGATGGGGATTAGGTCTTTGCCTGTTGAGTTAATAGCTCTCCCAGCTTCTTCTACATACTCTTTGAAAACAGTGGTTTGGGCCTTTTTCCATCTCATTTCGGAATGCTGGACCAAGAGTCTTTCTGATGACAACTTCTCTTCTCTGGTAATTGTTAATTTTGTTTGAAGTTCATACTCTAAATAATTCACCCAATGTTTTCTCATAGCACATTGGAAATTTGAAGTCTTCTGTCCTTAGAACAGATTTTTTTTTTTTTTTTTTGATGGAGTCTCCCTCTGTCGCCCAGGCTGAAGTGCAGTGGCACAATCTTGGCTCACTGCAACCTCTGTCTCCCAGGTTCAAGTGATTCTCCTGCCTCAGCCTCTTGAGTAGCTGAGACTACAGGCACTCATCACCACACCCAGCTAATTTTTGTATTTTTAATAGAGACGAGGTTTCACCGTGTTAGCCAGTATGGTCTCTATCTCCTGACCTCAGGATCCGCCCACCTTGGCTTCCCAAAGTGCTGAGATTATAGGCGTGAGCCACCACGCCTGGCCCTAAAACAGATATTTTAACATAAACATGAAAGTGAGCTCCAGGAAATGTTCAGGAAGAGAAAATATTTTAATTAAGCTAAAAAAATCAGGAGCAAGAGTTTATTCCTCTAAATAGTATCTCCTCTAAGACTGCAAATTTAGAAACCAGATTTGAAGCATACTGTTGAGTCTGTGCATCACCCAAAGCAAATATTTGAGGAGTTTTCTCATGGTAGTAAGATTTTAGAGGTTACGTAAGGGAACCAAATAGCTTGAAGCCTTGTGGACAGACTCTTCCCAGGACATGGCCTTTGTCACAGATGATATGGCATCATAAAAGAAGATCCTTCAAGGCATTACTAGTTTGGGGCCTTAATAGGTGAGCCTCCAGAATCAGAAAGGTGGAAGGAAATGGCATTGAGTCAGCAGACCCAGGCTATACAATGTGAACTGCTGTGTGACCTTGGCCAAGTCCTGTCACCATTCTGTGGTTCATCTTTCTGATGAATAAAGGCAGATGCTTAGACTAAATAATCCCTTAATAATCCTTCCTTTCCCAAGGATGAGTTCATGTCCTTTCTAGGGACATGGATGTAGCTGGAAACCATCATTCTGAACAAACTATCACAAGGACAGATAACTAAATACCACATGTTCTCACTCATAGGTGGGAATTGAACAACGAGAACACTTGGACACAGGGCAGGGAACATCACACCCCAGGGGCCTGTCCTGGGATCGGGGGAAAGGGGGAGGGATAGCATTAGGAGAAATATCTAATATAAATGATGAGTTAATGGGTGCAGCAAACCAACGTGGCACATGTATACATATGTAACAAACCTGCACGTTGTGTACATGTATCCTAGAACTTAAAGTATATATATTAAAAAAAAAAAACCTTCCTTTCCCTAGCCCTTTCTGCTTCTCATTTCTACAAAACATTTTCATAAACAACATCTGAATTGAAATCTTAAGGAGAGATTTTTATTACCATTTTACAGGTGAAGAAATAGACTGAGAGTGGTTAAATAGTTACCCACAAAAGGTAGTCTTCCTTCTGTGTGCCAGATACTGTACCAGGTATTAGGGCTGCCGGTGAAAATGAGCTCCAGACCCTGTCCTCAAAGCAAGTGGGGGACCGGAGTGTAAAGAGATTATCACAGTGGAATAGAGTATAAGCAAAATACTGTGAGAACACAGAGGAGACAGCAATGAACTGCCTGCAACGTGAGAGAAAGCTTCTCAGAAGAGACATTTTAAAGTGGTCCTTGAAGAATGAGTAAGAGTTTGGCAAGTGGAGAAGAGAAAAAAGACATAAAGGCAGAAGAATGAGGATGTGCAGAGGTGTGACCGGGCTCAGTGTCCTCAGTGGACAGATGTGGCAGGAGGGAAGTTGGGTTTGTGGGAAGGGGGTTGATGTTAGTGAGGTATGTGGAGGTTTGATAATAAAGATGCTTGAGTTTTATCTCGTAGCTTTTTTTTTTTTTTTTTTTTTTTTTTGAGACGGAGTCTCGCTCTGTCGCCCAGGCTGGAGTGCAGTGGCGTGATCTTGGCTCACTGCAAGCTCCGCCTCCCGGGTTCACGCCATTCTCCTGCCTCAGCCTCCCGAGTAGCTGGGACTACAGGCGCCCGCCACCACGCCTGGCTAATTTTTTTGTATTTTTAGTAGAGATGGGGTTTCACTGTGTTATCCAGGATGGTCTCGATCTCCTGACCTCGTGATCTGCCCGTCTCGGCCTCCCAAAGTGCTGGGATTACAGGCGTGAGCCACCGCGCCTGGCCTCTCGTAGCTTTTTAATGAAGGGAATGATGGTTTGGCATCTGGATGGAAGATGGGACTGTTGCCAGTAAACGTACCAACCACTGCAAAAGTCTACACACTAAATGATAAGGACTTAAATTAATACCATGCCTGTGGGTATGGGGAGAAGGGGTCAGACATAAGAGACACTGTAGATTAGAATCCAAAGCTCTTGGTAACTAATTGGCAGAGACAAAGATGAACATAGGGTTTCCAGCTCCAAGGGCTAAGTGGAGGGAACTCCATTTCCTAAAACAGCAAGCAGAAGATCAGGTTTGGATGTTGGATGTAAGCACCACATGTTCAGCTTGCAGATTTTGAAATGTCTGCAGGACTTACCAGGGTAGATGACCACTTGGGAGTTCAAATCAGCTCGTTAGAATACAGTTTGAGGTTGGAGGTAAAAGCCTGGGAATTGTCAGCAGATAGGTGTCTGTTGAAGGTGTGGAGATCAATGGAATCATGTCAAGCCTCAGTCTCTTCATTTACAAAGTGGATATCAATCTTACTTCCAAGGGCTATCCAGTAATTCATTGGATAAATCAGTTTAAAGCAAAAAACTGTAATCTGATTTTCCTGATTATATTTAAACTTATTTAAATGCAATCACTTATTCATCTTTTACCTATGTCTCCCGGGGCTTTTAGAAAATTGCTACAGTGACCTATATACAAGATAAGGGGCCTTGAACAGTCAGCCTTGGCTTCAAGGCCATCTCTTAGAGCCAAGTATACCCTCTTACCACTTCTAGATCAATTCCCTGGTAGCCACATGCTAGCACTTACTTGTTCCTCAGCTTCCTTATAAATAAGATACTTGACTCAGAGTATGTATTAAGTCATTTCAATTGACACAACATTTATTAAGTCTTGTAGTGTGTTATTCTCTGCACTGAAATTACAAATGAATAAAGTATAAGTGTTAAAAATATGGAGAGCACTTTGACAGGGCTATTGGACCCAAAGAATAAAAGGCTGTGGGAGCCCAGAGCGTGAAAGAGTGGATTTCCTCAGGGATACAGAAAAGCCATCCTGGAGTTGCTTTTGAGCTTGTCTTGAGAAGGAGTAGAGTTCTCAGAGGTGACAAAGAGGAGTGTCAGCCCAGACTTGGGAACATAATGGACAGAAGCACCAAAGTGAAATGTGTGTTGTGCTCCTTGAGCAGAGAAATCACAAGTACTGATTTGCCTAACTTGATTTGTATTTTTTGTTAGCAGGGATCTACATTTTTTAATTGCTACTTCGCCATTTAGCTGTTAGCCCATCTTAATCAATAGCATTTTCAGCAATCACAGCAATTTTTAAAAAGTCACTTCTATACATATGGTGCTCTTTAATTACTCTTTTAAATGAGTCTCATGCACATTTCTTACTCTGAATCCATAATCAGATGAGTCATGACACAATCTTCTGGAAGGGCATGTTATCTGATGATGCCAATTCTGAATTAGTGTTTCTCTGAAATGTTTTCACAGTATAAAATTAGTACAAATAAGATGCATAGGTCACATTCACTCTGAACCTCTTTTTGGATAATTTTTCAATTTGTTATTTTAAAAAAAAATCAAATTTTCAGAGAAGACAGCAACCCTGGCCAAGAGAGCATCAAGGGTGGGTATCCCTCTCCAACATTGAAATTCTAGGGTTCAGCAAACTTGATCCAAAGGAAAACAGTCAGATTTAAACACTGTAACATATCCAAAATGTTTTTGTAATTATATGGGCAATGCATGATTACTGTAGAAAATAAATTTGTATAAAAGAAGAAAAGAAAAATCATCTATAACTCCATCAGACATTAACATGTTAGGAAAATCCATTCCAATGTTTGCTGTTCCAAGCATGCCACATATTGAGCTCTCACTTTCTCCCTGTACTTTAAATCCTGCTGGTATTAAAATTTGAATGTTTCCATTTCCATCCCTGTATCCTTACCACCACTGCGCTTGACCAGATGATTCCAACAGATTCTACCTATCCTTCTGCCTCCAGGCCATGAAATCTGAAACACTGAAGCTGTCCTCCACATAAGGCCAGAAGGACAGCATGTCAATATAAATCAGACCATGATATTCTCCTGCTGAAAAGGTTTTCGTGGCCCTCACTGCCTATGTTATAAAGTCCAATCTCCTTACACAAGAATACAAAATCCTCCATGATCCAGCTCCTGTTAACTTCTCCTAACTCGTCTTCTGACAACCTATACATCTACTTGCATAGTTCCCTGTATAATCATATATCATGTTTTTGTGCCTCTGTGCCTTTACTTACGCTGTCCTCAGCTTGGAATGCCCTGTTCCAACCTCTTGAACTGGGAAACACTGACTTAGCCTTCAGACTCAGCAACAACTTATTACCTCTGGGGCAACATCCCTGAGCACCCAGATAGGGCTAAGAGCCTGTCTTTGATGTTGATGTCCCAAAGCACTGAGCCTACCTTCCTCCCTTTATCAGTGAGTTACTGCCACAGTCAGGCTGTGTAACAAACCACCCCAAAACACAATAGTCTATGCAATTAACATTTATTTTCATGTTCACAATTCTGAGGGTTAGTGGAGGAGGCTGCTCTATGTATCTCATTCTGGGGCCCAAGATGTATAAGTAGTGGCCACCTAGGCACATTCTTCTCTTGGCAGTGGTCAGCAGCTCCTCGAAGGACAAAGAAAACTGCGAGATGCAGGCCTCTTAATACCTAGGCTTAGAACACATATGCTATCATTTCCACCCACATTTTGCTGGCTGAAGCAAGTCCTATGACCAAACCCAACATCAATGGGGAAGAAAGTGTGTTTCTCTCATAGAGACAAAAAGGGAGAGAGGAAGTATTTGCTAAGCAATTGTGAAACCTCTCCTAGTGCATGTTTTACAAATAGTAACTCTATCTTTCTAGTTGCTCAAGCCAAAACCTTAGATTCATTCTTGTTTGTTTGTTTGTTTGTTTTTTCCTTACTTAGCATTCATCAATAAATCCTCTTGGTTCTATCTTTCAAAGACATTCAGAATTTTATACTCCTCCTCTCCTTACTCAATTCCCTTCTGGTCCAAGTCACGTTTGTCTCTCCTCAGGGTAATTGCAATAGCCTCCTAATTGCTCTTCCTGCTTTTGCTCTTGCCCCTTACAGTTTCTTCCATCCTGGCAGCCAGAGGGATCCTCTTACAGCATAAATCATATGTCAACTCTCCTCCTTGAAGCCCTCCAGTCAGTGCCTCCCCATCTCGCCATAGGAAAAGCTGCAGTCGTCACAGTCCGTGCAGGTGCCTGTCGGGGCTCTGATCATCGTGCTCCTGCTGCTCCCTTAGCCTCATCTCTTCCTGTTCCACTCCTACCCACATTGCACCTAGGGCTGGCCTCTTAGCTACTCCTCAAAAACCCCAGACACTCACTTTCTCTTGGCTTTGTACTCTTCTTCCTCTTAGCACGGGGACCCTCTGTCTGGAATATTCTTTCCTTATATATTTGGGTAACTCTCTCCTTCACCTCCTTCAACTCTCTATTCAAAATCACCTCATCAGGGAGTTCCTGGTTCACATCTATATAAAATAGCACTCTCTCTCAATGCAGCCTCATCCCACCACGTTCTTCTCTCTATACCTGAGGAATGAGCTGCAAGTTTCCCCCAGCCACTGCATAAACCCTCTGCTTACCTCTGCAGTTCCTATACCCCCAATAAAATATAAGCTCCATGAGAGTAGGGACTGTCCATTCTGCTCATGGTTGTATCTCAGATTTAGGACAGCCTTGGCACAGAGTGGGTACCTGGGGAATACTTGGTGAGTGAGTGACTTGCTCTCACTAGGGAATACTGAAATGACTGACTTGTGTGTTATCTCCCCCTTGGGTGAGCAATAACCCAGCTCACTCTTCCTAGAATCTCCAGTGCCGGCTACAGCTCTGGCGCACACAAGGCTCAGTAAGCACATGCTGAACTGAGCGGAACAACTTTGTAAAAGTGGATTTCTGGAAACCTCTCAAGCTTTTGAGCTAACAGAATTATATCCAGTTACTGCAGCTTACCAGTTGGGTTTATTTGGAAAGAAATGTTTCCCCAGGAATAACTATGAAGCTGGATGTAAAGGAACTCAAGTTTAATTTGCACTAAAAGGAGAGTTCCTCATCCCACTTAACTGCAGGACCTTTATCATCTACGTGTTCCTCTGGTCTGTCAGCTCCATGAAGGCAAGACCATGCCTGCCTCACTCTCCATTGTACCTCCAGGGCCCTGGCACAGAGCTCAGCACACCCTAGATGCTCTATTCATTTTTGTTGATTAAATGAGTAAATGAATGTATACTTGAGATCTTCCATGAGCCAATCCTTGGGCAAAAGTGGCTTAGGCATACTTTGTGGATGAAGCCTTGGAAGGATCCAGGTAGAGAGAGTGCTTAATTCTGCAACACTGTGTAGCTGTTATGTGTGCTTCAGCTCCAACAGGGCAAAGACACCCCAGAAAATGTGCTTGTTAAAAGCCAGTGCACTCAGAGCAGCAGTCACCATGCTACCCCCTTTGGAATTTAGCTGGCATGAGCAATGCAGCCTCATCCCACCACATTCTTCTCTCTATACCTGAGGAATGAGCTGCAAGTTTCCCCCAGCCACTGCTGGCGGGGGGACTCCATAAACCCTCTGCTTACCCACCCATTCCCATAACCTCTCACCATGGAAACAGTGATAGCAGCTGGGGCTGGAGGACTCATTTCAGAAAGGGGGTGATGATCTCCGGGTGAGAGTCCAAAAAGGGTGTGGTGGAGTGGAGAGTCTGGCACTTTGCTAAGAGGCTTAGGACCTTGAGAGCAATAGGAGCCGCCTGTTCCATTAGAGACAACTCCTACCCTGATTTTCCAATTGTTGCCACACACCTGCTGGTGACTTAGCGTGGGGTGGACTCAGCTCCCAGAGCTCAGCCAGTCTCATCTCCTGTCCTTCCCTCGGGTGTGTAAACACAGGGTATTGCTTTACCTAAAGTTTCAGCACTTTTGCCTTTTAACAAGAGGCCCTCATCTTTCTCTTCCCTTTCAAAGAGAGGTCCTTGAATGCTCCTCCCACACCTGCCCTTCAGGGCATGTTCAGGGTTTTAGAGCACTACAAGGGCAGTCAGTGTTTCTAGCAAATGAGTACTTACCAGTATTACGATCATGGATCATGGACTCTGGAGTGAGCTATACCTAAATCCAGATCCCAGCTGCCACCAAAGTCTCTGGGCCTCGGTTCCTCTGTCCATAAGACAAAAATGATGATAGTATATATTTCCTAGGTTTGTCATGAGAATTCAATGAGATAAATATATAAAGCACTTAGCCCAGAGCCTGGACATAGTAAGCACTTGATAAATGATAACCAATGGCAGTAATAACAGCAATAGTTATATCTTTTAATATTTTCTTACATCCTAATGGGTGCACAGACCAATCAATCATGCTTTGGCCACCCCCATGTGGGGGCGGGGCAGGTGGGCAGGGGACAGGTGGGACTGCTTCCATGTATGTGAGCCACAGGGCTTCCCAAAGGTCCCTCTTTCTCTTTCAACTCACATGTCCTGAAGGATTCTCTGAGTCACGGCCTATAGGAAGCACTCTACCATGGAGCACTAACCTGTGGGTGATAAGGTGGTGTGTGGGTATGTGTATGTGTGTCAGAGAGAGAGAAAACAGAGAATGCTGGGTGGCTGTGAGGGGTGGGTTGTGGGGACAAGACTAAGTTCATATAGGCAAACCTGACTCCCAGTTTTACCGCAGTTGAACCAGCAGGAAAAGCAGAAAGCTGAGGAGAGGCTCTTCCAGGAGTTCCACGAGAGAGAACCAAGCAGCATCTTTAACCTGGCTAAGGATGTGCAGAGAGTGCACATGAATTCCTTTCTTGGTAAATAAGCATATCCACGCCTATTTATGAGAAATACATAAAATATTGAATTATGTGCATAACTTACGCATATGACCATGCTGTGATTAAAGTCAGCTCGTATTCATCACAGTCCACACATTTGTACATGATCTCTTCCTGTTGCACTTGCTGGTCCCACTTCCTGGAATGTCCATTCCCTGCCACCTCCTCTCCTCATACCTGTTTACCCCTGCTAGCTTCTGTTCATCCTCAGGTCTCAATTCATACTCTGCCTCCTTTTGGAAACCCCGTGATATCCGAAACTCAGGTAGCATGCCCCAACCCTGTCGCAAGGCACTTACATCACCCTGTGGTCCTCATCTGGCTACTTGTATTGTCTCTAGAAGGACTCTGAGACCCTTCAGAGCAAGGGCTTTCTTTTAGTAGGTTTACATTCTCAGTGCCTGGCATACAGTGGGTGCCCAAATATGTCTGCTGAATTAGTGGATATAATACCTGAGTTGCTAATAAAATACCTGAGTCGTTTCCTTGAAAGACAGTGTTTGTCCTCAAGCAAGCCTCTGAATCTAACAGAGGGGACTTGTTAAAAAAACAACAAGCAGAGCAATCCATTACTTCTGGGATTTCACAAATGCCATGTCAATGTGCTATGGGCCCCTCACAATGTCAGTAGCTGACAATTAAGTAAACAAAAAACAAGATTGGAGACCAATGTGCCAGCAGAAGCACTGTCAGCACTGCCTGGCTGAGGAAGGTGGTGCGCAGTGACCTGCAGACTCAGTGTTCAGCGTCCAGGCGCCTGCACTTGAGGGGTAAGTGAGCAGGACCCTGCCCCAATTTCTGTGCCCCAAACTTCTTCCCTGCTGCCTGCACCTTCTACCTTGGGACTCACACAGGGTGAAGCTCTGGAAATAAATCCAATGAGGAGGTTTGCCAGCTTTGTTAGATGAGGCACTTGAAGATCAACCCCCAAATAGACAAGTTATCTGTGCTTATGCTCTCTGCTAACCTATACACTCTAGGTCATCATAATATTGGTCAATACTTGCCACATATTGTGTGAAGCACCTTATTTGGGTTATCTTTTTCAGTTTGCTCCTTGCAACAACCCTATAAAGTAGATGGCATTATCAGCCCCATTATACAGACTAAATTAGAGCACACAGAGAGATTAAGTTATACACTCAAAATCATACAGCCATGATGCAGCAGAGCTGTGATTTGAACCCAAATACTGACCACCCAGTCATCCTTCTCATGCAAAAACTGATCAGGCCTGTGACGAAAAATTCTAAGATCACCAATGCACAGCCATCTTTCCTGAATGCTGAAACACTTAGGACACAGCGATCCCTTTGGAAAAGCAGGGAGTATGTTTGGGATTAATAAAGGAAAGCCTCCTGCAGAGAGCATATAAAGTCAGGGAAGCAGCAGGTAACCAGTGGCAGAGCTGGAGTGTCAGACCTCTCAGGGGATCACTGAGACAAAGAGCCAGCCCTATCCTGCTCTACCCTTGGGGCAGAACCCTGGACTCTGAGGACCCAGGAGTTGCCTAAATCCCCCTGAGAAAGCTGAGGCAATAAATGTTGTCGGTCTCTGCACTAAACTTGAACCACCTTCCTTGGATCTGCATTCCTAAATGGAGATGAAATGCCAAAGGGTACTTGCCTTGATCCTTTGGAGCATGAGTTTATTGATACGGTGAAGGTTAATGAAACAATTAATTGTATCCATGGAAGCTAAAACATGGATTGAAGCTTTTCAATTTTCATCTGCCATAACGAGCACTAGGCTCAGGTTCTTACCCAGTATTTCACATCTATTAATTGTTTTAATGATTCCAGTTTTAATTAATAAAAATTCAGCCATGTGTGTTAAATTTTAACATCCAGAGCTTTCTTACCCATCAGCTGAGTTGGGGATGTGCAGAAAGAAAACACTTGGGCAAGATGCAACTTCTAAGTCCTGTGTTAGCCAAAGGGTACTGAAGGTGACTTGTGCGCCCAGCATTGGGCTGTGTGCTTCCCCACTTTACCGCGTTGAATCCTCTCAACATCCTGTAATTACACGTTTTAATCCCTCTATGGGTCCTCACCGTGGGAAGCCACTGTCTCCCAAGTCACCCCTCAGAACCTGCACGTGATTCTCCAGAAGACTGTCAGATCCCTTCCTCCATCCTCATACCTTCCTTTTCATCTCCAAATGCTCTCCTATTTCATGCTATGGAAGTCACAGTCCCTCCTCAGCAAAGCCCCCATCACTGAACCCCTTCTCTGAGCGATGTGCCACCTTCTTGCCCTCTCTAAAGACTGGCTGCCCTGAGGACACAGTGTTCCTGCAGCCCTTTCAAGTGGAGGTGGTTTTGCCCCCAATCTTCAGAGCACTAGGCTTGGAGATGGGGTGGGCATCCCCCTTGCTGTTTCTTGCCAATTCCAAGAAAGAAGTTTCTCTTCTTCTCCTTTCTCTCCTCTCTAAGAACATCTACCTTTGAATTATATTTCAACATATTATATCACCCATTATCTCTCATTGTTGTAGTCTGCAACACTGGGTCACTCTATCACAATTTTGGTTCTTGCTGTTTAAATTCTTGGCACCTCAATATATACACAGGTCATCATTCCAACACGCTGGCTCAGTTTTATGGACTTACCTCCTCTAGCAGTCTTAACCTCCTCTGTACCTTAGTCATCGAGAGCCTATGTGAGCCAACACTTGCCATGACCAATAAATGCAAACCCTCCATTATCTAAGCATTGCACATCACACTCTCTGACTCCAGTTTTTCCATCTCCCTTGAATGCCTCAACTCTGTCAATCTTTCACCTCCCCCCAGGTCTTCTAACCTCAGAACTGATCAAGCCATCTTTTCACTTTCCCTCTCCCCATCAAAGTCCTGTCTTCCTTTCATATCAGCTTCAATTCCATGATCTGTCACTGTGATCACTCCCTCAGGTACACTTCAGCTCCTCTGCCCCTCTCTTGACTTGTTGCACTCTTTGGCAAAAACACAACCCTGGTAAAATATAATTCTCTATCTGCTCCATGCTAGCACCCAGGAAGGTGAATGTGGTTAGGAAAAAAAACAACCACATTAACTGACCTCATTCTAAATTTATGACCATGAACTTCAAATGGGCTCTATTGTTCTCCAGCAATCATATCCGGTTTTTCTAATCCATCTCTTCTCATCTTCTCCTAAAAGCTATTTCAGATCTACTCTCTCCTCTCCCCAAACTTCCACCACCTCTTCCCCTATTCTTACTTTCAACTGATAATTTTTATTTCTATTGCACTGAAAGAAAAAATTGAAGCAACAGGAGGAAAATGTCTACAGGACCCCACCATCCATGCACCCACCGAATAGCATCCTCACCTACATACTGACCTTTCCTCCTATTACTGTAGCTAAACCATATGTGATTCTATATATACATGTATTCCTCTACTCATACTGTTAGTGGTGGAGGGTCTTGACAATGAGTTGTCCAGGTCCTTGGCATTTTAAACAAAGAATTGAACAAAATGCACAAAGTAGCAGAGGAAAGAAATACGGTAATGAAGCAGTGAAAGCAGCAATTTATTAAAGTGAGAAAGCGCTCCACAAGGTGGGCATGGGCCTGAGCAAGTGACTCAAGGGCCCAGTTACAAAGTTTTCTGGGTTTTAAGCACTCATTTTTCAGTTCTTACCAGCTGCCCCTTATCTGCATGAAGGATTTGGTCTGTGGCTAATTAAAGGCTGATGTGAATTGGTGCCCTGTGCAGATGAAGGGATGGTCCTGCCTTGGCCTGCAACCAATCCCAGGCACTCTCCCTTTCCATCTGACACTGGTGGAAGGGAGAGGGTTGTAGGGAGAGTAGCCTTTGATCCTTTGTTACTCAGGTGGAGAGATGGGGTTTTTCCTTTTGGTTTAGCTTTAAGAAGCTTTAGGTGTTCGGCCCCCAGACCCAGGTGTTTTCCTTTTGATCCAGCTTTGGGAAGTCAGCACAAATTGGCCTGAGATTCCCTGCCCCCAGACCTTGGTGTTTTTTCTTTTAGGAAGTCAGCACAAATTGGCCTCTGATTATCTGCCCCTAGACCTTGATGTTTTCCTTGATTCAGCATGAATTGGCCTTAAGTTCCCTGCCTCCAGACCCTGTTCTCCTGCCTCAATACACTATATTCAATCCTCCCTCATATATGCTTCTGAACTACTGGATTAATGTAATGATCTACTGATATCATAGACAATGATCAGCGTATCTACCTACTAGAAAATTCCCATCAGCATACAAAATATCATAGTTTCTCCTATAAGGAGGAGGGAGGAAGGAAGAAAGGAAGGGAGGAAGGAAGGAGAGAGGGAAGAAGGGAAAAAACAAGCTTCTCTTGACCCTACTTCTCACATCAGCTACTTTTCCATTTCTCTGCTCTCTTTTGCAATAAAATTCCTCAAAAGAGCTGTCGATATCAGTGGCACAATACCTGTTCTGCTCTCTTAGCTCTCTCCAGGCATGTCCTCCACTCTTCCATAACTGCTCCAGTCAAGGTGATCAACGACTTCCAATTTGCTCAATCCAGTGGTCAACTTTCAGTCTTCTTATTTAGGGATAATAATACTATCAGCTCTACAGAATAGTTGTGACAATTTAATGAACAATTAAAATGTTTTAAACACTTTTATGTAAACTGTTAGTGCAACTCTTTCTTAAAAAAAACTCATCCTAAATGTCAAAAGCAGAAATATCTCCCAGGTTTACAGCTGTACACATCTGCTGACTTAGCTCCACTAGTATTTCAATTGGAGCTTTCCATAAACATTCTTTCCCCATAACTGCAGCCCTAAAGGGAGGGAGGGGGAGTGAATTTGAAGTCCACACTCTTTTAAAATCTAATTTCTAAGATCTCCATTAAGGAATGAGTGTTAATTATCCTGTATTGTATGGATGTCTCTACAACATCTCTCTGAGAAATTCATTTAACTTTTGACCGATCAGGATAATGAGCTTCTCTTTCTCTTCTAATTTAAGTTTGTCAATACCTTTGAAAAAATTGAGGAGTTGAACTTTTTAATGAAAGTCAAGCAAACTAATAATTTCCTGAAATTGATGTTATCAAAACAATGGCCCTATCATCAAAAGTTAAAGGTATCAACATGTCTTGATAGATGGTTTGGAGTCATCCTCCATATTAGGGCTAGAAATTCATGTCAATAATAAATAAACTTGGGAGATTTATGGATCAAAAGGAAAGAAAAGAAATTCTCAAATAGTTGAGAACTAAGGAATCTCAGTTAATACCTCTGTTGAACAGAGAGCAAGAAATAAATAGTGAATATGCTACAAAACTGCTTACTGAATTGACTACATAAAAAGCTCTGAGCCATTAATTTGGGTTAAAAACCAGCAAAAAATTGTTGACAAAATTTTGTTCCTAGAAAGAAAAACTTATCAATCTTCAAAGCAATGTAAATGCACATTTCTGAGCATTTTCTCACCATTTTAAGAAATACATTTGAACTAGGTGTTTATTCAAGGTCAACAATCCATATTTTCAGACAACATGTTTGTCTATGTAGAAAATCCCAAAGAATCTAAAGGCACTAGTAAGTGAGTTTAGCAAGGTCACAGAATATAAGGACAACACACAAGAATCAACATTTCTATATATAATGATGAAAATTAAAATGAAGAAAAATTTGTAAATATTTCCAATAGCTGAAAAAATGAAATACTAGATATAAATTTTATAAAACATATGTGAAAACTGTATGTTGGAAACTATAAAACATGAATGAAATAAATCAAAGAACACCTAAATAAGAGAAGTACATATTATCTTTGTGGTTTGGAGAATTCAAAAGAGTTTAAATGTCAGTTCTTTCCCAAACTGATCAATAGATTTAACACAGTTCAGCAGAACTTCTTGTAGATATGAACAAGCTTATTTTTAAATTTATACGTAAAGGGAAGGAATGAGAAAAGCCAAGATAATTTGAAAAAGAAAAGCAAAGCTGGAGGACTCAAAGTACCTAGTTTTAAGATAACATAAAGCTACAGAAATAAAGACAGTGGGAATTAGTGAAAGGATAAGCATATAGATCAAGGAAACAGAGAGTGCAGAAATAGACTCATACAAATGTGGTCAATGATTTTTGACAGATGTGCAAAAAAGACTACATGAAGAAAGAATAATCTTTTCAACAAATGGGGCTGGAACAAATGAACATCCATGTGCAATAAAAGATACCTCAACCTACACCTCACATCATATACAAAAAATTAACACAAAATGGGTGGTAGACCTAAATTTAAAACACAAACTATAAGACTTCTAGAGGAAAACAGGGGAGGACACATTTATGACCTTGCATTAAGAAAAGATTTCTTAATTGTAACATAAAAAGCATAACAAAAAGACAAAATAATAGATTGGACTTTGTAGTAGTCTGTTTTCACATTGCTGATAAAGACACACCCAAGAGTGGGCAATTTATGAAAAAAAAGAAGTTTAATAAACTCACAGTTCCACATGGCTGGGGAGGCCCCAATCATGGCCAAAGGTGAAAGGCACGTCTCACGTGGCAGCAGACAAGAGAAGAATGAGAGCCAAGTGAAAGGGGTTTTCCCTTACAAAATCATCAGCTCTTGTAAGACTTATCCACTACCACAAGAACAGTATGGGGGAAACCGCCCCATGATTCAATTATCTCCCACTGGGTTCCTCCCACAACACAAGGGAACTATGGGAGCTACAAGTCAAGATGAGATTTGGGTGGGGACACAGCCAAACCATATCAGACTTCATCAGAATTAAAAATGTTTGCTCTCTGAACTATACTACTAAGAGAATGTGAACATAAGCCACAGACTAAGAGAAATATTTACAAATCCTATCTCTTAAAAAGGAATTGTATCCTGAATATATAAAGAACTCTCAAAACTCAACAACTTAAAAACAATGTTTTAAGTGCACAAAGGATTTTAATATAAACTTTATCAAAGAAGATACAAAGATGGCAAATAAGCACAGGAAAAGATGTGGAGCATTATTAGCCATTAGGGAATGCAAATTAAAATCCCAATGAGATACCATGACACAGAAAAGAAATTGACATGCAGGGCATAGTTGCCTGCATTTGTAGTCCCAGCTACTCGGGAGACTGAGGCAAGAGTATCTCTTGAACCCAGGAGTTCATGACCATGGCAATATAGTGAGACCCAACTCTAAAAATGAAAATAAAAACAGGCAATAAATTAACAATACCAAGTGCTGGTGAAAATATGGAGCATTAGAACATTCATAATTTGCTAGTAGAATATAAAATGGTAGAACCTTTCCAGAAACAAATTGGAAGCTTCTTACAAGGTTAAACATGCATTTACTGTATATTCAGCAATCCCGCTCCTAGGCATTTACCCTAAAGAAATAAAAAACTTATGTTCACACAATAAACTTGTACAGGAATATTAGCCAGGTATGGTGGCTTATGCCTGTAATCCCAGCACTTTGGGAGGCTGACACAGGTGATCACTTGAGGTCAAGAGTTCAAGACCAGCCTGACCAACATGGTGAAACCCTGTCTCTACTAAAAATACAAAAATTAGCAGGGCTTGGTGGCAGGTGCCTGTAATTCCAGCTTCTTGGGAGACTGAGGCAGGAGAATTGCTTGAATTCTGGAGGCAGAGTTTGCTGTGAGCTGAGATTGTGCCAGTACCCTCTAGCCTGGACAACAGAGTGAAACTCCGTCTTAAAAAAAAAAAAATCTTGTACAGGAATATTTATAGCAGCCTTCTTCTTCATTCCCAAATGTCAAATACTGGATACAACAAAATGTCCTTCAGTGAGTAAATAGATCAACAAACTAATACATCCATATAGTGGATGTGAAATAGAAAAATTGACTATTGATGCATGCAACATCATGGATAAATCTCAAAGTGATCAAGCTGAGGGAAAGGACCCAGTCTCAAAAGCTTATATAGTACATCAGTCCATTTGTAAGGCACTTCAATTTACAGATTTTATCTGGAGTGCAAGAAAGATGAGTCAAGAGTTTATCCAGTATTTTTTTGTTTTCCTCCTACCCATGAGCCAGTCTTACTCCCACTCCGGTAATTATAAACCACAAATGGCAAGAGATCAGGAGTTTGAAATCATGTAAATTGCCATTTACATGCTTATTTTTATTATCAGTTTTTAAGTTTTTATCTTGTTATTTGTGTTATTTATTATTAACTATCCTGAGCATTTGACATGAGTTTGGTGTTGAATTCTCCGAATGATTGAACAGTGTGTACCTTAGTACAGATGGAAAGCTGCGATGCGTAAGAGTTAAATGGCTTTCTCCACTTATCAATTTTATCAATAGGAAACTTATCAATTAACTGGCAAGTAGTAAAATAAGAATTCCAATTCCAGGTCCTCCTGACTGCAAAACCTGTGCACTTACTGACTATACTATAGAATCTGTCAGGGATTCATATATCCTTATCCCTACCCACATTTTGTTTCCCCCAAGTTAGTTGAGAGTCAGCACAATTGAGCCTCAAGTGTGCCAAATAGAAGGAAACACGCTGCTCCCCAAGAGGCAACAGGATGAGAGGGAAAGATCAGGATTTGAGTCAGACCAACCTGTTTTGAATCTTGGCTATATCACTTAGTAGCTGTGTCAACTTAGGGAAGTTCACTGTTCCAGTTAATTAAACAAGTAACTTACTGAGTGCCCACCATGCTCCAGGAAATGTTCTAGGATCTCAGGATATATTTGTGAATGACACAGAAAAAAATCCATGCCCTCAAGAAAATTATATTCTAGTGGGAGACATGGACAATAAATATAAAAATAAGTAAAATATATAGTACATCAGGCAGTCATAAGTACTATGAAGAAAACAGAAAGGAAAAGCAGGGAACGGTAATGAGGAGTGGAGGAGCCACACTTTTTTAAAAAGATAGTCAGAGAAGGCTTAAGGGTTGTTCATGTAGATATCTGGAGAAAGAGGAGTCCAAGCAAGGGGAATAGCCAGTGTAAAGGTCTGGTCCACACTAAGTGTGTTTGAAGAATAGCAGGGGCACCAGAGTGGCTGGAGTAGACTGAATCCGGGGGAGACCCCCAGTAAATAAAACCAGGGAGAAAATGGGGAGGCTGGAGGATAGTGTAGGTAGTGGGTCATCTTCCAGGATTTTGAAACCACCAAGAATAACAACAGCAGTAATGTTGGGAGAATGATGTAGGACAGGAACTAAAATCTCCAAGGAAGGTGAGAGAGTGACCCAGAGATCAGTGACTGACGACCCCACTTTTACTTTGGATAGGGAGCCTTTGGAGCGGGTGTACAGAGAAGTCCCAGGATCTGACTACTTTTTCTAAGTATTCCTCTGCCTGGTGGAATCAACTACACAGGACAAGGACAGAGTCGGAGAGACCAGTTGGGAGTTTCTAGGGTTAGTCCAAGCAATACATTATGATGGTTTGGACCAAGGTAGAAATAGTAAAATTGGTGAAAAGAGGTCAGGGTATGGATATATTTGGCAAGTAGAACTTGCAGGATTTGCTACCAAATTATATGTGGGTTATGAAAGGAAGGTAGCAATCAAGGATAAATTCAAGATTTTTTTTTTTTGTCTAGGACAACTGAAAGAATAGGGAATACTAAATAAGGTAGGAGACTAGATCCAGAGTTAATTTTATGAGGTTCAAAATGCCTATTAGACATCCAAGTGGAGATATAAAGTTGGTAATTGGATACGGAGAAGAAAGGTGGGTGAAAGATACACATTTTGGACTCTCCAGTGTATGGGTGGTATTGAAATTCATAACACTAGAAAACATCAATAAGGCAATCAGTGTAAATGGATAAAAGAAGAATTCCAATGGCTGGACACAGTTTGGGGAATTCCAAAAATTAAATTGTAAGGGAGATGAAAATGAATTAACAAAGAATGCAAAAAGTAGTCATTCAGAAAAAAGATAAAGACAGAAGAGTATGTTATTCTGGAAGCCAAGTGAAGAGTATGTATCAAGGAGAAGGAAGTGATCAGCCATGTTAAAGCACTTGGTAGGTCATGTAAAATGAGGACTGGGAACCAACTATTGAATTTAGCAACATGAACGTGATTTATGACCTTGACAAGAAAAGTCACAGTAGTCAGTGGAGAGGAAAGCCTTACTGAAGGGGACAAGAAAGGGTACAAGGAGGGCAAAATGGAGACATGAATGTAGACAACCCTATTAAAGAGATTTGCTATAAAATTAGACAGAAAATTAGAGTAGTCATTGAAGGGAGAAGTGGGGTCAAGAGAAATTTCTTTTTAAAACAAGAGAAACAACAGCATGTTTGTATGATGAGCAAGTAGGGAAAGGGAGAAGATGAGAATTCAGGAGAGAGAAAGGAAGATTGCCACATCCTTGAGTAGCCAAAGGAGGTTGATATCCAGCACATAAGCAGAGGAGATGGTCTTGGAGAGGAGCAGGGGCAGTTCATTCACAGCCAGAGGAGGGAACACAGAGTGCAGGAGCAGAGACACATGTAGGTGTGAACATGTGGGACTTTTCTTCTGATGACTTCTATTTCTTGATAAAATAGGAAATAAGGTCCTCATCTGAGAGGAGGAGAAGGAGATATTAGAGGACTGAGGAAAGAAGAATATATGAAATGACTATTTAGGAGAGTAGGAGAGTAAACTGCCCAAGAGCACTAAGGATGACTTGAGGCTGGAGGTAGTGAGTTTACAGCACAATAATCAGCTGTGTGTTCTCAGCCACATTCACTGTGCAGAGGCAAGAACACACTGGTAGAGAGTTAGACCCAACCAAGGTCAGGCTTTTATCCAGTGGGGACATTGGAATAAAAGAAGGACAAGAGACCATTTCATTGACCATGAAATATCAGCTCTGCAAGGAGAGAGACAGTGACATAAGGTGGGTAAAAAAAAAACAACAGTGAAAAGGAGGTACAGTCAGTGGCTGTAAGGAAGGTGGAATCAAAGGATTGCTGGAGTAGGGGTCCTAGAGGGAGTGAGCTGGACATATAGGAGGTGGTAGTTGGAGAAGGGACACTTGAAGTTGCAGTAGGGAAGGATCTGCAGTTATTGGAATAACTAAGAGAGTCAATGGCTGAGTTTGAGTTGGGAATTAGGTCATCAGAAAATGGGCTGTCAAGGAAATGAAAGGGCAGGGAATGTGAGGGTCATCTTCCAAGATAGTGAAACCATCAAGAATAACAATGCAGTCATGTTGGGAGACTGATGTGAGACAGGCTAAATATCCAAGGAAGGTGAGAGAGGGACCTAGAGATCAGTGGCAGATATAAGGAAGAGCGTAGATCTGCCTGTTACTTTATCTCTCTGGTCTCACTTTACTCATCTGGAAGTTGGGAATGGTGATCAGCCTTCCATTGTGGCGTTTTTATAAGGACTGAATGAGATAATGCAGGTAGAGCACCTGTCACCCATTAGATCTGGCAGACCTCAGTGTTCAGGAATATTTAAAATAAAATGTAAAGGGCACCTATGAAGTCTGGAGGGTGTATGTCATCTCCTTCCAATTACAGTGAGGAGTGTGTCTTGGAAGGCTAATTGAGCTCAGGTTTGGCTCAATGACTTATAATCATCACAATTCCCAAGAGATGTTCATCAATGGCCCTCTCTGCTTCCATTCATGTACCTGTCATCTTCTTCCTCGCAGGCCTGGGTTCTCTCTATCCCCTCTAGCCAACTGCAGACAGCAGAACGCTTATTGCCTTCCAGCCCAAGTGTCTAATGCAGAAGGAAAAATGCAAATTACCTGCTTTGGCTGCTCTGTTGCCTCTCCTATTGATGGCAGGCTGGCTGAAAGAGCCCAGGGAAGTGACAGTCTCTAATGAAGTGTCACCTTCTGTTCTGAACTGCACTGAACCCAGATATGTGAGGAAGCTCTGGGCAATACAGCCTGACTAGCTCCTAGCATGGGGAGCCTGGGACAAGAGCTGGATCAAGTCCTTTTCACTTTCTCTCCTATACCCACCCATGACTTCAGCTCTAGGCAGGAGTTTCCATCAAGAAATGAGGTATGTTCTAGCCAACAGGGCAGTGTCTGTTTTACTGGTAACAGGCATTAACATCCAGAGATTCCTTGTTCTCAGAAAAGGGGTAATAAAGTTACGGGGTTGGGGCCAGAAATTTAAGGAACCTGAGTTGCCACAGAGGAGATGCCAGAGTTGAATGGGTCCATGTGGTGAGGTGATTCACCTTGTCCATGTTGCTGAGCCCAGTGTACCTTGAGCCTCCTACCTCTGGCTTACCAGTGCTATGCAGAATATATTAGCCAGGAAAAGATCTGAGCAAGTTTCACTTAGCCTTGTGCAAATCTGAGGGTGGAACTCAAGCCCCTCCTCTTCCCTCACACTACTCAGAGACTTGCCTTGTTCACCACTAATTTTTCATTGTCCGCTACATAGTAGGTTCTCAGTGATGAATGAATGAATGAGTGAATGGCAGATGGGTGAGTGTTAGGGTTGGAGGAGTGTAGAGCATGGCTCTTCCAATCCTAACACTTCAGGCCAGCTCTGTGCTAGATACCAAAACCTAGAACCCCAAAAGTTTCTTACACGCCTGAGCCGAGAGGTCATTTTTCCACCCAGAATTTCTGAAACTCCCTTCTTCTACCTAAATTATATATAAAAATGAAGGACAGCTACTCTCACCTGAAAATATTTTCTTGATCTTTTCCCTTTTCCCAGCAAACAAGCAGTTACTTACCTCTTTCTCTAATGCAAAGTGACATTTTGATACAGCAACCCTGGAAGGAGATAAGAATCATTAACTCAGAAAAATGGCTGAGCTTCTGCAGTTTGCCAGGCTTCCAACTATTGGCTGAAAAATCCATGTTCTGGAAAAGCACAACCACAGTCCTCTTTACCAACTACTATCTAGCAGTCTGAGGGTTGTTGACATTGATTAACATTGAAAGTGACATTTGGCTCTTGTGTACTTTCTGAATAGACTCTTTTCAACTAAGAAACCAGCAAGGAGGCCTCTGAGGGAAAATATTTTTGGGGAGGAGAGGTATGAGGTAACCTCAAACATTCTTTGTCCAACATTTTGGATCATTATCTAGAACTTAAGCAGTTTGTTTAGGGGAAAGAGAAGTTGACATGTCACTAGGAAAGGAAGTTAGCCTCTCAAAGACATTCAGACAGGTATACCTAGGGAAAGGAAGAGAGAAATCTGGAAGCAGCTCATTAAAAATACGAAACAACAACAACAAGGTCAAGGGCTAAAAATGTTTATTCAACAGGCAGGTGATTTAAGGAGCCATGATTTGCCATACAAAAGGATTTCTAGGAAGAAAAGATCCTGTTAAAGTTAAATTACATTTGATTTTTAAATGTATAATTTACAAGCCGATTTTCTGGCACACAAAAAAGCACACCTGTGCAATTTTTTTTTCCAATTTTAGCATATTATCCATCTTTCCAGTAAAATTCCTGTGTGCAGCAGTCACCAATATAGATCAGTGGTAAATGAGCGAAGTGTTATTTACATCAGCCCTAAAAGTTCATGTCCTTATTATTCCTCCCTCAGAACTGACTCAGAATTGGGCATAGAAAAATGCCATTTTGAAAGAGCCCAGGATGGGCTGTGGCAGGCATCCACATCATTAGAGAGCAAAGTTAAAAGACAGATTTCTTGGCCCCACCACCAGGTATTCTGACTCAGTAAGTCTAGGGTGGGACCTGGGAATCTGCAACTTTAGCACGCAGCTAAGGTGACTCTGATGCAGGTGGCCCATGGACCACACCTTCACACATGCTGACCTAGAGAAAATGTCCTTCAGGTCACGTGTCAAGAGAAATTGCCCCGCCTTCTGCACCCAGCACATCCTGCTGCGTTCCATAAGTGCATCCAATGTGCTCCATAAGGTCACATGTGGTGAGCAGTTGCTGATCGACACTGCTATGCTGGGCAAGCCAATCTGCGGGCCTCCATGTGACATACCGCTGATTTCTCTCTATTCTGTTAGAACGATTACAGGAAGTTATCTATGCAATGCAAGGATTTTGTAGTGGGCGTGCTGGACCTGTGCCGAGACACAGAAGAGGTGGAAGCAATTTTAAACGGTGATGTGAACTTCCAAGTCTGGTCCGACCACCACCGTCCAAGTCTGAGCCGGATCAAACTCGCCATTAAATATGAAGTCAAGAAGGTAAGCTCCCCCATCTCTCCTGGTCTTCCCATCTCACCTCTCTTCTCGGGGCTGCTGGCCTTGCTTTTTGCTCATGTCTATTTTATGTTCCCACAGGGTGACCATGATGACACCCAGATTCTCTTTAGACAGGGAGCTAGCTGTCAGCTTCACAGGGCTGCTAGGATCCCCTCCACCATCCCTTCCCACCTCAGCCCCCAGCCCACCAGGAGAGAGAGCAGAAGCATGAGTCAGTTCCTGAGCAGGCCTTGAGCCTGGACAGCAGAAGACATCTTCAGCCTCAACCCACTGGCAGGGACAATGTCACCGCGAGGGCTCCTATCAGTTAGCAACACAGTTCCCAAGTCTTCTCGAGAAACATAAAACTCAGATCTTTCAAAAGCATTTATTGAGCTTCCTCTGTGTGCCTGAGGACTAGTTGTGTAGAAAATGTATTAATGTAAAGAGCTTATGGGATCAACAGCCCTGGGAGGCTTATAGAAGAATTGCACTCCAAAGGCATATGAAAGCCCTAAGGAAGCTCAAGTAGACTTTCCCAAAAGTAAACTCATGCCACCTCCTCAATAGACATCCAAGTGTCTTTAATGGCTGTGGTCACCAGTAGCCCTCAGACCTGTAGTGGCTACTCAGATTAAGATTATAAGGAGCAAAAGTAAATTATGTTCCCACTTTGGATCTACTCTGGATGCTTTAGAATCTGCTCTTTTATTAGATGACATTACTCATCCTGATGAAAATTAAAGCATTCCAGAGATCCACATGTTTAAATATCAATGTGCTTTCCACATAAGCAAAGGAGCTGTTTGGTCTTTGAGGGGTTTTAATGTTTTAAGCTTTTTCACCTGATCAAAACTGAATGGTATTTTTAAAGCCCCCAGACTGGCCTCTGGGTATTCCTTCTGTTTCCTGATTATCTTAATTTGTGTGTGTCTTAATTTGTGCCTTCAACAACCATATATATATCTGTGAAATTTATCCAGGGAGAGTTTCCAAGTTTGATAAAATCTTCCTGCCCTTTTACTTTGATATTATAATAATCACAAATTTTAAGAAAAACAACTTTGCCTAAGACTCTGAGCTCAAAGATGAAATTGATGACTCATGGGAAAGGTGGCCTTTGAGATTAATATTAGAAAGCACAGTGTTGTTGGAAGTTGGGAGAATCAGGCTGCAGTTTCAAGTACAGTACAATACTATTTACTCAGCTCAGGAAAACTCACCTTTTAGCTTAAACCAAGAGCTCGCTGGGGCTTTTCACCAAAGTACGCAGTCACTCCCTGAAGCTGCTGAGATATCCTTTCCCTTGGGGTTCAAACAAACCCTGCTGTGGAGGCTGTCAGGCAGTGGTAAAAATGAGCTGGAGTTCCCAGAACTACAAACATTTTCTTCCTTCCTGAAGCCAGATTATCCTCCTGCCTCCCAGCTCATGGTGAAGATGGAAGTTGTCTAAAAACCACACAAAAGAAGATGCTTGGCATTTGCAGATTTATATTCACAGTTTGGGCTAATTATGCACAACTTCAACAGTCCATGGCATGTGGGCATTCACCATTTTTCTGAAACATAAATTCAAATCTCCTAGCAAAACTGACATGGAGGCTGGAGTTACTCAGTTAGTGCAGAAGTCTGGCCCCCACCTGATAACTATATGTCCTCTTTTGTCAATTACCAAGTTCAAAATGGCCCTGGGGATGAATGAGAAGGAAGAAATGAAGCCCTCCATGAACATGATAGTTTGGATCAGAATTAAAATGTTTCATGAGGGAAATGATTGGCTCCAGTGGTATTTGCCAATTAAGGGAGTCATAAGGTCTCAGGAAATCAACATGAATGTCAAGTGTCTGCTGTAATCCATAGGTAGGAAGATGATAAATGACCTGCATAAAATGTCAACCTGCTCATTTCTAAGACCTTCAAGGGATACATTTTCTCAAACCTTGTATGCCATCATGCGACAGCAGACAGACTCATAGCTCTCCTTGACATTTATTCTTCATGAATTACCAGGAAACTAACCAATATTTAAAAGTCTTATTAATATTACAATGGGCTTCCATTTTTAATTTATGAATTTTAGCATACTTGCATGAGCACAATCTATCCCTGAGTATTCAAGTTATGAAATAACTAGCAGCAAGACCTACTTAAATGCACTGCCCTTTACAACTTGATAGACAGATAGATAGATAGATAGATAGATAGATAGATAGATAGATAGACAGACATCTCCTGAGGCTTCAGGCTTGAATATAAAACTATAAAACATTTCCAAGATTCTGCCCACATGGCATAAAATCAACCCATTAATTCAGCGACTTAAGAAAACAAGTTGGTCTTAGCAGTTCCATGGGCTGCTAATAAGTATTACCTTAAAAAAAAGATTTTGTGCTCAGATAAATTTGGAAACCTTTAGTTAAACAGTCAAACAGCTTTTGTTTTTGTTTTCTGTTTTTCTTAAAGATATTACAGAGCCTTCAATATGCATCACGCAGTGGCTTATGCCTGTAATGCCAACACTATGAGAAGCTGAGACAGGAGGATTGCTTGATGCCAAGAGTTTGAGACCAGCCTGGGGGACATAGCAAGACCCTGTCTCTATTAAAAAAAAAAAAAAAAAAAAAAAAGAATCACTACTCTAATAGATAAAGGATACAATATGTATTACATGACCACAGGCTTCTTCTCATGGTGAAACTAGTTTTTCATGTATCAGTCTTCGGGAAACTAATCTATAATCAGCCTCTATGTCTATGAAATGCCAGGATTTGAATGAAGGTGGTGCTGCTCTGTGGCTGGTACTGCACTCTGGATCATGTCTCTCATATGAATGTTTGATTATCTTCAGGCACCACCCTAATGTCTGGACCTCTGGCTGGCTGAGTCACAGCACCAGCCTCCATTAGATGAAGATAAGTCACCCACCATGGTTCAAGGGAGTACCTGTTAAAGGGAAGGAATCCTGAACTGGGTTTCTGTTGACCAGGTTTCTAGCCTGATTCTCCTAACCCTGTGGTCTTGGGCAAGTCATTGAAGCTCTCTGAGTTTCATTCCCCATTTGCAGAATGGACATATGAGCTTTTGCTTCACAGAGGTTTTTTTTTGTGTGTGTGTGTGAACTTCCAAATGAACTGATATGAGAGGAAATGCTCTAGAAACTATAAAGTTCTCTGCAGCTCCAAAAGGAAGCATCATTGCTGTCATTCAGTGATGACTCCCTTTCTTGGGACTCTAGGGTTCTTCTAATTCCCTAGCTGGTCCTTTGTTATCTCCCCAGAGAATGCTAGAAATGTCTCCCTGGGAAAAGACATCATTCATAAAGCCTAAAATTCCTTCCAAAATACCAAAGGCGTTATGAGGACATGGTTTTACCCCCGTGACTTCTGCCTTAAGAGGGCGCTCAGCCTCCCCAGTAACCCAAGTGGGTGTGTCTTCGAAATGTCAAGCAGGGTTTCTGGGAAGCAGAATTGGAGATGTAGCTGAGAGGTGCCTATTGAAGTCAGTCCCAGGTCCAAACACTTATTAATGTGGTCACTTGAGCAAATTACTCAGCCTTGCCTCTGTCTCACTTTCCTCATCAGGAAAGTTGGAATAATAATGCCTATGTCATAGGTTATAATGAAAATTAAATGGGATAAAGCATTTGTGCCTCAAATATCTCCAGGCTTCAGTAGCCGATGGGTATAAATGAGGCAGTATTAACACACACATTGCTCACAGTCAATGCCTACATTACTTTAGGACATTTCTCTTACCCACCTCAGTGCATCCCAGCCCCTCTAGGCCACAGTCCCTGAAGAAGCCAAGCTTGCCTCATGAAAAATCAGGGATACGACTCTTCCCCATATTGAGTCACACCTAAGATCAGAAGGACTCTGCTTATGCTCTGCAGCTAAAGAAAACCACCCCTCCAGCATCGGCTTGCAGCCTCTCTACATAAACTGGCCTTGGCCTTCCCCTGCAGAGCCAAACACCTTGCAATCTTCTCTAACTCTGTCTCTGTCCTCTGGGAATCATGCCTAACTATCCTTCTTAAAGGCCTTTTCCTTCCACTGCATATCAACTCTAAACACATGCTGAGGAAACTTCCAGCCCCAACAACTGGGAACCAACCCAACCAGCCTCTGAATCCCAGTTTAGGCCCAGCTGGACTCAGGCTGCAGTTATGAAGGGACCCCAGTGTCTGCCATGTGGTCAGTGCTTAGTGACAGGGAACAGAGACCCAGACAGAGTTGTTGGCACTCTACTCAACTTGTCTAACAGAAGACACACTCTCATCCATCCCTCTCTCTCCTCTAGATTGCTTCCTCATCTCTGGGCTTACAGGGATGATCTTTTCCCTTCTTTCCCCTACACCATTCCCTCCTCCTTCCTGACCCCACTCTGCCTTAATGAGGATCAGGTGGGATCTCCCAGTCACTGCAAGAAAACTTTGTGCATATCAGTCCTCTAGGAGAGTGGGACAAAGAGACCCAGAGAGTCCGGTTTTGCATGAGAGAGGCCTTAACTCTACCTATAAAGGAGATGGAGCATCTTTTGGACACTACTAAGCAAAGGCCTGCTACTGGGGGAAAAAAGAAAAATGTGTGAATATTGTTTTCCAAAATATATTACTTCATGGCAGAAAGCACATATATTATCAGGCAGGCATGGCTGTATCACCAGCAAGGGTGATTAGTTCCATCTGACAAATTGTGTTAACCACCACCTATGAGGTCTAGAGACACTGAGCTCGGCCTTCCAAGGACCCAAGCAGAATAAAACACAGTCATACCTTCAAAGAGTTACCAGTCTAGTGAGTGAAATGGGACAGGTGTCTCATAACTGTAATAGCAGCAGCCTTTGCAGTGGGGTGGGGGAAGTCTCTTAAGTACTTCACCAGCTGAGCAAAGTAGCGTTCACACCTGTGACCTCTTTCAGATGTGCAGGTGGTCCCAGTTCTAGCATCTTGGGATGCAGCTTGGTTTGGGGGCCTCTGCTCTTGGTGCCAGCCATCTTTCCTTCCAACTGAGGAGATCTCCACCCTCCTCAAGAGCCAGCTCCACTCCTCCTGAGCCTTCCAGACCCTGAAATGTTGAGGTGACTTTTCCTGGCTCTGCCAGGCTCCCTGGGTTATTCCTGGCTCAGAAAGCTAGTCTCAAGTACAATAAAGACCTGGGACAGGACCATGGGAAGGGAACAAAGTGCAGAGGGTGGAGAGGACCCACTCGCTCTCCCTCACTTACATAGTTCCCTTTTCCTTCACACTGTTGTATTTTTAAAAAAAATTCCCCTATGATTTTTATTCATTCACTCACTGAAAAGTTCATGTTTGCTCTTAAAGCTAAAAAATGAGGAAAGTGAACAAAACCCTGGAACTTCAGAGGTTCCCTCTGAGGTGGGGAGGGCATTTCTGATAGAAAGGACATGTTCAAAGCATGTTTGAAAGCCCTGTGGTGAGAAGAGACATGGTGTATAAGAGGAACTGAAAGAGGGTGAACGGGCCAAGCTGGGCCTTGGGAGGACTGGGTGTGACTGAGTCTGTAAGGATGCAGGCAGGGGACAGACCATGTGAGCCTGGTAGATCTCCCTAAGGATTTTAATCTTTTTATTATTTTTCTAAAGAACAATGGGGAGCCATTGAAGGACCTTAATCAGGAGTGGTTGTAAAGATTAGGATAGATGGAGAGACAGCTCTTCCTCTGAAAAAGCTGGAAAGGAAACAGGAGGGGTGAAGATGGAGCAAGTTTTTTGTGTGAAAGGGACAGGATATTAGCCAAGATAGGCTGTTACATTGTGTTAACAAACAAAACTAAAGTCATAGTGGCTTTTAACAAAAGTAAGTTTATTTATTGCTCATCTTATTTCCATTTGGAACTGAATTCCCTCAGGAATCCCGGCTGATAGAAGAACCACCCTCTTAAATGTTTCCTGCATGCCAGAGGGTCACTCGGCTTTGGGAAATTGCACTCCAGCAATTGTGTGCTTTCACCTGGATGTGTCACACATTGTTTCTGCTCGCCACTTATAGTGAAGAGTTAGTCATGCCTCCCACCCCTTCACAAGAAGGACCAGAAAGCATAATCCCGGCGCTATTTGGCAGCTAGCACTAATGATTACCACAGGAGAAAAGTTGAGGGAATTCGTATTGATAGCTTCAACTTCTCTGTCAACAGGAAAAAGAATCACCCTCTGAGGTAGAAGCAGCCTGAAGAAAGTAAAAAAATGGGAAAAATTATGTGGGAGATGGGAGAGGGAGCTGAGCAGTAGGTCTGATAGTCCTGCCAAGACTGGGGATTGAAATTCTTTGGCAATAGACTGCATTTTTAATAAAAGTGAAAGATCTCCACAAATGATGGTAACACAGAAAGTCAGTGTCCTCCATAAACCTCAGTTCCCTGCCATCAACTTCAAGATTCTTTCATAGACATGGGCTGGGAGCACACAAAATGTGCCCACAGGGCACAGCACTTGGAAAGTTACCCTCAGAGCAGAATGCCAAGGAGAAAAGGGCAGGCTTAGAGAGGAGGGGATGGGGGACCATTTCAACCCACATTGCCCCTAGCTCTACAGTTGGGCCAGCACCTCTTACTCTATCAGAAGTCCCTTGCCTCCTTCTATTCCAAAAATGACCACCTTGTGCACATTTTACAGTCATGCCATGAATGGGCCCATTTTTCTACCTGGAAAAACTCCTAGCAGATGAAACTATTAATAGAACTTGTCAGGTAGCAGTATAGTATTATGGCTGGGAGCCTGACTGCTCAAGTCCTCCGCCTGCTGATATGGGACATAAAATAAGTTTCTCAGTCTGCTGGCCTGCAGGGAGCTCACAGACACAGTGGACACTGCTCCAATCCTAAAGGGCCTTCTGGCCTAAATATGTGCTCAGAGAGAGAACAATGCCAGCCGTAGCTGCACAACTGGCTGACATCCTCTCCCTAGTGCAGTGACCATGGGTAGGAACACTCAAGAGAGGGCAGATGCCCTCTGCTGGGCTCTGTTTCATTTCCTCTGTCTGCACAAAGCACAGGCAGGGCCAGTGAGCAAAGGGGACCTGGGGACATCAGGGCTTTCTAGAGGATGTCTGAGAGGCCAGTCAGACACTCACATGCCCTGAGCAGACATTCTCCTACTGTGTTTTCCTGCTGAGGCATCGTTTTAACAGATGCTCAGACTTAAGAAGATCAGAGTTGTCACAGACACAGTCTGGCTGGTCAGGCACTACCCCAAACTGCACTGCAGGATGCCTGGTAGTTGGCAAACACTGTTGGAATCCATTGGTGTCAAAAGCATCAATCATCTTCCTCTTTGGGAATTCCTCTAAGCACTTCCGTGGATCTCGCCTGGCCACATGCCACAAAAGTGATCAATATCCATTAATCTCCTGGCTCAGAAGGGCTTTTACATGAGGAAGTTTTGTTTTCTCAAGAAGCAAATCTTCCGAAGAGAAAGAAGAATTCCAGCATGTATATATGTAAATATGGATTGTGATCCCTTTTCTGCCTGGAAAAACTCCCAGGAGAAGGAAAATAGAACTTGTGGGGCAGCAGTATAGTGTCGTGTCCAGGAGCCCGACTGTGCGTGTTCAAGTCCCAAGTTCTTCACTTGCTAGTCATCTGGTTTAGACAAGTTATTTGTCTTCTGGGCCTTGATTTTCTCATCCATAAAATACAAACAAATTACAGTGTCTAATAAATAATAGTTAATGTTTAGAACACATGCAATGTACCTAGAACATGGTAGGTGCATAACAAAGTAGCCAATGGAAACTGTTTGCCATACTGATTTCTAAGCAGAATTACACTTAAGGCTAAGTCAACATTTCTCAAGCCCGACACCTTAACACTTTGGGCCAGAGAGTTCCTTGCTGTGAGGACTCCCCCGTGCATTATAGGCTGTTTAGCAGCATACCTGGACTCTATCCAGTAGCACCCTACCCCCAGCTTGCGTTAACCAAAAACGTCTCCAGACACTGTCTCTAATGTCCTTGGAGGAAGGGGGAGGGGGAGAAATAATTCCCTGTTGAGAACCTCTTGGCTGTTTTCAGGATCCAGGCTATAACCTCTTAACTGTCAGCCCCTGAATGCAAGGATTATAGTTATCCAAGGATGTGTTGTATTGCTCTAGACCAGGGGTTCCAAAACTTAACTGATTAATGAAGCCACTTGGGTGCTTTGCATAAAACAAACCAAAAAAAGCACCAGTGCCTCAGCCTCAGAAAGACAAATACCACATGATCTCACTTATCTATGGAATCTAGTAAAGTTGAACTCATGGAAGTAGAGAGTAGAATCACAGTTACCAGGGGCTGAGGAGGTGGGGAGGGAGGGAATGGGGAGTTGTCAATCAAAGAGTACAAAGTTTCAGAGAGACAGAAGGAATAGATTTTGAGATTTATTGCACAACATGGTAACTATAATAAATAAAAATGTATTATATATTTCAAAATAAGTAAGAAAGTAAATTTTCATGTCTCACCATAGAAATGATAGGTAAGCAAGGTGATAAATATGTTAATTAATTTGATTTAATCATAACATATTGTATACATATATCAAAACATCCATTGTACCCCATAAATACATACAACTATTTTCATGCATGTCCGTGTGAAGAGACCACCAAACAGGCTTTGTGTGAGCAACATGGCTGTTTATTTCACCTGGGTGCAGGCAGGCTGAATCCGAAAAGAGAGTCAGCGAAGGGTGGTGGATTATCATTAGTTCTTATAGGTTTTGGGATAGGCGGTGAAGTTAAGAACAATGTTTTGCGGGCAGGGGTGGATCTCACAAAGTACATTCTCAAGGGTGGGGAGAATTACAAAGAAACTTCTTAAGGGTGGGGGAGATTACAAAGCACCCTCTTAAGGGTGGGGGAGATTACAAAGTACATTGATCAGTTAGGGTGGGGCAGAAACAAATCACAATGGTGGAATGTCATCAGTTAATATTATTTTTACCTCTTTTGTGGATCTTCAGTTACTTCAGGCCATCTGGATGTATATGTGCAAGTCACAGGGGATGCGATGGCTTGGCTTGGGTTCAGAGGCCTGACATTCCTGCTTTCTTATATTAATAAGAAAAATAAAATAGTGTTGAAGTCTTGGGGTGGCAAAAATTTTTGGGGGGTGGTATGGAGAGAGAATGGGCGATGTTTCTCAGGGCTGCTTCAAGCGGGATTAGGTGGCATGGGCAACTAAAGTGGGAGAGATTAAGCTGAATGAAGATTTTGTGGTAAAGGGTGATATTGTGGGGTTGTTAGAAGAAAAATTTGTCTTGAAGAATTATTGGTGATGGCCTGGATATGGTTTTGTATGAATTGAAAAACTAAATGGAAAAGGTCTAAGAATTAGGAGGACCTAGGACATATGATTAGAGAGTGCCTAAGGAGATTCAGCATAGTCCTGCCAGCAAAGATTATTTATTTACTTCAAGAGTTAAGAGTGGCAGGTTGGGGATAGCACCAGGAGATATCAGCTGTGATGGCTTGGAGAAACAGTGTAAACCGGCAGTGTAAACAAGAGCAGGGCATGTATAAGTAGTTGAGAATGGAGAATAGGAGTATGACTAGACAGAAAATAGTAGGGATGACAAGTTTTTTTGGGGCACAGTCTAAGTTGGTCCGGTGTCTGGAATGAGACTGGGGCCTAATAAAAAGGAGCTCAAACGGGCTGTACCTTGTAGCATTCCAAGGACAGGTCTGACTTCTGAGAAGGGAAAGTGGTAAAAGTATTGTCCAGTCCTTTTTAAGTTGGTGGCTGTGCTTGGTGAGGTGTGTTTTTAAAAGACCTTTAGTCTGTTCTACATTTCTTGAAGATGGAGGACTGTAAGGGATATAAAGGTTTCACGGAATACTAAGAGCCTGAAAAACTGCTTGGCTGATTTGACTAATAAAGGCTGGTCTGTTATCAGACTGTATAGAGGTGGGAAGGCTAAACTGAGGAATTATGTCTGACAGAAGGGAAGAAATGACTGCCGTGGCCTTCTCAGACCCTGTAGGAAAGGCCTTTACTTATTCAGTGAAAGTGTCTATTTAGACTAAGAGGTATTTTAGTTTGCTGAGTTGGGGCATGTTGAGTAAAGCTAATTTGCCAGTCCTGGGTGGGGGAAAATCCTCGAGCTTGATGTGTAGGGAAGGGAGGGGGCCTGAATAATCCCTGAGGAGTAGTAGAATAGCAGATGGAACACTGAGAAGTTATTTCCTTGAGGATAGATTTCCACAATGGAAAGGAAATGAGAGGTTCTGAGAGGTGGGCTAGTGGCTTGTACTATAGCATAGCCTGCCTTTGCTGGTGTGTGGCGATTAGGCCTGGTGGAACTGCCATCAATAAATCAAGCGTGATCAGGGTGAGGAACAGGAAAGAAGGAAATATGGGGAAATGGGGTGAATATCAGGTGGATCAGAGAGATACAGTCATGGGGGTCAGGTGTGGTATCAGGAATAATATGGGAAGCCAGATTGAAGTCCGGGCCAAGAACAATGGTAATTGTGGGACTTAACAAAGAGTGAGTACAGCTGAAGGAGCCGGGGAGCAGAAAGTATATGCGTCAGGTATGAGGAAGAAAACAGATTTTGGAAGTTATGAGAAATGTAGAGAGTGAGTTGAGCATAGTTTGTGATTTTTAGGGCCTCTAAAAGTATTAAAGCAGCGGCAGCTGCTGTACGCAGACATGAGGGCTAGGCTAAAACAGTAAGGTCAAGTTGTTTGGACAGAAAGGCTACAGGGTACGGTCCTGGCTCTTGTGTAAGAATTCTGACTACACTAACCATGCCTAGGAAGGAAAGGAGTTGTTGTTTTGTAAGGGATTGAGGTTTGGAAGGTTAATTGGACATGATTAGCAGGGAGAGCACGTGTGTTTTTATGAGAATTATGCCGAGATAGGTAACAGATGAGGATGAAATTTGGGCTTGACTGAAGTAATGGGGGCTGTCTGTGAAGCCTTGCAGCAGTATAGCCCAGGTAATTTGCTGAGCCTAATGGGTGTCAGGGTCAGTCTAAGTGAAAGCAAAGAGAGGCTGGGATGAAGGGTGCAAAGGAATAGTAAAGAAAGCATGTTTGAGATCCAGAACAGAATAATGGGTAGTAGAGGGAGGTATTGAGGATAGCAGAGTATATGGGTTTGGCACCACGGGGTGGACAGGCAAAACAATTTGGTTGATAAGGCGCAGATTCTGAACTAACTTGTAAGCCTTATCTCGTTTTAGGACAGGTAAAATGGGGGAATGGTAAGGAGAGTTTATAGGCTTTAGAAGGTCATGCTGTAGCAGGCGAGTGATAACAGGCTTTAATCCTTTTAAAGAGTGCTGTGGGATGGGATCTTGGCATTGAGCGGGGTAAGGGTGATTAGGTTTTAATGAGATGGTAAGGGGTGCATGATCGGTCCCCAAGGAGGGAGTAGAGGTATCTTATACTTGTGGGCTAAGGTGAGGGGATACAAGAGGAGGACACAAAGGATGCTTTGGATTGGGAAGAAGGGCAGCAATGAGATGCAGCTGTAGTCCAGGAATAGTCAGGGAAGCAGATAATTTAGTTAAAGTGTCTCAGCCTAATAAGGGAACTGGGCAGGTGGGGATAACTAAAAAGGAGTGCTTAAAAGAGTATTGTCTAAGTTGGCACCAGAGTTGGGGAGTTTTAAGAGGTTTAGGAGCCTGGACGTCAATACCCACAGCAGTTATGGAGGCAAGGGAAACAGGCTCTTGAAAAGAAGGTAACGTGGCATGGGTAGCCTCCGTATTGACTAAGAAGGGGACGGACTTACCCTCCACTGTGAGAGTTACCCGAAGCTCGGCATCCGTGATGGTCTAGGGGGCTTCCGAGGCGATCTGGCAGTGTCAGTCTTCAGCCGCTAAGCCGAGAAGATCTGGGAAGGAGTCAGAGAGCCTTGGGCCAGAGTTCCAGGGGCTCTGGAAGTGGCTACCAGGTGAGTTGAACAGTCTGATTTTCAGTGGGGTCCCACACAGATGGGACACGGCTTAGGAGGAATCCCGGGCTGTGGGCATTCCTTGGCTCGGTGGCCAGATTTTTGGCACTTGTAGCAAGCTCCTGGGGGAGGAGGTTCT
Organism: Homo sapiens; assembly: GCF_000001405.40. Classification (NCBI taxonomy): domain Eukaryota; kingdom Metazoa; phylum Chordata; class Mammalia; order Primates; family Hominidae; genus Homo; species Homo sapiens. Next base: position 136,303,557 of record NC_000005.10, on the reverse strand, counting down.
GGAGGAATGCCTGGCCACTGCAGTTCAGGCATTTGGAATTTTTTGTGTGCTGAAGTTGTGGCTGGGGTTTGTCTCACAGTGGAGGCAAGGAATTGCAACTCAGAAATACATTGCTACTTGGCTGCCTCTACTCTATTATTGTACACCTTGAAGGTGAGGTTAACTAAGTCCTGTTGTGGGGTTTGAGGGCCGGAATTTAATTTTTGGAGTTTTATTTAATGTCAGGAGCAGATTGGGTAATAAAATGTATTTTGAGAATAAGACGGCCTTTTGACCTTTTAGGGTCTAGGGCTGTAAAGTGTCTCAGGGTTGCTGCCAAATGAGCCATGAACTGGGCTGAATTTTTATATTTGATGAAAAAGAGCCTAGAAGCTATCTGATTTGGGATAAAGAAAAAGGAGCATTAACCTTGACTATGCCTTTAGCTCCAGCCACCTTTTCGAGTAAATTGCTGGGCAGGTGGGGGAGGGCTAGTCACGGAATGAAACTGTAAGCCAGACCGGGTGTGAGGAGGGGAGGTGATAAAAGGATTATAGGGTGGAGGAGCGGAGGCTGAGGAAGAATTAGGACCTAGCTCGGCCTGGCTAGGAGGGGAGAGGTCAGATAGGTCTGTAGAAAGGGAAGATTAGAAAGACTCAGTGACGCTTGGGGTTGGGACTGAGGGGACATGTGGGAGGGAAAGAAGGAAGATTTGGGATGAGTTTCATTGGGCACAGAGACTAGGAAGGGACTGATGTGTAAAAGAATGCCTGGACGTCAGGCACCTCAGACCATTTGCCCATTTTACGAAAAGAATTATTTAGTTCTTGTAGGATGGAAACATTGAAAGTGCCATTTTCCAGCTATTTGGAACTACTGTCGAGTTTGTTTTGGTGTCAAGCAGCATTGCAGAAGAAAATAAGATGCTTAGATTTTAGGTCAGGTGAGAGTTGAAGAGGTTTTAAGTTCTTAAGAACACAGGCTAAGGGAGAAGAAGGAGGAATGGAGGGTGCAAGGTTGCCCATAGTGAAGGAGGCCAGCCCAGAGAAAAGAGAGCATAGAGACATGGAGGGAAGGGGTTCAGGGGTTCTTACCCTCCAGAAAAGTGGGAAAGGGGTCGGGGCATGGAAATAAGGGATTGGGGGTTCTTGTCCCCTAGAAAAGCGGGACTTGCCGCTAAGGGTGAAGAAGGGGTTGAGGGATACTTGCCCCTCCCCCAGAAAAGCGGGACTTGCCCCTAAGGGTGAAGAAGGGATTGAGGGGTACTTTCCCCTCCCCCAGAAAAGTGGGACTTGCCGCTAAGGGTGAAGGACCAAGGCAGGCGTCCCTGCGTGGTCTGACACCTTTGAAATGGTGAATAATCAGAGAGGTGTCCCTGCAATGATTAAACACCAAGGGAAGGCTGCCTTCCCAGTCCGTGACTGGTGCAGGAGTTTTGGGTCCACAGATAAAACATGTCTCCTTTGTCTCTACCAGAAAATGAAAGGAATTGAAATTAAGAGAAGGGTGAGATTGAAGTGTGGTACCAAGACTGAAAGGAGAAAGAGGTTGAGGGATAGTGAGGGAGGTTGGAGAAGAGTAAAAAGAGGCCGCTTACTGGATTTGAAATTGGTGAGATGTTTCTTGGGCTGGTCGGTGTGAGGACCTGAGGTCGTAGGTGGATCTTTCTCATGGAGCAAAGAGCAGGAAGACGGGGGATTGATCTCCCAAGGGAGGTCCCCCGATCCGAGTCACGGCACCAAATTTCATGCGTGTCCGTGTGAAGAGACCACCAAACAGGCTTTGTGTGAACAACATGGCTGTTTATTTCACCTGGGTGCAGGCAGGCTGAGTCCGAAAAGAGAGTCAGTGAAGGGTGGTGGATTATCATTAGTTCTTATAGGTTTTGGGATAGGCGGTGAAGTTAAGAGCAATGTTTTGCGGGCAGGGGTGGATCTCACAAAGTACATTCTCAAGGGTGGGAAGAATTACAAAGAACCTTCTTAAGAGTTGGGGAGATTACAAAGTACCTTCTTAAGGGTGGGGGAGATTACAAAGTACATTGATCAGTTAGGGTGGGGCAGAAACAAATCACAATGGTGGAATGTCATCAGTTAAGATTATTTTTACTTCTTTTGTGGATCTTCAGTTACTTCAGGCTATCTGGATGTATACGTACAAGTCACAGGGGATGTGATGGCTTGGCTTGGGTTCAGAGGCCTGACAACTATGATTTGTTAAAAAAAAAAAAAAAAAAAAAAAAAAAATGCCTGGGCTGGGTGCAGTGGCTCAAGCTTATAATCCCAGCACTTTGGGAGGCCAAGGCAGGTGGATCATCTGACGTCAGGAGTTTGAGAGCAGCCTGACTAACATGATGAAACCCCATCTCTACTAAAAATATAAAAATTAGCTGGGCATGGTGGTGTGTGCCTGTAGTCCCAGCTACTCGGGAGGCTGAGGCAGAATTGCTTGAACCCAAGAGGCAGAGGTTGCAGTGAGCTGAGACCATACCACTGCACTCCAGCCTGGGCAACAAGAGTGAAACTCCACCTCAGAAAAAAGAAAAATGCCTGGACCACATCCACAGAATTTGTAATCCAATTCTTTTGGGTGGGAGCACAGCAATTGGTGTTTTTTAAAGGCTCTTTAATGATTCTACATTTTGAAGAGATGAAGCTCTTGGATGGTGGACTCTTGGTTCATCTAGATCTCTGAAGGCTGAGAACAGTACATGCCCTGCATGCAATGTGCAGCCTCCATATGGAGTGAATAGATAGATGGTGTGTTCAGTGGGAAGCTGGAGGCTTTAATGCTTCTCTAAGTACCTGTAACTGCCCCTTGGGATTAAAAGCCTATGTAAACAATCCAGATGATGTTCCAGGCTGGCCCTAGAGTTTAGGGCTATCATCTCCATGTCCTTCATTGCTGACCCGTGTCCCTTTGGGGTTTGTCACTCTGGAAAAGAGCTATCCAGGAAAGCCCCAATGCCAGTTCTGGCCTGGTAGTTGCCCGGTAGTTGCCAAACACTGTTAGAATCCACTGGTGTTGAAAGCATCAGTCATCCACTTATGGTGGTAGTCCATCTCTAAAATTACCACCATAAGCCTGGTTGTATTAGAGATGAAGCAGAGAGGCGAGTAGCTTCCAGTGTGGCCCTGTACAGTCAGGGAGAAACAGTGGGGCCTTTGCCTCCTGTGGGGAGCTCAGATTGCTAAGGGCTCCACAATGGGTCTCGGGAGTACTCCCACCACACATGAGCCTGAGTTGCTGCCCCATATCCACACCCTGCCAGCTCAACTTTAGAGGGTGGAAAAGGACAAAATGTCTGATGCTCCTCTTTGCCTTTCTTCAGGCATTCTGTAAATCACCTGACATAACTTTCCCTAATGTGCAGATGGTACTGTAAATTTGCAAAAGATATTTCAGATCCTCAAAGTAAGAGTTGTCATGACAGGACAGAAAACTATTGCTTTTTGCCTGTTTTGCTACCTTTTGTTCAGCTGTTTCAATACCTAAGTAGTTGCATGAAAGGATAATCCTTTAAAGCATTTTTCTTCTTCTTGGTTATCATGTCTCCTAAGCCACATAGACTTAGCTTATATACTAATCATTATGTTCTTACTGTACTGCATTTGCTAAGATAGTCAGAGCTTGAGGATTATTACATGATTTGGGGGTTAATAGGAAGAGAGGAATTTGAGGAGCATTCAATGGCAGAACATAAATCCCCCAATGCCCCACAAGAAATAGATACAAATCAGATGCATTTACTAGCCCAAAGTGGAAAGAACAACAAGCGCCATCTTCAAATTGTCACTTTTATCCCAAAGTCAAACAGATCTTAGAAATTACAATCTTCCCCAAGGATCTGTGACTAACTCTGGTAGTTCAGCTAAAGACCATCTACACATTTCTATCTCATTATTCGATGCTCATATATGAATTTAGAGTTTTAATGAGCATTTGATCTTTCAAATATTCCTCCCAATATGTACCACATGCATTACTCTTTTATTAACATTCATCTGCCTAAGGTCACTTGCAAATTTTCTTGATGGAAGGGGAGTTTTGTAAGTATAATTGTAGTTGAAAATTTTTGCTTAATTTATGTTTTAATTTATGTAATCCAAGCCACAGTCATATCTTGCCTGGATGATTAGAATAGCATCTAACTGGTCTACCTACCTCTTTCCTCTCCTTTTCCCCTCCTCCTCCTCCACCACACACACACACACACACACACACACACACACACACACGCACACACCCCAGTCAGAGAAATTTCTTTTTTTTTTTTTTGAGACAGAATTTTGCTCTTGTTGCGAGGCTGAAGTGCAATGGTGTGATCTCAGCTCACCGCAACCTCCACCTCCCAAGTTCAAGTTATTCTCCTGCCTCAGCCTCCCGAGTAGCTGGGATTACAGGCATGCACTAGCACGCCCAGCTAATTTTGTATTTTTAGTAGAGACGGGGTTTCTCCACGTTGGTGAGGCTGGTCTCGAACTCCCAACCTCAGGTGACCACCCCCAACTTCGGCCTCCCAAATTGCTGGGATTACAAGCATGAGCCACTGTGCCCAGCCTGATTTTTTTTTTAAGTAATCAGATCATGTCATGCCCACAGTTAAATCTTCCACCCAAACATGAACAAGCCAGGCATAGTCTCTGCCCTCAAGAAGCTCATAGTCTAATAATCATCACTGCTAGAAGCAGAGCCTGAAACAAGGGTTTTTTCATTTTTTGTTTTTATTTGTTTTTGCAAGTGATTCATCAAAAGCATAATCTCAGGAGAAACCTGCATTGAAGGGGCAGAAGCAGGATGGGGCAGAAGAAGGTAAGCTAAGAGAGGGTTTCAGAAAAGTCTAACTTCAGCTTGACTTGGTGAGGAGCCTGGGAATAGGAGTAGCACCACAGAGTTGTCCCATGTTAAGGCAAGGGGGTTGGCCTTTTGTACACTTACACCAGCCACTCATTAGTGGCAGGCTGCCCCAAGGGGAGGGCATCACCTCCTAGGCATTTCTGGGCAGAGTGGTTTCCTCTGGCTTTGGGGAATTTCTGGAGATGGGTGTTTCTGTGAGTCCCTAGTAGCTGGAGGTGGGTGCACCTTCTTTCTAATGATCTTGGCAGGACACTAGCATCTTTTTGCCCCCTAAAGCACTTAAAATCCAACTATTAACAATGGCCTACAAAGTGCTGCATGACCTGGCCCTTGCCTCCCTGTCTAACTCACCTCACACCAAACTCCCTCCTGCTCACTGATCTCCAGCTGCCCTGCCTGCCTCTGTTCCTTCAGCACTCCATGCTAGTTCCCGCCCAGGGAAGTTACTGATCCCTTTCCCTCAGGTCTCTGCTGGCTGGATCCTCAGTGTTTGAGTCTCAGATCCATAGACTGCTTCTCAGAGGGACCTCCTGACCACCCGATCTGAATGTGGTCACCACATTGCTCCCTCCCTCATCAGCCACTGTCTATCCCAGTGAATATCATTTGTTTCTTTTGTTTACTTGTTTATTGTCTGTTTCCCTTAATTCTGTAGCAGCAACTCACCACTGTATCCCCAGCATAGAGCATACCCAGGCAAGTAGAAGATTCTCAAAAATATTTTCTGAATAAGTGAAAAATGGAATAAATAAATGAATGTGTAGCACCTAAGTCTTCTTCCAGTTTTGTTTCTGGAAATACAACAAAATTCCAAATTCAAGATGAGATGCATTCCTAAATGCTGTTGAGGAAACTCACAGAGCTCTCTTGAGGATCAAAATGAGATGAATAGGAAAGCAGTCCATGATGTGATAGTGGATTAGATGTCATTTGTCTCATGCTTGAGGTCCTATGACTATTGTCACTGAGTCCGTGGAAACTCAGAACATGACTTATGACCTTAATTTACTTAAAAACAACAACTAAAAAGAAGTCATTTACATACAAAATATAGTTTAATTAATAAAATTATTAATAATTTGGTCTCCAAATTGCATCTGAATAAATTACAAATTAATGTTTAGAAAAAGATTAGTATAATTATAATAATATATTTGGGTAATGAGTATACTTATTACAGAAGTATAAGTATTACAAATTAATATTTTTATAGCTATTACATACTTAATATATATGTATATTTGTGCAGTAAGTATACTTATCACAAATGAATTCATTTTTTTATGCTTATTATTCCCTACTAAACCCATCAGATGCCTCATTGCCTGACTGCTATGCTTACTCTTCTTCTGATAGGTGTTGCTAGGCAGATCCAAGCTTGAAGAAGGAGGGGATCATCCTGTGACACCCATTATCAGCTACATCTGTGGACAATATAGAATAAATAAGACCCAGCCCCTGTTTGTCAGGAACTTTCATCCTAACAGGTTACAGAGATCTGAATCCAACCCTTTATCAAACAAGTAAGGAAAGACTAATTCAGGTGAAAATGGTGTGGGAAACCATGGAACAGGAGGAGGTTCATGGCTTCTGAGCCAGGCCATGAAAGGGGGATCAGAGCTCAAAAGCAAAGGGGGAACAAAGACATTCCAGAAAGAGGAAGCAGTGGGGGACCTATAAAGGTGCGATCACGTTTAGGGACTTGCAGGTGTCCTGGGATTGGATTTATGGGAAGAAAGGAGCTTGGGAAGAGGAGGCAATTTGAGGTAGGAGAACAGGAACCCCAGGCAGGGGCAGGACTCCTGGCTGGGGAGGCCAGGCCAGCATGTGGGCTGTGAAGATGGCCAAAGGGCTCAGCTCCATTCCATATGGAACACGGCCTCCAGGTTGTCTGCAGTTTGTATTTCTGATTTCACTGATTTTATTTACTGAAAAAACATTATAAAAATAAGGAAGCTATTTAAAAGAAAAATGACAGTGTACAATCATGTGCCCCATATATCAATTATTTTTGTTTACAGGTTTCCATTTTTTTCCCATTTGCAGACATGTATTTACGTACATACAGCTATAGGGTAAATAATTTTGTGATTTGATCCACCTGGCAGTAGAATGTAAAAATTTATCTATGTTTCCTATAATTATTTTGTTGATGCTAGCATGAGATTGAAGTACCATTGTTAACATTTTCTCTACTGTTGAGCATTCATTTTAAAATGTATTTCTATTTACTTTTATCTGCATAAAGTTTTCTTTCCTTCTTTTCTGTTATTTCCTGAAGTTGAATTTCTGAGAGTGGGGCTACTGAGTCAAAGGGCATAAATATTTGCTATGGTTCTTGAAATATATTGCAAAATTATTTTCCCAAAGGACTATATTATTTTTCAGTGCCACCAGTGGTATAAGAATGACCTGGTTTCATCTGCACTTTGCAAGCACTGAGTATTATTAAGATTATTAGTATTATTCCTCCCTAACTTAATAGATGTAAAATACTATTTTTGCATATTTTAAAATGCATTCCTCTGGTTACTAAGCAGATGAGTATTTTTCTGTGTGAATCCTGCCCCACCCCCAGCTGTCCACCACACCACACCATACCACACCACACCACAAATATCCTTAGCATTTCCATACCGGAGCCTTACCACTTTCCATGTCAACTTGTATGATTCTTGTGTGATATAGAACTTTCTACACATTTGTGGCCAAGTTAATGATATGTTAGGACTGTAAGTAGCTTCACTTCAGTAATACAGTTCTAGTGGTAAGGTTTGATGGCGTATACAGGAAAGGGAACTAGCTAAAATACCGTTAGAGGTGTCCAGTAGGAAGTGATGAGGGCCTAAAGGCAATGGCTGAGTTCAAAGAAGGAATATGTATATCCGTCATTTTGGAGGTAGAAAATAAGGCTTTGCAATTTAGGACACAAATTCAGCCTACATGCTTCTATGGCTGAGTATGGCCTATCAACCATAGGATAAACTACTCAGATTCTCCTACAGAGATTGCAGAGATTAGGGGCATTCCCTAGATTACCCTAACAGAGATTTGATTTAGATGAGGGAGGGAACTGGAGGCCATTGAGAAGCCTAGAGGACGTGGTGTTAAGCTGAGGCAGACAAGTTCTAGCAGCCTGGAGGAGGCCTGGGCCACAGTGGACGGGGAGGGGACTGGGGCACTGGGGACTACTGGGGGCACTGGGGACTATTGGGGCTAAGCCAAGCTCACCCTGCCTAGCAGGCAGCCAGAATTCCCAAGATAGGGAAGGACCAATGAACTGGCAGAGCACAATGTTCTTGTCCAGTCCACAGATAATATCAGAGATGCTAAACCTCTCACCAGATCCACAGGTAGCCGCCCTTATACATTTTCCCCCAGATTATTTTTAATAAAAGCAACATAATACTTGTTTTTCTTTATTATTATTATTATTATACTTTAAGTTTTAGGGTACATGTGCACAACGTGCAGGTTTGTTACATATGTATACATGTGCCAAGTTGGTGTGCTGCACCCATTAACTCGTCATTTAGCATTAGGTATATCTCCTAAGGCTATCCCTCCCCACTCCCCCCACCCCACAACAGGCCCCGGTGTGTGATGTTCCCCTTCCTGTGTCCATGTGTTCTCATTGTTCAATTCCCACCTATCAGTAAGAACATGCAGTGTTTGGCTTTTTGTCCTTGTGATGGTTTGCTGAGAATGATAGTTTCCAGCTTCATCCATGTCCCTACAAAGCACATTAACTCATCCTTTTTATGGCTGCATAGTATTCAATGGTGTATATGTGCCACATTTTCTTAATCCAGTCTATCATTGCTGGACATTTGGGTTGATTCCAAGTCTTTGCTATTGTGAATAGTGCCGCAACAAACATATGTGTGCATGTGTCTTTATAGCAGCATGATTTATAATCCTTTGTTATATACCCAGTAATGGGATGGCTGGGTCAAATGTATTTCTAGTTCTAGATCCCTGAGGAATCACCATGCCGACTTCCACAATGGTTGAACTAGTTTACAGTCCCACCAACAGTGTAAAATTGTTCCTTATTTCTCCACATCCTCTCTAGCACCTGTTGTTTCCTGACTTTTTAATGATTGCCATTCTAACTGGTGTGAGATGGTATCTCATTGTGGTTTTGATTTGCATTTTTCTGATGGCCAGGGATGATGAGCATTTTTTCATGTGTTTTTTGGCTGCATAAATGTCTTCTTTTGAGAAGTGTCTGTTCATATCCTTCGCCCACTTTTTGATGGGGTTGTTTGTTTTTTTCTTGTAAATTTGTTTGAGTTCATTGTAGATTCTGGATATTAACCATTTGTCAGATGAGTAGGTTGCAAGAAATTTCTCCCATTCTGTAGGTTGCCTGTTCACTCTGATGGTGGTTTCTTTTGCTGTGCAGAAGCTCTTTAGTTTAATTAGATCCTATTTGTCAGTTTTGGCTTTTGTTGCCGTTGCTTTTTGTTTTAGACATGAAGTCCTTGCCCATGCCTATGTCCTGAATGGTATTGCCTTGGTTTTCTTCTAGGGTTTTTATGGTTTTAGGCCTAACATTTAAGTCTTTAATCCATCTTGAATTAATTTTTGTATAAGGTGTAAGGAAGGGATCCAGTTTCAGCTTTCTACATATGGCTAGCCAGTTTTCCCAGCACCATTTATTAAATAGGGAATCCTTTCCTCATTGCTTGTTTTTCTCAGGTTTGTCAAAGATCAGATAGTTGTAGATATGCAGCATTATTTCTGAGGGCTCTGTTCTGTTCCATTGGTCTATATCTCTGTTTTGGTACTAGTATCATGCTGTTTTGGTTACTGTAGGCTTGTAGTATAGTTTGAAGTCAGGTAGCGTGATGCCTCCAGCTTTGTTCTTTTGGCTTAGGATTGACCTGGCAATGCGGGCTCTTTTTTGGTTCCATATGAACTTTAAAGTAGTTTTTTCCAATTCTGTGAAGAAAGTCATTGGTAGCTTGATGGGGATGGCACTGAATCTATAAATTACCTTGGGCAGTATGGCCATTTTCACAATATTGATTCTTCCTACCCATGAGCATGGAATGTTCTCCCATTTGCTTGTATCCTCTTTTATTTCATTGAGCAGTGGTTTGTAGTTCTCCTTGAAGAGGTCCTTCACATCCCTTGTAAGTTGGATTCCTAAGTATTTTATTCTCTTTGAAGCAATTGTGAATGGGAGTTCACTCATGATTTGGCTCTCTGTTTGTCCGTTATTTGTGTATAAGAATGCTTGTGATTTTTGCACATTGATTTTGTATCCTGAGACTTTGCTGAAGTTGCTTATCAGCTTAAGGAGATTTTGGGCTCAGACGATGGGGTTTTCAAGATATACAATCATGTCATCTGCAAAGAGGGACAATTTGACTTCCTCTTTTCCTAATTGAATACCCTTTATTTCCTTCTCCTGCCTGATTGCCCTGGCTAGAACTTCCAACACTATGTTGAATAGGAGTGGTGAGAGAGGGCATCCCTGTCTTGTGCCAGTTTTCAAAGGGAATGCTTCCAGTTTTTGTCCATTCAGTATGATATTGGCTGTGGGTTTGTCATAGCTCTTATGATTTTGAGATATGTCCCATCAATACCTAATTTATTGAGAGTTTTTAGCATGAAGGGTTGTTGAATTTTGCCAAAGGCCTTTTCTGCATTATTGAGATAATCATGTGGTTTTTGTCTTTGGTTCTGTTTATATGCTGGATTACATTTATTGATTTTCATACGTTGAACCAGCCTTGCATCCCAGGGATGAAGCCCACTTGATCATGGTGGATAAGCTTTTTGATGTGTTGCTGGATTCGATTTGCCAGTATTTTATTGAGGATTTTTGCATCAATGTTCATCAAGGATATTGGTATAAAATTCTCTTTTTTGGTTGTGTCTCTGCCATGCTTTGGTATCAGGATGATGCTGGCCTCATAAAATGAGTTAGGGAAGATTCCCTCTTTTTCTATTGATTGGAACAGTTTCAGAAGGAATGGTACCAGCTCCTCCTTGTACCTCTGGTAGAATTCGGCTGTGAATCCATCTGGTCCTGGACTTTTTTTGGTTGGTAAGCTATTAATTATTGCCTCAATTTCAGAGCCTGTTATTGGTCTATTCAGAGATTCAGCTTCTTCCTGGTTTAGTCTTGGGAGGGTGTATGTGTCAAGGAATTTATCCATTTCTTCTAGATTTTCTAGTTTATTTGCATAGAGGTGTTTATAGTATTCTCTGATGGTAGTTTGTATTTCTGTGGGATCAGTGGTGATATCTCCTTTATCATTTTTTATTGCGTCTATTTAATTCTTCTCTCTTTTCTTCTTTATTAGTCTTGCTAGTGGTCTATCAATTTTGTTGATCTTTTCAAAAAACCAGCTCCTGGATTCATTGATTTTTTTGAAGGGTTTTTTGTGTCTCTATTTCCTTCAGTTCTGCTCTGATCTTAGTTATTTCTTGCCTTCTGCTAGCTTTTGAATGTGTTTGCTCTTGCTTCTCTAGTTCTTTTAATTGTGATGTTAGGGTGTCAATTTTAGACCTTTCCTGCTTTGTCTTTTGGGCATTTAGTGCTATAAATTTCCCTCTACACACTGCTTTGAATGTGTCCCAGAGATTCTGGTATGCTGTGTCTTTGTTCTCATTGGTTTCAAAGAACCTCTTTATTTCTGCCTTCATTTCGTTATGTACCCAGTAGTCATTCAGGAGCAGGTTGTTCAGTTTCCATGTAGTTGAGCGGTTTTGAGTGAGTTTCTTAATCCTGAGTTCTAGTTTGATTGCACTGTGGTCTGAGAGACAGTTTGTTATAATTTCTGTTCTTTTACATTTGCTGAGGAGTGCTTTACTTCCAACTATGTGGTCAATTTTGGAATTGGTGTGGTGTGGTGCTGAAAAGAATGTATATTCTGTTGATTTGGGGTGGAGAGTTCTGTAGATGTCTATTAGGTCCTCTTGGTGCAGAGCTGAGTTCAATTCCTGGATATCCTTGTTAACTTTCTGTCTCGTTGATCTGTCTAATGTTGACAGTGGGGTGTTAAAGTCTCCCATTGTTATTGTGTGGGAGTCTAAGTCTCTTTGTAGGTCACTCAGGACTTGCTTTATGAACCTGGGTGCTCCTGTATTGGGTGCATATATATTTAGGGTAGTTAGTTCTTCTTGTTGAATTGATCCCTTTACCGTTACGTAATGGCCTTCTTTGCCTCTTTTGATCTTTGTTGGTTTAAAGTCTGTTTTATCAGAGACTAGGATTGCAATCCCTGCCTTTTTTTGTTTTCCATTGGCTTGGTAGATCTTCCTCCATCCCTTTATTTTGAGCCTATGTGTGTCTCTGCACATGAGATGGGTTTTCTGAATACAGCACACTGATGGGTCTTGACTTTTTATCCAATTTGCCAGTCTGTGCCTTTTAATTGGAGCATTTAGCCCATTTACATTTAAGGTTAGTATTGTTATGTGTGAATTTGATCCTTTCATTATGATGTTAGCTGGTTATTTTGCTCGTTAGTTGATGCAGTTTCTTCCTAGCCTTGATGGTCTTTACAATTTGGCATGTTTTTGCAGTGGCTGGTACCAGTTGTTCCTTTCCATGTTTAGAGCTTCTTTCAGGAGCTCTTGTAGGGCAGGCCTGGTGGTGACTAAATCTCTCAGCATTTGCTTCTCTGTAAAGGATTTTATTTCTCCTTCACTTATGAAGTTTAGTTTGGCTGGATATGAAATTCTGGGTTGAAAATTCTTTTCTTTCAGAATGTTGAATATTGGCCCCCATTCTCTTCTGGCTTGCAGAGTTTCTGCTGAGAGATCAGCTGTTAGTCTGATGGGCTTTCCTTTGTGGGTAACTCAACCTTTCTCTCTGGCTGCCCTTAACATTTTTTCCTTCATTTCAACTTTGGTGAATCTGACAATTATGTTTCTTGGAGTTGCTCTTCTCAAGGAGTATCTTTGTGGCATTCTCTTTATTTCCTGAATTTGAATGTTGGCCTGCCTTGCTAGATGGGGGAAGTTCTCCTGGATAATATCCTGCAGAGTGTTTTCCAACTTGGTTCCATTCTCCCCGTCACTTTCAGGTACACCAATTAGATGTAGACTTGGTCTTTTCACATAGTCCCATATTTCTTGGAGGCTTTGTTCATTTCTTTTTATTCTTTTTTCTCTAAACTTCTCTTCATGCTTCATTTCATTCATTTTGTCTTCCATCGCTGATACCCTTTCTTCCAGTTGATCACATCAGTTACTGAGGCTTGCGCATTTGTCACATAGTTCTCATGCCGTGGTTTTCAGCTCCATCAGGTCCTTTAAGGACTTCTCTGCATTGGTTATTCTAGTTATCCATTCGTCTGATTTTTTTTCAAAGTTTTAACTTCTTTGCCATTGGTTCGAACTTCCTCCTTTAGCTCGGAGTAGTTTGATCTTCTGAAGCCTTCTTCTCTCAATTCGTCAAAGTCATTCTCCATCCAGCTTTGTTCTGCTGCTGGTGAGGAGCTGCGTTCCTTTGGATGAGGAGAGGCGCTCTGATTTTTAGAGTTTCCAGTTTTTCTGCTCTGTTTTTTCCCCATCTTTGTGGTTTTATCTACCTTTGGTCTTTGATGATGGTGACGTACAGGTGGGTTTTTGGTGTGGATGTCCTTTCTGTTTGTTAGTTTTCCTTCTAACAGTCAGGACCCTCAGCTGCAGGTCTGTTGGAGTTTACTGGAGGTCCACTCCAGACCCTGTTTGCCTGGGTATCAGCAGCGGTGGCTGCAGAACAGCTGATATTGGTGAACCGCAAATGCTGCTGCCTGATCATTCCTCTGGAAGTTTTGTCTCAGAGGAGTACCTGGCCGTGTGAGGTGTCAATCCACCCCTACTGGGGGGTGCCTCCCAGTTAGGCTACTCGGGGGTTAGGGACCCACTTGAGGAGGCAGTCTGCCCGTTCTCAGATCTCAAGCTGCGTGCTGGGAGAACCACTACTCTCTTCAAAGCTGTCAGACAGGGACATTTAAGTCTGCAGAGGTTATGCTGCCTTTTGTTCATCTGTGCCCTGCCCCTAGAGGTGGAGCCTACAGAGGCAGGCAGGCCTCCTTGAGCTATGGTGGGCTCCACCCAGTTCGAGCTTCCCGGCCGCTTTGTTTACCTGCTCAAGCCTGGGCAATGGCAGGCGCCCCTCCCCCAGCCTCACTTCCACCTTGCAGTTTGATCTCAGACTGCTGTGCTAGCAATGAGCAAGGCTCCGTGGGCATAGGACCCTCCAAGCCATGTGCAGGATATAATCTCCTGGTGTGCCATTTGTTAAGCCCGTTGGAAGAGCGCAGTATTAGGGTGGGAGTGACCCGATTTTCCAGGTGCCATCTGTCACCCCTTTCTTTGACTAGGAAAGGGAATTCCCTGACTCCTTGCACTTCCCAGGTGAGGCGATGCCTTGCCCTGCTTCGGCTCACGCATGGTGCACTGCACCCACTGTCTGGCACTCCCCAGTGAGATGAACCCAGTACCTCAGTTGGAAATGCAGAAGTCACCCGTCTTCTGCGTCGCTCATGCTGGGAGCTGTAGACTGGAGCTGTTCCTATTCGGCCATCTTGGCTCCACCCCCTAATACTTGTTTTTCTAATAAGGACCTTCAGTCAGTCCTCCCAGCACTCTGGAATGACCTGCATTTTGGGGCCCATTTTGGGACCTTTATTCAAAGTCCTTATTAGAAAAGGTGAAAAGGAGATGTTAAAGTGTTGGCTAATTTGGAAGAGCTGCTTGCAGTAACCATCAGGCTGAAATTCAGTGAAATTAAAACCCATTAGGGAGGGTTTACAAAGACAAAGTTCCAACAAGCAAATCCATTAGCATCAGTTACAGATCCTTAGCTGATAATAAACCACTGCCCAGAGAAATCTGACTTTTTGTTATGAGGGCAGGGGACACATACATATATGTCATGTTCTGCCATAATTGTAACTGGTTATTATATTTACAGATGGTGCACAAATATCCTGAAGGTCCCTTACATGGTTGTTAAAGATTTCTTCCTGAATTAATTGACTCCCTCCCAGACAAGCAAAGGCTGTGTGTTAAAAACAGACCTTTCAGCATGATGTGAGCAAACGGCCCTGTGTGGAGTAGCAGTTAAGAATCATCAGCTTGGGCAAATTGTTTAACTTTGCTTTTCCCTCATCTCTAATGTGGGGATAACACTACTTGCCTTATAAAGTTCCAGTACATAGTAAGTACTGGACAAATTCTTCCAGGAATTATTCTGCTCCATAGCCGGCACTAGTTAGGGGACCAGGTGTGTATCATCTCGGTGGCAGACAAGGCACAGCCCACTCCATGTTGTTACACTCTATTACTAGAAAAAAAAAAAAATCTCTACTTCTAACCTTAACCTGTTCTGTCAAAATTAATATTTTATTATAGTATTAAAATGTTATGTATAATCTATATACATGTGTATATACAGCATTAAATGTGTAATGACTGGAGAAACAGGCATAAACAGTATGAATTTGCTTTGTGCCTCTTGCTGGTAAGATATCTCACATATTAACTGCTGCTTGGTGTAGTTCAAGCTCTGAAGTAGGCGTGTCTGGGTTCACATCCTGGCTGTGTGACCTCAGATGGGTTACTTAGCCCTCTGCCTCAGTTTCTTCCTTTGTAAAAAAAAAATCTAGTGATTGTGCTAATGATGGAATTGTTGCAAGGATTAAATTGATCAATACATGAAAATCATTTAGAACAATGTCTGGCACATCATATCCAATAAATGTTGGCTCTTAGCATTTAAAAATTTTTCTGAACTATATGAAGTCTGGCTCAGTGTCTCCTGCCCAGATTGGAAGGAACTTTGGTCTCAGTTATTCTGGGGGCACCTTTTTCTGTGTTGTACCACGGCCCTGAAGACTCACTTGTGTACCTAAAGGAGGGCTCTTGGTCTATGCCCTTCTCCTATGGATACCTGATGCCACTAACAAGTGCTGATCACCGCAATCTGTCCTAAGCTGTGGCTCCATCTTATTCATTCAACAGAGGTTTTTTTTTTCTGGGTTTTTTTTTTTTTTTTTTTTTTTTTTTTTTTTTTTTTTTTTTGAGCATCCACTCTGTCCCTGACACTATAGCAGGTGCTGGGAATAAAACAGAAAAACAAAAGAGAATTAACCCGTTCCTCCTGGAGCTTCAAATGAAGCAAGACCCCTGAGCCAGGCTGGTGCTAGGGCCCTCTTCAGGATTTCCACAAAGAAGACCCTTGTCATTTGATCAATCCTCTCAGTACTGCAATGGAATGATCTGCATTTGGGGGTCCATCTACCTCCAAGGCAGGGAGTTCAACTGGAACTTATGTCTGCCACCCCACGGAAGACATTCAAACCCCACTCCCCTTTCCTGGTCTCAGGAAACATCTCTCCAACACCAAGGACTCCTCTTCACCAAGCCCTAATCCCCCCAAAAAGCCTGCATGTGATATTCAGAACCATTCCTAAAAACCTCAAGAAACTATTAACTTCTTCCTCACCTATGACCACCAGAACACAGAGCTCTCCTGGCCACCTCCTAAAGAGGTGGAAGGGAAAACGTCACTCATTCTTCTATGATGAATATTCAGGCAAGAAAACAAGACAGGCTCATCTCCCAGGAAGGTTATTCAGACACCCAGACATACAGATGGGGTCCAGCGAGGCGAGCGTTCATGGCTTAGGGAGCGGTAGGCGGCATCTGGACTACAGTGCTGTCAAAGGGAAGGAAGACACAGAACAGATTTGTGTGTCTGACAACCAGAAGGAAATTAACAAGATTTTGAGACAGTAATTTCAGCAGAGTTTAAGAGCCAGATTTCAGATGGTCATGAGGCCATAGGTAAGTGCAGCTAACAACACAGGTAGGTGTAGCTGTTGTTTGTGAGATGCTTCTACCTCTGAGAAGGGAGAGGAGCAGAGGATGAATGTCAAGGCAGAGAGGAGATGAAGACCGAGGAAGGAGTTCTTGCCCCACAGTCCCATGGAGAAGGAGACAATGTGGAGTGCTGATAACTAGAAACTGATGGGCAGTGTTCGACTTATCTTTTGGTGCATAAAACTTGGTGGTTTGGAAAAGAATCAATCATTTTAATTACTCACAATTCTGTAGGTCAGGAAATCAGGCAGGATTCAGCTGGGATGTTCTTATGCTAACATCATTTGTTCAGCTACATTCAGTTGGTGGTTTGGCTGAGATGGAAGACATCAGAAGGCTATACCCACATGGCAGGCACCTCAATGCTCTTTTATTTGGTCTCTCTCCCTGCACGTGGATATTTTGAGCTTCCTCACAGCATGGGGGTCTCAGGGAAGCTGGACTATAGTATGGCAGCTGCCTTCTAAGAGGTAACTGTCTCAGGAGATACTGAAGATGTCTAAGGCTCAGTCTTGGAAAGTGTCGCAGCATCCTCATCAAAGTAAGTCATTGAGAGTTATCCCAGCTTCCACCACAGCGATTTAGACCCACCATTTGATGGAGGATTGTCAAGGTCTGATTCCAGAGCATGTGGGATGGGACATATTATTGTCACCATCTTTGGAAATGCCGTTTACCTCAGGAGGAGAGAGGAGTGAGAGTTCCTACTTGTGGGGGTACGCTGTGGAATCAAAGAGATGACTTGTGGATTCATTTATAAATTCGCGCATTCGATAAGTATTTCTTGAAATTATACTATGTACTGGACACTGTTCCAAGTACTACAGGTGCAGTGAGGCAAAAATAAAAAGTCCTTGATCTTATAAAGCTTATGTTCTAGTACAGAGACAGATAATAAATGCTTAATAAACTCTAGTGGTTGCCAAGTGATATAAGAAAGCAGGGTTAGAGGACAGGAGGAACTGAGTAGGGGACACAAGGAAGCTTTCTACTTTGGGCAGGGTTGTCAAGGAAGGCCTTGGTGCATTTCAGGAATACTGTGGAGGGGCACTGAGGCAAGAACTAGACTATCAAAAGCCTTATAGGCATGGGAAGAAATGTGAATTGTTTTTTCTAAGCATAGTTAGCAGCCATTCATCTGGCCTCTTGTCCAGCCGGGAGATTACAAAATCTATCATCAGCCTTGCATCCTCTGAGTCATCCTCAGGCCACTGGGCTTCCCTTCTAGATCCTTAGAGTCTGAGGGTAGTGTCTTTGCTATAGGTTTGACTTATAGTGGCTAGAAGCCATCCAAATTTGGTCTGGAAAAAAATGTTTAAAAAATCCTGCATAGCTCCAGATGGCTTTGTATATTAAATTAGACCCACACTGGCCCAGGAACTTTCTCAATCATAATTACATTAGTCATCATTAACATTTAAAGAGGCTGCAAACAGAATACTGGACATTGCAATAAATTATCATTGTCCACTGGGCAGGTTCCATGAATCAAGTGCCCCTGGAACTTTTTGAGACTGTCTGATGCTGCAATTTAAATGGAGGATGTCATTCTGCTCTTTGTACATGGGAGTACAGTGGGGGCAAAAGTGAAAGCAAGTGTATGTACAAAAAAAATCCACACTATGCATATCTGGCCCATATTTCTAAACTAAAAGTCTGTTACAACTCTCCCTGGCTCCTAAGGCACTGTACTTTTCCAAGTCATGTTTAGTCTTCATCTTAGCACGACTCACAAGACCCATTACTCCTCAATGGTCCAGCCACCCTGAGCTACCTGCATGTCTCCTAACATGCCAGGTTCTGAGGCTTCAGTAGTAACAGCAATAATAACAACAATGTTTTAAGTTCTTAATCTGTGCCCTTTACCATGCCAAGTGCTTTGAATATACTCATTCCGTGTGTCATCAATATTGTCATCTCTGCTTTACATATGAAATAGACACAGCTCAGGGGTGAAGTAACTTGCTCAATCTCACACAGGCAGTCACAGGCACAGTCACAGGCAGAGGCAAGATTTAAAGCAAGCACTAACTCTGGAGCCCAAATGTTTTGCAGCTCCTTCTCCTCAGCATGCTTTTCCTGACTCTCTCAGTGGCCTGGGTGTAGCCTTCACAACTCTGCACAAAAATCCTTCCCTCAACAAGGCATTCCTCACTGTCCCTCCACATCCCTTCTTGGGCTGGGTGCCTCTTCTCTGCTGTTCCATGACACCCCTGGTCAACTCCTGTTAGGGCACTGTCGGAGCTACACTGAACTTGCCTATTTAACTGTCTCTCTGACAGGCATTGAGGGCAATGAGAGCCAAGACATTATTATCAACTTCTGTGTCCCTAGTGCTTGGCTCAGTAGATATTTGTTGAATGAATGGATGCATAGATAGATTTGAGTGTAGGTAGATGTGGCTTTAAATATATCACAATATCCAGTGGGATTCAGTTTTACTTCTAAAGAATATGAACATTCTGGGAGAAAGATTTTATTTGCCATAAGTTGATAAAAACTAACATTCAAAGTATGACCAAAATTGACCCAGCCCATTAAGAAATTTATATACATGTGTGAATATACACACACACGTGTGCACATACACACATATCATGGTGTGGGGGTTGGCCCCTGATGACAAAGGGAGCAAAAAACAAACACAAGTGCCCAGGGTACCTTACCGTTGAATGCTGAATATTCATATCCTCATCTGACATCTGAGAATAGGCAATCAGAGGTCTCCTGTATGACCAAAACATGCCTTTTACCAGAAATAATGTTTCCCAGTTTTGGGGTATGATGAATTTCCACATTTCTTGGATAAGTGCAGACAGCAATTGAAGTTGTCCAAACTGAAGCCTTGGATGGCAGAGTAGGCACAGATAGCACCAAGAGGACAGAAGTATTTGAGGGTAGGAGTGGGCAGGGTGATAAATGGAATTAGGAGATGCCCTTTAAAAGTGCTCTGTGCACTCTACATGTGAAGAGTTACAGTGTTTGTTGGAGGAGAGTAGATGTCCATTGATAGGCACACCCCATTGTTTGCATAAGGCCCAGAATCACATGAAAAAGAACTAGAACTCTGTCTACATGGGTCTTTGTTGGTCAGGTTGATGCTGGGAAATGAAAGGGCAGGAAATAAGGTTGAAAATTCCCAGAAGTAAGAAATCTGGTCAAGACCTAAGTGTGAGTCATGAGCAAGGTTTCTAAGCTCAGTATGAGGTGGTCCTCAGACCCTTTTCACCTCCTTTCTCACAAACCAAGATGAGCTATGTGCAGGGAGCTAAGGATCTCATTCAGGATTTTACACCTCTCTTTATCCTGCCTTAGTGGGAGGCTAACTCATACTCAGATGGAGGTAAAATTAACTATGACAAGTAATTCTCGTCTTAGAATTATCAGAAGTGGACTCATGCAGGCCTGGAGCCTGGGAAAGAGAATCTGTGGAACAATGGAAGGCATTACTTCACTCTGGGTTTCACTTCCAGCAACTCTGCTGGGGGACTGCCCTTTTAGAAAAGATGGGCATGAGAAGAGACAGGCATTTCTGGGGAAAATAGATGGACATCTAGAGACAGGAGCAACGGAGAGCAAGTGAGATAGGAGCAATGGAAAGCAAGCAACTGCCTTTGCAAAGAAAGCAGACACCCCACACACCAAGGAGGCATCAAGGTCCAAAGGAACCCAGCACCCAGCACCATGTGGGCCCCGCTGGCACATCAACAGAACTGCAGAAGAAAGTTCGCCCCTGAGGACACAGCAGAGGGCAGAAAACTGGTCATACCACAGCATGTGTCCCAGCAACTGGCCTGGCCCTGCCTGGGGCTCATTCAGGGAGGGAGGAGGAAGGAGCTGATGTCCTGCACTTGGCACACTGAGTGACAGGTAGAATGACTTGAGTAGGAATACATAGGAGGCTATCATGAAACAATCCCCTGTCGTCCAGCCTGGAAAGACTCAGAACCATCAAGATTAAGGAATTATCAGGCTTCCCAAGGGCAGGGACCATGGCCATCTTGTTCACTGTGTCCTCCATTCCTAAAAGTTCTTGGTACCTGGTAACAATAGGCATTTAATACATGTCTGGTGGATGGATGGATCACTGTCTGCCAATGGTACTAGGTTTGTGCTCACCAGCTGCCAAGACCTGGAACATCTGGGTTACACACATGTTATTTCTAATGATTGAATCAATGACTATGCCCTTATTTCACATTTATGTCTCACAATATCAAAATACTGGTATTAAGAATATTTATAACTTTAAGAATTCAAAGGTTAAAATTTAAAATTAGTGACCCTAAATCTTGAGCATATTTTGAGTATAAAACAATATACAAATAAAAGCATCAAGTAAAAATAAAATATGGGCAATATAGATGTTACACCTACATCAGCATTATCATATAAATTTACAGGAGATAGACTGAATTTTAAAGTGTCATTTTAAAATAATTATGTAAAAATAAAATACAAAATGTGATTTTGAGAAGTAAATAACTCATTACTGAGTTATATTCGCATTTCTCTGAAAGAGAAATTTAGAAAATTTAGAATCATAAAGGGATCGTTCTAAGTAAGCTACAGATAGTTCCCTCTGATTCCTTCATCAGCCTGCCCTGACCTAATATTTTATTTGATAATATGAGGGAATCTCTTTGAAAAATGTATGACCACCACACCCCATCCCAGTTCCATCAACCTAGGATGACAATTTTTGTACTGGTCAGACACTGTGGTTTATATTTAAAGAAAGCATTCCCACTCTGTCTTTTTTCATTTAATTATAGATACAGAATCCCATGCAGATTTCTTGTATCAATATTAATACCTTTGGATGTATGTTCTACTTGTTGATAAAGTTTCTGAACTAGAGTAAGAATTATTCATGCAAGAAAAACTGCTTTTAATGATAATCAAGTTTCTCTACTTTAGAGCCATAGAAAGTGGATGAATACTCCGTAAGTGAGCACATCTTTGGTTGATTAAAAATTTGATGCATGATATAAGTGGTTTGTATTTCAGAAATATTATACCAGTCAAAAAGCAATATGTTGGTAAACAGAAGTTTGCTGAGGTTTAAAAATTGCACCGTAAACCAAAAACTGGAACTGTATTTTCTAAACCCTTGAAACCTCCCTTGAGTTAGTCATCATTATGGACATTCCATAAGTAGAGAAATTGAGACCTAACGAATTAGGCTACTCAGTTCCTCACCAATCAGTGGTGGAGCTTGTATTGACACGTGGGCAGGCTGACCCAGAGCCTGTGCATGTTCCCAACCCCATGAATGTTTGCAACCAAGGCACAGCACAGCCACCAGCAAGGCCTGCAGAGTTGCAGAACCAACTTGGTAACATTATCCAGTCAGAACTCAGGCTCAGGGAACTGCTGCTCTTCCTAGTAAGATATCAGTGTCAGGTAGGATTTTCTCATGGGACTTGAAATGCTAATTAGGTCCTTCAGCAAAGTGATTGTTTAAATGGAGTCTGCACTTTTCAAGGCTATAAGTCTGAGTTTGGGTGGCCTCCACATTAACCTGGGTCCTGGCAAAGAAGTGATCAGGCACTTGAGCCATCATGGAATCAGCTGCTTCTATTCTTCTCTATATGTAGAAGACAGAGCCCAGGATGTTATCCTTAACAGGATGAAGTTATCAAGAAAAGGGGCTTCAAGCCCTTCTTGTGTATTTCTGATTTTTATCTCTACAGAGACTTGGCTGATGAATAGGCAGAAGGGCAGAGAGAGATAAGAGTTCTAGCAGCATCTCGAATGTTGAGTCCCCTGGTCTTTGGGGAAATGGAAAAATCACCATAATCCCTTGTGCTTTGGTGTTTCGGTCTGATTTTAAATCTACCTTGAGGAAATATAGGGTAAATATAGTTCAAAATGCTATCTTTGATGTCAAACTGGCCTGGGTTCCAGTCCAGGCCCTGTCGTCATAATCACTTTTGTGACTGATGGTAGACAAGTTACTTAATCTCTCTGTGTCTAATGCCTCCATATTTAAAACAGAGATTTACCAACCCCACCTTAAAGAACTGATGTGAGGGTTAAATAATAAAATGACAGGTAAGCACAGGACCTGACACAGAATAGTGCTCAACAAATATTAGTGATTCCTTATTATTAAATAAATACTTTCTGAATTGATGTCAGTTTACATGGTACATGGCACACATAAAAATTAAATAATCCTCATCTAATCCAAGAGATAATCCTCAAACCTTATTTTGGACTCATATTTCAATATTTTCCTACACAAGAAGATGAGTACCTGGTTTAGCTTTTATCCCCTCTTCCTGTCTGCCTTTTAGTAAAGATGTGAAGACACTTAAGCATTCATCAGGCCCTGAGTAACAGGATTTGTTACATTTAGAAATTATTCTGGGATGATGAGAAAATCATGGAGAAAATCTTAGGGGATTCAAAACCCTCAGTTTATCAATCACTCAACAGAAGTTTATTGAGCACCTATTACATGGAAAACATAAGGCTGCACATTCTTGGAGATACCTAGACAGTTGGTTCCTTCAAGAAGATTAAAAATAACAGAAAAGATCAAATGTGGTCACAAGAGTATGTCTATCCACAACTTGACCTATGACACATGATTGCCAAGTGAGTGGGTTACAGAATAAGACCCATAGGTGTCCAAGATGTCTTTGGGGGCTGAGGAACTTGGTGGGACTTGGAGGTAGACAGGAAGTTGGGTGTTTTTTGTTTGTTTGTTTGTTTGTTTTTGACAGAGTCTTGATCCATCGCCCAGGTTGGAGAGCAGTGGTGCAATCTCGGCTCACTGCAGCCTCTGCTTCCCAGGTTCAAGCAATTCTCCTGCCTCAGCCTTCCAAGTAGCTGGGATTACAGGCACCAGCCACCATGCCCAGCTAATTTTTGTATTTTTTTTTTTCAGTAGAGATGGGGTTTCACCATGTTGGCCAGGCTGGTCTTGAATTCCTGACCTCAAGTGATCCACCCACCTTGGCCTCCCAAAGGGGAAGTTGGGTCTTGAAGGCTGCTGAGGTGTTAAACCAGAGAAGAGCAGGATGGACCTTCTTTGAACATAGACAGGGGGTGGCTACATATGCCAGGTTTGGAAACAGCATGTAGAGCAACGTGGTTAGATGGTAAGGCTCAGGAAGGGGAGGAGTTGAAAATAATCCAAGAAAACTTGCTGGAAATAGCTTCCACTTCTTTGATTTCAGGTTAGGGCATAGCCTCCAGTGGGGTGGAGAGAGTTGCTGCCAGGTATGGAGGGTGGCCTCTTTGTGATACTGTGAAAGGGTAGAGGCAGTCATTTGGAGCGAGCTGGAAGCTGACTCAGCCTTCCATGGGACTCTGGCCATGACAACATAACCAGACTGGAAACCCAGTCACATCAGCACCCTCTGAGCTCTCTGCTCTGAGAGGACTTCTGGTGACTGGGGGAAAATGCTTCCGCCTCCAGAAAGCCCCGCCACAGCTCCTGCCTTCACCCCCGCACTCAGGAAATGGCTTGCCTCCAGCTCTGGAAGAAGTCCAGCACCCTTTGTTTTGGTGCCTGCACCCTGAGACTGAGACATAGGTTGGTTCATTAAGGACTTTCTTCATCAAAAAACCATTCTCTGGTCAGAGAGATGCTGCTGAGTCACAGGCACAGTTCTCAGAGCAACCCAACAATTAAGGTCATTTGTGTAAGTAATCTCTCTTGGTCTAGAAAACTGGAGGTTTGTTTAAAGAGAGGTGGCAGAGAGTATTTTTGTGTCCTGCTGTCCTTGGCATACAGGAACAGAGAGCTCTCTTTGAGAACAATGGCACAAGAGACCTAACGTAAGAGTTGATATTGAATATCCGTGGGAATGAAGAGCCTGCAGAGAGGCCCATCTCCTTTTGCTGCCCGGTAGACTTCCAGGAAGGCTCAGTTCGCAACTGCTTGGCAGAACCCCCAGCTGTAGAAATAACCAAGAAGCATTCCAGAGTTAGCTGGGATCAGGGATGCACAAGTGGAAGACGAGTCAGGGGAGGGTAGAATCGAGTGTCAGACGTCTATAGAGGCATCCAGATAGAATCTCCAAGCAATGAAGGAGCTATGTGACAGATGCTCAGGTGGTCAAAAAATGGGAAATTTTGAAGGCAGTGCTGCAAAAAGGTGAGTGGGGTGGTGTGCCTAGGCAGGGCATATGAAATAACCCCAAGTTGTAGCCCAAAATCCCCTTGAGCTTAGTTCCAATCCCTGCCTCCCTCCTTGGCTCTTTTCTTGGGGCATCCCCTCCAGATGATGGTATGAATTTTTTCCTGGTCCATCTCTTTAAACCCCTAGCTCAACTGCCTTTGGGAATTAAGGAAGTTGTTGTTGTTTCTTAATCTCCTGGCACTTCTACAGTGAAAATAAATTCAGCAGACATGAATTCAATCATTTATCTGTTCATCATGTCTCCTAGCAAACCACTTTCAGCCTTTGGTACCCACAGGCCTCTTCCAGATGTGGTGACATGCAGAAGTGCAGGGAGTCAGCCACCTCACAGGGGCAATGAGGAAGGAAGGCAACTTTGGTCCTGTGGATGGCACCAGATTTGCAATTTGAAAGCAGAGAACTCTGGCCATGCCATTTACTCAAACAGTGCCCATTCGTGAACACCACGCTAAAGACCACAGGAGCCCTCCAGGAGGAGTTTCCTCTCCAGCAGGGGATCATGCAGAACTATAACTACAATTAAAGGGAGTGACTAAGAATTACTTGAGAGAAAAGAAAGAGAGACTGTCACCTGAGTGGGGCAGAGTCAGCCTTTCCATTCCAGAGAATTCTGTCTCAGTGTCCCCTCCTATCTCTCCCTGCAGGCCAACTCCTCTCCAGTCCCTCCCTCACCCAGGTCCTTGGACAGTCCATCTCAGTTACAGATGTAGTTTGATTTATTTTCTCTTAAGAGCCTGCTCAGCCCCATGTAAACTCCTTCACAGATTCTCCGCTCCAGCCATTACAAACTGCCTACTATGATGAATATGAATCATGTCGCTGGGAAAATCTAGGCAGTCACATCAGTTCTTCCCTTCAAGAATTTTCCTAAAAGTGTGCCATGTTCTGGGCAGGAATGGCCTAGGCTTAGCTCTTGGTGACATCCATCCTTTGATCATTCTATCCTTTTGTGAGCAAGATGCCAAAGAAAATAAGCCCAAGACAACACCAATTTTCTGAGTTCCTATTCTATTCTAGCTATAAGCTTTTCTTCCATCAGTTCCTCTCTGACCCCGCTTTTGAAAATCCTGGTCACACCCCGAGTTCTTCCTGCCTTTGTTCCTTAGCTGTGTGCCCTTTTGGGTAGAGTTTTCTTTGTGTCCTGTTGGTGTGCTTCATTTGCTACTCTCATCCTCCTTGGGTCAGGGATGATATTTTTTCATGCTTCAAAATCACATGGGAAAAAAATCTTTTGATACACATTGAACTGTCTTTGAAGGGCTGCCACAAGTGCAGAAAGGTTCCCAGATAGAGGTAAACACCAATTTGGGCTTCAGCTATCCACAGCTGATATCTTATTACATCATAAAGTCTATCTACAAATAAACAGCATGTCTGAAGCTAGGTTGCTTTATTATAGAGATAAATGCAGCTGTGGAGATTAGCAAAGGTCCAATCAGAGGAAGACAGAGCCCCAAGAGACCCCTCTGTTTTAGCTGGGACCACTGTCTTCCTCTGAGGCAAGCAAGGGAGAGTGGGGAATAGTCACCACTGTGTTCTCTCTCAGAGCTTCTGCTCTTCTGGCCTTCTGCCCAATCTGCGGTGCTGACCTGTCTGCCAAGAGGCAGCAGCAGAAGCATGGGAGAGGCTCTCCTAGATACAGACAAGAAGCAAATGATGGGGATTGTGACAGGCATCCTTCCCAGGCAGCAGTAGTGCAGGGAGCCATAGGGTGAGTCAAATACTCGTCTTCTATTTCACAGCATGTGTCGCGTCTTCTAATCAGACTACGAGTTTCTGCAAAGCAGGGCCATTTCAGTATCCACAGAAGGCTGGCAGTTGAAAAACAAAAGTGACTGCACCCCATGCTCACCCACCACTCCCTCTGAGACTGTGCTATGACTAGACCCTGAGAATTACAGAAATGTCTGCATGACTTTCCATTGCTTGCTCCTCTTCATTGTGAGCCAGAAAGGGCCCAGGATGTCTTATGACCTGCAGCCTGGGGGTTCCTCCCTGGGCTGAGGATAATCCATTGCTATTCTTAGAAGAAAGCATAGCAGTAATGCCACAAAGAAAAGCCAGTAATGCTACAAAGAAAAGCCTCATTTGCATCTAATATTTCAAGTAATGGTATTGTCAGGGGCTGTAGGGTCAAAGAAACCTTTGGTAATGTCCTCAAAGATAGTTTGGCTGTTACTGTGAGTTACCGTGAGTTCACAGAAATGGGAAACATGTTGTCACTTACATTGTGAATTTTAAAATAGCTCTATTTATATTGCTTTTGTAATGAAAAGGGAATGTTTCACATTTCCCAGGAATCGTTGTATATGTCCCCTTAATACTCAGTGAGGCAAATGAGATGAAAATCAGCACATGACGTTCCAGGGTACTCAGTTGATAAGTTGTCCCTTTGAAAAATGCCCAGTCTATCTTCTCTAGTCCATAGTGTCCAGCCATGCTCTGGAAGCACATGGGTATCCTGAGTGGGGCCAAAGGGCAGACCTGTCAAAAGCAAACAATGGCTTCCTCCTGTCATGGGGAAAAAAATAAGCTAACGAGTATATTTTTTTTCAAATGTAAACTTTATTCCCATAAATTTTGCTTAAATATTGCCTATTACCAGTTTCCAGTTGACCCTGAGTCAACTAAAAAATGGCCAAGCAGCAACTACTATTTGCAGAAAAGGGATGTTCTGGTAGCAACAACTAAAGCCAATATGCTGGATCAAGCAAAAAACAAAACATTTTGTTTATGAATATAAAAGTGTCTCATGGACCACATGGGTAGAGTGGAGCTGGGCCCTAAAGAGGTCAAACACTAGCTCAGCCTCTTTCTGCACACCATTCTCTTTCTGCTTTCAACAGACTTGTTTTGCTACTTAGTCCATAAAGTGGAAGATAGCTACCCAGATTGTCCAAGGTTACATATTAACTCTCTACTAAATAAATAGACTGCCTCTCTCAACATAGTCCTAAACACGCAGGAAAGAAAATCTGATAGGCCCAGTTTAGGTCAGGGTTCCACTCCTAGTCCAATAAGCTGAATCCAGGGGTGAGGGCAGGACATGGCCACACAATAGAAAATGGCCACAAGAGGTCTGTCTTGTAACCTAAGCATTAGGGCAGAACAGTTCCAAGAGAGAGAAGTAGTGGTAAGAAGGGTGTGTGATGTCCCAGAAGGAAGCTACTCCGTGGAGGATCCAGTGTGGTGGTGCTCCATCACGCCACAAAAAAACTGGATTCAAGCCCAACACCACTGGGATCCAGTGAGAAAATATTGAGGAGTTTTAACACATCCTCTGGAAACACTGTAAGCATTTTTCCTTAGACTACATAGGTAAAGAGAGGGGATTTTTTTTTTTTTTACAATGTCATTTAATCCTCCAAGACAATGTGATAAGCTCTGTTTTGCAGATAAGAATATTAAAGCTCAGAGAGGTTAAGTAACTGTCCCAAGGTCACCCAACTAGTAGGGGGTAGAACAAAATTCACACCCATGTCTGACTCCAAAACCCCATTCATGCTCCATCCATTCCTCTGTGTTCCTTCCCAAGTGAACTCTGCCCAGAGATAAGTCTCCCTTGATCAGCTGAACAGCCTGAATTGAAGACAAGCATGTACCGAAAAGCTGACTTCCATTTTCTGTGCCTTAGACTTTTCTAGGCCCAGTTTGCAAAGTGTGAATTCAGCCAGTCTTGCAAGGACTCTGGCCACAGCACAAAGTTCCTTAGCATCCCCAAGTCAGAAGGCCCCCTTCCTACGCCTCATCCCCACCCACTGCAGGTTCCTCAACCACCCCCCAGGTGGAGCATTTCAGCCCCCAGCTACTCCTAGGTTGTATACTGTTCAAGTGCTATCAATGCCATTTTCCTGTTTGCGTTTTGTTTTTGTTTTTGTTTTGTTTTTACAGTTCGTTGCTCATCCTAACTGTCAGCAGCAATTGCTTACCATGTGGTATGAAAATCTCTCAGGCTTACGTCAACAGTCTATCGCTGTGAAATTCCTGGCTGTCTTTGGAGTCTCCATAGGCCTCCCTTTTCTCGCCATAGCCTATTGGATTGCTCCGTGCAGCAAGGTACAGACTGCTTAAGGTGCATGTCGTTTGCGGTTATTTCTTCTCTCTTCTTAGCATGATCTGAAATCCATTTTGTTCAAATTAGCAGCTGATTTTTTCCCATATTTAAAGAAAATATTCCTGAGATACCCGGTGAAAGTAGGAAACCACATAAAAGGAAAAATGTTAAGACGTGCTTTTTTAAATCTTTTTTTTTTCAAAGAGAGAGAGGAGCAATAAAATTTTAAACACGAGAGGCATAATTTGAAAAGATCAGTAACAGAATTGAGAATAAAGACACTTTTCTTCTTCTAATTATGCAATGTCCTAAGCATGTCCTCCA
The DNA here is from genome assembly GCF_000001405.40 of Homo sapiens. NCBI lineage: Eukaryota > Metazoa > Chordata > Mammalia > Primates > Hominidae > Homo > Homo sapiens. Next base: position 136,274,350 of record NC_000005.10, on the reverse strand, counting down.
AACCCACAGTATAATAATTAGAATCATGGTAATAGTAATAGCTAACATTTGAGTAGTTTCTCTTCTCTAAGCCCTTTTCATGGAATATCTCATTTCACAGCCTCAATTACATTATGACATGTATGCTTTATGAAGTAGGTCCAGAAAAGAGAAATAACTAGTAGGCTGGGAGTCAAACACAGCTCATGCTGGGGCACTGCAGACACATTGCAACATCTTCCTAGTTTTCCTGGCCCCTTCGATGAGGTTCTGGCTCACATGGGCAGCTAATTAGGTTGCAGGAAGGAAAAAGGCAAAGGAAAGAGAAGAAGAGCTCAAAAGGAGTGTTATTTCCCTGAGGGGGAGTGTCCAGTGCCCACCAGTGATGGAAGGAGTGGAAACTGCAGGTGCCAAGCTGCCCTACTAGCGGCTCCACCATCCCCACATCCCAGTCACATGAGTCAAAGCCGTAGAAAGTAACAGCACTCCAGCTTCGGGGAAGAGTCAGTGCTTTTAAGACCAAACCATGCAGAAATTTTGAAGTATGTTTCATGGGTTTAAGATTGTCACTAAAGGTTCCAAAGCTGCATTTACCTAGTGATACATTTAAAAAGGAATTAAGCTTAGGTAATCAACATTCAGTAGGAGAAATATGACTACAGGGAGATTAGTTCCATAGGCAATTTGATCAGGTAATGTGGTTAATAAAAGTGTCACCAGTGAACCAACCCTCTTGTCAACTCCACTTAGGAGTAACTCATACCAGAATGACAGCTGCGAGACTTCGGGGCTGCTGGTGAGGCCACCTAACCAGACAGTCAATGAACTGACTGCCTCACAGTAGGTACAGGGTCACAGAGAGAGGTCAAGTCCCCAAATCCTTCTTCCGGAGAGTAGTATTAAGAATGGAAGCCCTCTTACTGAACTTTTACAGTATTCAACCTTACATCTATTGAGGATTTTGCTTCTATGGCAGTTTATCATGCCAGGCACTTTCAGATCAGAATTTCCCAAGTAATATATATGTAGGTAAAGGCAATTTTTTTCTGTCCTTCATTATGAGCTGAAAAAACACAGTGGGTGAAAAAACTAACCAGATTTAAAGCTGGCTTGAAGCTGGTCATGGGTTTTAGGCACAGTCTGTACTGTAAGTTGCCTTCACCCAGAGCCCCAGTGAGTAGGGACACTTAACTTCACTTTCTCTGAGCCCCAGAACAAATTCTAGGCTGTTCGATCATTAAAATAACAGCAACTTTGTGGAGAAAGCGCTGCCAATCCTCACTTTTGCTGCAAAGCTAAATGTGACAGCTTCCAGGAACCTGGGACTTGCCAACAGGAGCAAACTGGCTTGCCTCTGAGTGCCTAGTGGCCTGGGAAAAGACTCAGAAAGAGTAGTTGCTGACTAAATTGTTTAGATTTCTGGTAGCTCTGAGAGGAATCTTGGTACATATGCAGATGTGATCCCATTAAAAAGTGTGTGGTTGCAGAGAGGGATTTCTAGAATTTCTTGGGCCTAGTAAATCCAGGAAGGTAATAGCACCTGGGATGTAGGGGTCAGACCTATGGCAGTTTTCTGGAACACTCTGGAGGAAACAGTTGCAGGGAAGTTTGGTCCATAACAGGGGTTTCCTCACCTCTGTTTAGATACTCATGTGATTGACATTTGGTGCCCCCAGAAGTTCCATTAAGACTAAAAAAAGAAAAAAGAAACTCAAGATAGACATGAACTGATCATTAAGCCACTTGTCACTTCTGTGACTTTCTAGATTCCAAGTCTGAGCTCAGTGCAGTAGAGGGCATGTCGATAACTCAGTCTGTGGCATGAGATGACTCTTGGTGGCACTGCTCATTACAAGCAAAGATTCCCTCATTAAAGAGCTGTTGAACTTGCTCTGAGGCAGCCAAAGGACAGATAAAACAGTCAAGATATTTTTAGTCTTTCCTTTCACCATTTAGAAAGAAATCTTTTCAACTTTGGCAGAGATATTACTGGGAATTACAGAGAGGTCACATCTGCCATGTGACAAAACCAGCCCCTCTAAGGGTTCCTGATGCCCAGAAAAACCATGTCTTCCCAAAAGGAGGGCAATGGCGAAGTCTGTTAATGGGCTGGCAGCCCTCCTCCTGAGGGGTCACTGACTTTACATCTGTCTATATCTGTAATTCTAGGAAAAGGACAATGTCATTTCAGAGATCTCATTCTAATGACATTATTACACCTCTTTCTGAAAACTTAGACCTTGATATTATTTTATAAATGTATTCATAAAATGTCACTTGCAAACTTCGTCAACTAACTAATGCCCATCAATGTCTAGTAAATGTTGAGATTTCTGTTTCCAACCCAATGGTGCATTTACTTCCTAATAGTTGTTGCCCTAATTTAGAGACTATTAGGAGCATCAAAATTACTTGATTAGCCAGCCATAATGACTGCATCATTTCTTTCCTATTGAATTATCAAGGCTGTCAATTCTATTTTTATATTGTTTCTGAGGGTCCCTAAGAAAGACAGTTAAATAAGGAAATTACAAGGTGAAAGGTGTCAACAGAAGTTCAGCTTACTAATATGTTGGTTGAAGAGGATAACCAAGTCACAGATGGCTACGTATAATGATAAATGCAGGCCTGGAGCATGGGACAGGTTCATCTGGGTCAAGAGAAAGAACAGTGATTCTGTTTATCATTTCTCATTGTCATCACCAACTTAGTTGAGCTCAGGCAGCCCACTGGGAGACCAGTGAATTCTAATCCCTATGGATGCACAGCAGTTAGGTCTCTGTTTGCCTAAAGAGTTCTTTATTCTCTCAACAAGGACTCCAATGTCAAAGGGTCTTTATAGCTGCCTAAGCTGTTTCCATCCTTTGCTATCCTATTCTGATGTGTAAGTTAGATTGTTTGCCTGTTAAGATCTCAGAGCCAAAAGAATAAATAACAGTCATCTTCAAAGGTTCAAACAGTGTCTCTATATGATGTGGCAGAAGCCAGCATCATGAAAATGCTGAGGAACTGCACCAGTTTTAATTATAACAGGGAAGGAGAAGCTGACCTTGTCTATTACCTGTTAACTATAACTGTTCCAATTATCTTCAAAATTTACCCCAGGACTCAGGCAGGAGGAACTGTAAACAACTTTAGAATCCAACCTTATATCTTTGTAGTGTGCAATCTATCAGTCCTTACTGCCATAACCCTTGCTCGGAGAAATATAAAGTTGGTACCCCCTCTTCACCATCCCAAACATGAATATCTAGTAAGGAAGGCGTGAGTGAGTGGGCAGCTTTGAAAGATCTCTGCTTTGCCTTACCAAAGCTGAAATGGCTTGAAAGGGGTCCTCAAACCATGTGGTTCAGGGGCCAACCAGGAGAGGAGAGCACCTCCAGAGACCTCTTTTTCTCCACATTTATCTCTACCAGAGAGCTACACTCGATTAAAGAAAATCACAACACAATTTTTGAAGCATAGCCATGGAGAGGAAATTTGTGTCAGGAAATACAGCATCGGTGCTCTTATGTCACCAATGCTTCTGTTCCCAAGTCCAAAAGGCTAGTCCAGCACCTGTCACCCTGCTGAGATAGGATTAAAGAGTGCCGGAAGCTGATCACTTTCAGACTTAGCCCAGACTTAGCCCAGGCTGAGCCCTGCAACATTTCTCCCCATCTCTCCATCTATTTCCTATCACACTTTTTAGCCTGTGTCTCTCCACACTAGAAAATCAGCAACTTTGAAGGGAAGATCCAACTCTTACAGCTTGTTTTATCTCTTTCACCTCCAGTGCCCAGCATCGTGTTGCATATAGATAGCACAACAGGCTGTCTATAAGAGATATCCCGAACAGGCTCGTGGCATAAAGACATAAGGACTCTGTTTGGGTCCACCTTTGTGTGAAGTTTATTTTAAGATTCCACTTAGGAGAATGCCCTGAGACCCTCCAGTGCCATATATTGAGTACTTCCCATACACCAGGCACTGTTCTAACTGCGTTGTGTGTATTAAATAATGCATTGCTTACATTGACCCTATGCAGTTGGCACTATTTTTATCCCCATTTTATAAAAGAAGAAACTGAAACACTAAGGGATTAAATAACTTGTTTTTAAAAAAATATAGGAAGCTGTGGTTTAAACCTAGAGTCTCTGGCTCCAGAGATCTGCACTTAATGGCTGCATGCAAATGCACCGCCCACGTGTGCGCGCACACACACATCCCTCTAGTTACACGAGCACCATTACAACCTTCAACGCCTAACATAAACATCTTAGCTGCTGACTAACCGACCTTGAAATGGACTTGATTTAGATCTTAAAAGTTGGTAGGACTTTTTTAGAAAGAAGTCAAAACAACCAGATGACAAACTCTGTCCCTTCCTTTTCTTTCATCGGAGTCCTGCTTTGTAAATCCCTCTTCAGCCCCCAGGACAAAGTGTGGATTCACATTGAAATGTGTGGAGAAATATCAAGTCGTTACAATGTGTAGATTGACATTGTAATGTAAGAACACTGATTACAGGCACCCAGTAACACCACCACTATCCCACCCCATCATAAAAGGGAAAAATCCTGAGCCCTATGTTAGACATTTTGAATAAGAGTTTCAGGGGGAGCATCTTGAGGATCTGCCTCTAATTTAACCAGGATCTCGCTAACATTTGAGAATCACCCAACCCCGAAGCTGTGCATGATTCTTTTGGGAATGATTAATCCAAGTTTACTTTCACTCAGTTTCTAACTTGTAAACCAGGCCCTTGCTTAAGACCATGGCACCCAGTGGAAAGCGAGAGTGGCATTTGGCGAAGGAGACTCTGTCATAAAAGATTAGGAAGATGCTGGAAACCTTTTCTGAGTGATCTACCACAATCACAGCCACAGGGCTATATTTCTGGGATGTGGGGACTCACACATCCAGGTACCGCTTAGGTGCTTACACTTGTGGGGGCTAAGAGCCCAGTGGCATGGAACACAGAGTTGGTGCTGACCAGTAAACGCAGGTGCCCACCCCAAAGGTCCATGAAGGCAATTTTCTTGGAGCCAATTCAGGGGCACTCTTCAGTTGCTTTGACATTCATATATTTCTCAGAGCCAAAGAATAGTGGCCAGGAAGCTTCGGGTGAGCCAGAGACTTCAGTTCTACAAGCTTTAATTTCCTGATGTGTTCTCAGCTCATAAGGTCCTAGTAATGACTGAACTGCTTTAGCCCACATTTTTTGGGCTTCTCAGTTCTGCACTCCAGGCACAGCAGGCTAAGGCCCACATCTTCATCTCTTTTTACACCTAACGCTGATACCTGACCCAGCTTTAACGATTCTGCAGCTAAGAGCTGCTAGCATATATTGGTTGACTTTTCTCCTTTCTTTTGGCTCATCTGATGGCCTTGCAAATGGAGGAAATTTTCCCCAAAGGTAATTTACTTCAAAAATTATCTGTGTGAGTCAAATAGGGAATTTTACAAATAAAGAAAAAGGAAACCATTGAAATGACTGGATCTCATTTGACCTTTATCAAAGTTTTACCAGATAAAAAGATGCATTCAAACCCAGAAGTATAGGAAAAGAATATCAATTCCCAACCTCACTTTTCCTCCCTGTGACCTAGATCAAGTGGGAACTGAGCCCAGGGTAACTTTCCATCAAATCACCAAAAGGCATTAACAGGACTTTTTATTATGGTTTATAGTAAATATAATAAGTTTTGCAGATTCATCTTCTTCTAGAAGATAACAGCTTGAAGGAGGTAACAAAACGAATATTAAATTCCTTAAACCAGGTCTTCTGGGGAAACTCAAAGCCAGCTTGGGTGCAGCTACATACAAATTCCAGGAATCAGGTGCCTCACCTGGGTGAGAAGTTGGAGAGGTATACCCCATATCCTCATCCAGATTATCACTGAAGATATTAGGTAGAGACCACAGATAAAGGATGGGGAAAATGGACCCCTTAAGAGCTGTGTCTATCTCAGAGTTCCCCAGCTTTTTCTAACATTCTTGAAACCTTGCTGGGATACACAAGACCTGGTATCCCTTGCCCTCTCTTCAGTCTCCCCTCTCCTCATCTATTCTCCTCCCTGCAGTCATTCTCCATCTCCCATCACCTCTCATCACCAGCTCAGTCAGGACACAGTGACAAGAAACAATGTGATGACTACCTAAGGCTGTCTCCTGGATATGCCAAAATATCCCAAGGTCCTGGTTGGGAAATGGGGCTCCAAGATGCTAACACCATTTGCTAAAATGTCAAAAACTTCAAACTAGCTATTTAATATCATATAAATAAAAAAGAGACATGGTTTAATTCAGTTTTTTACTGAATTTATATAAAAATGTTTTATTTGTCCTTACATTTTATCTCTATCTCTATCACCTTCAGTGCCCTATAGAATGCCACTGCATTCTATAACTAGCACATCTGTCTATTGCCAAAAATAATCTACAGTCCCTATTTTTGTAAGTAATAAACATTATACAGAAATGTTATTGTAAAATATTTGTGGGCCTATTGTCAGATAAACATCTCTTTATATTTCTGAAGTTATTCCTAGTGTCATATGACAATATGCAGATGAATTCTAACACAAGCAGGGACTCCTAATGCTTGGATATTTTTTAAAACCTAGATTTTTAAAAAAGATAAAAACTAATACTTTATTTTAATAAATGGGTTCTATAGCATCAGAATCATAATAATGTTATGCTAATAACTACAGTAATTAAAGTGGATGATTAACATACTGAAGCACATTAAAAGAACATTATCAAACCATCTGATTTATAAATGTTGTGCTGAACATATGTGACTAGGAAAATTCTACTTAGAGAAGGCCCTGTAATTGATCTTCTGTTGAACCAACAGTCTATCTCCTGGGTAACATTTCACTCTAGGACTCCTGAATGAGGCAGAATGTGAATGTCAAGTAATCAGTCACTGGTTATAATTGAATATCTACCTTGGAAAAGGAACTGAGCTTCAGAAAAGATGTTCCTCTTTGTTCTTGCCTTATTATTGTACCTGGATGAGGGGTAGGGCTTGGTGCTTAGATGAGGGCAATGAGCTGGAAGAGTCCCAACTGAGTTCATTAACAGGAGGTTGGCAAGTACTCAACGTGCAGCCCTCAATTCGATCCCAAAGATCCAAGTGGCCTTTGGATGGGGTGCCATGAGATAAAGAAGATGTGACTAGTATTTGCTCCTAATAGGGCATCTTTTGGACCATTTCCAGCTTGTGACATTTCAGGCACTAGGCCAAAAGGAAAACCTCAATGAATTTTAGAATACCATCATAGAGGCTATGTTCTATAAAGATGCTGCAATAAAATTCAAATTTTTTAAAGCAGGGAGAAAAAAAGTCCTCTATGTCTGGAAATGAAATAATCCTTGAGTTAAAAATGAAATCACAATATAATTTATAAAATATTTATAACAGAATGTCAATGAAAATGCTACAAGTGAAAATTTAGGAGAATACAGCTAAAGCAGTACCTAGTGAGAAATGTATAGCTTTAAATAAATGTATCAACATACAAGAAAGGTTGAGAACAAATACCCTTAGAATGAAGCCCAAGTGAGTAGATTAAACAAAAACCGAGCACTCAAAGTGCATTTTTTAAAATTGTGAACTTTATGCAGACATTATTTTTTCATATCCATGCAGTTGGAGGTATCAGTGCAATCAGATGTAGCATGATGATTATGTCAGGTGTGTTCTATCAATTTCTCTTAGCCCTCCCACTAAGTCTTCTAAATAGGAAAATATTGACCAAATAAGTTTGGTCAAGCAGCATCTCACATAATAGTTCAAGAAAAAATGTTGTATGGGTTCAGTTAGCAGTTTCTGTCCAAGATGAAGGATTCTCTGGTTAAACTTTGGTGAAAGCGATGTTATAAAGAAAGACCTACATCCACCTAGAGACAGTTTAACATGTCTTGAACACATTTTCTTTCCAGCTAGGACGAACCCTGAGGAGCCCTTTCATGAAGTTTGTAGCTCATGCAGTTTCTTTTACAATCTTCTTGGGATTATTAGTTGTGAATGCATCTGACCGATTTGAAGGTGTTAAAACCCTGCCAAACGAAACCTTCACAGACTACCCAAAACAAATCTTCAGAGTGAAAACCACACAGTTCTCCTGGACAGAAATGCTCATTATGAAGTGGGTCTTAGGTAAGCAAGTCACTCTATTTTTATTCTCTCCTTGCTAATTATAGTAGGACATTATTAAACTCTGATTTCTGAATTTCTCCCTCTCCTCTTCAGTGTACTCCTGATAGACAAAATGGTGAGTGGATGACCAACAAGAAAGTCAGAGTCAACTTCTGTCTTTAAGATACACAGACCTGTATACAAATTCCAATTTTGAAAGGAAATGTTTGGGGCGGCGGGGGACAGAAATTTTTTAAGTACATATATTGAACATTCATTATACATGTATTGAAAGTAGTTTCATGGGGAAACATATTATTTTGATCATTTAAATATAGTCTACTGGAAGCCTTAAGAAAACAAGTTCAGATTCTAAAAAAGGGCACAAAATTTCATAGCTTGAAAGATATTTCTGTTATCACTAAATATTCATATTCATAGTAGAATTGTGATAATAAATATACATCTAAAAATTCACGGGAGTAACATTTTCTTGTTATTTGTGTAAGTGGGTGTACTAAAAGGCTATGAAATTCCTCTTGTAGTGGTATTTCATGCTGCCACAGTCTGCCACTGGAGCTGCCAAGGAAATTGTTCCCAATTTCCTCATTGATTAACTAAGAAAGGCTGTCTTTTACCCAATTTATGAGAACCATTACTAGAAGGAATAATCAGAACAAAATAAAACTGGCAGTGACTAAAATTGAACGTGGCAAAATGTGTTATAGATTTTTCCGACACTGAAAACTACAAAACTGGTTGGTTAAAAAAAAATCAGTCTTAGTAGGAAAAAATTAAAAATTGCAAAAACTAAAATCAGTGACTCTGTTTATAAACCTTATCAATAAATTTTAAGATTTACATCAAAAATATGTCAATTTGATGGGAATATTTTCAGTAAAACAAGAAAAACAGAAGATAAAAAAGACAAAAAATTAGTACAGTATCAAGACTTGATCAAATAATTCAATTGGCTTAATGGTATTCACCTTAGATTTTGCTTTCTGAACAAAAATTTTAATATTGGTATAATTTTCATTATGTTTATATTCACAAACAATGAGTCAAAATGTATTCGGGTCAAATCAACAAAATCACAGTAGAACAAATACTTGAAAAGGTAACCTAACATATGGCCTGTGCTAATTAAATAATATAGCCCAAGAGTGCTACAAGAGTAGAACCACTAGAGAACATCCTATGGATGCCTAAGCTGAGACCAATTGGAAAAATGCTCTCTAAATTCGATCTCTAAATAGGCAAAGGAAGATGAGATGAATGGTTTTATCCAAAGGGTATAGGAAGGACAACCCACCAAGCTTTCCAGGGACTTTATAAAACCAGCAACCCGGCCAGGCACAGTGGCTCACACCTGTAAACCCAGCACTTTGGAAGGCCGAAGGGGGTGGATCACGAGGTCAGGAATTTGAGACCAGCCTGATCAACATGGTGAAACCCTGCCTCTACTAAAAATACAAAATTTAGCCAGGCATGGTGGTGTGCGCCTGTAATCCCAGCTACTCAGGAGGCTAAGGCAGGAGTATCGCTTGAACCCAGAAGGCAGAGGTTTCGATGAGCGGACATTGCACCACCGCACTCCAGCCTGGGCGACAGAGCAAGACTCTGTCTAAAAAAGAAAACAAACAAAAAAAAAAACAGCAACCCTGTGACCAAAGGCTCATTTAGTACAGTCACTGGCACTAAAGTTGGGAAGGGACATTAAAGTTTGTTACAGAGTTCTGTGGTCTTAACTTCACAATTCAGAATCTATCCCAGTTCTCCCTAGTACATACGCCATTGTTTAACTAAATTGAGCATTTTAACACTAGGCACTTAGAAAAAACTCACATGTTGGATTTATGAATAAAATTTAAAGTATTTACAGCACCAATCACCCACCTACCCCATTTTCCCACTTGGACCCCAGGTAGAAGACTCTGGTAAATGCAACCATACTTTCCCTTGAACAGGTGTGGCTGCTATTAATGGAACCTCTTGAATGAGGACTTCCTCCTGAGTCCTCATATTTCTCTTCCTGGGTGTCAGAGCATTATTCCAATATAAGGGATGTGTCTCTAGCTATAGGAACCCCAACTTGTATAGCTTAGTCCCTGCTTCTGACCCTCAGAGCAGAATTCAAGACTGTTAAATCAGAAGTGTTGTAGAGGGAAGGACTTATTTCTCATTGGCCTCTTTCCAGAAGGAAAATTCTAATTACTTTTTCTTTCCTAGAGAATGTTTTCAAATTTTTTATCACAAATAATTTTAAGGAAATGCAAAAAATCAAGAGAAGAGCATAATGAATTCCATGGACCTATCTCTCATGTTCAACAGTTAGCAATTCATGGCCAATCTTTGCTCCATCTATACTTCCCCCACCTCCCTTCTCTCTAACCTTGAATTATTTTGAAACAAACCCCAGCTATTGTAAATTTATTCTGTAAATATTTTTGTGTATATCACTGAAATGTAACATGTCTTTTTCCTTTTATCAGTCTTTCTTCTTTCTGTGCTTCACAGTCGCTGATATTTTTTCCTGTGGTTTTTGTGATTTTAATTTCAATCAGTGAGTTTTTCATTTCAGATATTATATTATTCAATTCTTAAAATCTTATTTGGTTCTCTTTTATATCTCCCATTTCCTTCCTCATCATTTTTGTGTTTTCCTTTAAATCCTTGGACACATTTACAATAACTGTTTTGAAGTCTTGACTCCTAACTCCATCATTTCTGTCATTCCTGGGTTGATTTCTATTGACTAATCTTGCTTCTAATTATGGATGACCTTTTCCTGCATCTTGAAATGTTTGGTAATTTTTTGGTTGAATGATGGGCACTCCGCATGTTACAGTTGTGAGCCTCTGGATTTTGTCTTCCTTCAAAGTTTTTGGCATTATTCTGACAGGCTGTTATGCCACTTGTGATGAGTTTGATCCATGTAAAGCTTTCTCACAGTGGATCTGGAGAAGGCTTACTATAAAGATTGTTTATCTTTGTACTATAGAGACACACTTCTGGGGTCTCTATTGAATGCCCTGGGTAATCAACAAGGAGTGTCAAATCTGGATGATCAGAGCTCGAATATCTCCCCACTCTGGGTAAGCTCTGAAAACGGTTCGGCTTTTAGCTCCTTGGCAGTTGTTTGTGGAGTTTCACTCTATGAATTCATGACTTGGTATTCAACAAACATTCAAAAGAACCCCTATTTAAATTTCTGGTGTCTTTTGTTTGTTTAGTTTTGGTTTGTTTGTTTCTTTGCTTGCTTGTTTTTGCATAGTACCCTTCTCTCTGGAGCTCTGCTGCACAACATCTAATCACCTCAGCCTTCCAAAACCCCATTCTGTCTCTTCAACTCAGTGAGACTGCTGCTATGCTTCTGGGATCCCTCTCCGTGCACTACAGACTGGAATGTGCCTCCAGAAAGCAAGCCATGGTGGTCATATGGTTTGCCTCACTTGTTTCCCTTTACTTAGGGATCACAGTCCCGTGCTGCCTATTTCCAATGCCTAAAAATATTATTTATGTTTGCTTTTGTTTTGTTGTTTTTTAACCTGTTTGTTACTCCATCCTGGCTAGTAACAGAAATCAGAACACTTTTCCTAAAAGAGAATCAGAAAAACATTATCAAGCCTAAAAGAAAATTAATAATTTCTTAGTATCTTCAAATATCCAGCCAATAACCAAATTTCTTTCATTGAGAGACGTAAGTTGAATAAATATCCACAAGACTCGCTTCCCCTCCTCCTTCAAATCACTGTTCAAATTTCACCTTATCAGAGTAGTTGAGCAGGTAAGAGCATGCCCTCTCATCCCTCTACTCTGATAAGGTGAAAAGCATTCCAGGCAGAAGGAACAGTATGTGTTAAAGCTGGATTCAGGAGCAAGCTGGACGTGTTCAAGGAACAGCAAAGAGACTAGTGTGGCTGATGTAGATGAATGAGGAGAAGAGAAATAGAGATGAAGTCAGAGGAGGCAGCCTTTGGAGAGTTTTCAGCACAAAAGTGACATCATACGACTTCAGTTTTTAAAGGATCACTGACTGCTATGTAGAGAATAGATGATTGTGGGATACGAGCAGAAGTAAGGAGACCAATTAGGAGGCCACTGCAGTAATTTAGACAGGAAGGAAATGGCTGGTTTGAGGAGGTGGCAGATTGTGATTACATTTTGAAGGTAAAACCAATAACACTTACAATTGGATTGTATATGGGATGTGAGAGAAAGAGAGCAGTCAAGAACAATTCCAGGTGTTTAGTTCAAGCACTGGCATATTAGAAAGCCATTTACTAAGATGGGAAAGACCCAAGGTGGAGCAGTTTGCAGGGGGAATAGAGATGGAAACCAAGACTCTAGTTTGAGACACATATTTAGACATTCATGTGGAAATGCCAAGTAGCAACTGAATATACATGCCTGAAGTTCACAGGGGAGACAGGCTGAAAACATAAATTTGGACATATCAATGCATTTAAATTATATAACATCATTGTAACTATGAATGTGGGCAGAGAACTGAGGACCAAGCCCCAGAGCACAACAATGTTTAAAGCATGGGAAGATGAGAAATATCCAGCAAAGAAGGCTAAAGTAAGAGAAGAACCAAGAGAGTGCTGGCCCAGACGCCAAAGTATCTGTGGCAAGAACCAGGGAGTGATGACAATGTCGAATGCTGCTGATGAGGCCAGAGACATGACAATCAGCTTTGGAAGCAAAGTACCTGAGTAGGCAACAGGGAATGGGATTTAGTGTGGAAGCAGAGGACTTGGCCTTAGCAGGAGTGTGAACACTTCACTCATTGTAACGGGAGAAAAGGTGGAGTTGACAGCACAGTGCAGGTGGACTGGGAGATGCAGTAGCGGGAACATGTAGAAGTTATTTTCCGATATTTTCTATTTTCTCAATTTTTTACTCAATAAATATTTTCTAGTTATTAGGCACTATATTATACATCAGGCACCGTGTCAGGTACTAGGGAAGCAGCTATAAATAGAATTAACATTATCTTGTTCTAAATAGCATCTGGAGCTCTTTAATTATTATAAAAATAGTAATAACTGAGAGATAGATTTGAGCACTGTGTTTATGAGAAGGGTCTTTGTGCTGGTGCACCCTGAGATCCAGCATGTGATTCACTCTCTGCTCAGATGTTGAGAGGTATGAGGTAGCATCAGGCCCCTGCTGATGAAGACTTGGAATTCTGCTCCTAGGCACCTCCAAGAAGGCCTCGTATCAGCTAGAAACAAAATAGCACAGTTCTTTTCTCCCATGACATACCATACTCATAAATGAAGTACTTTGAACAGACTGATTATAAAGACACCCAAACCATTACTCCCTCTTTATCAGAAGCAACTCTAGAGTTGAACCAAACCTCAGGACCCTAACAAGTCCAAAGTACTTTCAGGAATGGAGAGTTTGGCCACAAAGGGCTGAATGACCCTTGTCCAGGTCTCCTTGCTGCTGCCCCTCCCACCCCCATGACTCAGTCTGTTCTCAATGCAGGAGCTAGAGTGATCCATTTAAAACGTAATTGAGTCTTCTCATTGTTTGCATCAAGACTCCAGTGGCTTCCCATTTCCCTCAGAATGACAGCCAGTGTCATTATAGTGGCCTATGATGCTCTCACCTCTCCACTCCATCTCTATGACCTTCTCTTCCACCGCTTTCCACCTCACTCACTCTGTTTCAGCCCCCTAGGCTCTCTGCCTTGCACTGCTTCTGCCTAAGAACACTTGCCCTGGCTGTCCCCTCTGCCTGGAGAGTTCTTCCTGCATGGATCTACATGGCTCACTCCCTCACCTCCTCAGGTCTTTACTCAACAGTATCCTCCGCAGAGTGAGGCCTTTCAACCCAAGCTATTTAAATTTGCAAGTCCTCCCACCCCTACTGTCCTCCTAGTCCCTCTTTTTTGTTTCTCTGCATAACCATTAACGCCTCTGACAATACTATATGCTCTATTTTGTTTCCTGCCTGTCTCAATTAATACTGATATTTCTGTAATCACATAGATTTGTAGCTGACTCCTTTCATCTTCTGTTTAACTGTAGCCCTCTCTCCACATGGCCATCTGGTTTTCCCAATCACCTCTTTCAATGGCCACTTGTGTTGACAACAACTTACTTCCCAATCCCCTCATCCTATGGGGCATGTAGGTTGTTCCTCTTTTGATTTACAGTTCTATAGGAAGGCCAAACCCAACTGGAAATACCTTCTTCCTTTCCTCCACATACTTTGCCCAGTTCTCAGCAGAATTTTGAGAAAATTCTAGATCATCATTCCAGGATATTTAAGGTATCGGCAGAGAAAGTGAAAGCCACAAGGAGACTAAGTAGACAGAGCCAGAGAGGCAAAGAAACTCCAGGAGAACATAATATCAAGGAAGCCAAGTGAGGAGCAAGGCTGAGGAAGGAGGGACAAATTTGCTGGCAGACATATATATCCTGGAGAGCCATCAGATGAGGAAAAGACTAAATGAACCAGTGACCATTGCTCCTTCCAGCCTGGAGAATCTCTAACATCCACACATACCATAGGAATCTGTCTTTGTTGCTTGCATTATAAGCAGTGATTCTGGGGTAGATGCAAGAATAACAAGCTTATAATAAGTTTTTTGACTAGAGATTATAGCACTAGAGATGTTCATCTGAGAACTGTGTAATAATGCTAGTAGTTCCCAGAAAGCGGTCAGAAGCTTGGAAGCTAGCAAGCATCTCCATAACGCATGAGATTTCTCCATCTAGGAGTAAATGCCTGGTATGGTAGTAAAATACGTCTAAAATGCTAAATAGGAGAAGAGCTTGGGAGTGTGTCCCTTTCTCTTTGGTGGCTTTGCCTCTCTTAATGGTGGCTGGCACAAAGGTGGAGCTCAACAATGTCTGTTAAGTGGGTGAATGAGTTCCTAACCAGTGAGAGTAAGCTTGTTCCCAGTGGAGGGCATGGCAGGAGACAGCACAGTGGACAACAAGGCTCCTGGGCTGCCTGTGTGGCTTTGGACAACTTACTTGCCACCTTCATAGGTGAGTTTCTTCATCTGTAAAGTGGGGATAATTATAGTAGCTATCTATCAGACTATTATGAAGACTTAGCATTTATTAAGTACTTACAAAGGGCCTGGCACCTAGAAGGTACTCAATAATTGGGGGCTACTATATTAGAAAAGAAGAGGAGGATGAAGAGGAGGAGCTTTGTTAGAACATTTTTGATCTATTAATATTATCCTCTTGCCTGAAAAACAAATGAACCCTGAATGTGTCTGAGGCCAACATTTGTTGCAAAGGACTGCCTGTTGAGATAGTGTTTTGATGTTAGGACTTGTGGGTTCACAGCCACTAGGCATATTCTCTCTCCTGCGAGTTCAAACTGGGGACCAATGGTGAGAAGTTGGCCTGAGAGAACAGAGAGGCAGATGCAATGCCCTGGGACAGTAGCCCCTGGGGGCCAGGACCATTTAAAGAATGTACATACTTAAGTCTCACAGGACTTTGAAGGGGGAGCCCTTCTGAATATCATCTGAGGCAGGGATAGGAGTGAACTGCCTTTTAGCCTTTTAGCTGTCAAGCTCCATCTCCACAGCCTGCAGGACATTACTCAGAACCTGCCTATAAGAAGCTACTCATTTCCCTTGAGGCTTCCTGGCACTTCCCAGCCTGTTCCACTGCCAGGCACCCCTCCTTAATTATTAGTGACCTTGTTCTCTAGGCTCCAGGCATCCCTGAGTGAGGGAAATTTTGCCTGAAGGAGGCTCAAGTGTAGGGAGCAGGGTGGGGGCGCATGCTTACCCCTTGAGCCCTGGGCTCTAAACACTCCTGTGATTGACATGCTGGAGGCAAAAGGCCATGGGGCTCAGCTTGGATATAAAACGCTGAACTATCCTTGGCACTGTGGCGGCAGGGGGCCAATTTCACTCACTAAAATACTTAATTTCACACAATTCCTTTTTCATTAAGCATTCCTGCTGCCCAAACCCTTGGGCCCATGTTACTTTTACTTATGGCCCTGGAATAATTTAAATTCATCTGGGTGAATTAATATTTAAATCTAAGAAGACTCATGCAGACATTTGACCATGGAGGAAGTGATTCCCAATGTCCAATGAGAAGCTACTATATGGGTCAGAAAAGTTAGTTTTCTGAAAATAATTTGCATTTCAGATTCATAGAGCTTTTAGTACTTGAAGTTACCTCCAAACTCCAAATTCATTCATTTCAAAATATAGAATCTAAGACCCACAGCAAATCAAGGGACTTAGCCACAGTCATACTGCTAATAGGTAGCCAAGCTAGAACTTGAACCCAGGGCTTCCTGAATTAAAGCCAATCACTCTTAAGTTACAGCCTGTGACTCTCCTAGTGCCATGCTAAAAGCAGTTCCACTCAGATGTTGAGATTTTTAATTTGGGGGTAGAGGAAAGCAACAAACACTATTTTTCTATCCATTAAAAAATTTATTTTTAAAATCCATTTAAAAAATACCGGTTGCACAGTCACAGATGAAAGTGTATTTCAGTGTTAAGAAATTACTTCACTGAATTACCACAAAAATTTTGATACGGTATACTTGAGACATAGCTTTGTTAACAAAAAAGGAGGGGGCTGGTTCTGCCCTACCATTGTAGGGTAAACCTACCTGCAATTTTTTTTAATATTTCCTATTGTGGGGATTCCAATTTGATACAAATATGCAGATCTTCATTAAATAAAGCCATGATTCTTCTCCAAACAGCTGCTCTCAAATTACTTTTCTCCTTAGGAAAACATTTCAGGCCGGAAGTGGTGGCTCATGCCTGCAATCCCAGCACTTTGGGAGGCCGAGGTGGGAGGATCACGAGGTCAGGAGTTTGAGACCAGCCTGGCCAATATGGTGAAACCTCGTCTCTACTAAAAATACAAAAATTAGCCAGGTGTGGTGGCGTGTGCCTGTAGTCCCAGCTACTCGGGACGCTGAGGCAGAAGAATCGCTTGAACCCAGGAGGTGGGGGTTGCAGTGAGCTGAGATCGCACCACTGCACTCCAGCCTGGGCGACAGAGTGAGACTCCATCGCAAAAAAAAAAAAAAAGAAAGAAAAACATTTTAAATCCTTTTATTTCATGGGCCATTTTCAACAGAAAGGGAAATTTTCTGATTAAAATAGTCCCTGGGCATAGTCCCAGACAAGTAAAACTGATCAGCTCATCACTCGAATGTGCCCACATGTGGGCCTGTGAGCAAGTCAGCCAGGCTCTGACCAGGGAAGAGCCCTCATTACTGTCTACTCCCAGCATCATCTATGACACCAGGCTTTTTCAGCATCTGGACCCCCAAAGGCGATTGTTATCATGTAGGCATCTGTGAGTGTGCTTGGGTTAATGTCTGGGAAAAAGAAAGGAAGAAACACAAGCAAATGGTTGGGTGGAACTGCTGGAGGACTGTTAGGTGGGCCTGCTTTGCTAGAGTACAGGGTGTATAAAAACTGTGGAATATCATAGGAATGACAGCCTAGCTTTGGAGTCTAGACTTTATCTTGGTATTATGAGAAATACACCACAGGTATCTGAAGACAGAAGTGACCATGATATGACCCAAACTTTATGAGGTCAGAGAATAGAGTTGAAGACTAAAAGAGCAAGATGGATCTGACATCCACTAGAGGAGGATCTGCAGAACTGCAGTGATCCTTGGTGACAGCCAGAAGAGTCAGGGGTGCAAGAGTGGGAATACTGGGTAAGGATATGACACAGTGAGGGTGGGAGGGATGGGGAGGCCAGCTTGAGGGATGTAATATTGGCACTGGAAAGACATCCACTAACCCACTAACAGTAGTCTCTCTCTATGGGGGGAATTCAGCTTTGAAGTTCTTAAGGAAAATTAGGAAGATATTCATCTGTGAGACATATGCAAGGAAATGAAGGACAAAGTTTCAGGGCTAGATGCACTAACTTGAGGTCAGAGGGAAGAATGGGAACGGCCAAAAACCTGGAAAGCTGCAGCCCTTAAGGAGTGGGCAGAGTTAGAAAAGCAGCAAAGAAAACTGAGGAGGAGCAATGGGAGGGGCAGGAGGTACCAAAGAAAGCAGGCCATCATGTCTGATGAACAGGGCCGAGGGACTGCCAAAAGAGGCTATCGGTGTTAGCCTCTAGGGAGTGTGTGGTCACTGAGCTGGAATTGTTTCACTCACTGACCAGCTGGTGATTCTTTTACCACGTGAATCCCTCTAAATATACAGGTTAAGTGTAGCATTGTTCCACAACAAAGCTCTCCCAGGTCTGAGTAGTCGTAAGACTCTTTGATGACATAAAATGTTCAAGAGTCTTTTCTAACTGATTTGAGCCCAATTTTATTTCCTGGAGAGACAGAAGAGTATAGCAGTCAAGAACATGAACTCTAGGGGCAGACCTTCTGGGTTCAAATTCCAGATCTCCTGCTTCCTAGCAGGGCACATTACAACCATCTGAGCCACTGTCTCATTAGCTGTAAAAATAGGATAATAACAGAACGTACTTTATAGGATTGTTGCAAGGATTTAAGATAATACATATACACATATGGCAGTGCCTAGCACATAGTAGGTGCTCAAATTGAAACTGAATAGTTACATTTTAATACAGGCATATCTCAAGGATATTGCAAGTTCAGTTTCAGACCACTACAACAAAACAAGTATCCCAACAAAGAAAGTCCCAGGAAATTTTTGGTTTCCCAGTGCAGAGAAAAGTTGCATTTACACTATACTGTGGTCTATTAAACGTGCAACAGCATCATGTCTAAAAAAAGTGAGAACCATAATTTTAAAATTACTCTATTGCTAGAAAATGCTAACAATCATCTGAGCCTTCAACAAGGCATAATCTTTTTGCTGGTGGAGGGTCTTGGCTCAATGTTGATGGCCACTGACTGATCAGAATGGTAGTTGTTGAAGGTTAAAGTGGCCGTGGCAATTTCTTAAGACAATAAAGTTTACTGCATCAATTAACTTTTCCTTTCACTAAAGATCTCTCTGTAGCATGCAATGCAGTTTCATAGCATTTGACCCAAAGTAGAACTTCTTTCAAAATTAAACTCAATACCCTCAAGCCTTGCTGCTGCTTTGTCAACTAAGTTTACAGAATATTTTAAATCCTTTGTCATCATTTTAACAATGTTCACGGCATCTTCACCAGTAGACTCTGAAGAAACTATTTTCTTTGCTCATCCATAAGAAACAATTCCTCATCCATTGAAGTTTTATCATGAAATTGCAGCAATTTAGTCACATCTTAGGCCCTACTTCTAATTCTAGTTCTCTTATTTCCATCACATCTGCAGTAACTTCCTCTACTAAAGTCTTGAACCCCTCAAAGTTATCCGTGAAGGTTTGAATCAACTTCTTCCATTTAATGTTGATATTCTGACCTCCTACCATGATTCTCTAATGTTCTGAATGGCATCTAAAACGATAAATCCTTTCCAGTAGGTTTCAATTTACTTTGCCCAGATCCATCAGAAGAATAATCATATATGGCAGCTATGGCCTTATGATACGTATTTTTTAAAATAATAAGACTTGAAAGTCAAAATTACTCCTTGATCCACAGGCTGCAAAATGGATACTATGTTAACAGGCATGAGAACAATGCTAATCTCCTGTATATCTCGATCAGAGCTCTTAAGTGACCACATGCATTGTCCATGAGCAGTAATATTGTGAAAGAAATATATTTTTTCTGAGCAGTAAGTCTCAACAGTGGGCTTAAAATATTCAGTATACCATGCTGTAAACAGATACGCTGTCATCCAGGCTTTTTTGTTTCACTTATAGAGCACAGGAAGAGTCAATTTAGCATAATTCTTAAGGGCCCTAGGTTTGGAATGGTACATGAACACTGGCTTCAACTTAAAGTCACCAGCCGCAGTAGTCCCTAACAAGAGAGTCAGCCTGCCCTACACAGCTTTGAAACCAGGCACTGATGTCTACTCTATAGCTCTGAAAGTTCTAAATGGCATCTTCTTTCAAGATAAAGCTGTTTAATCTACATCAAAAATCCGTGGTTTACTGTAGCCACTGTTATCAATTATCTTAGCTAGATCTTCTGATAACTTGTTGCAGCTTCTGCATCAGCACTTGGTGCTTCACCTTGTACTTTTATGTTATGGAGATGGCTTCTTTCCTCAAACCTTATGAACGAACCTCTGCTAGCTTCAAACTTTTCTTTGGCAGCTTCCTCACCTCTCTCAGACTTCATAGAATTAAAGAGAGTGAGGGTCTTCCTCTGGTTTGGGCACTGGCTTAAGGGAATGCCATAGCTGGTTTAATCAATCACTCATGAGTTCACTGGAGTAGTACTTTTAATTTCCTTCAGTAACTTGTTCTTTGCATTCAGAACTTAGATGTCTGGCACAAAAGGCCTAGCTTTTGGCCTATCTCAGCTTTTGATACACATTCCTCACTAACCTTAATCATTTGTAGCTTTTGATTTAAAGTGAGAAATGCAATGCAACTCTTCCTTTCACTTAAAAGCTTAGAAACCATTGTAGAACTATTAATTGGCCTAATATCAATATTGTTGAAATACTGGGAATAGGAGGCCCGAGGGGAGGGAAAGACAGGGAAACAGCAGGTCAGTGGAGCAGTCAGAACACACAAAACATTTATTGATTAAGTTTGCCATCTTATATGGGAGTGGTTCATGATACCCCCAATCAGTTACAATAGTAACATCAAAGATCACAAAGACCACTGGTCACAGACCAACCATAATGAATATAATAATGAAAAGGTTTGAAATATTGTGAGAATTACCAAAATATGACATAGAGACCAAAAGTGAGCACGTTATTGGGAAAATGGTATCAATAGACTTTCCCAACACAAGGTTGCCACAAACCTTTAATTTGAAAAAAACACAGTCTCTGTGAAGCACAATAAAGCAAAGTGCAATAAAACAAGGTATGCCGGTAATTTAAAATAATTTAAATAGTAATAATTTAGTAATCAGTAAATGTGAAGGTATAGAATAGCATTATTCAATAGAAATACAGGGCAAGCAACAACCATGAGCTATATAATTTTAAATGTTCTAAAAGCCATATTATAAAGACAAATAGGTGAAATTAACAACATACTTAACCTATCATATCCAAAATATTAATCACTGCAACATGTAACTGATGCAAAAAATTATTAATGAGATACTTTACATTCTTTTTTCATAGTAAGTGTTTGAAATCTGGTGTGTACCTTACATTTACAGCACATCTCAAACTAGACACATTTCAAGTGCTCAGTATCCACATATGATTGGTGGCTATGGTATTGGACAGTACAGGTCTAGAAGGATACTCATCAACTATTAGCTCAGGCTACCTCACAGGGATGGCTTAGAGCAGCGGTCCCCAACCCCTGGGCCGCCAACTGGTACCAGTCTGTGGCCTGTTAGGAATCGAGCTGAACAGCAGGAGGTAAGCGGTGGGCAAGCCAGCATTACTTCCTGAGCTCCAGCTCCTGTCAGATCAGCAGCGGCATTAGATTCTCATAGGAGCCTAAACCCTATTGTAAATTATGCATGTGAGGGATCTAGGTTGCCATCCTATGAGAATCTCATGGCTGATGATCTGAGGTGGAACAGTTTCATCTGGAAACTATCCCACCCTCCACCCCCACTCCAACCCCACCCTGTGTTAAATTGTCTTCCATGAAACTGGTCCCTGGTGCCAAAAGGGCTGCTGGCTTAGAGGAAGGCTGGGGAAACTAGTAACATTTTGTTTATATACTTCTATATTGTTTAGTATGTAACAATGAGGACATATATCTTTAAAATCCAATAAGTTATGAAAGAGTAAGAAAAAATCTAATAACCCTAAATTAATGCTCATGACACAGAAATACAGAAGCATTCTAATCTGGGATTTAAAAACAAAACAAAACAAAACAAAAAACTGGGTTCTATGTCCAAAAAAAACCATAGTTCTAGGTTCTTGGGGCATTTCTGTAGAATTTGGGGCATGGAGTGGGGGGACCTTCAGAAAGCCCTTTACAATTCCTGGACCTCAGTTTCCCTATATTTAATTTAGGACTAATTGATTCTTTAAGTTCTTAAAGTTCTTAAAGTGTATAAATGTCAGCAACTGTATTTCTCCTATATTCCCTCCAAGAATCTATCAACGAATGAAAACTCTCTCCTCACTTGCAGAGACAGTGTGTTCGTAAGCACAAGGCCAAGTCTCTGAGTCTCCTGGGTCTAAATCTGCCTTTGAAAACACGTTTCTGTCTGCCTCTGGCTATCGACGGTCCCAGCTCCAAAGAGCTGATATTTACATTTGTACTCTGGTTCCCTCCATGACCTCATGCGGTCACAAATGCCAAGAGAAACGAAAAGTGAGCCTGGCCTTCTCCTTCTCCCACAGGAATGATTTGGTCCGAATGCAAGGAAATCTGGGAGGAGGGGCCACGGGAGTACGTGCTGCACTTGTGGAACCTGCTAGATTTCGGGATGCTGTCCATCTTCGTGGCCTCCTTCACAGCACGCTTCATGGCCTTCCTGAAGGCCACGGAGGCACAGCTGTACGTGGACCAGCACGTGCAGGACGACACGCTGCACAATGTCTCGCTTCCGCCGGAAGTGGCATACTTCACCTACGGTGAGTCGGAGAGTGCTTCCCCTACTCCATTTTGGCGCTTCCGGGACGTGGGCCTGGTGCTTCACTGTGGCTGGTGAACTTGTAACGCTATTTGTAATCAAGTGGCCCATGATTTGTAACACAGCCGACTTTGGCAGTTCCACTGTCAGTGCAGAGCATCCTTTCCACCTCAAAAAAACCCTTGGTCCTGGAAGTGTAGCCAGCAGAATAGAACGTGGAATTAGTGACTTTGAGAAATGAATCTTTTTGTGTTAAGGGTGAATTTGTTTCTGAAAGGCCCTTGGGAACATTTCTGTAGTTTGTTTGTTTTTAAGAAACGTCTTGTTTCTGATGTGCATCCAGGAGCGCTAAAGGGATATGTATATGCGGAAGAATTTTCCTTCTATATTGGATCCCTGTGTTTTGTGCAAAAATAAATCCTGCTTTCCTAGTTATTGCTTGGTGGCAAGATACATTCTTAGAAGATACCTTAATTACCTTAATTCTTGCAAAATGCAAAGGCTTACAGTTTGATGTAGTAGATTGAGACTTTAGGAATACTAATAATAGTTATAACATATGTTTATTGAGAACCTACTATGTGCCAGGAATTGTGTAGACATTTTATACACACAATTCTAATTCTTGCAAATAGCCCGGCAAAAAAGGGTCCTTCTTTTGTCCCTATTTTAAACATGAAGAATCAGGTTTTTATAGCAGGGCTTATAATGTTTCCAGAAAATACAGGATTGCCTTGTATAGCAGGGAATCCTGGCCTGACATGATTTGAAAATCATGCTGAATAGCATAGTGGTTATGTCCCCAAGCTTTGGAGTAGAAGAGACCTGGATTCAAATCCTAGTTCGGTAGTTTACTGTGAGATCTTGTTTACTTAACTTTTCTGAGCTCTTTTTTCTCATATGTAAAACAGAGATAATAATACCTACATCAAAAAGTTTGTTTTGAGGGCTGAATAAAATAGTGTATGTGAAGCGCTTTGCACTCTGCTGTGAAAATAGTAAATGCTCACTTAATGGTAGCAGCTATTATCTGCTTACTTATTTTAAAATAAGTTATGTCTTACTACTACCTTTTGGGTCATTTTCTTGTTCAAACACTGTAATTTCTGTACTGAAACAGAAAGATGTTGAAAGTTGAAGGAACAGTAGATACTTGTTAACAGTAAAAAGCAGCTGGACACTTAGTAGGCAATTGCTAATGGTAGCTACAACATCTTGAAGGGATTGAGTGTTGAATGTCCCTGTTACATGAAGCCAGATGGCTCCGGGACCACAGAATCTTTATGGTAAGATACAACAATGATTCTGTGGTCAGGTACAACAATGATCTGCAGAGGGTTGTTCGCTTAACGCAAAAGTTGAGTAACTGCCCGTTTTCAGTGTAGATTATGTTACATGTAAATGTGGTAGGGAAATCTCCATTGAGAAATGGAGAGTCTTGTAGTATTACAAGTCATCCACCCACCCACCCTCTGCCATTTTGGGGTTTGGCAAATTCAGACTTTCTTAAAGCAAAATAGCTTGGATATTATCCTCTGTCTTGTTAGGGTTCATCAAGGAAGGAAGAGAGAATATTGATGCTGCATTATGTACTTTTCTTAATGCCAGGATTCAGGCTGCAGTATTGTCCACTTCTGACTTCTGTTGCTTTATGGGTTGTATTAAGGTCTCACCCAACCCAAAGCATAGTACGTTATTGCTCTTGTATTTGCGGTTCACGCTGTGCCCTTGGAAATCCTTTGGATTTCTGGCTTAACTTGTGCTCCAGTTACAGGGCAGGAGAGCCCTCTTGTGGCCAGCTGGACGGTGGCTCCTTCCAACCTCTACAGCACCAAATGCGCAGATAACAATTTTTCAGGTTGTGATAGGGCAATTTTTCTCTTGGAAATAGCTCTAAGGAGAAAACCCCTTTGTCCAAATCATCACAGTGCTGTTCATTCTACACTCATCACAACTCTTTACAAGTCAGTTGAAATATAATATTTTTCAATATAAGTCCTGACCTAGTCACCAGGATCTGACAACAGCTAAATCTATCTGAGTAGATTATAAGAGTGTCTTGTTATTGTGACTGAGGTTTAAGATGGTGAGCTAGAGGCCGCAGAAAAAAAGAATTCCTTTTTGCCTTCTGTTTAACGGGAGAAGTTATGTCTTATTTTATCTTATCCAAATATTTATCCATAGAAGATGACAGATATATTGGAAAACATGTAATTTATTCTGCTTACTAGTCTTTCATGGTTTTTTGAGGTATGACCTTGATGAGAACATAGAATCTGTAATGTTATTATATTTCCAAATGCAATTTAGAATCACTCCATGAAACTTTGTGGCCTGGCTTCCTTTACTAAAGGTTTCTTACTGCTCTCTATTATTATAATTATTTAACAGAGTCTAGTTTTGAAAATAAAGAATAAAAGCCTTCCTCTTCAATCTCCCTTGGAATGCCACGAATTGCTATGTAATATCCTTGCTATCTGCATTTACCGGTCTCTGAAAAGGACCCCATACCCTAAATCCAATCTTAAAAATGGCAATAATGATATCTACTCTACAGGGCTGTTGTGAAAATTACAGCTAATGTAAGTGTAAGTGCTAATTTAGGTTTCTCAATGCTTCTCAATTAATATTTCACTCAGCATTTCTCAATAGGGACACTATTAGCTTTTCCAGCAGGGCAGTTTTCATTGTACAGATCTGTCTGGAGCATTGCAGGACATTAGCATCCCAGTAGTACTCCTATTCAGTCACTTTGACAACCAGAGACACCGCCACACATCCTCCATGAGAGAAGTGCTGCCCTCACTTGAGAATCACTGACATGTAATAGACAGCTGATTCGTGATAGGTGCTGCTCCTTGTACCATTAGAACTGCAATAGGAACACTTTGCAGGTTTGCTCTGCAGCAGAAATACCCATAGGAGAGCTCAGGCCCTTGTGGTCACAGTGACCACAAGCAGAGCCTTCCCAGCTCAGGATCAGTCCTAGGACCCTTGCCTACCTGGAACAGGGCTGTCGTGGCAAACCTGCCTGACTGGTCACCACTTTGGGGCCTTAGCTTAATCAAGGAGCAATATCCCAGCACACAGTACCTGAGGAACAAAACCCAAGAGTATTTTTTCAGGCAAGATCCTTTAGATTCCTGGTCCCCATGTGAGCTTATTTGTTCTGACCTGTGTCTGGTCTAAACTTGTGGTTAAAAGTCTATTCAGTCATTTGACAAACACTTATCTGTACCTGCTGTGTGCCAGACCCTGTGCTGAGCACTTTACATGTATGATTTCATTTCATCCTCTCCACAGTCCTGTGAAATGGATATTATCCATAATTTAGAGAGGAGGAAAATAAAGCTCAAAAGGTTAGTTAGTTGTCTCTCAGAGTCATGTGGCCAGTAGGTGGATGGGCCACATTCAGCCTCAGGGATGTCTGACTCCCAAGTCCATGCTCTTGCCCATCTTATTCCTCGCGCTGCCTCCCCAGTGAGTGGGACAGCTCCTGAGCATGGAGCTAAACACTGGTGAGGGAGACAGAATAGCAAGTGGCCTGGTGAGTGCCAAGACATGGAGGGTGTACAGGATACAATGAGAGCACAGACGGAAACTGGGAACCTGCCCAGCCCGTGGTGGGGGTAAGGGGGATCACAGAAGGCTTCCTGAAAGAGGTGATGCCTGAGCAGAGTCTTAGAGGAGGATTAGGAATGAATCATACTTCGAAGTGAGAGAAGAGTGTTCCAGGCAGATGGTCCAGCACATTCCAAGAGGGAGGGTGGCAACTTCTGGATATTGGGATTAATTTAAGGACAAGGACAAGAATGGCAAATGATGCAGTTGGAGACCTCTAAAGATGCCTAACTGGTTTCTCTTCTAGAATAGATCCTGTGGCCTCGTGAGTAACCCAGATTGTTTTCTTTTAGCCAGGGACAAGTGGTGGCCTTCAGACCCTCAGATCATATCGGAAGGGCTCTACGCGATAGCCGTCGTGCTGAGCTTCTCTCGCATTGCATACATTCTGCCAGCCAACGAGAGTTTTGGGCCCCTGCAGATCTCGCTAGGGAGAACTGTGAAAGATATCTTCAAGTTCATGGTCATTTTCATCATGGTATTTGTGGCCTTCATGATTGGGATGTTCAACCTGTACTCTTACTACCGAGGTGCCAAATACAACCCAGCGTTTACAACGTGAGTATCTGAGAGCTTTCCCCTGAGGTTCTCCCTGGGCTTCCTGGGAATCCTTGGGAGTCTCCTGAAGGTGGCTTCTTGCAGAGACTGCTGTTTCCTTGCTATCTCTCAAGGTTAAAGGCAACTTTATTCAAGGGTGGTTTAGAGTTCAGGTTCTGGAGTTGAACAGATGAGTTGAGTTAAATCCTCACTTTGCCACTTACATTTCGTGTGACCAGAGCATGTTCCCATTTAGAAAAAAAAAAATCACATGTAGGAATGCTACGTTTTCTAGGATTTGACATTCTCAGCAATCAGGAATTATTTCATAAATGGAAATTTCATAAATGGAAAGACCACTACTAAAAACAGAATGCCATTAATATAATGTTGTCTTTTGTTTCCAAAGTTGATAGACTAGAGTGATGTGAAAATAATAATAAAAGCGAGATATTTTGTGGTGGTAAACTTTGGGGGTAAAGTTAGGACTGCAATCCATGAGTTATCTCAGGGTAAACAATGCAGCAGCAAGCATGCTGGCGAGTATTCTTGGGGCCAAGGGGAAATGGGTTAACATCTCTGATACTTCATTTTCTTGTTTTTAAAATGGTGATAATAATAGTACCTTCTTCATAGAGATTGTGCAAGGATTCAGTGAGATGATGTAACTCACGTAGTAAACTCAATATGTGGTAAAAAAAATTATTCTTACTGTTATTATTGTCTTAGCCTGTGTTGCCTAGAAAACAGAACTCTGGGTAAAAGTTGCATGCTAACACTTTATTAGAGTGAGGGAGTTGCAATCTAAGGGAAATAAAACTGAAGGAAAAAGGAAAGTGAAGAATGGGAAGAGGGGAAGCAAGTACAAAGTGCTGCTGCATGAGAGGTGTGTGAAGTGAAGATGGGGAAAGCAAATCCAGGCAGCTCCCTGGCCACTGCCCACCAGAATACACAGCATGGGCATGATGGACCTCTCCAGGGGGACTATCTGGAAAGACCACATCTCAGAATAGCCCATCAGGCTGAGAATAGAGAATTTATCATCCAGATCAGTCCCATCTGCTGTCTCTCATTAGTCACTCCATAGGACGTTAACTCACCTACACTTCCAGGGAAGCCCTGGGGAAGCCATATCCACACAGCATGGGAGGCAGGTCTGCGAGTGGTTGCAGGTCACTGCTCTCCATGCCTGGCTGGGCAAGCCAGGTCTTGTGTGTGGACACCCAGCAAGTCCTGCAGCATCATGTGCCTCTGCAGCAGGAAGGAAAGCCCATGTGAGAGAGGCAGGAGGCATGCAGCCTGAGCATGAGGCAAGACACTGAAATTGGGGTCCAGAAGTAGCTGCTAGGGGTGCTCCAGAAAGCAGGCAGAGTAACACAATGGCATGCACATCCCCCACCGTGGAAGTGGTGATGGAGCTCTCTAAGCCTGTGTCCACAAAGATCCAAAGCTCCTCCCCTGGGGATGGGCACGGGGCAGGATGCCAGATAGTCTCCTGGAGGGCCAGCCATCGGTAGCACCGAGAAGGGTCTAGTGGAAGAGTGTGGAAGACCTGAATATACTTCCTGACACAGGCATATACTGGCCGGTGAACTTAAGTCATTTGATTTATCTGAGCCTCTGTGTCCTCGTCTATAAAATGAAAATAAGGTTTCCCACCTTATTCACAAATACCTTTATGGATAAATGAGGATGTTTACATAAAGTGCCTGAAACACAGAAGTGTTTCCAGTCCATGTCCTGCCCCAGACCCACTCAGTTCCAGAACTTCTCCTTGCCTTCACCAAGCTCTTGGCCAAAGTCTTGAAAGGAGGATAGTCAGGTTTTCAGCCTTGTGGAATCCCAGCACAGCAGCCAGGATCAATGGGGCTAAGCACTTCCTGACACTTGTCCCCAGGAAGCCCTGAGTGGCCTAGAATGTCAGTTTTCCAGCTAGTAGAAATGGCTCTGATCCCTGCCCCTCAGACTCCCTGAGCAATTTCCAGGTTGCAGCAGGGCCTCATCTTACTCTTCTGGAGAAATCACCCATTAAGGTAAGATACTTGTCTCTGAGAACCAAGTACAATGAATTCTGTGCCACTTAGCTCAGAATTATGGACTGCGCTGCCCCACCCAGCTGAAACTACCTAAAAGAGTGGGACTCTGGTGCTGCTGAACCACAGAAGCTGTTACTCCCTGAAGCAAAGTAGTTTGTGTGTCAAGAGAATAGGTGCCAGGCCCAGTGCTGAGAAATGCACCTGAGAGGTGCTTGGCTCTGCTCCTCGGCCCACAGGCTATGTTGGAGCCTTGGTACCCCATGGACCGACAGACTAGGTTTCAGTCTGAGCTCGGCCTCTTACTGACTTTGTGGCCTTGGGCAAGTGCTTAAATCCCTTGGGCCTCAATTTCCCCAGCTCCAAAATGAGAATACTAAGAGAGCCAACTTCACAGGATTGTTGTAAGGATCCAATAAGAAGAAATACGACCAAATGCAATGCTTGGCATAAAGTGAGCCTTCAATAAATAGTAATGATGATAATGGAGATGGTGAATAATTTATCCTCAGGGGAGAATAAATTGCAAGAAAAGACACCTGAGTACTGAATTGGTCTATAGCGCCCTTTCTGGGCAGTGGTCTAGCTTACACACTGTCCACCAGCACAGGCCAAGCACATTGTTGAATCAGCTGGACTACTTTATATCACTCCAATACTTAGTGATTAACTGCTGAAGGAATAGAATAAGTTTCAATCACCCAAAAGCAAATTTGCTCTAGATCTGCTAAAGGTAAAACTAAATGTATCCACTCCACATGGGATGCATTGCTACTGAACATGGAGAGGATGTCAGCCGATAAACGAAGGCTCTTACTTTCTGTGATCAGACCCTGGTGTCCCTCCTGTGTTTCTAGCCTAGCATGGTGCCTTGCAAAGGTTGTTTGCTCATTAAATGCTTTATGAACAAGAATGAGGGAATAAACAGGAGAAAGGAAGCCAGAGTCAAAGTAGTCAAATAAACAGTAGACTGGGCATTTGACAGTGTGCACTTCTATCCTGTTCCTACTGCCCAGAGTATTCTCTGCAATCCCTCTCTTCCCTCCTCTACGGAGAGCCTGTATCACCAGCCCACAGTCCCTCACTCCCTCAGAAGATCAGTGCCATGACACACAGAAAAATGACAAAGGGGCCAGGCCTGGTAGCTCATGTCTATAATCCCAACACTGGGAGGCTGAGGTGGAAGGATCCCCAAGAGTTTGAGACCAGCCTGGGCAATACAGTGAAACCTCATTAAAGAAAAAAGAAGAAGAAGGAGGAGGAGGGAGAGGAAGGAAGGAAGAAAGAGAGGGAAGGAGGGAGGGAAGGGAGGGGAGGGGAGGGCGAAAGAGAGAGAGAGAGAGATTATGACTTTAGAGTAGGGCTGACCTAGCCACAATTCTCAACTAGATGCAGCACAGCTAACCAATACAGGGAGGAAGGCAGGTGGCCTGGGTTGGGGTCTTTGGGATTAGGAAGAGTGATGGGGAAAGGCAAACTGAATGAAGATTTCCTAGACACAAGAGACCCAACCAAGAGGACCCCAGACCTTCTAGGAGAGGGAAGAGGATAAAGGGTGGGGAGGCGGCAAGCACAGTGAAGAAAGGATGGGAGATTTATCGCCGTGGCAGTTCCTGAAATGAGATGTGTAGCTGTGAATAGGATTTGATTGAACAGAAAAACAGTCAATAGAGCAGTGAAGTGGAGAGAGAAAAGAATGGATTTTTGTAAATGTCATCTTTTACCTTTTGACTGCTCTCCGGTGCATGTCACCCCCAAGAGATCTTCTTTGTTAATTAAAAAAAAAAAAAGCCATGTGAGAATAAATGAGACTCGTGCCTTAGGATACTCAAAGCTGTTCTGAGTGCCAGCCATGCTGATGATGAAGTCAAACAACTTCACTCAGGTGAATGTTTGCTCCAGAGCAGCCCATCCCCAGGCTGCCCTGCCCAGCTCATAATCTTCCCTTTGACCCACCCACAGGTGAGTGGCCTGTTCTCTGTGGAATTTTGAGCTTGTAGGGTAAGGCAGGAGTCTATAGAACTCAGCATCTGTTTCTATAGACTCGGCAGACCCAATTCTACAGAAGGGAAATTTGGGTTGGAGCACACTGCAGGTATCCCCCCAGCCCCACTTTTGACCTCCCCCCAACCCCATTCCTGCCACATCCAAGGGCAATTGGAGTCTCTAAAGACTGTTCAGGAGTCCACTTCGAAAGTCAGCTGTTAGAAACCTACAGGGAGCTTTTTCATATGAGCTCTGCTCACCCTAGGGGTGCAGTCCCAGGCCAGCTCACAAAAACCAGTCTCACCATGTTGTAGCACTGTCCCAAGGGGAAGAGGAAGGGCAAGCATTCTAAGACAGAGGGAAAGAAGAGAAGAAAGACTTCTCTACTAACTGCAGCCCCAACCCTCAACCAAGGCCTGCCCTATCGCCCAGTGTCTTCCAGTTCTAAAATCACATACCGCCTCCCTCCGGCCACTCCCAGATTCTCATTTTCTCCATCTGGCAGACCTCAATGAAGAGGCTAGAAGAAAATGGATGGATTAAATTGGTTTAGCCCAAGGTGTGAATAAATATACAGTATGAGCAGCCTTAACAGAGCAGTGGTTTTCAAACCACATCAGAGTCACCTGGGGAGGTGGCTAAACGTGGGACTTCCCAGGCTCTTCCTCTTAGAGAGTCTGATTATAGTAGTTCTGGGTAGGACCCAGAAATCAACATTAACAAGCCCCTGGAGGATTCTGGTACAGATGGTCTAGGATCACAGTATGAGAAATGCTAATCTGATCCAACCTCATCATTGCACCAATAGGGAGATGGAAGTCACTCTCAGCTCTTTGTACTTCAAAAACAAGGAGCTTGTTAACTTAAGTGAATATCTTATTAGTAGGATTTCAGGCTCTATGCAGGCAATTTTTTTTAAGCACAAGCTACTGAAGAGGTAGCCAGATCCAGTGGGAGCAAGCCCCAAAGTCAGATCCTATTAATAGTTCCCAATTTTTCAGCCTCCTTCCTCTTCAGAACCAAGAATTTTCTCAAAGGTCTGGGTTGTTTTTCATAGCCACTTCTGTGTCCAGTGCTGGCCTAAGGGGAGGAGCATGGGTCACTAGTTGGTGAGCTGGGGCCTGTCTGGGCATGACAGATAGTACACCTGCTGGCAACTCATTATCTCCAAGCCACTTCTATTAGAAACTGAAAATGACCACAGGTGAGGAAAGGAAAAATGTTCAGACAAGGTTTATGCTCTCAGAGTACAAAATCGAAGTATCCCAAGACATGGGTAAGGAAGTGGAGAGAAAAATCACCTGAGAACACACTTCCTTTAATAAAGTCTTTAAGAAAAGTTCTCAGTTCAGACTGTTAGGAATTTTGTGACTGGGGACATATTTTTAACCCTATCATAGAACTCAGTAGACAAATAGGATTTGCTTTTGGAGGTTCGTTTTATAGCCAACTTTGCTGAAATGCACATATTCCATAAAGTGAAGACTTTCTGTTTATGTTGTGTGGAACTCTTGGGGTCCCAGCACTCTTGTTACAGGGTTAGAAAAAGAGAAATAAAAGGTCCATGCTCATAGATGAAATACAGCTGAGTGACAATGCATAGAAAAAGGGTGCCTAGGCTGGGCGCGGTGGCTCACACCTATAATCCCAGCAGTTTGGGAGGCCAAGGCAGGTGGATCACTTGAGGTTAGGAGTTTAAGACCAGCCTGGCCAACATGGCAAAACCACATCTTTACTAAAAGTACAAAAATTAGCTGGGCGTGGTGGCTCGCACCTGTTTTCCCAGATACTTGGAAGATTGAGGCAGGAGAATCACTTGAACCTGGGAGGCGGAGGTTGCAGTAAGCCGAGATTGTGTCACTGCACTGCAGCCTGGGTGACAGAGTGAGACTACATCAAAAAAAAAAAAAGGAAGGAAGGAAAAGAGTGCCTTTCTCACACCCTAGCTGGTGACTGTGATGGGACAGCTACACAGAGAATAGGAGGGGCCGGAGGCAATGAGGTGGTCCAGAGTAGGAAGTGAAGGGTGTTCTAACACAACCCATGGTGGGCCCCTGTCTCCCCTTTGGGTGAACTTGGCCTTTCAGACTCAATCCTGATTGGAGACTAAATGTGTGTTCTGTTTCTCAAAAGATCATCTCAGCCCATCTTTTCTATAGGCTGTTGTGAAGTCAGCTTCATAGCATAGCTGGGTTGAGAGTTTTCTAATCAAAATAATACCTCTATTAAGGTTGTTCTGTCTCCCCAGGAATCATTTTAATGGAAGTAGCTTCAGCAATGCTAGGCAAAATTAGAAACTTGTATTTTCCGTGACACTTATGGGAAATTTCCATACTTTATGAGGGAGGGATTCAGGAGGCACTGATTCAGCCCCACCCAACTTGTCCTTGCCATAGAGAAGCCAGATTCCCCTTCCAGCTATGGGAACTGCAGCTGAGGGAGAGGATCCTTAAGACTCTGCCCACACACCCCCACCTGCCACGGACTGTCCCAGCTTCAAGGCTGAGCTTCACGTACTCGGCTTAGAGCTGAAATTGAGGCTTCAGATGATCCTTTTGGAGTTGGTAAAGAGCAGCAATAATAATAATAATAATAAATATCAAATTGTTGACCAACTCATGAAAAATATGCACCTGCTTTCTCATTTAATCCACAGTGGAATAATACAAATACTATTACAGGAAACTGAGGCTCAGAGAGGTACCAGACTTGCCCAAGATCATAGAGCCAATGAGAGAATCTGAATCCAAATCCGCATGAGTCCAAGCCCATCCTCCACCTTAGGCCTAAAATTTCCATCACTCACACTAGGGCCTACACTTTGAGATGGATGCTAAGACTCTAAAAGTTGAGTTGCTCTCCTATAGTAGTAAATTCTGAAAAAGAGCATACTAACTCCGATTTTGATTACCATTGAGAACCTGCTGATTCTACATATCTCAGCTTTAATATGCAGACTGTGATTCTCCCCTGGATAGAGCAGGTTTCTATTCCAAAGTGAGCTCCCTCATTTGACAAACATGTATGGAGCAACTACTCTATGCCAAGTGGTGTTTGTCCCTGAGGCCATAGAGATTAATAAGACAATTCTGTTCCTAGGAAACTCATGGATCAGTGGGGATTTTGCAGGGGGCAAAAGCAACAGCTACGATCCCATATGATCATCATCAAAGGGTACTTGAGTAGCACAGGGAGGAGGAAGCACTGAGCCCTACCTGGCAGTCAGAGAAGGCTTCCTAGAAGGGGTGGCTCTAAACAGAGAGTTTGGGAGGATGACTGGAAGGGCACTCTGGCATGTGCAAGGCATTTTTGGAGAGCTTCACGTAGGAAGGCATTTGGGTAGATGGCAGAAGATTAAATCAGAGCATCAGGTGGGAGCTAGATTGTGAAGCACTTCATAAGTCCTGATAGAGTGTTAGAGTCTCCGCTAAGGCCTTTGTAAAAGGAGGAAGATGTAATTGGGTCTGCTTTCAGGAAGAGTGCTGTGGCAACTGCATGAAGGGTGGGTTGGAAGGGGTGAGAGTGGAGGCCCAAGCTGGGTGCTGGGATTCTACTGTGAGCAAAAGCAGATGTGGTCCCTCCCCTCATGAAACTTGCAGACTGTTTGAGAAGATAGATGTTAATCAAATAATCACAGGAATGAGGGCATGTTTACAAATTGAGAAAATGTTCTGAAAGACAGGAATGTGAAAGAAAGGCAGCTACAAAAGGAGCTGAGCTAGATAGATCGCCTGGGAGGCTCTGGCAGGAGCCCTGTGAGAGAGGGTGCATTGCTGCATGCAGGGAATAGTGGGATGGAGAAGCAGGGCAAGGGGTAGAGTGGCAGGCTATGGCTGCAAAGGGGATCCTGCTGAGGCTGCCCAGGCTGAAATACGTCATAAAACTCATCAGAATCAATGATATATTGAGAGAAACCGAGGGAGAGGTCACCCTGAGGCACCCTAGGAGCTTGGCCTACTGCCGGTTTACCTGTGCAGTGTGCTGAACGTGTTTGCAGGTGGGGAACAAGGAATGGCATCAGCCTACTGGGCTTTGTGAAGGACCCGTTTTTCCCAGGATCCTGGGTCGGTGTTGAAATATGGGCATCTCTGATTCAGAAGCTCCACAGGCTGTTTCACCATCAGACTTTATTACACTGTGAAAGTTACAATCTCCACCTTTCATGTTATAAATTCAAGTCAGGACCGGCTGGGCACAGTGGCCCACGCCTGTAACCTCAACACTTTGGGAGGCCAAGGTGGGTGGATTGCTTGAGCCCAGGAATTCGAGACCAGCCTGGACAACAGATTGAGACCCCATCTCAAAAATTAATTAATTAATTAATGCAAGTTAGGCATAGGGTGTTTGGGAGGGATGAGAGAGCTTACTGCACCCACTTTCAGGTGGAGAAACCAGCACAGAAAAGTTCTAAGGCTTGATGGAGAAGGCAGCTGAGATCAGTGTGGGGCTCAAGTCAGGCTCAGAGAGGCTGGGGACCTGGAAATGACCTTTATGTGTCAAAAAAGATCATTTGGGTCTAATATAAGGTCTTTTTCTTTGTATAACTCTCCAACAAGTGATAAAAATATAGATCTTTTCCTGGGCTACTTTAGAAGAATAATTGTTACAACAGACACTCTACTATCGTAAAATGTTTATGGATACATTCTTCTCATGTTTATTTGTGACCTGGATTCTAAAAGCCTGGGACCTGTGAGCCCCTGGAACAGTCTGAGAACCACCAAGTTTTGAGGAAAAAGACCTGACAACACACAGAAAATGTGCTCCTGAGGATGCTGGCTTCACGGCACCCTCTCAAGCACTGCCCAGGGCCCTCCATCTGCTTCTCAGGCTGACGGTCACTGTCTGACAGGGGAGAGGGTCTCACCTTTTTATGCACTAAAATTCAGTTCTAGGATGATAATATGGTTTAAGCTGCCATTTCTCTAAGTGACAGTGGCAGGAAACTGCAATGTCCAGGGTTAGCTTGAGATGTTACCAGCAGGGGCAGGTCTGAGGCAAGCTGGGTAAGGCCAAGTGCCAGATCACCTTCTGCCTCAGTTTCCCAGCGTTCCATCATCCATTGACAAAAATGTTCACTGACCCCTCCCCCCAGCTACAAGCTGGACACTATTCTGAGTACTGAGGACAGAGTGACGAAGGAGGTCAGCAGGCCCTGTCAGCATGGAGCTCACATTTCAGAGGGAAAAGAGGCAAAAAGATAAACAAATAGGCAAGTAAGATAGTTATAGATTAAGAGCTCGGAGCTAGGGAAGTAAGACACTGTACAGAAGAGTCATGAGAGAGGGCCTCCTTCAGACAGGTCGTCAAAGAAGGTCTCGTGGAGCACATGCTGACTGAGCCTGAAGCCTCAATAAGAAAAAGAGGAGGAGCAGCCAGGTACAGAGAGAGAGGAAGGCATTCCAAGAGAGAGCTCAGCCAGTGCACCCAGGCAGAGTGCAATGAGTGAAGGGAGAGCCAGCCTCGGGCTCCAGGAGGCGGGAGGAACCAGACTACCCAGGGCCTTGAGGGCCTGCGCTGGGTGATGATGGGCTTTGTCAGCCACAGGGAAAGCCACTAACAGAGAGGGGCAGGATCTGATTTCTGTTTTCCAAGGGCTTTTCTGAAAATTAATTGCAGGGCTCCATAGTCTTTCAGCCAGATATTGGAGCCTATTGCAGTTGATGCAGATTTTGTAAAAAATGAACACTAGTAATAAAATTAGTAACATTAATTGAGCAATTAGTATGTGCCAGGCAGTAATTTATGCATTTCACAAGCATTCCATTAACTCATTCAATCCTCACAACAATTCTATGAAGTGGAGATTACTGTTTTCCCATTTTACAGCCAGAAACAAAGCAGCACAGAGAGATGAGGCTATTTGGCCAAAAACGTATACTCAAACCAGGTTTGCCTGGAGTCAGAACTTGCACCTCGATTGTTTCATCATCACCTGGACTCAACAACACTAGGATCAGGGAACAGGAAGTCAAAACATGCATTAGGGATTCATTCATTCGTTTATTCAGCTGACTTTGAATTTGTTGAATGCCTCCTGTGTACCAGGTTCTGATGAGGTTTGCAGTTTCGAAGATGAAGAAAACACAGCTTCTTCCCTCCAAGAGTTCCCAGGCTGCATGGGGTACAGTGAAACCCCTCAGTATAAATAAATCTAGGCTGCACAGGCTTTACATATCCCAGTTCTTGGCATCAGTTCTGTGGCCCCAGACTCTTCTACTTCTAGACTGTCTAAATCAAACTCCTTGTTGAGGACCCAAGGTAGAACTCAGAGGTGATTCGGAGGACAGAACTTTGCAGGGCCAAGGAAGGGATGAGTTCAGACTTTCTCAGGCATTTAACCATCCTCAAACCTGGTCCAACTGCTTTCAGTCTCTGGGTCTGGGCATTAGAGAAGCACAGCCTCTGAGAAGATCTTTATCCATTCTAAACATCTTCCTCCATCAGCCCAACTTGGATGATAGGTGAGCATTATTCTCCTTCAGCAGAACTCTAGCAGAGTGCCAGCTATTGTCCGCTGAGCTTGGGAAACAGCCTTTTTCAATTAAAGGCTGATCCTCCTGCTTAATTTTAGCCTGCTATATGATGATTTGATTAGGTAACTGAACTGAACTATTCAGTGGTAGGGGCTAGGAGTCCTGGCAGTGGGGAGAGAGAGATATGGCATTCTGAAGAAGCAGCAATTTTCCTGTCACCCTGAACCCTCTCCTTGTTGATCAGTTTGCTCTCTGAGGCCCGTATACAACTGCCTCTTCAGGCAACCTGTTATTAAAGTCCTGTTATCCAGCCGAGACAGACCTGGTGGAGAACTGATTACCTCGTCCCTGCTGTCTGCATGACAAATCAGCCCCAACCTTCCCACACACCCACATTCCCTCCCAGAGAAGGGTGAATCGTGGCCTATTCAACATCACTCATGGGCACTTTTCCTCCTTTACTTCATTAGGAGTGCTTCTTATGCTGGGGTGGCCTATTGACTAACTTCAGTCCCTTCCACTGCAGGCCCAGAGTCAAATATAAAAAGACAGCATGGGCTGGAATAATCAGAAAGAGTATTTGCATGAAATCAAGGGTCTGTGATGATCTTTGAAGATTAGAAGAAAAACAAGTCTTGTTCAGAAAACAAGCAGCTGAATTATTGACTCCATTCAACCCTGTGCAGAAGCACCTGAGGGGCTGAGGGGCTGTACGTATGCTGGGAAGGGCAGAGGCAAACAGAGCCTCCCTGCTTACAGTCTCATAGCATTCTCTTATCTTACTGGGCTTGCTTGTAGACTGGGACCTCCAAAAGCACAGAAACACATTTGATCTGGGCACCTGTGTATCCTCATCGCCTGGTACGGTGCCTGGCACATAGTTCAATAAATATATGAATCAAAATAATAGCTGCCATTTATTGGACTTTATATTTCACATAGGTTGCCCATTTAATCTTCATGTCAGCTGAACAATAGAAGCATCATTATGCCAATTTCATAGTTGGGTAAACTGAGACTCAAACAAGCTTTGTCCCATGCCCAAACTCATATAGCCACTACAAGGTGTTGCTGAGATTTGAACCCAGGCATGCACCCTGGATCTTCTCACTCCTCCAGCTCTGTGTCATCTCCTGTGATTGACACAGTTGAAGGAATCTGTGGCAAACTTTATAACTAGCTAGGGTGGATGGAAAGAGGTTGTAGAGCCAGTAGTTGCCATTCCTATCAGTAAAGAACCTCATATCTAGTCTTAAGACCAGCTAAGTGGGGCTTTCTGTGAGTCAAGCAGCTTTATGGCAAATAGTAACTAGCCTAATTCCAAGATATTTTCTTCCTGAAAGCCAGCCCCATTTCTCCCAAATGACTGGCTTTCCACCCCATGCCCTGGGTTCCAGAGCTCATGAAAATTGTGGATGATGATTAATATATAACTCAGAGAGCCTCATAACCTCATGGGGCATTAGAGCCAGCTCCAATACCTGAGCCCTTGGGATAACTGATTTACTATTGACTCATTCCAATGCTAGCCTTCTCTCTGAGAATATATTACTATGGGTGCCCAAGGTCAAGGCAACACAAGTCATTTCCCACTCAGGGTAGTGAGGTCAAGTTTCATTTATTTCCTGCCACATGTTAAGTTGGAAGATGACACTAGCATGGCATCGTAAGTTCATTGTAGAGCTCTAATCACCATAAAAAGCATCAAGTTTTCACTGAAAATTTTTTCCTTTTTTTCCTACCAGGACGTCTGTCATTTTCATATTGATTTATCAGCCCTTAGTGTAAGGATATCATCCATTGTTTGTCTTACGTTTGCAAATACCAATTCTTTTCTCAGTCTTCTGCCTTATGTTTTTACTTATTATGTTTTTCATGTGTACAAGTAAAGTTTTGTGTGGCCAAATCTCTCAAGCTTTGTAGTTTCTGAAACTTCCCCCAGCCCAGAATTATGTAATAAATTCTCACCAATACTTTATTCTAGTGTTTTTACCATGAATTTTTTTTTTAACATTTAACTCTTCAATTCCATTCAGAAGTTATTTAGTTATATGGTTTGAACTATGGATAAAATATTGTATTGCTTACAGTTTAGCCCAGATAATTGGACATAACTCTGCCCATAAGGTGCCCTCTAATAACAACAACAAAAACAGCAACAGAATTAGTCTATTCAGTTAGTCCACTTATCTTCATGACAAGAACATGTGGGTACAAATGAAAGACCCAAGAGCCTCAAATGGTGAATCTAGCCATATTGGGTGAATCAAACCAATAGGCCCACCTTTCTTTAAATGAAGATTTTATTACCTCATTCATTTTGCCCCATGAAAAGAGAAAGCAAGGGCCTTAACAGCTTAGAAGAGATCATTAGAAATGCATAGTTTAGGGCCAGGCGCGGTGGCTAATGCCTGTAATCCCAGCACCTTGGGAGGCCGAGGTGGGCAGATCATGAGGTCAGGAGTTCAAGACCAGCCTGGCCAACATGGTGAAACCCCGTCTCTACTAAAAATACAAAAATTAGCTGGGCACAGTGGCGCGCGCCTGTAATCCCAGCTACTCTGAAGGCTGAGGCAGGAGAATCACTTAAACCCAGGACGCGGAGGTTGCCGTGAGCCAAGATCGTGCCACTTGCACTCCAGCCTGGGCGACAAGAGTGAAACTCTGTCTCAGAAAAAAAAAAAAAGAAAAGAAATGTATAGTTTGTCTAAGACCCCGTCCTGCCTAGACAGGTGCAGCTGGTTTTTGCTGTGGAGGTGTGGCTCCCACTCTGGCAGTCCCAGTGAGTTTGGGCCTTTTGTAGAGCCTGTTGGAGAAATGGCCAAATCCAAGTCCAGGAGTTACTCCTTAAACCACAGAACAGAAATAAAACAGATGTGCAGTACTGAAGATTGTCTGGAAGACAGACAACAAATTGAACATATCAGCATTCCAGGCCAGGTTAATTGTCCTGAGCTGCGGGGGTCAGGTAAAGGAGAAACTAAGGCAAAGCCTCGAGATTTGTAAATATTACCTTGCTGGAACACATACTGCTTAATAAGCCAGGCCTGTTTCTTCAGATTATTGATATAGAATACCTAAGAGAAGGCACCAAGGATAAATCAGGGCTCAGTGGCAAAATTTATGGCAAGATGCAAATGAGAAAAAAATGGAAGCTGAATGTAGGCCCACGTTCCCTAATCAAAATTCAGAGGGTTTTCCCTGGATGTGTTC
Source organism: Homo sapiens (assembly GCF_000001405.40). Classification (NCBI taxonomy): domain Eukaryota; kingdom Metazoa; phylum Chordata; class Mammalia; order Primates; family Hominidae; genus Homo; species Homo sapiens. The sequence continues at coordinate 136,233,783 of NC_000005.10, read as the reverse complement.
TGTAATCGCTCACTTCATTTGTGTCAGCCAAAGGTTTCTGGGTTGTTCCAAGGTAAGAAAGGGAAGATGAATTTGGGTAAAGCCTTTCTCTATGGCAAGTATGATCCATTCCTTTGTTGGTCCATGACAAGTGTATAATCCTAGATCAGCCCTTGTCTGCCCAGCCTCCCCTTCAGACACTGTTCTCCAGTTTTCACTGATCCTGCCAGGAAGGGAGCAACTCTAAGAGAGATCACGGCCTACTGTCTCCTTCCAGTTTGGAATTTAGGGTTCATCTGGTGGTTTTGAAATCTCTCTGCCACTGTTCCCTTCCACGAGTGTGATAACTGAAAGATTGTTCATAATGGGACACAGTACTGCAGTGAATCATGACACAGGGTGGATGACATCTTTTTCACACAAAATGCTGCATCTCACATGAGGAAAACAGTTCTCCCCCCTTCCAGAATAGCACCAGGAGCTGGAGCTCTGCAATAATGGCTTAATACCCTGTCGTTGCTTATAAACACCCAACTAAATTATTTCTCGCTAATGCTAAAATGAATTAAATGTTTCAAAATCACAGTTTTAAAAGAAACTAAAAACAAACACTGACAATAGAATCCCACTTCAAATATCAGTTTTTCAGACTCTGAAGAGTGTGCATAGGGAATGAGCCAAACAGCTGGGTAGACACACACACATGCACACGCACACACAGATACACATACACCCCCACACAATCACACTCGGGAGAGCTGTAAATTCATGCGAGTCAAGAGTTGGATTTTTAGCCCAAGTGACGAGTACCAGTATTTTTGTACATCTTGTCAAATAAATACCAATCCTTGAGAAATGCTGATATTTTTAAAGATCTAGCTAATCCTGGCCATTTGTGGGTGAGTGTTGAAAACCTGAAATGTTAAAGAGGAAAAAAAAAAGTGCTTTCTTACAGTGGTACCAAAAATCTGGATGAAAACTAAAAGAACTGCACTTAACCATTCAGATGTTACCAGATATACATGCATGGTCTAAACCTCCCAACCAAAATCCAGCTTTCTTATTCGATTCTAGGTCATCAGCCTGATACAGTGTCATGCCCATAGAGTATGGACTACGAAATGCACTTGGGTCTTATTCATAACACTACTGTATTTCAGTTACTTCGTAGTCTCAAAAGGGCCAAAGAGCAGTGTCGTTAAAGCTGAGACTAACCTGAACTGCCTTCAAGGCACATGCAGCATCTAACCTAAGTGAGCCGTAGGGTGAGGTTTGGGCAATCACCTGGTGATTTTGAACCATGTGGGCACACCAAAATCCCCACTCTCATTCTTGATAATTCAGCCCCAGTTTAGAAAGCTTAATACATGTGGCTAGCCTCAGCTCTGTAACAGGAGGTCATATGAGAGCCCGCCACAGAGCTGGTCATGAGGCTTAAGTGAGCTGCTCTTTGTCGAGTGCCTAGAAGTGTCAGACTCCAGGGATGCCATCCTCCTGTGTGGACACTGCCCACTTTCCAGGTGTCTGCCATCACTCCCCTTCACGTGGGCTGTGGAGTCTGAGAAGAAATGGTTAGGGCTTAATGGAAGGAAGAATGCACTTTCTGGGGCTCATAATGCACAAGAACAAACATTTACCCAGGTGTTTAATTTTAAATGTTTAAGTTAATTACAGTAAGAGAAAAGTGATACCACAGCCAGGAGTCCCAATAAATGGATTGAATAAAAAATAAAGAGCTTGCCATTTTTAATATTCTTTCAAAGTCTTCTTAGAAATCTGAATATCACATTATCTCAGAATGCAGGCATCACCAACCAGCCCAGCCCCACTCCAGGGTAACAACTGGGCACTCCAGGGTAAAGCATGACCAATGGCAACTTTCATTTTAAAAGTTCAAGCTGGCCAGATGCAGTGGCTTACATCTGTCATCCCAGCACTGTGGGAGGCTAAGATGGGATGATACCTTGAGCCCAGGAGTTCAAGACCAGCCTGGGCGACATAGTGGGATCCTATCCCTACAAAAAATGAAACAATTAGCCAGGTGCGGTGGTGCACAGCTGTAGTCCCACCTACTCAGGAGGCTAAGGCAGGAGAATTGCTTGAGTCCAGGAGGTCAGGGCTAGAGTGAGCCATGATTGAGCCACTGCACTCCAGCCTAGGCAACAGAGTGAGACCCTGTCTCAAGATAAATGAATGAATAAATAAAAGTTCAAGCTGATGCAAACTGCGTAAAAGGACCGTCTGTTTCTTTGCAGGGTTGAAGAAAGTTTTAAAACTTTGTTTTGGTCCATATTCGGCTTATCTGAAGTAATCTCAGTGGTGCTGAAATACGACCACAAATTCATCGAGAACATTGGCTACGTTCTCTACGGCGTTTATAACGTCACCATGGTGGTAGTGTTGCTCAACATGCTAATAGCCATGATAAACAACTCCTATCAGGAAATTGAGGTAAGGCCAGGTCACTGAAAATGCTTGCTCTCCTTCATCTAATTTACATTGCTTTTTTCAGCAATGAGGGGAATGATGTTAGAAGCCCATGTGTTGTTAAATGTGCAGCCAGAACAGCAAAGAACAGGCATTCTTCCTGGATTGCTTCTAGAAATAGAAGCAGTCAAAGTCAGTCTGCCCCATGGCATTGCTGGTACCACCATGAGGCCCAGCGAGAGCAGAAAGAACTGGGGTCATGAGTCTTCTCTCTTTTACACTTGTCTTCTCAGGACCTCGTGCAGATGACCCATGGCAATCAATCAGAATGACTTTCAGCCCCCAGGCCCCTTTCGCCTCTCACGTGTTATTTATTAAGTACCTACTGTATGCCAAATCCGCACTAGGCACTGGTGATACCAAGATGACTAAGACACAGTTCCTGCCTAGAGAAACTCATAGTCCAGTGAGGAGATCATACAGGGCAATCAACAAATTCCAATGCCCTGGGGCCAGTGCAACCAGGTTGTGGGGAGTGGTGTGGGGACAGAGACAGAGATTGACTATGGGGGAAGCTTCCAGAGGTGATGCTGGAAGGCCATTTAAAAACAGAACAATTTTGCCTGACAGATAAAGGGGTTGAGAGAATGTATCAGGAAGCAATTTATCAAAATCTAAAAGGCATGAACCATAAGCTATTGATTGCAGCTTGTTTGGAACAGCAAGAAATTAAAAACAAACTGAGCATTAATAGGAATCTAATTAAATAGACTACGATGCATCTGAAAAATGGGATGCTGTGCAATTCTATTTTAAGAAGGATAAATATGTTCTGTATATGCTGATGGGGAAAGACCTTCAAGTTACAGTGGTAGGAGGTAAAAATCAAGTTCCAGAACAATGTATATAGTGGGCTCTCTCTTGTGTAAGAGAGAAAGAAAAGGGAATGTGATTCATTTGTGATTGTATAAGCAAATGAAAAGAACAAACCTCTGAAAGGTCCACAAGAAAGACACCACGGGGTGCCTGTTGAGAGGTGGGAATAGGGGGCATGGTGGGTGGAATTCCTTTTTCTTTATACTTTTTATCCTTTATAAATCATGTTGTTGCTTTACCTTCTACATGATTAAATAAATAAGCTAAAGTTAAAATAAAAAGCACTGACCTATTGACTCAACAATTCCAATTCTGGGAATAGATCCAATATCATTTTACGTAGATGTTCGTTAAAGGAAAAACCTGGAAATAGTCCATTGATATGAGAATGTTTAAATAAACTGTGATATAGTCACACTTTAGAATAAGGTGTAGGATACTGTACATCCAGCATGAGAAAGACTGTTTTGTACTGACATGGGAAAATCCCTAACACATTATTAAGTGAAAAAATGCAAGTTATAGAAAAATACAAATAGGGGAATCTAATCTATGTAACAGTACAAATGCAAACATAGAGAAGAACTCCAAGGAGGCTACAGGGCTTTTGACCGGGCGTCCTCTGGGGAAGGGAATAAAAGGAGAGAAGATCTGAAATGGGACTTTCACATTTCCTGGTGCACCTCTGTCCTTAAATTATAAGAAACAATTGTTTATATACTTCTTATATAGAAAAAGTAAAGATCCCTGTGTATTAACTTGCTAGGGCTTTCCTAAAAAATACCACAGACTGTGTGGCTTAAACATTAGAAGTTTCTTCCCTCACAGTTCTAGAGGCCACAAGTCCAAGATCAACATCAGCAGGGTTGGCTCCTTCTGAGCCTCTCTGCTTGGCTTGCAGATGTCCACCTTCTTGCTGTGTCCTCACACAGCCTTGCCACCAGTCCAAGAAGATCGGGGCCCCATCCTCGTGACCTCATTTAACTTCAGTCACCTTTTAAAGGCTCCATCTCCAAATAGAAGCAAGTCACCTTCTAACTTGCTGGGGGTTAGGGCTTCTACATAGGAATTTAAGGGGGACACAATTCAGTCTATGATACCCTCCCCAAAAAAGAGTACTCTATGCAGTAGGGAGCACATGTACCAAGGCAGGGAGGGGTGAAGCAGTGTGGTATGCTCAGCGCTGCAAGAGCATAGATTGAGCGAGGAAAAAAGGCAAGAGGTGAGAGGAAGAGGTGAGCCTGGCCATGAAGCCTCAGCTGCTGCCCTCCAGAAAAATACAGCACATTGTGGATGGACAAACAACACATATATTTTTAAAGCATTTTACATACTTAATCACCAGTGTGGATAATGAGCTCTTGTCCACTAGTCCTTCCTGCCCTTCTGGGCCTCAGTTTCCCCATGTGTAAGAGAAAACCAGATGGTGCCTGGAAAAGCTGCAGGTCTCTGCACCACTCCCCCCGGCAATCTGCCATATCCTAACAGGCATGTAATGCTTTAGTTGAAATGACAGTAGCATGGGAAGCCTTGCAGTTGGCTGTGAGGGATGCCCACTAGCTGAGGGCAGGAGCAGGCAAGCCCACGGCATGTGATGTCAAGTTATCCCACCACGGAAAGGGGCCGCGACATGCAGAGAGTGTATTACAGCCCCACACCTCCCTCTGGGCTCTGGACTTCTGTCTTACTGGACCATGGAAGGTACCACTGGAAAATGCCAGGCGTTCATGATCACATGTAGTTTTGATGATGCAAATATTTGTAAACCCTTCCATGAGGACACTAATTTATTGGGTCAGTAGATCTTAAGCCCCTGCTGTCCAAATCCACAACTCACCTGCACCTGCCTCTCCATTCAACTCCCCCCACCCCAGCCCCCTGCCTCTGCAAGCAGCACAGCCTTCTCCAGCAGAGAGCTCTGCCCTGCTCCATTCTGCTCATCCCGCCTCCCCAGCAGCCGCCACTGCACGGCACCCTGCCTGCTTGCGTCTTCACCCCTCTCTTGCTACCTAATCCTTCCTGTCAGCATTTAAATAAGTCACTTGATCTTAAAAAAAAAAAAAAAGGAACTATAAAAAATCCTCCCTCTAGCTTACTTTCCAGCTCCCAACCTTTCTCCCCTGCTCCTTACTGCCGGCATCCTCAAGTTATTTACACTTCTCGCTGCCTCTTCCACAAGTTAATTCTTACAAATTCCCTACCCCCCACCCCACCCACTCTTGACCTTGTTGAGAACTGCTCACTCCTCGGATCTGAGCCCAAACACCAGCCAGCCTTCCCTGACCCCCAGACTGGGTCAGTGGCCTCAGCACCTAGACCCTCCTCCAGCTCTGGGTACAACAATAAGTAAAAGACTAACTAACTAGCTGTTGAATAGCTGATTATAACCCTGTACTCTTGTGGGCCTCTCCTGGGCCCTTGCTGGGTTCACATCATCGGCCAGACTGTGTGTTCCACCACGGCATGGATCGTCATGCCCAGGGCCTCCCTAGCACATGCCAAGTACATAGCAGGTGCTCCATCAATGCTAAGTGACTGAAGGTTGACTACCAGGCCTATGCTAGGCTATGGAGATGCAAATCACATTTATTGAGGGCTTACTAAATGTCTGGCACTGTTCCGTGTCATCTATGCATTAACTCCTTTAATTCTCACAGCCTATTCGATAGGTATTGCTATGCTTATATTACAGATGAGGAAACTAAGGCCCAGAGTGGTCCATCACCTGCCATGGTTGCATAGCTAGTAAGGAGCAGAGCCAGGATTTAAACCCACACAGGCTGCAGAACCCATGTGCTTTGCACTATACCACACTTCCTCTCAGGACGGATGTCCCTGTTACAACTCTCTTGTACAGCGAGACCAGGAGTAAGCCCTGCCCTCACAAAGCTTCCAACCTAAAAGATCCTTATAGGATGTCCCCAAGTAGACCAGGACCAGTGTTGATCCTCAACAAAAGCAAAGTGGTCAACCCTGCTGATTATAACCCTATACTCTTGTGGTATATCCCAGCAGCCTCTCCTGGGCCCTTGCTGGGTTCACAGCCCCTCAGAGTGTAGTCACTGCCTGTGGAAAGAGGAACCCACTGCTCAGGGAGCACACATGCACTACCGACCTCAGGGCTATGTGAGGGAAGCAGTTTTATCTCCATAAGCTCAAGACACCTGCCTAAAGTTACACAGCTAATAAGGGGTTTTGAGCCCAGGTCCATCTGTTTACAAACCCCATGCCTCTTTCCTGGTCTCAAACTGCCCTCCTAGGACAGAGGTTCAAGGAACCTGTCTAGACAAAATACACCTGCTACTCTCAGGGGCCCACTTAGCATTCTGGCATTGACACAATGTCAGAAAGAACAGAACCTGGGTTTAAGTCTACCCCAGAAGAGAACACAACTGGATCACCTCCTACAAACTACACTCAGGCTTTGCTCCCCTTGAATTACATATGCAAGATCTATAAACATCCTCCCTGGCAGCACTCTGACCAATAAGAAATATACTGTCTAATAAATATACTGTGCTGTCCAGTGTGGTAGCCACTAACCACATACGCCTATCAAGCACTTAAAATGTGGCTGGTCTAAATAGATGTGCTGTAAGGATAAAATTCACACTGGAGTTTGAAGACCTAGTATGAAAACAATACGGTAAGCTATCTTAATATTGTTTTATAATGCTTACATGTTGAAATGATATTTTTGATCTACTGCATTAAATATATTACTAAAATTAATTTCACCTGTTCAATTTTACTTTTTAGAATGGGGCTAGTAGAAAATTGAAACTTACCTATGTGGCTCATCTTTTTGGCTCACAATGTATTTCTAGTGAGCAGCACTTCTTTAGAGATTAATAAGTACAATAATGCTGTGGTGGCTGGTGAATCAGCTAGCAGAGCTATAAAAATTAATGAATAACAATATTAAGTGGCAGTGAGAAAAGTTCTTTGGTTAGCTGCAAATGGAGAATGTTGGTAAATATACCCAGTGGAGGGTAGGGGCGGTTAATATGAACTGGTCGAGGCTTTTCAGCCATGAGTCCAAAGAAGACAGGCAGAAAGTGACCATTGTGCATGGTTTTAGTGAGAGCAAACTCCCCTTCTCTGTGCCATCTGTAGAAAAACTACACCAAGTCCTGCTTAGAAGTCTGCTTTCCGAATGTTGGGGCTGTGTCTCTGCTCCTCAGGTTGGGCTCCGTTGTTAAATCGTGGCCTTTGAGGGTGTGTTGTTGTTTCCCTTGTTCCACAGGAGGATGCAGATGTGGAATGGAAGTTCGCCCGAGCAAAACTCTGGCTGTCTTACTTTGATGAAGGAAGAACTCTACCTGCTCCTTTTAATCTAGTGCCAAGTCCTAAATCATTTTATTATCTCATAATGAGAATCAAGATGTGCCTCATAAAACTCTGCAAATCTAAGGCCAAAAGCTGTGAAAATGACCTTGAAATGGGCATGCTGAATTCCAAATTCAAGGTAGGTAGCATGTGGTTTATGAGGCTGGAGAAGGCAGCAGGAGGGGGCAGGCGAGTCTAGAGTGTGTTTGAGTCATATGGCTGCCCTCCCCCACCCCATGCAAGGGGAGCCAGGAGCTGGGAGGGCCGGTACTCTGTAGAGTCTACCTGGACACATCTGAAAGCTCCAATGCCAGCAGAGGCTACTGTGATACCCTCCTTTCTCCTTGCAACCCCTTGGAGAGGTGCCCTGCTGGGGACATAGTAAGCTGCCTGGCTAAGCCATGACCCCAGTGAAGGGAACCCCTTAGTGGACTTGGAAATGGAACAGCTTTTCTCAGAAAGTATCTGGAAAATGATCTCTGAGAAAAAGGTTTCCTTCCCACTGTCTGGCTTTCCTGGGGATTCTCAGTGTTTATTAGTATGTTAAAACCCCTGGAGAAAAGACATCCATGTAACCTTAATTCAGTGCTTTCCAACCAAGTTGACTAAATATTCTGTAACCCTTATTAACATCCTACAGAGCTAAAGGTCCTAGGAACAATGTTCTAGGAAGCCAAGCAGCACCAGGTAAATCAGCTTTCAAAAGCTGCTTCACTGAGACAGCCCCGTATATGGATACTGTTCAAGTCCTACGAGATATGTAGGGATGCATGTATGTTTTTCTGTGTGATGTGTGTGGGTTTGTTTGTTTTATCCAGAAGACTCGCTACCAGGCTGGCATGAGGAATTCTGAAAATCTGACAGCAAATAACACTTTGAGCAAGCCCACCAGATACCAGGTAACCACCCCTTTCCCAAGCATCCAAGCATGGGCAGAAGTAGACTCCACTAAGACACAGATTTAGTCCCATGACTGTGTCATCCCCCGAGAACACAGCTTCATTCCTTCCTTTATTGTACAAATATTTATTGAGTACTTACTATATGTCAGGCACTGTGCTACTTCCTGGGGATACAGATACAGATGTGGTTCCTCCCTCAGTGGCACCTCCAGTCTAGTGATGATGGACAATAAACAAGTCAACACACAGATAAGTGTATGCCCTCAAACTGGTAATAGTGACAAAAAGCAAACAGGAGGACTCAAAAACAGAGAAAAATAGGGAGCTTCAGCCTAGATATAGTTTTCAGAGAGGACATCTTCAAGGAGAGAACAGTCAGCCGAGACCACTCGGATGCAGGAGGCAGCCATATATGGCCTTCCAGGCAGAGGAAGAGAAGGGTGGCAGGTCCAGGGCAGCTGGGCCCTGTGGAAGCAGAGGGTGGAGGGAGTGAGGTCAGAGGGCCAGACCACTGTCAGGATGGGGGAGAGGGTAACTTTGCCCAGGAGGGGAGATGATGAAATTGTATTCGCGCTTTAAGAAAACCACCTAACTGCTATAATGAGAAGAGACAGGTGGGGACAAGAGTAAAAGCAGGGATACCAGTGAGGAGGATGTGACAGTCATTCAGGTACAAGGCATGGTTGCTTGGATTGGGGTACGAGCAGGGTGATAGAGAAAAGCAGACAGATGCTATACACTTTCTGGATATATAGCTGCTGGGCACATATGGGGAGGGCGAGGCACACCCAGCATGGCTCACAGGTTTCTGTCTTAAGCAGTCAAGTAGATATAGGTGTCTTCAGACTTGGACTGCCAGCCTGCCAAGTCTGTTGTCAGAAAAATTAGAAAAAGAACTTTTATGCTTCCAATCCTTGCATTGCTTTTGGAAATGAATGCCAGATCTCTGTATCCGTTTGGATCAGCCCATGCGCCAGTGATAAACGATAGCTACAGATGATCAATTATAAAAGGGCAGGCCACTCCTTTCCTGTCTTCCACTTCTCGATGATCAGCAGTTTCACCTATGCTGATCATTTCTTATCAGATGTAAATTTTAAGCTGTCCTGAGCATTCCTTTGGGTGGAGGTGATGTGCCCCTGGTGCCACCTTCCCACAGGGAGAATTACAGACTTAGATCTTTTAGATACAGGTCTCTAACTGAATCTCTCCAACCATATTTCAGAAGCCAGCTGTGCAGTTAGGAGAATTTAATTGCACAATTAAGAAATGGCTCATCCCTCAAAGAGCTTATAGTTCTATCAGATGACAGGCGAAAAATTAGCAATGGGCAAATCTTGTGTTTAATCGCGCACAAAATTGGCACTGACTGGTTTGATCTGCTTTGAGCTATTTTACAGACCAAAGCCTTTGGTCAGTGAAAGTATTTTTATTTCTCAGCTTTTCAGAGAGAAGTATAGATTATCTGTGTCACAGAAAAGATAGATACCCAATGGGTTAGGGCCAAATCTCTCCTAGGTTTTGAGCAGAATTAGCTCCTGAGATAAAGGAAGATCAATTCTGTGTGAATGTCCCATTCCAGAATGAATCCTTTCTGAAAGAGACCATTTTCTTTTCTTTTTTTACTTTTTTTTTTTACTTTATTTATTTATTGATTTTAGACAGATTTCACTCTTGTTGCCCAGGCTGGTGTGCAATCGTGCGATCTCGGCTCGCTGCAACCTCCGCCTCCCAGGTTCAAGTGATTCTCTTGTCTCAGCCTCCCGAGTAGCTGGGATTACAGGCATGCGCCACCATGCCTGGCTAATTTTGTATTTTTAGTAGAGATGGGGTTTCACCATGTTGGTCAGGCTGGTCTCAAACTCCCGACCTCAGGTGATCCACCTGCCTCGGCCTCCCAAAGTGCTGGGATTACAGGCATGAGCCACCACGCCTAGCAGGAGACCATTTTCAAAAGCAGTCTCAAAGCAGTCCCATCTCTGTCTTCCGTCCTCGCTGGTTGAGTCCATACTGCCTTGAATCTCCCCAGGAACTTCCTGCTGTGATTACAGAGATTGGTCATCTACAGCTTCAGGCAACTGATGACCTTGGAAAGCTTTGCTCATTTTGTAATTTGTGACTCCACAGAAGAAGCCTGAGGTGACTTATTCAAATAGTTGTCACAGAAAAGAAACAAAAAGCCAGCCAGTAGGCATCAGAGGAAAGGGGCTGAGAGAAAGCAGTCTTTGCACATTGGCTCTTGGCTCCACCCTGCTAGGCTGTGTGGCATCGTCCTGAGTCATCATCTGCTCACAATTGGAGTAAACCCTGAGATGTCACTAAAAGATACCTGGATGCAGGCTGGACACTAGCTCACGTGTACTCTCCCATATTCCTTGGAGATGGGCACTGTCTTCAACCCCATGTAACAGATGAGGGAATTGAGGCTCAGTGGCCAAGGCCACACAAGTGACTGAATTGAGATCTCTCTGACTCAGAGGGCCCCCCCTCTCTCACCACGTCATGCTGCCTGGACACCTGCCTATTATTTATCTTCGTAGTTTTGCACCAGCACCCTCCTCAGAACCTTTCTTGCCTGTGTTTGACAGTCACCAGGAAGAGACCTATTTGAGCCTTCCAAGCACACAGTGAGGAGGCAAGGAGCAGAAGGCACTGGGGCACTTTTGCTGTCAACAGCAGCAAGGACAATTTGAGGGGGGATCTGAGTATGGTTCCTCTCTTTCCTTGGGCCTACCAGTGGCCTTCCAAGTAGCATTGCTTTCCTCCCACAGCAGCTTCCAAATGTGCAGAGAACATGAGCAGCCCAATTCACCCCCTCCTTCTTACAATCCAGGCCCTAGGCAGAGCTGCTGTCACTGAGCACATATTCCATCAGCTTCTCACATGTTGTGGCTCTGAGAAATCACTTAGTGTTCCCAAGAAGATAAAAGCACCATCGTTCACACACATTTAGTTACTAAGTTTGCTGCTTTTTTGTCTCTTCATTCGATTTCTCGACTGTTAGCATTTCAGGTGTTCATTCAGCTGTTTGTCAATCCTTCTGCTTTTGTGAGGTCTTTGTTGTAAGGGAAGACAGCTCCTTCAGACTTCAGAGGCTTTCTGTGTTTTTTTTTTCCTTAGGCTCCAGGGTGTCTGAATTGTTATTTTTCACAAAACCATTTTTTTAATGTGTTTTTCAGTCTGGGCTCTGCAGACCTGAGACCAAACAATGGAACAAAACCATGATACTGGTGAGATGGCCAAAGTATGCCTCATCCCCAAGCTCCCTGTGATCTGTTTCAAGATCCAGCTTGTCAGTTTGTTGGGGCAGGAAGTATACAGACCCACATACTCACTCTGAGAGGCATATTTCTTCATGGTCAAAGTAAACAAGCGATATCCCAAATAAACCATAGAATCCAGGCACATCCATCATTCACATACACTCCAATCTTTATGCTGCAATCTGCTCCCCAAAACCCCGTGGGGAGTTCTCTTTTCCATCTTCTAAATAGCCTTTACCGAAGAGATCAAAGCAAAGAGGATGGACAACTTGCCAGTGCCTATTTCTTCTATTGTTGTGTCTGATAAACCTCAGTTTAACAAATGACTTGTCCTGTGATCTATTTTGTCCACTCTCTTCCAAATGTTCCTCAATTTCTGTTTTCCTAGGTGACCACATTTCTTCCCTCTGGATCCTACCTCATTGGCCATCATCAGTGTACAGTATGTGTTCTCTTCCTTGCTTCCTTATCTGTGTCCTCATCTGCCCTGGCTGTGCAGGGAGAGTTGTCTCTCCCATAGAAAGATGTCCTGTGTTCCCCTTCACCATCAGCGGCCAGAGGCCATTTGGCCTCTTGTAGTTTGGGCCGGGTCTGGGCTGTGGGAACTGTGTGCCTTCCTCTCCGGATGTAGGGCTCTGCGTGACAACTGCTCTTATCCATTGTGCATCTCATCTTCATCCTCTTGAGTATGCTTTGCCTGAGTGATAGCACTCAATATACTCATCTCCAGTATTTGCTAATGCATGGGGCAGGGCAGGGAGAGTTGCCACTACCAGGGACATAGTAACTTGGAGAAAGCTTATTATCTCCATGAAGTGAAAGAACTCTATGGAAGATAGCAAGGAGGTATCTCAAACTCATCACAAAACATACACACACACACACACACACACAGACACATACACACACACACACATTTCCCCCACATAGTGAAAGAAGGGAGGCTTTCTATGTCCATCTTTTCTATATCTATTTTCTATATCTATATCTATTTTCTATATCTATTTCTAGAATAGAAATAGATATCCTATCAGGGGAACCAGCCCCCAGTATTTCAATGTAGGTTCTTTCTATTTTCCATAATTGTCGGCCATCTGAGAAATAAAGAGAAAGAGTTCAAAGAGAGGAATTTTACAGCTGGGCCTCCGGGGGTGACATCATATATCGGTAGGACCATGATGCCCACCTGAGCCACAAAACCAGCAGGTTTCTATTGAGGATTTCAAAAGGGGAGGGAGTGCAAGAACAGGAAGTAGGTCACAAGATCACATGCTTCAAAGGAGAACAAAGATCATATGCCTCTGAGGCCAATAAAGATCACAAGGCAAAGGGCAAAGCAAAGATCACAAGGCAAAGGGCAAAATCAAAAACTCCTGATAAGGGTCTATGTTCACCTGTGCACGTATTGTCTTGATAAACATCTTAAACAACAGAAAACAGGGTTCGAGAGCAAAAAACTGGTCTGACCTCAAATTTACCAGGGTGGGGTTTCTTCTCCACCCTAATAAGCCTGAGGGTACTGCAGGAGACCAGGGCATATTTCAGTTCTTATCTCAACCTCATAAGACAGACACTCCCAGAGCGGCCATTTATAGACTGCCCCCCAGGAATGCATTCCTTTCCCAGGGTCTTAATTATTAATATTCCTTGCTAGGAAAAGAATTCAGTGATATCTTCCCTACTTGCATGTCCATTTATAGACTCTCTGCAAGAAGAAAAATATGGCTCTATTCTGCCCGACCACGCAGGTAGTCAGACCTTATGGTTGTCTTCCCTTGTTCTCTGAAAATCGCTGTTATTCTGTTCTTTTTCAAGGTGCACTGATTTCATATTGTTCAAACACACGTTTTACAATAAATTTGTACACTTAAAGCAATCATCACAGTGGTCCTGAAGTGACGTACATCCTCAGCTTACAAAGACAACAGGATTAAGAGATTAAAATAAAGACAAGTGTAAGAAATTGTTAAAGTATTATTAGGAAAGTGATAAATGTCCATGAAATCGTCACAATTTATGTTCCTCTGCCGCAGCTCCAGCCGTTCCCTCCATTCAGGGTCCCTGACTTCCCGCAACAATATCCTCTGTGCCATCCATGTTAAACAGAACTTTTGGCCATTTCTCCAACCATTTCAGGCTTTCTGGTGGCAAAACTGGTTTTTGCAGATACCAAGTTGTGCAGCATGCACATAACAGAAGGGAAGTTAGGTCTCTATGAGGACATGAAGTTTTTTTGGTTTTTGAGACAGAGTCTTGCTCTGTCACCCAGGCTGCAGTGCAGTGGCACCATCTCGGCTCACTGCAACTTCTACCTCCCAGGTTCAAGCAATTCTCCTGCCTCAACCTGCCAGGTAGCTGGGACTACAGGTGTACATCAACATGCCTGGCTAAATTTTGTATTTTTAGTAGAGATGGGGTTTCGCCATATTACCCAGGCTGGTCTCCAACTCCTGGCTTCAAGTGACCCACCCACCTCAGCATCCCAAAGTGCTAGGATTACAGGCATGAGCCACTGTGCCTGGCAGGACATGAAGTCTTTAAGAACTGGCAGGCAGTCACACTGCTCTCCCTGAAGGTCCCTGTCACTCTGGGAAGTGCCCTGGAGGTGAGGAGGAAGGCTAAAGTGTCCCTGCACATCTGCAGTGCTCATCTGATTCTGCTTCCACAAGAAGACTTTATAATCCTAATGCATACTGAGAGCTTCAAAGTAAACCTTTGCTTTTCTACCCTCTGAGCCCTAGGTCTACAGAAACCCTGGCTCAGATCGAGCATGCCAGTGCTCAAGAGTGGGCCATGAGCATTCCTGCCAGTGCCAGAGCAGAGACCCCCTTCTTCAAGGGATGACCATTGTATGATGTCACCCAGCCTCTGAAATCTAGTGAGGCTTCCCCCTGCATAAAATGACTCAGTACCCAGACACAGCCCAAACCCTCTTTGACTAATGGGAGCCAGTTTCCCACATCTCATTTCCTAAACCATCTTGAGCCTTTGTTTTGATGCTCAGATGAAGTCTCAGCCATGATTTCCATGCTGGTTAAATCTCAGATCTGCCACTTTCCAGCTGTGTGACCTTGGAGAAGTTACATCAGTCTCTGAGCCTCAGTGTCCTCATTTGTAAATGGAAATGACAACTCCCATCTCACTGAGTTTCTTGGAGGAGTCAGTAAGATCACTTTTATGAGAGGCTGACACAATCCTGGTCTATGGAAGCACTCAATGCATTTGCTTCTTTGCGTCTTCATCCTTTCACCCTTCCTCCTGAGGGGCTCCTCTGCATTGAAGGAGACTGTGAGCAGGATCTCACCTATCCCAGCCAAATAGAGTTTGAGGGGCACATTTTCTATTATTAGTAAATACATGCTATGGAATGTTCTTAAATACAAAATGTGCACACCAAACAGGAAGGGCTGTAATTCCGGCTGCACCTATGAAAGAATTTTCCTCAACACCATTTGACTGCCAATCTCTGGCTTATCATTTTACATGAGAAACAGTAAAGCTCTTTAATTGTTGGATCCAGAAACTGAAGAACCCTTAATTCCTGAGGTTTGCCTTGAAAAGGCAACCAACTTTAACTAGGTCCCTTTAATTTTGTGTCAGCCTGAAAGATTGCAGTGGAAGAACACTTCTGAATTTCTTATTCAGCAAGAATGACAGATAACTAAGTGTCTGTTTTGTTATTTTTTTTTTCATGAGAACTAGTTTAGGACAAAGTTTTTGTCTTGTTTTGTTTTTCCAACTCAAAGTGAAAGCAGCATTACTGAGTCTCATGGAAAGGGATACATATATTTTGTATATATATTTTATATAATCTCAAAAAATATATTTTTGAGATATATATTATATATTTTATATATATCTCAAATATATATTATATATTTTATATATAATATATCTCAAATATATATTATATATCTCATATATTATATATCTTAAATATATATTATATATTATATTATATATATATTCTTTTTTCTTTTTTTTTTTTTTGAATTAGAGTCTTGCTCTGTTGCCCAGGCTGGAGTGCAGTGGCATGATCTTGGCTGACTGCAACCTCTGCCTCCCAGGTTCAAGCAATGCTCTCTGCCTCAGCCTCACGAGTAGCTGGGATTACAGGCACACACCACCATGCCCAGCTAATTTTTGTATTTTTAGCAGAGACAGGGTTTCGCCATTTTAGCCAGGCTGGTCTTGAACTCCTGACCTCAGGTTATCCACCCACCTTGGCCTCCCAAAGTGCTGAGATTATGGGCATGAGCCACTGCACCTAGCTTGAAAGGGATATATTTTTTATAACTTAGATAACTTACTTTATTGACTAGACTATGTCCATGAGAAATTCAGCGCTGCAGTTTAACCGCTAGTAGGATAAGACCCAGGCTTCTCTGAGAAGGAGCAGCAGGAAGGCAACTGCCAATTAACTCTTCAGCCTGAAATTAGATCACAACTCAAACCACACAGCCAGTTGGCCCATGAGCCCGAGGGCTGAGGAGGGGCAGTGCTGGCCTGAATGAGCTAAACCCAGTGTTATCCTAGAGAGCCTTTCGGGTTCAGGTGAAGTCTTAGAATCACAGGCCAGGAAGCATCTCTGTGGCAAGCTCTTCATGGTTAAAGGGATGGAAAGAACCATAATTGATGATAATGAGTAAATCCTGCAGCTCTTTGCATCCAGTTCACTTACTTTTTATTTGCAAGATGCTTTTCCTCAGCCTATGTAGCAAAGCTAGGAACAGAATCAGGTCCCTACAGGTCTCTTCAAACTGGAAAATGCTGCCTCTGTCCTCTTGGTCCTCAGGTGTGAGCAGGTCAGAAGGCCACAAGAAGGGAGGACCAAGGAGCAGGGAAATCCCTTCCTCTCTTCCACACTGCTCATCTCTTGGAAGATTCAGAAGTCTCGGCTACCCGAGTATTTTTAAATCCTGTGATTTCGCAGGAACCCTGGACCAACTAGCTGGCAAAATCCAAAGTTCACCTCCTGCAGTCTTTCCTACACTTGGCTCTATTCTTGGTGTCTCTTAAGTGTTTATTCATGCCTCGCCTGCTTAACGAATTCAGTATCTTCATAATAAATGGAACTTGAGGGCCAAATCCTGCTCCAGTGTGACTCCGGCAGTACAGTGTCAGGCCTGTGGGAAGTGGTATCTCTGTAAAACCCCAGAGGCCCGGCTGTGTCTGCTTCTGCTTCTGGTAGGAATTTTCCAAGGTACAGTGGACTTGTCCTCCAAGCCTGATCCTGACTTCTGTACCCAGCGGATCTCTTCATGAAGGGCACACTGCTCACTGTGACCTCTGAGGGAGGCAGCTCCACCCAGGCAGGCCTGCTAAGTCTTCCCCAGCCCTCCATCCTTAAAACAGAACTGAGGTCCAGGAAAGATGACTTGACTGAGCAGGGCAGAGCCAGGCCAAGGCCCCTGGAGCAGAGATTTGTGCCACTGCCCACTCCACCCTTTCTCTCTGTCTCTCTCTCTGCTTGGCTCAGCTTCCTGCCATTAAGAAGTATTCCTGTTACATCCCAGGTTCAGTTGCACATTGCATCCTGCGGGGGAGGCGAAACAGAGGCTGGCCAGGTACCCGCACTGTGCAGGGCACCCCTCCAGAGTGAGGCGCCAGGCATGGGAGGGTCGCCATGGTTGCTGAGGCTCTTCAAGGGAGGGAGGGGTCCTGCTACACCACGCAGGCTGCCTCTGCATTAGGCCAGCCCTGTCTGATCCCTTCCTTGCTTGGCATTTCAGAAAATCATGAAACGGCTCATAAAAAGATACGTCCTGAAAGCCCAGGTGGACAGAGAAAATGACGAAGTCAATGAAGGTAAATGACTGGATTTCCACCCACGTGGTGATTTAAAACAACACAGGTTCTGTGGGTCTCACTGGGCTACGGCCACAGTGTTGTCAGGGCACTGTGCTCCTTTCCAGAGGCTCCAGGGAGGCTCAGTCTCCTTGCTCATTCAGTTGTCGGCAGAGTGCATTTCCACGGGGCTGCAGGCCTGTCCCTGTTGCCTTGCTGGCCACAGCTGGGCTGCCCTGAGCTCCAGCACTTGGTCTGTGCATACAGCCCCACCACCTCAGAGCTGGCAGCAGGCATCAGGCACCCTCACACTCCATTTGCCCTGCCTCATCTTCCATTGTCCCATCTCTGACCCCACTCTTCTGCCTTCCTCCTCCACCATTTTTTTTTTTTTTTTTGAGATGGAGTCTCACTCTGTTGCCCAGGCTGGAGTGCAACGGCACAATCTCGGCCCACTGCAACCTCTGCCTCCTGGGTTCAAGTGATTCTCCTGCCTCAGCCTCCTGAGTAGCTGGGATCACAGGTGTGTGCCACCACGCCCAGCTAATTTTTGTATTTTTTTAGTAGAGATGGGGTTTTACCATGTTGGTCAGGCTGGTCTCGAACTCCTGACCTTGTGATCCGCCCATCTCAGCCTCCCAAAGTGTTGGGATTACAGGCATGAGCCACTGCGCCCGGCCCCTCCTCCACTTTTAAGGACTCATGTGATTGAATTGGTTCCACCAGGACAATCCAGAATAATCTCCTTCTGTTAAGGGCAGCTGATCAGCAACCTGAATTCTATTTGCCACCTCAGTTCCCCTTTGAGGAGAAACAGTCATGTTTCCCACAGGCAGAACATCAGGGATCAGGACGGGGACATCTTGGGAGTAGGGGACATTCCTCTGCCTCCCACAGCAATGGCAGCCTTGAGCCAACCTCATGCCTCTTGAGTGCAGGATGGTTCAGAATTCCAATGCTGTACTTCATTCCATGGTGCACATCCACTGAGCAGATGCACACTGCGTTTAGGGTCTGCCGCCGCTTGCTTCTAACTGGCCCTGTCCAGTCTCAGTGGGAGGTTCTCAGCATCTAACTGACAGCCGTGTTTCTCAAAGTGTTCCCCACCTCAGAACTAGCTGTTAAAACTACAGATCCCAGACCCCACCCAGACCTAATGAATCAGCATCTCTGGAGTGGGGTCTGGGGATCTGCTTTTGGAAAACTGCACCAAGGGTCTCTGATATACACTGAAGTTTACCAACTATATTATTTTCACTGTTTGGGTTGTTTTCCAGTCTATTTTAAGCAGTTACTCTTAGATGAAAAGCAAATTACTTTATGCCAGGTAATTAATGAGATACTTATGACAAATATTTGCCACCTAGAAACAGCCTCATCCATGATTGAAGTTTCTGTTCTCCTAGCTTGGGCCACAGGGAACTACAGAAAGAGCCTGGTCATTGGGTGACCCTCTGCTTCATCCTGGGGCACCCAGCATGCAGCTCGAAGCTCAGCCATAACTGAACTGCCCCTGAGCTGACATGGTTTAGGGGCAGACAACAGCCCACCTACCTACTTGTAGGTCTCAAACAATGGCCAAGTGTCAGGCCAGCCAGCCTCAAGCAGTATGTAACTGATTCATGTGAATATCACTGATCATAGAAGGTGGGGGTATCCAGGTGTCATGGCACTTAAATTACACCATGAAACGGGGGCTCAGTGAAGCATCTGATAAAAACAGGGGGTGTATCCATTTGTCAAAATGGATCAAACTGTACCTTTAAGATCTCTGCCTTTTATGTGTATAGACCATACCTGAAAAATAGACGAGTAATGTTTCCACAGACAGTGGACTCCCACACGAGCCAAGTGCAGTATCTACAGTATTAGGAAAGATCCTTTTGACATCTGTTTGTGGTTAATAAGAAGATTCCCACAGCCTAGACCCATTGGACTTCTAACCACAAGGTTCTCTGTGGAAATAAAAGTGAAAGTCCCTGCTAGGTGGTCCCTCGTTATGGAAGGAGGAGGCGGCAGGCATTGACGAAGCTCCTGTCAGCGAGGTGGTGCTG
Source organism: Homo sapiens (assembly GCF_000001405.40). Lineage (NCBI taxonomy): Eukaryota > Metazoa > Chordata > Mammalia > Primates > Hominidae > Homo > Homo sapiens. The sequence continues at coordinate 136,214,166 of NC_000005.10, read as the reverse complement.
CTGCTTGTGTGGGCTGAGTGGACCGTGCTCAGGTGGCCAGCTCACTCCCAAGAGGCTGGTCAGCTCCATGGCCACCACGGCTGCATCTGCTGTGCCGAGCCATTCTCTCCAGGCTCCTGGGAGTTTCTCCTCCCTACAAATAACAATGACAGAACAAAACATAGCATCATCAAAAGCAATGCTCTGGTTAATGGGGTTGTTTTCCAGAGTCTTGAAATCTGCCTTTAGTGACTCTGAAACAAACTTTCTAACAAGTATTTTATGAAACAAGTGCTAGACACAATTCACAGCCCTGATCTTGACTCCTCCTTCAAACCCCTAAGGGAAAGGTTTTCCTGGAATGGGAGGAGAAGGGCTTTCTATGGATCGATGTGTCCTTCAGTGGTGGGGGAGCTGGGTGGTTCTGGGTTCAAATAGAGCCCCCCTTGCCTCACCTTCAACCCTGGTGGGCTGGCCCAGGACCCGACATTCCACTGGAAGGATGCACATGCCCACATGTGCATGGGACAAGCCCCGAGCTTCCACCTACTCAGACTCAGCAAAATCTCCTCTGTCCTTGCAGGCGAGCTGAAGGAAATCAAGCAAGATATCTCCAGCCTGCGCTATGAGCTTCTTGAGGAAAAATCTCAAGCTACTGGTGAGCTGGCAGACCTGATTCAACAACTCAGCGAGAAGTTTGGAAAGAACTTAAACAAAGACCACCTGAGGGTGAACAAGGGCAAAGACATTTAGCAGCCCACATCGGCGTCTGTGACTTCTACCAGCATTCCAAGGCCAGGTTGGATGCCCTCGCCCCCATCCTTGGTGGGGAGGGGTCCCCAGCCCACTCCTCTAGGACACGAAGGGGATCTCCTGGCTCAGTCTCTTGCAGCATGACTGACATCTCCAGCCCGCTGGCCTGCCTAGACCCAGAACTGCTGTGAATCTAGGTGGTTGGGTAAGAAAAGCTACCATGGGAGGAGGGGAGGAACAGCCCCCTGACGAGTGTGAGACCTTTGGTCCAGCCACAGTGAAACCCATCCCTGTGGCCAGAGCAGGAAAAGGCCATCTTGGGTGCACACCTGTGCCCTCCCACTGCAGGTGGGACTGCAGCTCTGGCTGTGTCCTGGGAAGACAAACACCTCAACCCACAAACTCCTTCTCACTCCCTCCCTGCCACCCCCAACACATCCAAACAGAACCAGGAGGTGACCTGTGATCTATTCTTAAGTGCCAGATGAGAACACAGCCTAATAGCAAAATAGTTCTATTTGTTTATATAAAAAAAAAGTTTAAAAATCCTAAATTGAAAACTGTACTGTAGGTAGCACTGTTTAGAAAACAACAACAAAATCCAAATGATGTATTTTTACCTTTATTAAGATTATCTTGTATTTACTATTTTTACCTAAAATGGAAAGAAATAAAATTACCTCATAATAACTTCTGTGGATACGCTACCAGGGCCGCCCCACTCGCGGGCCCAGTCTGGAGGTGGCCTTGGGAACCTGTGGCCCAGGGATGCTTCGGGAGGAGAATGGGCCGATGCGGTGGGGGTTGGGTGGGGACGAAGGCACCACCCTCCTTAGAGTCATGCAGCCAGGACCCCCAGAAGCTCCAGCCTCCACCTCCAAGCCCCTCCTCCTGTGCCCAGACCTAAGGTCAGGAAGGAGGTAAAGGAAATGCAGAACAAGTGGAAAGTTTTCTCCCACCCCATTCTAGAACTTTCCTCCATGTGAAAGGAAGGGGAGGGGCAGGAATGAGGCCTCAAAGTGTCCCCCCAACCAAGGAAGAGGCTAAGTGTGAGTGGGGAGAGCAGCCACCAGAGGGCGCTGAGTCCCAAACAATGCCTGTTCGGAGCAGGTGTGCGAAGATGCCATTCATCTTCCAGAAGCTTCCAGAAGAGCCCTCTGCTCCCAAGGAAATATTCCTAGGGCTGGCCAGAAGTATTCAGCTTTTGCCGTGTACCAGGCACTGTGCTCGGGGCTTTGCATGCATCAGTCCACCGGATCCTCACAGCAACCCTGTGAGGAGGGTGATGGTTACAAATTCACATGCCTTGCAGACGTTCTAGAGGGGGGAAGATAAATATATAATAATTATATATATATATATATATGCATGTGTGTATGTGTAAATGTATATATGTATGTATATGTAGAAAGAGGGAGCTTGTGTTTCAAGACATACGTCTTTGTCTTCAGGGGCAAACATTTTTTTTACTTAACTCTGCTATAAGAAACAGCCGATCAGATGAGGCGATAAATAGAAGTGAGGTTGGTGCCAGCATTGATGGGAGTGACGAGGGACGATGACAGACTGCACAGCCGTGCCCTGCCTAAAGCAGGCTGCAGACACTCAGCTCAGCCCATCGTTGCCATAAGGAATATAAGTCCTGTTTTGCCACATCTTCCCAACTGCTGAAAAAAAGAAAAAGTCAACATTTGTTGGGCTCCTGGCCGCCAAGATAGGCAGCAGAAGATGAGACATGGCTCCATGCCTGGGCCTTCCCAACCCAATCTGCACCACCACCTAGTATTCAAGCAAGACAGAAACAGGCATTTGACAGGTACTGGGCATACTGCATATGCAGGGGCACTTGACAGACATAAACTCTGGCCCAGGAGGAGGATCCATAGAGGACCATGGATGGATTTCAAAGAGCCTGCAAGTCCTAAGGTGCCCTTCAGGCTGTGTGCTTGTCTTTGCAATGGGTGCATTGTTCTGGAGAGAACACCTGTAGCTTTTTGCAAGCACTCATCTACACGCCCCCGGCAAGTCCACAAATGAGGAATGACTTTACTCAGCAGCTATGTACTAAGCCCCTTGCCAAGTGCTAGGGACAGAGCCACATGCATCCAGTGTGGCTCCCTTTTTAAACCCAGACTCTGAAAAGGGAGGCTTAAGTGCTTTGTAGGAAGAGCAATTGATTCATCCAGGGGACAAATTGCTAACACTTCTGGAAGACTGCCTTTCAGATCCCTCATTTATCTTTATCAGAATGCTAATCAATACTTCTGAGATGCATTCTTCAATTTCTCTATCTGCCTTCAGCCAAAGGCAGTTAGCAACCCCATTTTCAAACCATGGGGCACACTTTTCCTATCAAACCTAAGTCTCAGATCTACTCCTTATAGAGATAAAGGAAAACCAGTCTCACTGAGTAATTAAAAACTGGGAAAGAAAACTAGTACCATCCATTAGGGTTTTAATGCCATGTCTAGGAGGTAAAGGTAGTCCAGGAATGAATTCATGGCTGTCAGATGGCTATGGGGAAGGGCAGAAGAGAGCCCCTTTTTGGTGGAGAGCTGTTGGAGAGGCCTGGAACTGAGGGCTGGCAGAGATCAGCAGCCTGAAGCAGGGAAAAGGGCTCAGTCATCTTCCAGGCACTACCAGTCTCCCTCACTTGCCCCATCTCTTGGGCCCATGCTAAATTAGCCAGGCAGGGGAAGCAGCGCTTGAAGAAGCCAAACAGCAGGGTGAGGAATGGAACCTGAGAGAGACCCAAGGGCAGATGGGGAGAAAAAAGGACCCAGTCCTCCCTGGAAAGTTCACTAACACTCCTCAAGATGTGCATGCCGCCAGAGGCACCCATCTGTCCCCTGCAGCTCTGCACACTTGCCATCATTCTGTCTACAACTCTAATGTATACGTTCAGCATCTGTCTCCACTGCTCCAGGGAAGCTCCATGAGGAGGTCAGGTCTGTTCCATTCCCCACTGAGTACTGGCACAGGGCCAAAGAGTAGCCACTCTTGCTGAATTCCTCATGAATTACTGCAGGGCCCTTCTGATCTCCAGTTTTCTGAAGTTCCTTCAGACAGCATCATCTCGGGCCCTGAGAAACTCGGTGAGTTTGCAGAAACATAAGCCATCCTCTGCTATAGCTCAAGCCATTTCCCTTCTAGTTATAGCCTGGAAGGGGGCCCAGCTCCTTGCCATAACATGGCACACTGATGCGGGAGTTGCAGCCCCTGTCCAGGCTTCCTGGGTAACCAGTGGTTAAGCAGTGAGTTCTCCAGTGACTTGTCACCTTACAATGGCTACTAATAGGACTCGACAAATCATAGTGACACTTCTCATGCAGAAGTCCCCAATTAGTCCTCCGAGCTGTTCCTAAAGGACCATGCTCACACACTTGAGAAAGTGCAGTGACCGCCTCTGCCCATCAAAGCCTGTCTCCTTCCCTCCCAGCAAGGCCCAAAGACAGAACATTGGCCCACACAAGCCAGGCAGGGGGAGATTCCCCAGGGCAGGAAAGCTCTGACCAGACACCTTCATGGGGAGGCTGAGACACCCTGCACTGCTCAGGAGCATGCAGCATCTGGTTACAAATAAGCGGCCTTGATCCCATCACTTCTCAAAGTGCCCATGACTGCGTCTGTAAAGTGCAGAGTCTGAGAGCCCCAGAGGCCGGCAGGCCAGAGAAGCTTCATTTGCGGAGGCAGGCAGGCACGCCTCCACGCTATGCTTATCCCAGCTCTTCTCTGCATCCCATGAAGGGTGAGAGTACTAGAGGGAAGGAGCTCCAGGAAAGACACATAGATGCCAATCAACTTAATGATGATTAACACAGGAGTGAAGCCACTTCCGGCCGTGGTCTCCCAGGCACAGCCAGCAGGAGCTTGGGTAACGCTACCTCATCCCGGTCCTGGGAGCGGGGCCCACATGGGCTGGATGGCATTGCGGAATGGCAGGTCCAGACACTCACTGTGGCCCAGTATTTCACCATTGTTTCCCCAGTGCCGTCAAGCAGCTAGGACAACCCATGCCTTTTGCTTCAGCGAAGGAATGACACAGAAAGCAGGAAAAAATAAAGGTGTGCTCATTTCCCAGACCTGAGGCTTTAAAAAAGGGAGAGGTCAGATGAGGGGAGAGTCGAAGTTTGGAAGAAAGGATGGCTGAGGAGCATGGGTTCTCCCCTACCCAGATTGGAGCAGCAGAGGAATGGGCAAAGTGGTGAGAGCAGAGAGGTCAAGGTGCTGGACAGAGAGAGTCAGACCCCAGAGGAAAGGGTGTGCTCCCATGCCGATAGAACCCGGGGCCTGGCTGGGTCTGCCTTCTGCACTGCCTGGCCTCCTCTAGAATGAGCAGGGACCAGCCCAGTTGCCTCCTGTCAGCCTCTCCCCTGCACTAGGAGGGAGAAAGAGGAAGGAAGAGGCTCTCCAGGGCTGAGGCAGAGGCAAAGTGTCCTCTCCTTACAATAAGTTTTAAAAGTCCTGATTTCATGTCCTCTGAGTATCTGAGTCAGAAATAACTGGGCAAAACACAGCCCGCTACGCCTTGACATGGATGTGGCATAGCTGTGCCACTGACCAAAGAGGCCTGAGTGTCCCGTGGAGGCTGACGTGCGGAGGCTGCTGCCAGGCACTGACCCCACACCCCTAAGGTCAGCAGCCCCCACCCAACCCAGCAGACAGGCAGCATGCTGGGGAAAGAGAAGAAAAAAGAAGGCAATTAAATATGCTAAAGAAAAATTTAACAAGACACTTTTAGGTGTCTGAGGGCAGGTCCAGACACTGGTAGGACAGACAACATTTTTAACTTTGCCACTTCCACCCCCACCACCCCAGTGATGGTGAATATACAGGGATAAGGCAGAGAGATGGCCGGCACAGAAGCCAGAGAGGAAGGGTGGGCTATGGAGCATGTAGGCTTGGTGCTGGCTGTGACCCCCTCTTTGGCTGGTAACAGATCTCACTGTACCCCAGACACCGTCTAGCACCTAACCCCAGGACAGCCACCCAGAGTGCCCACCTCCTCTAAAATCAACAGCAGACCCAAACAGAGCTGATCTTAGTCTTTCCTTGGTTTTATATATAAGTAGCCACTGGGAAAGAAAAGTCCTTCTTTGGCAGGGTTGATGAAAAGGAGAATGTGAATTTGGGACACCCCTCTGCCACATGGAGAGGGACTGTCTGCAAATGAAGTCAAAAAGAGATGAGAAATAGAGACAAGGGAGAAGAGGAGATGGGGAAGGGGGATAGAAGAGAAAAGGAGGGAAAGGGAAGCAGAAGGGGTGCCGTTGACCTTAGGTGGGGCCCACCCCGAGGCCCTGCTTCCTGCAACTCTTCCTTAGGGCTGCTCCAGAAGCCTTCGTAGTTTCCCCGCCAAATGGATCCCATTTTTGTTTAAGCAAATTTGCTTTGGGTTTCTGTCATTTACATCCTCAGAGTCTTGATGAACACAGAAATGGTGCAGTGACTTCTCCACCCTTCCCAACCATGGGGCTGGTTTTGAGCTTCTGTGGTTGAAGGAGCGAGGGCCAGAAACTGCCAGGACTGTTTTTCTTGAGATGTGGTGTGGTTCTGTTTAATGAGTGAGGGCCAGAAGCTGGTTAAACTGTTTGGGAGAGAAGCTTCGAGGCCGTGGGGCAGAGCAGGCCTGCTTCGCGACCCTGGGCATGCATACACCTCAGGACCAGG